>NC_000005.10:54484807-55109807 GCF_000001405.40 Homo sapiens
CTTCACCAACTTTTTGATGGGGTTGTTTGCTTTTTTCTTGCAAATTTGTTTAAGTTCCTTGTAGATTCTGGATATTAGCCCTTTGTCAGATGGGTAGACTGTAAAAATTTTCTCCCATTCTGTAGGTTGCCTGTTCACTCTGATGGTAGTTTCTTTTGCTGTGCAGAAGCTCTTTAGTTTAATTGGATCTCATTTGTCAATTTTGGCTTTTGTTGCCATTGCTTTTGGTGTTTTAGTCATGAAGTCCCTGCCCATGCCTATGTCCTGAATGGTATTGCCTAGGTTTTCTTCTAGGGTTTTTATGAGTTTAGGTCTAACATGTAAGTCTTTAATCCATCTTGAATTAATTTTTATATAAGGTGTAAGGAAGGGATCCTGTTTCAGCTTTCTACGTATGGCTAGCCAGTTTTCCCAGCACCATTTATTAAATAGGGAATCGTTTCCCCATTTTTTGTTTTTGTCAGGTTTGTCAAAGATCAGATGGTTGTAGATGTGTGGTATTATTTCTGAGGGCTCTGTTCTGTTCCATTGGTCTATATCTTGTTCTGGTACCAGTACCATGCTGTTTTGGTTACTGTAGCACTGTAGTATATTTTGAAGTCAGGTAGCATGATGCCTCCAGCTTTGTTCTTTTGGCTTAGGATTGTCTTGGCAATGCTGGCTCTTTTTCGGTTTCATATGAACTTTAAAGTAGTTTTTTCCAATTCTGTGAAGAAAGTAATTGGTAGCTTGATGGGGATGGCATTGAATCTATAAATTACCTTGGGCAGTATGGCCATTTTCACAATATTGATTCTTCCTATCCATGAGCATGGAATGTTCTTCCATTTGTTTTTGTTCTCTTTTATTTCGTTGAGCAGTGCTTTCTAGTTCTCCTTGAAGAGGTCCTTCACTTCCCTTGTAAGTTGGATTCCTAGGTATTTTATTCTCTTTGAAGCAATTGTGAATGGGAGTTCACTCATGATTTGGCTCTCTGTTTGTCTGTTATTGGTGTATAAGAATGCTTATGATTTTGCACATTGATTTTGTATCCTGAGACTTTGCTGAAGGAGATTTGCTTACTAAGGAGATTTTGGGCTGAGGTGATGGGGTTTTCTGAATATATAATCATGTCATCTGCAAACAGAGACAGTTTGACTTCCTCTTTTCCTAATTGATTACCCTTTATTTCTTTCTCCTGCCTGGTTGCCCTGGTCAGAACTTCCAACACTATGTTGAATAGGAGTGGTGAGAGAGGGCATCCCTGTCTTGTGCCAGTTTTCAAAGGGAATGCTTCCGGTTTTTGTCCATTCAGTATGATATTGGCTGTGGGTTTGTCATAAATAGCTCTTATTGTTTTGAGATACGTCCCATCAGTACCTAGTTTACTGAGAGTTTTTAGCATGAAGGGCTGTTGAATTTTGTCAAAGGCCTTTTCTGCATCTATTGAGATAATCATGTGGTTTTTGTCTTTGGTTCTGTTTATATGATGGATTATGTTTATTGATTTGCATATGTTGAACCAGCCTTGCATCCCAGGGATGAAGCCAACTTGATCGTGTTGGATAAGCTTTTTGATGTGCTGCTGGATTCGGTTTGCCAGTATTTTATTGAGGATTTTTGCATCAATGTTCATCAGGTATATTGGTCTAAAATTCTCTTTTTTGTTGTGTCTCTGCCAGGCTTTGATATCAGAATGATGTTGGCCTCATAAAATGAGTTAGGGAAGATTCCCTCTTTTTCTATTGATTGGAATAGTTTCAGAAGGAATGGTACCAGCTCCTCTTTGTACCTCTGGTAGAATTCAGCTCATCATCACTGGCCATCAGAGAAATGCAAATCAAAACCACAATGAGATACCATCTCACACCAGTTAGAATGGCAATCATTAAAAAGTCAGGAAACAACAGGTGCTGGAGAGGATGTGGAGAAATAGGAACACTTTTACACTGTTGGTGGGACTGTAAACTAGTTCAACCATTGTGGAAGACAGTGTGGCAATTCCTCAAGGATCTAGAACTAGAAATACCATTTGACCCAGCCATCCCATTACTGGGTATATATCCAAAGGATTATAAATCATGATGCTATAAAGACATATGCATACGTATGTTTATTGCAGCACTATTCACAATAGCAAAGACTTGGAACCAACCCAAATGTCCATCAATGATAGACTGGATTAAGAAAATGTGGCACATATACACCATGGAATACTATACAGCCATAAAAAAGGATGAGTTCATGTCCTTTGTAGGGACATGGATGAAGCTGGAAACCATCATTCTGAGCAAACTATCACAAGGACAGAAAACCAAACACCACATGTTCTCACTCATAGGTGGGCCTGTGGACACACCAGGGCCTGTCGTGGGGTGGGGGGATTGGGGAGGGATAGCATTAGGAGAAATACCTAATGCAAATGACAAGTTAGTGGGTGCAGCATACCAATATGGCACATGTATACATATGTAACAAACCTGCATGTTGTACACATGTACCCTAGAGCTTAAAGTATAATAAAAAAAATTGAAATTATAAGAATGTATACAAACAAAATAAAAATGAAATAAAATAAAATAAAATGAGTGTGTGGAATATGTAAAGTCTCCAGGTATGTTTTTACCCCCAGATTTTTTTTTTTCACAAACTTAATACATGGGGCTGGGAGTGGAGGCTCATGTCTGTAATCCCAGCACTTTGGGAGGCCAAGTTGGGAGGATTGCTTGAGCTCAGGAGTTAAGACCAGCCTAGGCAATATGGTGAGACCCCATCTCTTTAAAAATAATAATAATAATAATACATTGGTAGGCTAAAGTTGCAGAACAAATATAATTCTTGGTCCTGTATACAAAAGAACCCTCAGTGATAGTATGCTTTTTATTCAAATCCTTGAAGATCAAGGTTTAAGTAGTTTTATTTTAGGGTAGGATGTGTTTCATGCAGCATTAATTTTATTGTCTTTTTTTAAAAAAGCATGTAATTGGTGTAGTCAGGACTGAAATTTTATTCGTCTCCTCAGATGAAAGTAGTATCTTATTAAACAGCCCTAGACCAGGAAATACAAGGGCATTATAATGAATAATTCTAAGCTCATTATGATCTCAGTGAATAGGTTCAGATTCAGCACAATACTAGAACTGATGTTTATTAACACTGATGGCACAAAGTACATGTCTGATCCACTTCAATGGAGTCATTATTTAGTGTGACACTGCACTGCCAAATGCAGCCATGTTTGTGGAAAGACAGGAAGTTGTCACAGGGCCAGGAGCAGTGGCTCACACCTGTAATCTCAACGCTTTGGGAGGCCAAGGTGGGAGGATTGCTTGAGCCCAGGAGTTTGAGACCAGCTTGGGCAACGTAGTGAGACCTCACATCTCTAACAAAAAAAAAAAAAAAAAAAAAAAAATAGAAAAAATAAAAAAAAAACTAGAAAGTCATTACAACAAAATTTTATGCCAGAAAATGTACTATCAAGACCCATAGACATATGTAAACATGGTCTCTTTCCTAGGCATGGACACTTATACCTTTATCACCTAAGAAAGATGAAGGTCTAAGGCAGAAACACAGCTCCTTTATTAGCTAAAACGTCTTGTAACATCAGACGCCTTAAATTATCCACTAATTACATTTAAATAAAAAATGTGGGGACAAATTAGCTTTAATCGAATTAAAATGAAATTTCTAGTGCAGCTAGATGGCTGTTTTGCTAGAATCTGTTTAGCTGTAAATTCCATTTAGAGTTGTTAATAGTATTCCTCTTCAACTCTGTTTAACCCACCCATCATCATGGTGAATTGCCAAATGTCTTACAAGGTAGAATAAATATTCTTGGACCTCTTTTCAGGTCAGGCATCATTGGAAATTTCTCCTTTTCACTTTACTATTATTTTTGAGACAGAGCCTCACACAGGCTGGAGTGCAGCGGTGCAATCTCAGCTCACTGCAACCTCTGCCCCCTAGGTTCAGGCAATCCTCCCACCTCAGCCTCTCAAGTAGCTGGGATTACAAGTGTGCACCACTATGCCTGGCTAATTCTTCTTTTCTTTTCTTTTTTTTTAATCTTTTTTTTTTTTTTTTTTTTTTTTTGAGACAGAGTTTCACTCTGTTACCCAGGCTGGAGTGCAGTGGTGCGATCTCGGATCACTGCAACCTCCACCTCCCGATTTCAAGTGATTCTTCTGCCTCAGCCTCCCAAGTAGCTAGGACTACAGGCGCCCACTACCACGCCCAGGTAATTTTTTTTTTTTTTTTTTTTAGTAGAGACGGGGTTTCACTATATTGGCCAAGCTGGTCTCGAACTCCTGACTTCATGTGATCCGCCCGCCTTGGCCTCCCAAAGTGCTGGGATTACAGGCATGAACCACTGTGCCCGGCCTAAGTTTCCCTTTTTTATTTACCAGTCCTGAGCTGGGTTCACAACCTGAATTAAGTCCTTGTTGTGCAATTGTGTGATGTTATGACTTTGCTGAGCTTCAATTTCCTCATCTGTAAAATGAGGATAATGTTGCAGCATTCAGAGACAACATATATAAGGCACCTAGCACAGAACCTGCCCACAGTAGGCCCTAAATCAATGGTAGTCAACATCAAATAAAGCTGATTAACCAGCTTGATTTGAAACTTATTTCTACTTTAGATAATTTCACAATAAGTCTGAGACATGCTGTAACAAATTTTCATGCCTCTCCTTCATAAACATGAATGACATGAATGAAGCAAAACGAACATTTAGGCCTCGGTTTTCACAGATAAAAGACTAGGTAGTGACCTCTAGTGGTAAACAGGCAAAATGCCTAAAGGCGATACATTTTCTCCCTTACTTAGGATTCAGCCTGAAATTGATCACAGAAGTGCAATGTAAAGCTATGAGATCAAATGTAATTAATACTTGGATAAGAATTTAGCCTTCATGCCATTCTGTAAAACAATGAAATAAAGGAAAATGTCCTTGCCTTCTGTTATGCCAAAAATTGCAGTTTAATCATATGAGTAACAAAAGAATCGGGGCCAGGCAAAGTGGCTCATACCTGTAATCCCAGCACTTTGGGAGGCCAAGGCAGGCAAATCACTTGAGCCCAGGAGTTTGAGACCAGCCTGGGCAACATGTGAAACCCCGTTTCTACCAAAAATACAAAAATTAGCCTAGCCAGGCATGATGGCATGTACCTGTGGTCTCAGCTACTTGGGAGGCTGAGGTAGGAGGATTGCTTGAACCTGGGAGGTTGAGGCTGCAGTTAGCCATGATCACACCCCTGCACTCTAACCTGGGTGAAAGAGCAAGACCCTGTCTCAAAAAAAAATCAGAGCCAGAAAAAAATCAAATTATATTTGATTTTTTTGACAAATATGAGCTATTTTGATTCATTTTTGCACAAATGACCAGATGTTACATTAAAATTTATTTCAGTAGTACCTTAAGTGGAATTATAAACTTCTTTCCAAGTACATAGAGTAGTTCATAATGGATCATTTTGCAGAATTTCTGATAGTGTCGTAAAAAGAAAATGTGCTGTAGGATCTTCACTGATGACATTGTCTAAGCACTAGTTATTACTTACAGAGCTTGCCTTCACTGGACATTAGCAGGGCTGGTTCCCATCCAGCTTCTGAACTCTTACAATCTCCATTTCTGCCAACATTACTGCTCGTGAAATTCAATCAGTACAGTATAGGATGGTGGTTAAGAGCATGAACTCTGAAGCCAGACTGGGTTTAAATCCCAGCTTTACCATTTGTTGACTATGAGAGATTGATGCCTCAGTTTCTTCATCTATAAAACATCAGTGTTAATACCAGCTACCTTATAGGTGGTTCTCATGGTGGATTAAGCTAATATATAGACAGTGATTAGAACAGAGCCTGGAATTATTATTGAGCAGATGTTATGCACCTATACCATTCTAGGGACTATAGAGAATGCATCCAAAGCTGAAAATCCAGGCCCTGTCCTCAAGAATTTATAGTTGACATGGAAAGATCTTGCTAGAGGAATGGGCCTTCATTCCACTTGTTGGTTTGCAGGAGGGGGACTTTTTTTTTTTTAAACATATGCCTGGCTTCTTATGTCCCTATTCTTGTTCCCCTGCAAGATGTGGAGCAACTTTCTTGGAGTGAAGTGGCATTGGGCGCAGTCCCACAAGGAAAAGGACACATATTTTTGAATGCAGTTAGGAAGTATGTTTGGCCCTTACTCTATAGTATATCCTACAATTTGCCTCCATCAATAATAAAGGTAATAACCTGGGTTCTGGGGGTCAACTACCGGTTATGGTTCATTTTTTTCAGAACTCAGCCAGAAGTGGCAAACTATTTACTGAGGAGACACTTAGAGACCCCACAAAACACAAGAGCCATTCAGCGCCAACTTCTATGGTGTGAACCTACTATAAAAGCATTTCCAGAAATGAGAATTTGGTGTAGACTGAAGCAACAGGAATTGATTTCATGGAAGTGGGACTTAAGCTGGTTCTTGAAGAATGAGATAGAATTTGGATGGGGAGAAGGAGGAAAAGCAAGAGCCCTTCTGCAAGCAAAGCAATTTTTTTTGAAGTTTGTACTTCTATGTAATTGAAATATATAAAATATTGATTAAAATTAGTTATATTCCTGTTTGATGACACATGGTGACCTAGCCAGGCTGTGGTGGAGAAATAGATGACATAGGTCCTTGCTGCCTGATTTTTTAGTATTATGTGACCCAATTGCCAGGAATGTTCTAAGCACTTTGCACATATTGAGTCACTTACTCCTCACAACAACTGTATGACATAGACATCATCTCCTCCACTTTACAACTGAGGTTACTGAAGCATAGAGAGTAGTTATCAGCCTAATGTCACACTGCCAGTAAGAGACAGAACTAGGGTTCAAACCCAGGTAGTTTGACCTGCATCCCATTCTCTCTCATCATTCAGCTTTACGATTTCTCAGTCCAAGGGAAGAAGTTGGGTGGTCTCTCTTGTGAAGGAAACCAGTGAAGAGACCAGAGTGATGGCTTGGACTTTGGAGGCTGCCACATAAAGCTGGGAGGTAGTGGGGGCTCATCAATGGAGGGTTTGGAAAGCCAAGCACAGGAACTTGGCTGTGGAGAAAGAAAAAGAAGATTCATCTTTCTGTGTTCCTGACCAAGAACAATTCCATACTGTTCATTGCATTAATTCCAAAGATTTCAAGGGTTCCAGTTTGGTAGACTGGACATTATGTACATATGAGAAGAGGGTAAAACAAAAACAGAACTGGACCCTCTATGCATCCCCTGGGCTGCTGCTGGGAAGGCACATAGCTGAAAGTGGAAACGTGTTCTCTTGTCCTTTTTTTCCAAGCACCTGCCTAGAAGACAAACAAGGCTGGAGGTATGAATTTGAGGTTTCACCTATATTTGAGAGCTGAAACCACAAAATGTTAAACTCCCTGGGAAAAAAGTCACTAAAGAAGCAGAAGAGAAACACCAACAGAGGAGGGCATATGGACAGCACGGTGCTGTGGAAGTTACTCTGCATAATTTAAGAAATTCCCAGTCAGCTACTTCAAAGAGGTGGTAGAAGATGAGAACTGGGATGAAGCCAGGAAATTTAACAATGAGCCTAAGAATGTTGAAGAGAGGAAATGAAACTTGGCTCTGCCCTTATGATGCTATTGCATAGGGTCAAAAAAGGCATGTCTGGTTTATGTGAGCCTCCTCACTGTTTCCCACCCTCCCGGGACATAAGGCCCCTTTCAAGTTGGCTGGGATGGGCATGGGAGTGAGGAACTGAGTCCTCAAGTTACAAAGTTGGAATTCCTTTTTATGCATTAGGCTTGGCTCCTTGGTACCACACCTTAGCCCTCTCCCATGGGCTCTTCGCACACCTCCTACTCTCCTGATCTTTGATATTCCCTCTGCTGTCAGCTGGATTTGCCCATGTCACAGGCAGTTCAGTTCCTGGTGACCACCCCTGTCCAGCTGTGACCTTCAAGAGGGGCCCTGCCCCATGTCTCTCTCAGCTCCTGCCCGACCCCAGTCTGGATTGTCGCACTCCTTCCAGGAAGCATTAGCCTCTCCTCCTTGCCCCTCTGGCTCCTTAGAGCTACTCTGCCACCCCCAAATTACCTTGGAAAAGGTTAGCTGTGTCTGCATACTTGTTACTTTGTGCATCTGCTGGCCTTCTGCTCACCCCACAGACAGGGTGGTGGACACACAGTAAGGTGACCCCCAGGGAGTCCTGCCCTTGTGTAGTCCCTTCCCCTGAGTGCTGGTAGAATCTGTGATTTGCTTCTAACCACAAGAATATGGCAAAGTTGATGAGATGTGTGATATGATTTTATATATATATATATATATATATAAAGCATGAAAGTCATAGTTTCTGGCTGATAACTCCCATAGCCCTCTTGTTATAGCCTTTTTGGCTATAACAAGACATTGGCTGGGGCATTTTAGGCCTCAGGAACAGGCCTCAGGAAACAATCTCTCTCTGTCTCTCTGAACTTCTTTCCTCCTTTCACCTGTCCAAGGCAAGTCAAAAGACCCTCATTCCAGAAAGCGTGCCCCATACTCTGAAGGAAGCAATGCTGCACAGAGGCCAGGAAGAATCTCAACAGTGGGTCTTACTGGGTTTCCCCGCTCAGCCTATTTGTATGCAGTCATACCCTTTTCGTCCAATCACATTTCTGCACTGTTGTCAATCATGCCTATGTAATGAATTCTCTTTTAAAACACAAGAGGGCCGGGCACGGTGGCTCATGCCTGTAATCCCAGCATTTTAGGAGGCCAAGGCAGGTGAATCGCTTAAGCCCAGGAGTTCAAGACCAGCCTAGGCAACAGGTGGAACCTGGTCCTACAAAAATTACCAAAAAATAGCCAGATGTTGGTGGCGGGCTCCTGTAAGTCCTAACTACTTGGGAGGCTGAGGTGGGAGGATTGCTTAAGCCCAGGAGGTCGAGGTTGCAGTGAGCCATAGTTGTACCACTGCACTCCAGCCTTGGTGACAGAGTGAGACCCTGTCTCAAAAAACAACCCCACAACCGTTCCCCGCCAACAACTCCACCACACACAAGAGGACAGGGTTCAGAGAGCTTCTGAAGAGGTGACCACGTGGAGGTTCCTGGAGGGTGGTATACCTGGAGACGGCCTTCAAGCTTTGTACCCCTTCCCCTATACCTTGCCCTACACACTTCATCTATATCCTTTGTAATATCCTTTATAATAAATGAGTAAATGCAAGTAAGTGTTTCCCCGAGTTCCGTGAGCCACTCTAGAAAATTAATTGAATCCTGCTGGACTCAGTGGCTCACGACTGTAATCCCAGCACTTTGGGAGGCCAAGGTGGATGGATAACCTGAAGTTAGGCATTAGGGACCAGCCTGGCCAACATTGTGCAATCCCCTCTCTAATAAAAATACAAAAAGTAGCTGGGCATGGTAGTATGCCCCTGCAATCCCTGCTACTTGGGAGGCTGAGGCAGGAGAATCGCTTGAACCTGGGAGGCGGAGGTTGAAGTGAGCTGAGGTCGGGCCACTGCACTCCAGCCTGGGTGACAGTGCGAGGCTCCATCTTAAAAAAAAAAAAAAAGAAAAAGAAAATTAATTGAAACCAAAGAGGGGGTTGTGGGAACCCCAACTTAAATCTGGTCAGCCAGAAGTTCCAGACACTTGGACTGGCGATTGGTGGGACTGAGCCCTCAACCTGTGGGATCTGACACAATCTCCAGGTAGACAATGTCAGAACTGAATTGGAGGACACTCAGCTGGTGTCCACTGCAGAATCTATTGTTTACTTGCTGGTGGAGAGAAATCCCCACATATTTCGGGGTCATAGAAGTCTTCTGTGTTTATTGTGTTGATATGAGTAGAGGAGTTTGGCTTGAGAGATTTTTCCAAACAGGATATCATTCCCTTGATCAATTTCATTATAGAAGACTGTCTAAAGTAACTAGAGAGACTTTCTTGCTGCTAATTTTTGTACTTTTTGTAAAGACAGCTCTCACTGTGTTGCCCAGGCTGGCTCCTGCTCTTGAGTGATCCTCCCACCTCAGCCTCCCAAAGTGCTGGGCTAACAGGCATGAGCCACTGTGCCCTGCCCTTGCTGGCTTGTTGTTTGGGGCTGCCATCAGCTCCTAGAAGCCACCCACAGTTCCTTGCCACATGACCCTCTCACAACATGGCAGTTCCTATCTTCAAAGCCAGCAAGAAAGTCTCTCTAGCATACCCAGCAAGAATGTATAGGGCTGTTCAGGGCTCACAGTAGATTACCTTTCTCAACAGATGGAGTAGGGGGTGACTTAAAGTGTGCATAATCTTTAAAAATTAGCATTTTCCATTTGTACTCTCTAAATTTGGGTTAGCTGGATCCAAACCCCATGATTCTGCTACATATGGGATCCCAGTCCACCTATCTCTAGCATACTTCCTCTATTAATCATTCTCTCTTGACATTTGCCACCTCATTTTAGCCAGCTGTGCTTGTTTTCACTTATGTTATTTTATGAGCAGTGCTTATTTTGACAGCAGCATACATAGTGGAATGATGGCTGGTTCTGGCATTTAAAAAGCTGGATTCACATTCAAGCTCTACCATTTGCCAAATAAGAAACCAATACTCCCATCAGCCAACTCAAGTAGTAAAGTTGGAATAGCATAGTGCCTTTGATTTTTTCCCTTACAGGGGTGTAGTAGTGAAGGGTATGTAACTCAAAATAATCTTCTTGAAAGTCAAGCTTCTCCTCCTTTCCCCAAAACTTGTTCCCCACCTGAATTCTCTACTTGTTACAGTCACCATTCATCCATCCCGACCTCCTCCTCTTCATACCTTTGCATCAAGGCTTGCCAGTTTTACCTTCTAAGCATTGTTCTTCTGCCCTTTTCTTGACCTCCCAACTGCCATTGTCTATCTTTATCATGTGTCAATCCAGTAGTTCCCTGAAGTAGCTTCTAGCATCATGCTGGCCACCATTCTATGATGTCTTACTACTGCCTGAGCTTGTCATTTCTCTCATTTCAAACACCTTTCATCCTCATACAGTCCAATTTCCTTACACATGTTTTTGCCTTAATTCCTTCTACATCTCACCTTGTGTTGTTTTACACTGTAATATTACTTATTTCTTGTATTTCCTAATATCCACCATGGCATTTAACATTTTTTGTGTCTTTGATGCTCTTCCTACCTGGAATACCAATCCTGTTTTTGACTAATTCCAACTCATTTAAAAATTTTGATCAGCATGGGACATGGTGGCTCATGCCTGTAATCCCAGCACTCTGGAATGCTGAGGCAGGAAGATCAACTGGAGACCAGCCTGGCAACATGGCATGACCCCCATCTCTACACAAAATTTTTTTTTTTTTGAGACAATGTCTCGCTCTGTTTCCCAGACTGGAGTGCAGTGGTGAGATCTCAGCTTACTGCAACCGTCACCTCCTGGGTTCAAGCGATTCTCCTGCCTCAACCTCCCAAGCAGCTAGGATTACAGGCATGCGCCACCACGCCCAGCTAATTTTTGTATTTTTAGTAGAGACGGTGTTTTACCATGTTAGCCAGGGTGGTCTCGAACTCCTGACCTCATGTGATCCACCTGCCTCGGCCTCCCAGAGTGCTGGGATTACAGGTGTGAGCCACCATGCCTGGCCACAATTTTTTTTTTTTTTTTTAATTAGCCAGGCATGGTGGTGCACACCTGTAGTCCAAGCCAGCTGGGAGGCTGAGGTGGGAGTGTTACCAGGATGTGTGGAGTCCTCTGTTCTTAGTCTTCTTGGGAGAAGAAATTTGGCCAAGAGACCAATTAGTAAAGTAAACAAAGACATATTAAGGAAATAAGAATATGCTCCAAGAGAGGAGTGGGCTGACCCTGCTGGGAGCAGTAGTAGTAGCAGTCTGTTTAAAGAGATAGTATGCTCTGAAAGAAAAGTCAGAGTGGGCTGCTGGAAAGAGAATGAGCCAGCAGCCCCTAGGGTTCTGCATTGAGATTTTTGTTATGTTGGGACTGTTTCTTTAAGTTCCCACCTCTGTCTCAAGTCTCCACCTCTATCTTTATCTAGCTTCCCCCTTCTGCATTAAGTCCCTGCTTTTTTCCTGCCTAGTTCCTGCTCTAGGTTTATGGGATTCTCCTTTACTGGTAGTTAAGGCACATGCAAGGACTGGTGTTGGGTACAATCCTAATGGCAGCTTTGCTTATTACCCTCTAGCGTTGCCCTCTAGGAAGGTCATATAGCAGTTATATGTGTACATATTACCCCTGCATATCTCTCAGACTCTTAGAAATTTCCCCTTTGCCCTTTTTTTTTTTTTTGAGACAGAGTCTCAATTGTGCAGGCTGGAGTGCAGTGGCATGATCTCGGCTCACTGCAACCTCTGCCTCCCAGGCTCAAGCCATTGACCTGCCTCAACCTCCTGAGTAGCTGGAATTACAGGCACTTGCCACCATGCCCAGCTAATTTTTGCATTTTTAGTAGAGACAGGGTTTCACCATGTTGGCCAGGCTGGTCTTGAACTCCTGAACTCAGGTGATCCACCCACCTCGGCCTCCCAAAGTTCTGGGATTACAGGCGTGATCCACTGTGCCCAGCCATCCCCTCCTTATCAGCATGTGGCTAGCTCCATTCTGACCGATTAGCTGCAGCGTGAGTGATTACTGGGCATCTTAAGAGTTGTTCTGAGGTGTTTCTTCGTGCACAGGTATTTTCCCTCCTTTATGCTCATATCTAGCATGCAGATTTCCAGTGGTCTCTGAGGTGTGAGATTTTCCAGACCTCCCTTTCTTCAGGCTCCCCCTCCTGCTCATGTCTAGGTATCTGCCTGCTGTAACAGGAGAACTGCTTGGGCCCAGGAGTTCAGGCTGCAGTGAGCCATATTTTGGGGTGAAATTCCCTGTGCTCCCTCAGTATGTCCACATAATGGGATATTATGTTGCTATAAAAAATGAGAACACTCTATTAATTGGGTCCAGGACAAGTCACGCCAAAATATGACTTTAGGAGACCAGAATATGCCAGGCCAAAATATGTCTCTTTAACATAAGGATTATTTTGAGCTGTTATTTTGAGAAATTGTAGACACAGTAGAGGCTCTGAAAAGTTATCCTGTGTGAGAGAAATTTACATCTATCAAAGAAATCTCCATTTGTGAGACTGTGTCCCTGTCTACACCAGGAAGAGGAGGACACTAGATCACTAGACTCTTAATCAATGGAGAAGGCATTGACTTAAATCTGCATAGCAGAACTTACCTTTGTTTATGGTGCTTTTCCTGGTCATCTTGTCATACTGAAACTGCTGTTGCAAAATTATAACTGAGACAGTAAAAGAGATCTGACCTAACTAACTCCATCTTGCTTCTAACCTCCAAGCTGTCCTTGTTTATTCGTGGGTGTAGGCCAAACTAACATCAGGAGAAACTTAGTTTATAATTTAAAACAAAGACAATAACAGCCCTTTCCCAAAACAGACCTGCTGAGACCAGCTCGGTCGGGGAGACCCTAACTCAGCAGCGCTAGAGGAATTAAAGACACACACACAGAAATATAGAGGTGTGAAGTGGGAAATCAGGGATCTCATAGCCTTCAGAGCTGACAGCCCCAAACAGAGATTTACCCACATATTTATTAACAGCAAACCAGTCATTAGCATTGTTTCTATAAATATTCGATTAACTAAAAGTATCCCTTATGGGAAAGGAAGGAATGGGCCGAATTAAAGGAATAGGTTGGGCTAGTTAACTGCAGCAGGAACATGCCCTTAAGACACAGATCGCTCATGCTATTGTTTGTGGTTTAAGAATGCCTTTAAGTTGTTTTCCGCCCTGGGTGGGCCAGGTGTTCCTTGCCCTCATTCCAGTAAACCCACAACCTTCCAGCTTGGGCATTAAGGCCATTATTAACTTGTTACAGTGCTGCAGAGATTTTGTTTATGGCCAGTTTTGGGGGGGCTTGCTCCCAACATGTCTCCCTTCTTTGATTTGCAGAGAGATAAAAGCAAGGGCAGCTTTGTCACGGTAAGCTACTTCTCGCAGGAGTCAGGATCCGCACCTGCAGACTATACAAAGACAAACAACACAGATTAAAAGCACAGTCATCATTGAAATCACAGAGCTTCCAGGTGTTTTTATCCATTTTAATGGGTTACTAGCTGCTAATTTGTCTGCAGCTCCTTTAAGCACTCCAGTTCCTGGCATTAACATCAGGTGTGCCAGGGATGCTTTAAATATTTGTTCTTTTAATTTTGCTATATCCAAAAACAAGTTTGTAGAGTCTCCTTCTAGAAGCTTTTTTATTCTTTCCCAAATTTTGATCTTATTAAGAGCATTTAATAGTTTCCACAAATCCTTATGTTTAGCTCCTACAGCGGACCATATCATTTGAGTTTGAGGTGCCACTATACCGCCATGTTTCCAGATAATAGGAACTTTTGCCGTACTTCTTATCATTTCTACCATCTGACCATTTTGTTCAGATCATCTGAACACAGTGTGGCCATGGCACGCAGACTGAGAGTGCAATTCAAGCTAAATATCCCCTTAGGGGATCAATTAATAATGATTCCATAGGAATTGTTGTGCAGCACCTCTGCTGGTTCTGAAAAGCAATCTTCCTAAACAACTACTTTCATTTTTTCTAACTGGGTCCAATCCTGTTTACAAATAGGTTTTTGAGGGCAGTATGCCTCAATTATAGGAGCAGATTTATTATGGTAAATACTGAGACCAGAAAGCATGTGTAATTCTCATACAGTGATTGCATCCAGGCATTATTACCAGCCCTTATTGAAGGAATACTCACAGTAGTGGTGATAACCACTATCATAGCTACCATTAAATTATTCATTGTGACTGGTTGTCCCACTTTCCTCAAGTTTTCTTCCACCATCTGTGACAGCTTCTTGATCTGCCCCCAGATGGGTGGCTGTGTTCGACAGGTGTTGCTTGTGACAGTTGGGGTCCTCCTCAGCATCAGTCTCGACATGGCTGCAACCGAGGGGTCCTTGGGATCCTCCCGGAATCTCTTCCTCAGCATCTGGCTCATGATAAGGTTTCAGGTGTCTTGATGGTATCCAAATCGGCTGTTGATTTTGGCCTGGAGAAATACAAGCATAAACTCTACCCCAAGTTATTATTTTACCTATTTCCCAACTTTTTGTTATCAGATCTCTCCAACAAATCAGTTGTTCTGTTTCTGTCTTTGCAGCTGGTTTCTGTAGATGCTGTTCAGCTATTGATAACATCTGGCCTTTGGGCAGGCTCAAAAAATTTAAAGTTAATAATGCTAGGTTCAGTTGCATCTGTGCTGTTCCATATTCTCTGTCTCTTCCTTTCTGCTTTTGCAACTGCTGTTTTAGGGAGAGATTTATTCTTTCCACTATGGCTTGTCCTTGAGAATTGTATGGGATATCAGTAATGTGTTTAATATTCCACATAGAGAAAAATGTAACTAGAGCTTGGCTATTATAGCCTGGGGGCATTGTCTGTTTTTATAGAAGCTGGAATGCCCATCACCGCAAAACACCGCAAAAGATGACGTTTAACACAGGCAGAAGACTCTCCTGTTTGGCCTGTAGCCCAGACAAAGTGAGAAAAGATGCCCACACATACATGTACGTAAGCTAGTCTCCCAAACGAGGGAATATGTGTGACATCCATTTGCCAAATAGAGTTAGATTCCAATCCTCGAGGATTAACTCCTCCTGTGAAAGATGAGGAATGTACCATTTGGCAAGTCGGGCATAGCTAGATAATAGCTTTAGCTTCTTTCCAGGTAATGCTGTATCTGCATTTGAGACCAGAAGCATTAACATGGGTTAAATTGTGAAAGTGTCTAGCATTAGATATTGCAGTAGCAAGTAGGCAATCAGCCATTTGATTCCCTTCAGTCAAAGGTCCTGGAAGAGGTGTATGAGCTCTAATGTGAGTGCTGTAAAAAGGGTGCATTCTACTCCTAACTGCTGTTTGCAGTTGGGTAAATAAAGTCATCAGTTGTTCATCTGTATGAAATCGTAACTGAGCATTTTCAATTAACTGTGTGGAATGAACCACGTATGAAGAATCGGAAATCACATTAATAGGCATATCAAAAGCAGTCAATACCTCAATTACAGCTACAAGCTCCGCTTTTTGAGCTGAAGTACAGGACGTCTGGAAAACTTTACTTTTTGAGCCAAAATAAGAAGCTTTACCATTACTAGACCCATCTGCAAAAACATTCTCAGCACCTTCAATTGGTTTAAATTTAGTTATTTTAAGGAGAATCCAATTAGTTAATTTCAGAAACTGAAACAGCTTCGTTTTAGGAAAATGATTATCGAGAATACCCACAAAGTCAGCTAAATGGGTTTGCCAAGTAAGACTATTTATAAAAGCTAGTTGTATTTGTGCCTTCATGAGAGGGACAATAATTTTTCCAGGATCATATCCATGTAATTAACAATCCAAGTTCTCCCAATCCCTATCATAGTAGCGATTTGATCTAAATAAGGAGTTAGAGTCCGTGAATTAGTATGTGGAATAAAAAGCCACTCTACTAAGTCCTGTTCTTGGACAATAACACCAGTAGGTGAATGCTGAGTTGAAAAAATTAGCAAATCTAGAGTCTTCTCTGGATCTATTCTATTTATCTGAGCTTTATGGACTTGCTTCTCAATCAGTTGTAACTCTGTCTCCGCCTTCTTTGTTAATTGCCAAGGGCTAGTGAGACTAGGATTTCCTCTAAGGATAGAAAACAGATTACTCATGGCTTAGGTAGGAAAGCCTAGAGCAGGTCGTATCCAATTAATATCCCCTAGTAATTTTTGAAAGTCATTTAATGTTTTTAGTTGATTCCTACGTACAGTTACTTTCTGTGGCACAATGGTGGTGTCATTTACTAAGGTCCCCAAGTAGGAGTAAGGAGTAGTAGTCTGAATTTTGTCAGGAGCTATAACTAAACCAGCACGAGAAATTGAATTTTGCAAGTGATCATAACATTGGAGTAATATTTCTCGAGTGGGGGCAGCACGTAGTATATCATCCATACAGTGAATAATGTAACAAAGTGAAAATTTTTTACGAGTGGGTTCAATTGCTTGCCCCACATACGTCTAGCAAATTGTTGGGCTGTTTAACATGCCCTGTGGCCACACTTTCCAATGATAATGCTTAGTAGGCTGCAGGTTATTTACTGCAGGAACTGTAAATGCAAACCGTTCACAGTCTGGCTCAGCTAAAGGGATAGTAAAGAGACAGTCTTTTAAATCTATGACTATTAAAGGCCAATTTTTTGGAATTATAGCAGGAGAAGGCAATCCTGGCTGTAATGCTCCCATAGGTTGTATAACTGAATTGATGGCTCTTAAGTCAGTTAACATTCTCCATTTACCTGATTTTTTCTTAATTATGAAAACTGGAGAATTCCAAGGAGAAAATGTGGAGCTATGTGCCCATTTTCTAATTGTTTGGCAACTAATTTCTCTAAAGCCTCCAGTTTTTCTTTACTTAGTGGCCATTTTTCTATCCAAATTGGCTTATTTGTTAACCATTTTAAAAGTATAGGTTCTGGAGGCTTAACAATGGCCACCATCAAAAGGCGGGCAGATCACCAGGTCAGGAGATTGAGACTATCCTGGCTAACACAGCAAAACCCCATCTCTACTAAAAATACAAAAAAATTAGCTGGGCGTGGTGGCAGGCGCCTGTAGTCCCAGCTATTCAGGAGGCTGAGGCAGGAGAATGGTGTGAACCCAGGAGGTGGAGCTTGCAGTGAGCCCAGATCACGCCACTGCACTCCAGACTGGGCGATAGAGTGAGACTCTGTCTCAAAAAAAAAAAAAAAATTATTTCCTAATCTTTGGTGAGAACTTTGTTTTTCCACTTGAAGCGGTTCTTTCAAACCTTGCAAATTTTTTTCTAGTCCCATACCAGGGACATACCTATTTCCTGCATTGTACATTGACTTTGAGGACTATATAATTGTTCTGGAATTAGAACTTGTGCTCCCCATTGTTGTAATAAATCTCTTCCCCATAAATTTATAGGTACAGACGTTATAATTGGTTGAATAGTCCCAGGTTGTCCATCGGGCCCTCACAGTGCAAAATATAACTACCTTGATATACTTCAGTGGCTTTACCAATTCCAACTATGTTAAATTGAGTGGGTTGAATTGGCCACGTGGACAGCCAGTGCTGTAGAGAAATGATTGAAATATCCACTCCTGTATCTACCAAACCTTTAAATTTCTTTCCTTGAATAGTTATTTCACAGGTAGGACGTTTATCAGTAATTTGATTTAGCCAATAAGCTGCTTTGCCTTGTTTATTTGTGCTTCCAAATCCTCCTGTTCATTTAATTTCACTTTTTCCCATTCCCACATATGGCACAATCAGGAGCTGTGCTATGCACTCTCCTGGCTCTGCTTTCCAGGGAACAGAAGTAGATATAACAATTTGAATTTCCCCAATGTAATCTGAATCAATGACTCCTGTATGTATTTGTACCCCTTTTAAATTTACACTAGACCTTCCTAAAAGTAATCCCATTATCCCTGCTGGCAAGGGTCCACAGACTCCTGTTGGGACCTTTTGCAGGGGTTCCCCAGGCAGAAGGCTGACAGCTTTTGTGCAGCATAAATCTACTGTGGCACTACCAGCTGTGGCAGGGGACAGACATTGTACAGGGGTGAGGGAATGGCCTGAGCTGGAAATGTCCTGATTTAGAATGGGGCCTGGGACGGGCTCCTCATGGCGTTTCCCAAAATTGGGTTCCCTTCTTTATCAAACTTAGAGTGACACTGACTAGCCCAGTGTTTTCCTTTTTTACATTTTGGACATATTTCAGGCTCAACAGTTTTCTTTTTTCCCCTATCTGGCGGCCTGACTTGCTGATTTTTTCTACATTCCTTTTTAGTATGACCATGCTTCCCACAAGAAAGTTAAAACAAGCTCCAGGAAATGGAGTATTTCCTTTATCCACTCTCCGTCCTGCCACTGCCTGTGCCAACAAAGTAGCTTTATGCAGATTACCTCCAATACCATCACAGGCCTTGACATAATCAACTAAATGTGCTTTCCCTCTGATAGGTCGCAGAGCAGCCTGGCAATCGGGATGAGCATTGTCGAAAGCTAGTAACTGCAACACTATCTCCTGAGCAGCCGAATCTGCAATCATCTTTTTAAGAGACTCCTGTAACCGAGCTATAAAATCAACATATGGTTCCCTTGGTCCCTGTTTCATAGCACTAAAGGAAGGGTATTGTTCCCCACCTGAGGTGATTTTTTTCCCAAGCTCTAATGCGCACTCCTCTAAGCTGTTCTATGGGATCATCCTGCATGGACAATTATGCATCTAAACCAGCCCAGCTGCCAACCCCCAAAAGTTGGTCTGCAGTTATATTAATTTGAGGTTGGGCCTGGGCATTGCGAGCAGCCTGAATGGAGGCTGCATCTGCCCACCAAGTTTTAAATTGTAAGAACTGAGCAGGAGTTAGACAAGCTCGAGTAAGAGTGTCCCAGTCAGTAGGAATCTTCTGACTGGAAACTGTAACATTCTTTAACAGTCCCATTACAAAGGGAGAACCTGGTCCATACTGACTTATTGCTTGTTTGAATTCTTTGAGTAATTTAAAAGGAAAAGGCTCAAATGTAGCTATAATATTTCCCTGTTGATCTGGGGGGTGTATTCTAACAGGGAACTGCCAAGCCTCTAAATCACCCTCTTGTCTAGCTTGCTGAATGCCTGCCTGAATAGAACTAAGAGCAGTCCCTCGAGGTGCTGCTCGAACAGTCACGGGGGCAACTACTTTTCGCCCAGTGTCCTCCGGAAAAGAAAGATCTGGGGGGTCATTTTCTTCAAAATAATAATGAGGGGGTGCAGAAGGGTAGGGATGAACCTCTCCCTCCTTTGCCACTTTGGCTTTAGCTGGCAAATAAACCTGCTCTGTAACCTCTTCTGTTACTTCACTATACTCTTGTTCCTCCTAATTATCAGTGTGAAAAAGTTCCAAGGTGAAATGAACCAGACCCCATACCTGTCCATTGTTACCCTGACGCTTCCGAGCTCCCCTTCTTACTCACCATGCGGATTGCTTTAAGAGTACTTGGGTGTCCTCCAGCTAGTTTTCTGTTCCAACCGTTGCTCTGGCAACCCTTCGACCTGGATTCAAGCCCCCACGAATGGACGCCACTTGCTGAGACCAGCTCCGTCAGGGAAACCCTAACCCAGTGGCGCTAGAGCAATTAAAGACACACACACAGAAATATAGAGGTGTGAAGTGGGAAATCAGGGGTCTCACAGCCTTCAGAGCTGAGAGCCCCGAACAGAGATTTACACACATATTTATTAACAGCAAACCAGTCATTAGCATTGTTTCTACAGATATTCGATTAACTAAAAGTATCCCTTGTGGGAAACGAAGGGATGGGCCGAATTAAAGGAATAGGTTGGGCTAACTAACTGCAGCAGGAACATGCCCTTAAGACACAGATCCCTCATGCTATTGTTTGTGGCTTAAGAATGCCTTTAAGTGGTTTTCCGCCCTGGGTGGGCCAGGTGTTCCTTGCCCTCATTCCAGTAAACCCACAACCTTCCAGCTTGGGCATTAGGGCCATTATGAACATGTTACAGTGCTGCAGAGATTTTGTTTATGGCCAGTTTTGTGGGGGCTTGATCCCAACACAGACCCCTTTCTTTACTGAGAACTAGACTGCCTTTGTAAGACTAACAAATTAGCCAAAAGATATGAAATTATGGTTTAGGAATCATGCAGCTGGAGGCTGCAAGATTCTGACCCTCTCCAAGTTGTTTCTGGGGATAACATCACTATTGTAAGGCCTAAGATCACTGCTTGAGATATTTTGCAGAGCCATATTTTGAGGTATCACCTCTGTAGGGGTGAAAGTATAACTGCCCAACAGGTTCATTTTGCCCACTGCCCAGATAGAGCCAATTTATCAAGACAGGGGAATTGCAATAGAGAGTTTAATTCATGCAGAGCCAGCTGATACTAGAGTTTTATTATTCAAACCAGTCTCTGCAAATTCAGAGGCCAGGGTTTTTTAAGGATAATTTGCTGGGTAGGGGCTAGGGAATGGGTGCTGCTGATTGGTTGGTGAGTGCAATCATAGGGGTGTGGAAAATGGTCCTCTTTTGGTGCACTGAGTCTGTTTCTGGGTGGAGCCATAGGACAGGTTGGTGGGTCTGAATGGAGCCATCAGTCATCAGAAAGGTTAAAAACCTGAAAATATATCTCAAAAGGCCAATCTTCAGTTCAACAATAGTGATGTTATCTGCAGGAGTAATTGGGGAAGTTGCAAATCTTGTGGCTAGTTTGTTAGTCCTACAAAGGCAGTCTGGTCCCCAGGCAAGAAGGGAGTTTGTTTTTGGAAAAAGCTCCAAATTCTGCCTCCTGGGTTCAAGCAATTCTCCTGCCTCAGCCTCTTGAGTAGCTGAAACTACAGGCACACACCACCATGCCCAGCTAATTTTTGTATTTTTAGTAGAGATCGGTTTTCACCATGTTGGCCAGGCTGGTCTCAAACTCCTGACCTCAGGTGATCCACCTGCCTCGGCCTCCCAAAGTGCTGGGATTACGGGCATGAGCCACTGTACCAGGCTGATAAAATTTCTTTAAAAAGATTTTTTAAAAAGGAAACTCCCCATGTTCACTTAAAATGTTTTATTTCCTGAATTTTAATTAAAACTTTTTAATGTCCTTCATATACTATATGATGGTACTGAATTTTAATCTTTTTGATTTATTTTATATGAAAGCAGAATCTCTGGGGGTGGGAGTGATACCCTGGTTAATTGTTCTCTAGGTATATGTGTGTGTGTGTGTATATAAGTGTGTGAGTATTTTATTTATTTTATTTTTTTGAGATGGAGTCTTGCTCTATTGCCCAGGTGCAATCTTGGCTCACTGCAACTTCTGCCTCCCAGGTTCCAGTGATTCTCCTGCCTCAGCCTCCCTAGTAGCTGGGATTATAGGCATCTACCACCATGCCCGGCTAATTTTTGTATTTTTGTAGAGACGGGGTTTCACCATGTTGCCCGGGCTAGTCTTGAACTCCTAACCTCAGGTGATCCACCTGCCTCAGCCTCCCAAAGTGCTGGGATTACAGGATTGAGCCACTGCACCTGGGCTTCTCTAGGTATATTTTTGAGTTGGTTTGGAAAATTGTGACAATAATGCCTGGTGCATATGTAGATCTTTATGTGAAATTCGTTGACATCAGTGCTATCTATGCCATTGAAAGATCATCTGATCCATTTCTCCACTGCTCCTCTAATGTTTATAAAAATGTTCTCTTAGTTTGGCTAATATACATATAATGAAATGGGGAAAATGTTTAAGCACAGGGAACCCATCTTTTCCTGTTATGAGAAGGAACATTTGAATTAATGTTAAAGAGAACAGAGATTTTCTCTAAAGGAGGGGTTTGTCTACAACTGCTCTGGGGAAAATCTGTCCAAGTGTTTGCCACGCCTATGGCCTGAACTCCTGAAACATCTTTCAAAACATCCAAGACAGGTGGGGCGTGGTGGCTCACTCCTATAATCCCAGCACTTTGGGAGACTGAGGTGGGCAGGTCACTTTAGGTTAGGAGTTCAAGACCAGCCTGGCCAACATGGTGAAACCCCATCTCTACTAAAATTACAAAAATTAGCTGGGCATGGTGGCATGCACCTGTAGTCCCAGCTGCTTGGGAGGCTGAGGCATGAGAATCATTTGAACCAGGGAGGCAGAGGTTGCAGTGAGCTGAGATGGCACCAGTGCACTCCAGCTCGGGTGACAGAGTGAGAATGTCTCAAGAACAAAGAAAACATAATCTCCAAGCGAGTTATAGTGCATGCTACACAGCATCACCTCCCAGATCTCAGGTATTTTTTCTACAATCAGGATTAAGACAGGTAGGAAATAACTTGGTCTTTCAAAAACGGCTGTGGCATGCTGGAGGCCAGGAGGGCAAATCTTGCCATTAGATACATGTTGGCTGGCGCACATAATGTTTTTAATACTACTTTTTTATACACAAACAGAATTTCTGGCTTCTTAGGAATATCAAGCTATATGACAACACAAGGTCCATATTCCTGCATAAAACCATAGGGGCAGGGGTTCAGTCCAAGTGTCCCCTTTAAATGGGGCAAGTGCTCCTCAGTTCACCAAAGGCCCCCACCTCCCTACCACTCCCTACCCCTCCACCAGGCCCACACATTAGTTACCTGTCAATAAAAAGAGTTGAACTCTGTAACATATTTGAAGAGATTTATTTTGCGCCAAATATGAGTGACCATGGCCCATGACACAGCCCTCAGGAGGGCCTGAAAACATGTGTCCAAGGTGGTTGGGGCACAGCTTGGTTTTACACATTTTAGAGAGGCATGAGACATCAACCACACACATTTAAGAAATACATTGGTTTGTTCCAGAAAGGCAGGACAACTCAAAGCCGAGGCTTCCAGGCTATGGTGAATTTAAACATTTTCTGATTGACAATTGGTTGAGTTTATCTAAAGACCTGGGATTGATAGAAAGGGAATGTTCAGGTTAAGATAAAGACTGTGGAGACCAAAGTTCTTTTGAAATCTTATAGTGGCTGCCCTAAGAGATGATAGATGACAAATATTTCCTATTCAGATCTTAGTCTCTTCAGGATTGGGAGGATCTGCAATAAAAAGATCTAGCTATGTTAAGAGATTCTTTACAGATCCAAACTTTCCCCCACAAAGAACAGCTTTGCAGGACAATTTCAAAATACGGCAAAGAAACATGTTTTGGGGTAAAATATTTTGATTTTCTTCCTTGTCTCAAAATGTTATGATGCCAGAGTCAGTTTGGAAAGTAAGTCATGATATATAGAGTTAAAACCCATCTGATGTGAATTTATGATTTGTAGGTTATGACTCCCCAGACCCCTTAGGTAGGAATTTGGGCAAGATAAAAAATCAAGAGTTTAGTCCTTATATCCAATGAGGGCATTTGAACTAATGTAATGGCTTCTGTTTGTTGTTTTGTTTTGTTTTGTTTTGCTTTGTTTTGTTTTGAGTCAGGGTGTTGCTCTGTTGTCCAGGAAAGTGCAGTGGCACAAACATGGCTCACTGCAGCCTTGACCTCCCAGGCTCAGGCGATCCTCCCACCTCAGCCTACTAAGTAGCTGGGACTACAGGTGGGTGCCACTACACCTGGTGGATTTTTAAAAATTTTTTGTAGAGATGGGGTGTCATTATGATACCCAGGCTGGTCTCAAACTCCTCAGCCTCTGATTCTCTCACCTTGGTCTCCCAAAGTGCTGGGATTACAGGCATGAGCCACTGTGCCCAGGCAATGGCTTCTTTAAAATGCTATTTATCTCTCCTATTTAAGTGCCCCTCTCTATATTTAAATAGTAGTCCTGCTGGTACCCACCTCATGCAACTTAGATTACTGGATTTGTATAGTTTTACCCTTTAAAAATCTATTTTGTAACTTGCTATACTCTCCTAGAATACTATGCGGATTAAGTTCTTAATGTGATAAATATTCTATTATATACATATTCATTTCTCTTCCAAGTGATTTCCTTGTCTTAGGGACCCATTAGTTACTTGCTATTCAATGGGTATCAATATATTGTGAAAATTAATCTTTAGTAAATTTTCATTTAGGTTTTGTTTGATTGTTTATTCTTTTAGGTTTGATTGCTGATTTACTTCTCTGAATTTTAGATTCTTCTGTAGTTTCTGACCTCCAGGCAAAGGTGGATGAATGGAGTTCTGATATATTAGTGAGATAAAGGGCTCAATAGAATTCATCCAAGAGACACAGCTGCTCCAGGGAGAGCCACCATCATTAGCAATAAGGAAAGTAAGAGTACAAGGCTCCTTTGCTAGAACAACTGGGTGCTTCTTTCTTTTTTTTTTTCCCTCTTCTCTTCCTGACCTCCATATTCTAACTTTACAAGTGATTTTTTTTTCTTTTCCAAAGTAAAGGATGAGAACAGAAGATTCTTTCTACTTCCATATCCAGGAACTGAAACTCACTATATTTATCCCCAAACACCTCCTTCCATTCTTCTCCCAGATTGGCTAATGTCCACATTTATATGCTTAATGTTTCCTATAGCTACTACACATTTGATCACTTCCAACATGAAACATTGGAACAACCCTGAATATCACTGCCATAAAGATAGCCACAGAGATTGGTTACTGCTTGGTGTTTGCCTTATTTGAACACAGTTTGAACACTTAGCAGTCTGAGTGGTTGCAGTATGGCTTCTGGGATTGGCCAAAACTCAGCTGTTGTTACAGGTGCATACAACTAAGTTAGGTTTTCAATTTTGTCTGATTATTAAGCTAGGTTACAGTTCATCCACAAGGACTCAAATATAGAAGTACAGAGTCCTGGCTGGGTGCGGGTGGCTCATGCCTGTAATCCTAGCACTTTGGGATGCCCAGGCGGGCGGATCATGAGGTCTGGAGTTTGAGACCAGCCTGGCCAACATAGTGAAACTCCGTCTCTACTAAAAATACAAAAATTAGCCAGGCATGGTGGTGCGTGCCTGTAGTCCCAGCTACTCGGGAGGCTGAGGCAGTAGAATTGCTTGAACCTGGGAGGTGGAGGTTGCAGTGAGCTGAGATCATGCCACTGCACTCCAGCTTGGGCAACAGAGTGAGATTTCGTCTCAAAAAAAAAAAAAAGAAAAGAAAAAGAAAGAAAGAAAAGAAAGAAAAAATAAAAAATAAAAGAAATACGGAGTCCTTCTCAGGCCATATTTAGTTAGCTTTAATGCTGCATACACCTTAACCATACCACATAGCATATGGTTTCCATGTCAGTTTCACCCACCAGCTCCTTAAGGGATAAAGCAGGTATCTTCTTTAGATTTTGGTGCCTACTTGTTTGATGAAAGGAAAGAGGGAAGGAAGGAAGGGAGGGAGGGAGGGAGGGATGCTGACAGACATTCTGAGAGCAGTGTCTAGATATCCCGAGGGCCGTGGCAGAGAGGGATGTGAATTACCCATGGTGATGCCCCCAAGGTGATGGCTCTTTGGCCCAGAAGATGTGTACAGGGCAAACTCTTACGCCTACAGGGACAGTGAAGGAAGGTAGTCTTAGGTATAAGGCACCAAAAAGTAGTGGGGACTGTGGTGAACAGACAGAGAGGAAATGCTCTGTCTAAAGGGAACAAGCTAATAATTGCTATGCAGAAATGCTGGCCCTGTGTGGCCAGACCTTCTGATTGGATTTTTTTTTCTTTTTTGAGATGGACTCTCATTCTGTTACCCAGGCTGGAGTGCAGTGGCATGATCTCAGCTCACTGAAGCCTCTGTCTCCCGGGTTCAAGTGATTCTCCTACCTCAGCCTCCCCAGTAACTGGGACTACAGGTGTGTGCCACACACCTGGCTAATTTTTGTATTTTTAGTGGAGACTGGGTTTCACTATGTTGGCCAGGCTGGTCTTGAACTCCTGACCTCAAGTGATCTGCACCTCAGCCTCCCAAAGTGCTGGGATTACAGGCATGAGCCATCGTGCCTGACCTGGATTCTTCTTTTTTTTTTTTTCTTTGAGATGGAGTCTCGCTCTGTCGTCCAGGCTGGAGTGCAGTGGCTCAGTCTCAGCTCACTGCAAGCTCCGCCTCCCGGGTTTATGCCATTCTCCTGCCTCAGCCTCCCTAGTATCTGGGACTACAGGCGCCCACCCCCACACCCCGCTAATTTTTGTATTTTTAGTAGAGATGGGGTTTCACCGTGTTAGCCAGGATGGTCTCAATCTCCTGACCTCGTGATACGCCCGCCTCAGCCTCCCAAAGTGCAGGGATTCCAGGCGTGAGCCACCACGCCCAGCCCTGGCCTGGATTCTTTTTTGACTGTTTTTAAAAAAAATTGGATCATTATTTTAATCAGTTAATACTGATTGTATTTTTTCCCCCAAAGAAGTCAGAATCAATATTTTAGAATGAGAAATCTCCTACATTTTAAATATTGGTCACATTAAACATTAGGCTAGATTCTGGTCTTGGTTTGACAATTTGTGGTTTCTGGTACAAGACATTGAGGAATGTTGATTTGTAAAACTATAAAAATGTGAGCCAGTGCAGTGGTTCATGCTTGTAATCGTAACACTTTGGGAGGCCAAGGCAGGTGGATTGCTTGAGACCAGGAGTTAGAGACCAGCCTGGGCAACATGTCGAAACCCTGTCTCTACAAAAAATACAAAAATTAGCTGGGCACAGTGGCGTGTGCCTATAGTCCCAGCTACTGGGGAGGCTGAGGTGGGAGGACTGCTTAAGCCTGGGAGGTCGAGGCTGCAGTGAGCCATGTTCATGCCACTGCACTCCAGTTCCTGGCTTGGGCTACAAAGTGAGACCCTGTCTCCAAAAAACAAAACAAAACAAAATGGGACAGTTGCAGAGCAAATGGCGAAATATATCTACAAGAACACACTCATCAATCAAAAGCTGAGTTAATTTAGTTAAATACACATTGGAGAAAAGAGGAAAATGTATTAAGGGAAGTGTCAGGTAATAAATATTGAATCAGGTCCTTGATTTGATTTTGAAGCAGAAATGAGCTATGTATGAAGGAGGTCCAGTAATAAAAACAATGGGAGATTTCTTCAATAGGGGTGAATAATTTTGTAGGTACTTATGCATTCTCAGCTATAAATACCCCTGTAGAAGCAGCTAACATCATTAAATCCAAATATGAAAATTTATCCATGCTAAGTATTCACTACAAGAACCAATTGCACAAGTTGGGGACCTGATTTTAATAATTGGACTATATTTTTATATTAAAATTACTTTTCATCTTGAGCACTGTAAAATACCATACAAACTTATTACTTCATTAAGTCCTGATATTACCCAATGAAGTAGATTATTTGTATTCCCACATTTGCTAAGAAATTAAGGTTTGGAAAAGTTTCATTCATTCATTTGACAAATATTTAATTTAGTATGCAGTAGTGAACAAAGCAAACCAAACCTCCTGCCTTCATGGAGTTTCAACTCCAGGTGAAACCAAGTAAACAGACACAGTAAATAGCCTTCCTTTCAGACGCAGCACTGTTTTTGAATTCAGGCTTGCCTTCCTTCCTTCTTTCCTTCCTTCCTTCCCTTCCTTCCTTCCTTCCTTCCTTCCTTCCTTCCTTCCTTCCCTTCCTTCCTTCCTTCCTTCCTTCTTTCTTTCTTTTTCTTTTCTTCTTTTTTTCTTTGAGGCTGGAGTGCAGTGGCATCATCTCAGCTCACTGCAACCTCTGACTCCCAGGTTCAAGCAATCCTCATGCCTCAACCTCTCAAGTAGCTGGGATTACAGGTGTTCACCACCATGCCTGGCTAATTTTTTTATTTTTAATTTTTATTTATTTGTTTATTTGTTTATTTTTTGAGACAGAGTCTTGTTCTGTTGCCTAGGCTGGAGTGCAGTGGCATGATCTTGGCTCACTGTAACCTCCACCTCCTGGGTTCAAGCGATCCTCGTGCCTCAGCCTCCTGAGTAGCTGGGACTACAGGTGTGTGCCACCATGCATGGCTAATTTTTTTGTATTTTTAGTAGAGGCAGGGTTTTGCCATGTTGGCCAGGCTGTTCTCGAACTCTTGACCTCAAGTGATTCACTCACCTTGGCCTCCCAAAGTGCTGGGAGTGCAGGCTTGAGCCAGGCTTTCTATTAAGCCTAGCTACAAACCTTCTAGTAAATGGCTGTTGCTCTTCATTTTACTTTATTTATAATATATAAAATATATAAAGTATAAAACAATATTACATATACGTGTGTGCATATGTGTGTGTACACACATATACACACGCATGTGTGTGTACACATATATACACGCATATGTATAAAATGTATACCTATATAATTTTTATTTATATATAAATTTATATATAATATATATTTATATATAATATATAAATTTATATATTATATATTTATATATAATATATAAATTTATATATATTATATATTTTTATATAATATATAAATTTATATATAATATATATTTATATATAATATATAAACTTTTATATTATATAAATTTATATAATATATAAATATATAATATATAAATATATATGATATATATAAATTTATATAATATATAAATATATAATATATAAATATATATGATATATATAAATTTATATAATATATAAATATATATGATATATATAAATTTATATAATATATAAATATATATGATATATATAAATTTATATAATATATAAATATATATGATATATATAAATTTATATAATATATAAATATATATGATATATATAAATTTATATAATATATAAATATATATGATATATATAAATTTATATAATATATAAATATATATGATATATATAAATTTATATAATATATAAATATATATGATATATATAAATTTATATAATATATAAATATATATGATATATATAAATTTATATAATATATAAATATATATGATATATATATTTATATAATATATAAATATATATATCATATGTATAAATTTATATATTATATAAATATATATGATATATATAAATTTATATATTATATAGAAATTTTAATATAGTATATATAAATTTTTATATATTATATATAAAATATATATAATATATAATATATAAATAATAAAAAATTGTATATATAAATTTTTATATACATAAAACATATATATGTAGGTGTGAGCCACTGTGCTGGGCCTGGATGCTGTTTAATAATAGTAGTAGTTTTGAGGCGCCAGCAGAGTGCAGACCTGTGACACAGTGAACCGAAGTTCTCAGGACAGCTGAGTAGCTGCTGGGTCATTCCTCAGTCACCTGACCTCAGCAGACGACCCTCTCTGCAGTTGGCTGTCCTGATCTGGGATAGTGGGGATGGCAATATCTGCTCCATGCATGGATGAGTTGGTGTGAAAATACGGCAGGAAATAACACAGGAAAGGTGTAAGTGCATCTAAAATCATATGTACATATTTGTGTAATGCTTGATGCATTACATGAGTGTTTTCAAGTAAAATATAGTGTTAATTTTAATAATGACCCACTCTGTAATAGTGAAATTTCTAACAATCTGAAAATTTGCAGTGGTGTTCTGGGTGGTTGTGTTACCTTTAACGTTGTTGATTTAAAGAGGAGTGTTACTTAGCTGCCTTAGAAACAGTTACAGCTGGGTGGCAGAGGGCACCAGGCAAGCTGACCCAGACACAATAAGAGCTACTGGAGAGAGCTGACTTCATCTAGGGAGGATGTAAGTGGACATTCTTTCATTCATCTAACAAATACTAACTGGTTGCCTAACATGTCTGTTTTGTTCATTGCTATATCCTCAGTGCTCAGAAAACCTCATTGCCCTGAAAAGGTTTATGTTGTAATAGGGGAGGCCGTTAATGTATAGACGTGTTTATCTTAGGTCATAGTTGCTACAAAGAAAAGTGAGACTGTGGGATGGACAGGGGATGGGAGGGAGGGAGGGAGATTATATTAGCATAATTAGTACCAGCTGCCTCAGCAATCTCTGAAATTTCAGTGGCTTAGTCGGACAAAGGATTTTTCTCTCACAAAGTATGATTGGGGTCGGTGACTCAGGGACCCAGGCTCCCTCTGTCTTCCGGTATCTCCAAGGAAGGAGAAGAAAGGAGGGATGGAAAGCCCCATGGTTCTGACCGAATGAAGCGATGATGTGGCATGGTGGATCTCCCGGGGAAGAGGGCTCCAGGGAGAGAGAAAAGCGAAGGCAAAAACTTCAGCAAGAAACGTGCTTGACTTGTCCCAAAAATAGCAAAGCAACCACTGTGGCTTCTTTCAGTGGAAAAGGGGGCTGGAAAGATAGCCAAGGGCCAGGCTATCTAAGGCCTCTCAGGCCAAGGGAGGAAGTAAGAAAATGCAATTGTTTGGGGTCATTTAGTGTCCCCTAAAAACTTTACAGAAGCATATGGGTGGTTATAATGATTGTGTAAACTAAACTGTGAATAATATGCTCCATTTTCTAGAGAAATCTTTACAAAATGTGTTACTGTATCTATTTCCCTGAGTGAACAGTTATAGGTTGTTAATACTGGAGCACAATTTTCTACATATCTAAGACCCTCTAGAGGTAGGGGTTTTCCTGCCACTAGTGGCCATAGGGCCAAACATCATGACAGCCTGTCCTCATCCTTCTGGAAGCCTGATGCGCGGCAAGCACAGAGGCCTCCCACTGGACTCCTACAAAGTAAGCACCTGCAGACGCCCATGCCCCAGTGCTACAAACAACCTTGGACACCCAATAATTCCTCAACCACCATTTCTACAGAGTAGCTCAACCAGTCTGTAAAAAATCATCACCTTAAACTCCTGGAATTTTCACACCTGAAATAAGCCCAAAGTTACTGTACTTAACTCTAATCTAAAAAGTAACTACTAAACGAACAGAAGGGGCGAAACTAAATTTATTTATCTTACATATTCTAGGTTAGCTTTTCAGAAGTAAAATGAGTCATATTCTAGAGGTTTAGTTAATGTGGACTTCATGTTTCTGACCACATGAAATGTTGGCATTGAAATTCAATGATCCCTGTTGCTTACTGTGAGAATAGTCAAAACCCAGAATTTTCAGCTAAAAATGTAATTTAGAATATGCTTACTGAATTGAATTAAGGTTTTGCATTAGGATAAACACTGTGGGAGTGATTCTGGTATAGTGGGTTTGTGTTTTTGTGCAAGATGCTTACAATACCACAGCCCTTAGAATAATTGTACACTCTTCTGGCCCGTTTCCCAGGTTTCCTTGAAAAGGGTCAGAGGACAGGCTGAAATTAATGACACATGAATGCAGAACCTCAATTAGAAGTGTCTTCAAAGGAATAATTAGGCTAGACTTAATAAGAGGGGATTAAGAGAAGAAAAAGCTTTGGGCAAATTATACACTGAAGGAAAGGAAGATAGGAAACAAGGCAACGATAGATTGGAGCTGATTATTTCAGGAAGTGATTTTTGTTCTATTTATCTTAAAAATAATATAAATATAGTGAGACATAGAGACAACAGATGGATGGATGGTCACTGACCTCTTACTAGGAGTGGCAATGTGAACATTGGGACGCTTCCTGGTGCATGTACCCTGCAATTGTTAGTTTAGTACCCCTATTCCCTTTGTGAAAGAGGCCAGGGATTTTGCTTCCCCCAAATAACAGTAACAGCAGCAAAAGCAGCAACAAACCCTTCAAATCTGCTTACCCTGCCAGATATTGTTTCACTTTCCTCATCTGTAAAATAGGGATTACTTTATGATGGAATCCCCACAACAACCCCCGGAGGTAGGTACGATATAAGTGCCTTGTTCCAGGTCATACAGCTAGGTAGTGTCAGAACACAGATTGAAATTCAGAAGCCTGGCTCCGAAGTTTGAGCTCTCATTCACCGCACTACATATATCTATGGGAGGATAGGCGACACATGCATGTAATAAATGTGTGAGCATTTATTGTACTGGAAACTCTCCAGCTCCTCCCTCTCTACATGATCCTTTGCTTCTAATTTTGTCAATCACAGCACCTTCCCTGGCCCTTACTTTGTTCTTGCCAATCTCCTCTCCTTGAGCAGAAGAGGGAAGGGAGCCTGCTCTGTAGGTGAACAGCTCCTCCGCAGAGGCATCCTGTTTTCTTAGTGCAATCACTAATTCGCATTGCAAAATGCTTTATTACATGACTGGGTTGCCATTCTAGGAGCATTCACTGAGCGCTCAGAGTGGGAACGTTTATCAGGCATGCAAATGCTAACTTACTTTCTAGAGAATGTTTAACTTAAAAGCCTAAAGAAATCTCAGATAATTCACTTCGGAGTAGAAACCTCCTTCAGCCGCGCTCACTACGGCGCCCGGCTTCGCGGCACCGGCCACTAGAGGGCAGTGGCCGCCGCAAAGCCGACGCGGGCGGTGGGCTCGGCGGCTCGGCCATCGCTTGCTCTCGCCTGGCAAGGGGCTCTCGGCCGTGGATTAGCGCAGCTGGAGACGTGGGAGGCCGCGGGCCCCGCCCCCGACCGGCGGCGGCTGCGGCGGCCCAGCGCGGCAGTCGGCGCTGCGAAGTGGAGGCGCTGCGAGCGGAGCCGCGCGGAGGGCGCGACCGGCTGGTCCGGGCAGCGTGGGTTTGCCGCCTTCGGGGCTCCAGTCCGCGCGCCAGGGCTCGAGCAGTACCGCGGGCCCCTCAGGTGGGCCTCGGCTCGGGACGCCGGGAGTCGGGACCGCCAGTCGGGGCGCCGGGACCATGGCGCTGCGCGCCCGGGCGCTGTACGACTTCAGGTCGGAGAACCCAGGAGAGATCTCGCTGCGAGAGCACGAGGTGCTGAGCCTGTGCAGCGAGCAGGACATCGAGGGCTGGCTCGAGGGGGTCAACAGCCGCGGCGACCGCGGCCTCTTCCCGGCCTCCTATGTGCAGGTGATCCGCGCCCCCGAGCCTGGCCCGGCGGGAGACGGCGGCCCGGGCGCCCCGGCCCGCTACGCCAATGTGCCCCCCGGGGGCTTCGAGCCCCTGCCTGTCGCGCCCCCCGCCTCCTTCAAGCCGCCGCCTGACGCCTTCCAGGCGCTGCTGCAGCCACAGCAGGCGCCGCCTCCGAGCACCTTCCAGCCGCCCGGCGCGGGCTTCCCGTACGGCGGGGGCGCCCTGCAGCCGTCGCCTCAGCAGCTCTACGGCGGCTACCAGGCCAGCCAAGGCAGCGATGATGACTGGGACGACGAGTGGGACGACAGCTCCACGGTGGCGGACGAGCCGGGCGCTCTGGGCAGCGGAGCATACCCGGACCTCGACGGCTCGTCTTCGGCGGGTGTGGGCGCAGCCGGCCGCTACCGCCTGTCCACGCGCTCCGACCTGTCCCTGGGTTCCCGCGGCGGCTCGGTCCCCCCGCAGCACCACCCGTCGGGGCCCAAGAGCTCGGCCACCGTGAGCCGCAACCTCAATCGCTTCTCCACCTTCGTCAAGTCCGGCGGGGAGGCCTTCGTGCTGGGGGAGGCGTCAGGCTTCGTGAAGGACGGGGACAAGCTGTGCGTGGTGCTGGGGCCCTATGGCCCCGAGTGGCAGGAGAACCCCTACCCGTTCCAGTGCACCATCGACGACCCCACCAAGCAGACCAAGTTCAAGGGCATGAAGAGCTACATCTCCTACAAGCTGGTGCCCACGCACACGCAGGTGCCGGTGCATCGGCGCTACAAGCACTTCGACTGGCTGTACGCGCGCCTGGCGGAGAAGTTCCCGGTCATCTCCGTGCCCCACCTGCCCGAGAAGCAGGCCACCGGCCGCTTCGAGGAGGACTTCATCTCTAAGCGCAGGAAGGGCCTGATCTGGTGGATGAACCACATGGCCAGCCACCCAGTGCTGGCGCAGTGCGACGTCTTCCAGCACTTCCTGACGTGCCCCAGCAGCACCGACGAGAAAGCCTGGAAGCAGGGCAAGAGGAAGGCCGAGAAGGACGAGATGGTGGGCGCCAACTTCTTCCTGACCCTTAGCACGCCCCCCGCCGCTGCCCTTGACCTGCAGGAGGTGGAGAGCAAGATCGACGGCTTCAAGTGCTTCACCAAGAAGATGGACGACAGCGCGCTGCAGCTCAACCACACGGCCAACGAGTTCGCGCGCAAGCAGGTGACCGGCTTCAAAAAGGAGTATCAGAAGGTGGGCCAGTCCTTCCGCGGCCTCAGCCAGGCCTTTGAGCTGGACCAGCAGGCCTTCTCGGTGGGCCTGAACCAGGCTATCGCCTTCACCGGAGATGCCTATGACGCCATTGGCGAGCTCTTCGCGGAGCAGCCCAGGCAGGACCTGGATCCCGTCATGGACCTATTAGCGCTGTATCAGGGGCATCTGGCTAACTTCCCGGACATCATCCACGTTCAGAAAGGTAAAGCCTGGCCCTTAGAGCAGGTGATATGGAGTGTATTGTGCAGGCTGAAAGGGGCGACTTTGACAGCAGTACCACTGTGGGTTTCAGAATCATATTCTACAGGTGAGGAAGCGAGCAGAGACGTGGACGCCTGGGTCTTTTCCCTAGAGTGTAAGTTGGATTGCTCGACAGGCAGCTTCCTCCTCGAGTATCTTGCATTAGGGAATGAGTACTCTTTCTCGAAGGTTCAAAGAGTACCTTTGATGACAGTGCTATCATTTTAGAGTTTGAATAGTTGAGTAATGAGCTGCTCAAATCTGTAATCTTGAGACGAGGGTAGAATTAGAAGGGGACCTAAACCATGTTAGGTATCTGTTTGAACACTGCACTGTCACTTAGTGGTGAGTTTCAAAAAGTGAGGAAATAATGGAGAAGAACGGATGTCTGTAAATAGAAATCTGCTTTCACCCTTCCACACCTCTCAATCTCTGCTTTGGTAGAGGAATTAAGATCAATTCTCTGAGTTTAAGAAATTCCTGCAAAGAATTCTTGCCTGCAACCTTTACGAAGTGAAGTAATTTCAGGAAAAGCGTACTCATTTTGAGTTTGAAATCTATTAATGTACTGAAATTGAGAACGTTGTTTAGGAAAATTGTTTAGGGAAACTACATAGAATGAATATAATCTGAGTATTGGATCTGAGAGCAGCGTTGCTGGTATCCCAGTGAGTTAGCTGTCCAACTATCAGAGTTCATGAGTTATTAATAGTTGTTAGTGTCTCTGACCTTTGCTAAAGCACCAGAATTTGCAAATTAAAAAAATATATAGCAGTAGTGCTTGTCTTAACATTTCTTACTAATGTGCATTCTCATATAATGCCTTGATTGAGAGAATGGGGAGGTGTGGGAGTTAGGGAGGCAGTCTTGCCTGTGAAAGTCCAGTGTAGGGGCGGCTGGGCAGGGAAACCTACTCCTGAGCAGGGAAACCTACTGTCCCTGTTTCCTCAGCGGGTCTGGCCTTTACTGGTGAAGTGCTCACTGCCTTTCTGGTGGGCCAGTCCGTTTATGAGCAACCCTGATCTCTGGCATGTCTTTTCTTGTATTGAACTGAAGTTTGCCTCCCTTGATTGTCTTTCTGTTCCCTGGGACCGCCTTCAGACATTTGGAGACAGCAGTCTCGCTTCCTTCCTCTCTGCTTCTCTCCTTCCCCTTCCAAATGCGTGACTGGTCTTCTGACTCCTATGGGGGAAGGGGCTTGCTGGGAGAATGATCAAACGTTTTCAGTCTTGTTGCTGCCGCTGAAAGGGAGTACCCTGGACATCAGTACTAATTTTAGTAGACAGTAGTAACTTTCTTGGCAATTTGCGATTTGTAAATGCAGTCTAATATTGAATTCGTTTTTTGTGCAATCATATTGCTGTTGGCCTGTATTAAACCTGTATTTACATTACCTATGCCTTTTTTTAAAACATAAATTGTTATGAATCTTTGACTTTTTTGACTGGTGTTGGTGGAACTGCCTTTGTGAGCCTTTAATGGAGGGATTTAGCATTTAAATTCCATTGTGTTACATCATTCTGGACCTATGCTGGCTGCCCTTTTACACATTTCTGTGAGTTTGTGCAAATTACTGGTGAACAGTTGAAAGGATGGAACCAAGTACAGACACTTGGACATGTGTGCTGGGCCGCTGGTGTCTGTCTACTTTAGGTTGGCATCAGTTCATTCACTGTCAATCACACCATGCACTCAGGCTTTGTCAAATGGCCTGCTTTTGAAATTATATATTAGAAAAGGTATGGTGTGTGTTCTAATATCTATTTTGAGTTTACAGCAATGGTCTACTTAGTCTATTAAACCATCTGGTTATGGCCAGGGTCACGCCTGTAATCCCAGCATTTTGGGAGGTCGAGGCAGGAGGATTGCCTTAAGGCCAGGAGTTCGAGACCAGCCTGGGCAACATAGGGAGACTCCCTTGTCTACAAAAAATAAAGAAGTTAGCGTGGCATGGTGGCTCATACCTATAGTCCTAGCTACTAGGGAGGCTGAGGCTGGAGGATTGCTTGAGGCTAGGAGTTAATTTGAGGTTGCAGTGAGGCATAATTGAACCATTGCCCTCCAGCTTGGGTGACAGAGCAAGACCCTGTGTCCAAAACAAAAAATATATAGCTTATTTACTTCTTTATTTATTTTGTAGAGACAGGTGTCTTGCTATGTTGCCCAGGCTTGTCTCTAACTCTTGGGCTCAAGCAATCCTTCCAGCTCAGCCTCCCGAAGTGCTGGGATTACAAGCGTGAACCACCATGCCCGGCCTAGTTTATCTTTTTTAAATTATAGAACTGGATTTGTCTCTAGTCACTTGGGATTTGAAAAACTTCCTTCATTAAAACCAGTATCATTTTATGTGGCTTAACAGATTCAAGAGCACTAAACATAATCTCTAGGAACTTTGGAAAGAACAGCAGTTGATATTCAGTATAGTTTGTTTCTGCTGTAACCTTGGTGTGTAATGTACAGTGAACCTGTGTCCCTGGATGACACATCTTTAGAAAATACTACCATTTAAAGTGACAGTGTGCGATACATAAGGCTAAAAGCATTTGCCTATAACCAGTGTTTATCAAGGATGCTAGTGTAGGCCATTTTTAGGAGTATAGATGAGACAAACATCATAAGCCAGGATAAAAGCTTTCTGAGCGTATTCAGGACTTGTGGTTGTAAAGAGCATCTCAATTCCGTCACCTCCCCAACCCCAACTGTTACACACTTGAAATATGGCTAATGTGACTAAGGAACTGAATATTGGTCAACAGAAATGATAGAACTTTTCCATCAGTGCTGAAAGTTCTATTGGACAGTGCTGTGTTAAACTGCTGGCTGCAGTTTAACTATCAACCCCATCGTAAGTTTCTCCAGCAAATTATTATATTTTAATATAGTTTCCTGATAGCTTTATTTTTACTTGGTCATCTCATTGCACCTCCTCCTTCCCATATAGGCTTAATTAATAAAAACTGGGAAGGGGGAAGCAAGTCCTGCTAGATTCTTCTTTGCTGAATTTCCCAAGCACTCAACCTGAGTGACATTTCAGTAGCGTGAGCATCTCTTGCAGTGTGCCTTTATGTCCCATTCAGAAAACACATTGGTTACGGGATGGATGTCTGAGGCCATCCTGGTGAGAACCCAGCTGCAAAATGAGGGTGGAAAACTCAAATACTCTTAAATGTTGGTGGGCTGAAATTTTCCTGACTATACTAAATACTGAACCCATTCTTTAAACTAATAATGGTTTTAGTGTACATACTTTCTGCAGAAGTGAAGAAAGCGATATACTTCCTTCAGCCAAAAGAGAATTCTGGAATTTTGATTTTTTTTCATCAACGGATGGAGTCTAACTATTTAGGTTAATGGAGTTGAGCGAAGAAAGACGGTAGTTTGCTGTAGTCTGCGGTACATTAGATGGGAATTCAGAATCTATTGGAATTTTATTTGTGTTTTGCTTTGACCTAATAGGAGTCCTTTAAGTTCTTTGTTCATAGGTAGCTCATCAATCCCTGACTAGGCAGTGTGCAGATGTTTGTCACTGACATGTAACCCCTGTGGTCTTGATTTTTTTTTTCTTAAGTGATAGCATTTTATCTTCTCCCTCCTTATCATGCCTGTCTGCAGTATACCTTTATAGTGTTGATGTTGAGGAGTTTGGGTAGTACTGAGGAATATATTTTATTATTAGTTTCTTGGCATATTCAGTTTTGTTTCCAAAGATATGATCAATCTCTAATATTTAATAAAGCTAAATCTAGGTGGCAGCAAGTTGAGGTTTAAAAGATTTAGGTTTACCTCTTGCGACTATTGCTAAAAGGAAGACTGTAAAAGATTATGAGAAATACTGGTTTCATCCTTGTTTAGGAATTTGGACTAAATAAAAATGGCTAGAGGGAGTTCCTTTAAGTGAAATGTCTTTCTTCTAGAGAAAAGGTGTAAAATAGTGTTAAATTGATTTGTCGATTTGGGCTGTGTGAAGCAGGGAGGCAGGACTAGATAAGTAAATAGGCAGTCCTGTTTTCTGTACTCTTAAATATACAGACTCTACTTCATCGCTCTCTAAATGTTCCAGATGGAGCCTTTTTTCAATAAAAGCCCCAGGACCTCAGGAATGGTATACCAGTAGTGGGCCTGTCAGTCTTGCTGGGTAGAATTTCACCATTGTGCTTCCTTTTACCACTAGTAGAGTTGGCCTGATGTCCTTCAGACATTAATTAAAGATAGCTGGAGTCCCAGCAGGGCACACAAGGTAAGGCTGGGCCACACGGAGACCCTTCCCTGTCTGCTCCCCATTCTCCTGTAGCTAAAAATAGCCCTGAAAGGGTGGTGCCAGGAATACAGAGAAAAGCTCTAAGAAGTTGGGGCTGTTTGCAAATTCATCCTTATTTTTGAAACCTCTGGGCTAGAAATTGAGGCTGTTCATTCTTTTTGTTTTCACTCCATCTTTAGTTGAACCCATTTCTCCTCTCCCCTGCATTTACCCCCAGCTGTTCTCTAAAAAGACCTCATGTCTCTAAAAAGAGAACAGGTCTGGGGCTTACCCTTTGCCCCAGTTTGTGTTTTCTTAGTGAAAATAAGGTGACCGTTGGTGCTTTCGAAATACACGACTCAGTTCCTTGGTTAAAATATAAATGTGACTGCCCAAGGACAGTCTTGGGCACGAAACTGGGTGTGGGCACCGCTCATACCACACCGTCAGGGGTTTCTCAGACTTCTTTTTTGAGCCACATAGCCTTCAGAGTCATGCCGACCACAGTGGGACCGAAGGGAGGCAGAGGACCTGCACTCCCACCCTCCTCCCAGTAACTCAGGGAGCCTATGAGGTTTCCTTGTTCAGCAATGTTGTCCTGTCTGGCCATCTTAGGACTTCTAAGCATAATGCCAGAACCCAAACAAGTGAGAAGTTCTGTGATTCACTTACAAACACTTCCCTTGAACTATTTAATATGTTCCTTCTCTTTGGGCTGAATAAAAAACTATTATTGTATTACCCCATGTATTTTTAAATCAAAGTTTAAATATCAAGTTAGATTTAATTTGCCATATATTTTTGAAGCTCTGTATCATTAACTAAAGGATTATAAAGTGGCAGAGTAATGCTGAGCTCTGTTTGACAAGATTATATCCGGAAGGCAGACGTGTATCATGTCTCATATTTATACAACACAGACTAGAATCTGGCCGCTCTGCCGGTGTCTGCAGGAGGGCTGGGTAGGCCTCTGGTCTTAAGTGAGTTATTTGACTAGCTACAGAGACAGGTCAGCCAGCCTCGGCAGTTCCTTGTGCCAGGATTCTGAGAGCCTGGTGGATGGGCCAGTCTGCCCCAGGAGTTGCACCAAGGGGTGGGACTGAGCTGGGTCTGCTGAGGAAGCTGTGCCAGTGAAGGGGCAGCATGCCAAGCCAAGAAGCCGTGGGTGCAGAGCCTCATCGCAGTGGGAGCTGGCCTGTCGGGACCAGCATGGGCTCTGGAGGGCCAGTGTGTGGGCATGGAGGAGTTTTGGACAAGCTATTTTAACCTGCGTAACGCTCACTTATCTTTGGCCAAGTGGGGGCACTTCCTCACGAGGTCAGCATGAGAATTAAATGTTATAGTTCATAGTAGCTAGTCACTAAATGTTTATTTTTGAAAAATAGATGGGTGAATTTAAAAGGAGATGACAACCAGGCATGGTGGCACATGGCTTTAATACCAGCTACTTGAGAGGCTGAGGGAGGAGAATCACTTGAGCCCAAGAGTTCAAATCCAGCCAGAGCAACACAGTGAGACCTTGTCTCTTTAAAAAAAAAAAAAAAATTAAGGGCGCTCTCCTTTGAAGGACAATTCCAGTAATCTTATCATCCCTCCTGGCAACCTATTGCCACCAGAATTGTAGGCAAAAGTACAAAAGCTCAAGGAGTCTTCAGTCTAGCAATTAAATATCTGCTTTAATCAGTTCGCCCTGTATTGCACACCGGAAGTAATGGCAACTGGGATAAATGTAGATGTTGTTTGGAGTCAATCGTTTGTTGTTGTTCACATTGAAGAGTGTATGTAAACTGTCTCCTCCTGGCTCCCCTCTAACCCAAATCACGTGTTCTGGTGCAGATCACTTAATGTTTCTGAGCTTCAGTTTCCTCATCTGTAAAAGTGAGGTTCATTATTTCCTAGGTACTATTTTGTTAGTTGACTTTTTTAAAAAAATAAGAGTAGTCTTAAGTATCCAGGAAACTTTTAGACATTGTTTCAGGCTGATTTTAATAGTGTTCTCTGTCTACTTATGTGACTGTTTTACGGGAGCATGAAAAGCCCTTATCAGTTGATGTGAAAGAACATTTATGCACGTTTAGTTCAGATCAGCAATCACGCATTGCAGGCTTACCTCACTAGGAACTTCGAATGTAAAAGTGATTAATACCTGGCCTGCTGCTGCCTGGTGAGGGTTCCCGGGTGTTCTGAAGCTGTGGTATGGTAGACAGCTGGAGCGACTTCTCTCTGACCCAAATTAATAGGACTACCAAAGAGATAAATTATGACAGTTTTTTAAAGATGGAGTCTTGCTCTGTCACCTAGGCTGCAGTGCAGTGATGCGATCTCGGCTCACTGCAACCTCTGCCTCGCGAGTTCAAATGATTCTCCTGCCTCAGCCGCCCGAGTAACTGGGATTACAGGCATGTGCCACCATGCTTGGCTAACTTTTTTATTTTTTTTAGTAGAGACGGGGTTTCACTATATTGGCCAGGCTGGTCTTGAACTCCTGACCTCAAGCAATCTACCCACCTTGGCCTTCCAAAGTGCTGGGATTACAGGTGTGAGCCACCGTGCCCAGCCTCTGATATTGATCTTATAGCTTGATTAAACTTTAATTTGAATGAGTTTTAGTTCACTTGTCATTTCTGTACCTTTTCTTATGACTTATCTGTCACTGTGATTTGACTTTCCTCTTCTGCTAAATAAATTGTTATTTAGCAGGTAAGGGGACAGTGAAGGAAGGGGAGATAAAATCATTAGATTTATTCATAGGACCCTCTAAAAGATAAACTAGATTTTATTCAACAAATACGTATGTACCCATCATCGTCCAGGCACTATTCAAGATGCTAGTGTTGCATCAGTGGCCAAAACAAAGATCCCCACCCTTGTGGAGCTTGCAGTCTAGCAGGGTGGAGACACTCAATGAAAAACAAACACAGGAGGTAAGTTTTGATGTATGTTGGAGTTTGGTATGTGCTAGGAGAAAACAGTAGAGCAGGGAAAGAGGGCATGGGAGGCAGGATGAAGTACTAGTAAGAGTGCTCAAAGTAGGTCTCATTGAGAAAGTGAGATTTAAGCAGAGACCTGAATCACTCTGGAGTCAGGAGAGTCGTCCAAGCAGGTATCTCGGGGGAGAGCTTTTCAGGCAGAGGGTTTAGCTAAAGTAAGGCCCTGGGGTGGACATGTGCCAGGCAGGTTGAGGAACAGCAAGGCCAGGTGGTTGAAGTTAAGAGGATCCTAGGAGATGAGGTCATGGAAAGTCAGATTTGCAAGGCTTTGCAGGTCACTGTTAGGACTTGGAATGAAAGCCCGAGTCAGATGGAAGCAATTACAGGATTTTGAGCCAAGGTATGACATCCAACTGGACATATTAACAGACTTAGTCCAGAGCAATGAGAATAGAATGGCGTGTGGCAGTCAAAGGTGGATGGAAGCAGGGAGCTAGTAGGAAATACTCCAGTAATCCAGGTGAGAGATGCTGGTGGCCTGGACCAGAGTGGAGACAACAGAGGTGGTGGTCGGGGAGCCGGGGGGGGGGGTCCCCCTCCAGCTATATTTTGGAGGTAGAATCAACAGGTTTTCCTGAGAGATGGGATTGTGAAGGATGTGACATGCAAGAGAAAGGGGAGTCATCAAGGGTGACTGTAATTTTGGCCTGTTTGGCCTGGCCTACAATAAGAATTGTCAGAACAGGGGTGGGGAGCAGCAATCAGGAATTGAGTTTTCTCCTTTTAGGTAGATCAGGCTCATGCATTCTGCTCCATGTCTCCCCACCCCAACACAAGCACTTTCTAGCTTCAGGTCTAGTCCCCTTCCTTGGAGTATCCCCCTTGGATTGTAGTCCTTTTGTGAATAATTGTCTGTGCGGTGCTCAGTTATTAGTGTGTGGGTTATGTTTTTATGTTCCTGTGTTGTATAGCTGTTAACTACTGTTTTATACATGCATAGCAAGTACTTAATGAATGCTTGCTGAATTAATGAAGTAGGCACTCAGTAGCTACTTGGTTGATCTTGAAATAGATTTATAAGATGTTTTTGTTTTTCCATTTATATGATGATGGATAACAGTCTAAAGTGTACAGGAAATAAAGATAGAATCTAGATGTATTTTATGGATGAAGTCATTAACATGTGAGTGATTTAAAAGTCTTAGAGTTTTGTGTTTATGAAATGACTTTACATAATTCATTGGGGAGGGGAGGGGAAGTTTGAAAATGCTTAAAGTGCCAGAGAATTAATATTGTATACCTCATGATTTCACTTTATATTGATTCTTGGTGTTTAAACTTACGCATGCATACACGCACATACACACACACACACACACACACACACATTTTCCTCATTAGTAAGTTTTAGTTATAACATGTTTACTGGGGTCTCGTTTGCTTAATTCAGAGCACAAGATCCAGAGAATACATTCACCTTGTTGCTTGACTTGGATACACACGGAGCACTGAGCTCATGTGTAGAGCAGTAGGTACTTGCCCTCATGGAAGGCCCACTCAGTTCCTTGAGAGAGGTAGAATGTGTGCACAGAGGACTGAAATAAAAGGTAGATTTAACTTAGTACTGCGAATAAGACAGTGCATGGGAGTCCAGGTGATAGAGAGGAATTGTCAGTTTGTGTTAGAGGCTTGAGTGGGCAGCATTTGAATTCCCCCTTTGAAACATGGTCACAGTGTGACTTTTGGAGGAGTGTAGGTGGAAAGCGCACTCCTGATCTTGAAATGCTTTAGGATAGGTTTGATAAGCATACAGTAATTGATAAGCAAGGTACCCGGTGCTCAGGTCAGTGAAGGGAACTGAAGTGAGGAGCTGTCACTGTACCGTATGACACACAGTCGTGGACATGCACCATGATGTGAAGTAGGACAGAAGGAGGAGTAATTATGGGCAGTGGATAGGAAGGTTCAGAGGTGGCTTCTGCCAGTCTCAGTCTAAGAAGAGTTTTGAAAACAAGTGGAAGTTTGCCAAGCCGGCAGAGTCGGGGAAGGGCAGTCTGGGCCGAACCATATGGGATCCGTCTTGGCTGCCTCTCAGAACCAGCCGCTGAGGGGATACAGCAGAAAATGGGGCCCCACCCTGGATGTGAATCGGAATGTCTGTGCTGCCTAGACATTGGTGTTCTTTGAAAAGCTCCTCACATGCTTTTGATGTGCTGCTGGGTTTACAGCTGCTGTTGGAGGTGATAGCGGAAACACGGAAGATCAAATGGGGTGCCGACATGGCCAGGCCTGCACTTAAGATGGACAGGTCCTGGTGGCAGGTGTAGAACGTGGTTGGGGGTTAAGTGAAATGGAGAGTAATTCAGTAATTCAGACAAGACGTGATAACATCTTATTGGGGGCAGTGTCCGTGGCGGTGGGAGGAGAACACAGAAGGGGCTGCTTGCCTGCAGAGTAGGGTAAGGGATAGGGAGAAGTACAAAATGGCCTGCAGATTAGAGTCTCTGGGTCACCAATAGAGATGCCTGGAGATGGCCTGGAGCGGGGTCTGCAGACTACAGCCCACGGGCCAGATTCACCCAGGCGCCTGTTTGTTACAGTGCTTGAGCTAAGAATGGTTTTTGTATTTTTAAATGATTCTGTGTTTAATGGTTGTATAAGTCCCTACATAATAACCTCAATTTTCCCTCTTGACCTGCAAAGCCTAAAATGCTTACTGTCTGGCCCTTAAAGAAAATGTTTGCTGACCCTTGACTTGGATGACAAGCAGGTTAGGGGAGTGGGTGTGGCTACTCTTTATTGAGTACTTACTACGTGATAGGCAGTATTCCAAGCATTTTATATATGTCCTTTTTTTTTTTCCACTAGAAAATTCAGAAGCGATACATTGTCTTAATTCTATGCAGGAGTGGGTATGACAGCAGTGTGGTTGTTGGCATGGGCTAAAACCAGATGGGTTTGAGTTCCTGCCAGCTTCACTGTGTAACCTTGGGCCACACACTTCTTAACCTCTGTTTCCTCATGTGTAACATGGAGTAACTATGTTATTAATACAATAGCTGATAATGCTGAAAAATATTTTTCAGCATTAATTATCAGCTATTGTATTAGTTTCCTGTGGCTGCTGTAACAAATTCCTACAAACTGGGTGACTTACAACAACAGAAATGGGTTCTCTTAGAGTTCTAGAGACGAGAAGTCTGGAAGGACAGTGTGGCAGTGCCATGCTCCCTTCAGAGGCTCTAGGAGAGACCCCTCCCTTGCCTCTCCAGCTTCTGGTGGTTGCCAGCAGCCCTTGGTTTTCTTTGCTCTGCAGCTGTATCACCTCAGTCTGTGCCTCCCTCCTCACGTGGCATTGTCCCTGTGTGTCTGTCTCTGTGCCTTCTCTTAAGGACACCCGTTGTCCTAGATTTAGGGCACACCCTAACCTAGAATGACCTTACCTTAACTAATTACATATTCAGAGACCCTGTTTCCAAAAAAGGTCACAGTCAAAGGTTCCATGTAGATTTTAGGGGGACACTATTGAACACAGCGCAGTTTTTAACTCCCCCAAAGTGGTGTCATCTCATTTGGTGGCTGTGAAAACTGAGGCTCAGGGAAGTTAAGTGATTTCCAGGCTCACAGAGCTAATGAGGAGAGCTAGGATTCGAGTGCATTATTTGCCTTAAGTTGAGACTGGTATTTCTTACGCTACAATATATAACATGCTTGTTAGAAAATTGACTTATTCTACAGGCAGTCAGCAGCCACTAAAGGTTTCAAACCAAAGAGTGACGTTTAATCATAATCAAAATAGCTATCATGTTTTGAAGACTTCCTGAGTGCCAGGCATGGTGCTTTGTGTTTTATATTCATTATATCTATTTAAGCTTCAGAGGAGCTTAAAAAAGTATTTACCTCAAAAAAGCTGAGGTAAATACTCTTCTTATACCCATTTTGCAGACAGGAGCTGAACCACAGAAATTTTTTTTTTTTTTTTTTTTTTTTTTGAGACAGTTTCGCCCTTGTTGCCCAGGCTGGAGTGCAGTGGCGTGATCTCGGCTCACCATAACCTCCACCTCCTGGGTTCAAGCGATTCTCCTGCCTCGGCCTCCTGAGTAGCTGGGATTATAGGTGCCCGCCACCACACCCAGCTAATTTTTTGTATTTTTAGTAGAGACGAGGTTTCATCATGTTGGCCAGGCTTGTCTCAAACTCCTGACCTCAGGTGATCTACCCGTCTCGGCCTCCCAAAGTGCTGGAATTACAGGTGTGAGTCACCCTGCCCATCCAAACCACAGAAATTTAAACTGCGAGTTCCTGGAAGCATCCTTCACTGGTGCACCCTGGCTCCCTGAGGCAGGGCTTTTGGAAGTTACTCCTGTTGGTTGGGCAGAGATGAGGAGGCTCTTAGAGTACTCCAGGGGAAGAGTTGGCTTTGGAAAGGAACAGGTGAACTCGAGACACCTGCCAGGTATCATGGCAGGACCTGGTGAGGCGCTGGCTCTCCTGAGGAATCTAGTGTTACCTTAGAGGTTTTAAGTTTGGGTGGTAGAAAGTAGTGAAGCCAGTGATAGAAGAGGTAGGCAGACTGAGAAGAGGAGCAGGACTAAAAGGAAAGACAAGGAATGGGGCTGAAGGGAGTCTTAGAAAATCCTTTTTCTTTTATTGTGTTTTTATTGTGTTTAGTTATGTTGACATTTGCGATTTTCACCAAAGCCACGTGTTGTCTACAGCAAGACATTTTTAACTAAATGCTGATAGATGTTAGTGTGGATAATCTGTAAATTTTCACGTTTTATGATTTGTATTTCACATATATTTTAAAACTTGATACAATTTTAGATGCTTTGTTCTGTCTTTAGTTGGTTATTTATGATTTCATACAAGGATGTCCGGATGTGGTCAGAGTAAAGACTCACAGCCACCGGACACCTGGGCCCTGCCAGTGCGAGGCAGCGGGAAAACCACAGGAGTGAGGCGTGTCCTTACATTTAAAACAGCTGAGTTAGGAATTATCTCCACAGCCTCGTGATCGTGAAGGGATGTGAAGCAGCACTCAGGATAACGAAGAGTGCTTGTGCTGCTCACCAGTCGGTACCACCGTGGCATACATGGCAATTGGGACAATGGAGTTTACAATTTCAGACAAAAACTGGAAAATTACTTGAAAACGAGAAATGCATTATTTGCAGATATTCTGCTAACTCCAGCATGAACCACAGTGCACTCAGATAGGGTCCCATAAGTGCCCTGGCTCTGCGTGTGTGCTCTATCTTGCCTTGCCTTGGCTTCTCTCGTAAAGAGCAGGGGCCACTTTACTCTCTTCCTGGCCCCATCTAGAGGGACTTCTGTTTAGATTTATTTTAGCAGCTTCTATTTAGATTTATTTTGGCTTGGGTCTCCCTTTATCTTTCTAGAAAAAAAGAAAATAAGGTTTTACCTTTCATTAAAGGTACTTTCCCAAGTTCACTCTTTGGTACAGATATGCTTGTTGTATGTCACGTGTCGAAAGTGTTGGCAGCTTGCAAACATATCTATTGTTGCTTTTTTTTTTTCTTTTTTTTTTTTTGTAGAGACCAGTATGCGTGCACATGCCTCAGGTAATTAAAGAACTGGGCACTGCAGACCTGAGGCCCCTATTTGTGTTCTCTGAATTTGAACCATTATATGGGTTTTACTTTTACAAAGTTAGTTTTTTAAAAGTTTCATTGTATGGTCAGCATTATCAAGGATAGTATGTCTACCTTATTTTATTAAGATTCTGTGGGTATCAGATCTTTAAGAAAAGAAACAATACATGGTTTTCTTTCTTACTCTCAAATTTTAAAGTCTTCATCTATATTTGCTTGGCTACAGGCAAATCAACATTGCCACCATACCCAAAAACACTTCTCAAATAAAGACACTGTGTTTTCAGAATTCTCCTGAAACTATCACCCTAGTAATTTTATCACGTTTAATATTCATTATGGGCTGGAACACAAGAACCTTTATGTATATAAAATTACCAGCAAGAAACAGTTTTACCAAATAAACCACAAGAGGTACAATCATGTGATTTCTCTCTTCATTTTTGGAATGAGGTAAACTGTATGACTATATATGCATAGTAACTAAAATAATCATCTTTTAAGGTATTTATACGCAAGTGAATATTTGTATTCAAACTGAATGTCATTCTGCCTTTAGACATTAGGTGATTGCTGAATGAAGCTATAAGAACTACTTAATTAGAATATTATAACAATGCTTTTACCTGAAACAGACTAATGATATTTTCAGGATGAAATCAAGCTTAGAGGCCTGAATTCTTTAAGTGATTTTTTTTCCATCAAGTGACCAGGTTTTTTTCTTTTTGCAGTTGACTATGCTTGTCTTGATCCTCTTCCCTCCTTTTCAAAATGGTTCAAAAGTTCTCTTTGTCATTTATTATATTTATGAATTAAAAAGTGAATTTTAAATTACCTTTGAATTTTGATAGTTATTAGCTTTAGGGACCTTCATTAGTCCATTCAGAAAATTGCTTTCCCTGACTTGAGTTCAGTATTAATTTTGTACCCTCCAGGGTTTATTAATGTGGTCTAAACCTGGAACCCACTTAGTATGAATCCATGCAGGAATAGTATTTAGGGTCTGGAGGTGGTTTGTGGGTTGCTCATCCCTATGTTGGTGGCATAGGCTCCTAGGAGGCGTTGGGTACTGGTGTAGTGTGCTGTGCTTTGAGGCCGATCTATGGGGCTTTGCGATCGCCATGGGTAGGGTATCCCCCCTTGGGCCACATACAAGGGAATTGCCTGAGTTGGGCAGACCCAGGTTCACATGCAGCTGGACACTGAGTAAAATTATTTAGTTTCTCTGAGTTTCACTTTCTGCCTCTGAAAATGGTGGCAATGATTACTTTTATTTCACGGTTAAAGAGAAGAAAATGAGACATGCGAAGTGCAGAGCACAGGTGTGCACAGTGCAGGCGCTTCTCTGTGATGATCAAGTGGCTGGACGGCTGCCCTAGTTCTCTATTTTAAGTGGATGCTGGCCTTTGCTTTTTGAGACATTTTGCTCAAAACAATATGAAAAAGTAAATATTAGAGCAGAGAGGGGGAAGGGTAATCAACAAGTAGGTGGAGACCAACAGGGAGGAAGGAAAGGGGAGGGGAAGAAGTTAATGGGGAGTTAGTAGGGAAGGCCAGGGTGTGGATCCCAGCAATGAGAGGATAAGAACCCAACAGGCCACGCTGACCAAATTAGCATTTTCTTTCAGCATGTTACGTGTGCCAGGGAATGAAGAAAAACAGGCCGAGTCCAGTCTTGAGCGACTTCTAAGCAGCTGTCCCTGCTGCCCTTCAGCCTGTCTCCTGTTCTTTCCCGTACACCATGGCTTCTGTTTCCTGGGGAAGGGCCCCTGGAAGACAGAAATCGAGTTAATGTTTTTGGCACATTCATGATTTCAAAATTAAATAAGGTGCTTTCTTTTTTCTTTTTTTTTTTTTTAAGGGAGAAAATGTAGCCTTTGGATTCCTGTTGCTTAGTGACTGGGCCTTTTGTATAATTAGTCTTAGAAGAGACAAAACATACTGAGAATAAGAGATTGGATTGAGGAAAGGAAGGCAAAGTTCAGGTACAAGGACTGGATGGGGTTGGACTGGGAGCTCTTGGAGCCATGGCAAGCCCTGTGGGGACCTGAGTTTGGGGGCAGGCAGAAAGAGGGAAAACGGTAAGGAGGCCAGACAGCTTCTTTAAAGGGAGGGCAGGGCCTTGCCTGGTTAAAATGGCTGAGGCAGTACAGTGTATGAGGGCTTTTTTTTCTTTCTTTCTTTTTTTTTCCCCCTGTCTCACTTTGATGGGTCAGAAGTTTCCAGGAAAGTTCTGGTTAAAATGCCTGAGGCAGTACAGCGTATGAGGATTTGCTTTTTTGTTTTGTTTTTTTTTTCCCTCTGTCTCACTTTGATGGGTCAGAAATTTCCAGGAAAGTTGTTCTCCCTGCAAATGAGAAGCAGAGGAACATGGAACAGAGAAGTTTAGTGCAGTGCAAGTACATCTGCTAGTGTGCTGGTTGAGTTTCAGCTTGCAGTGTGTTCTTAATATGTGCTCATGGGCTACATGACTCGAGAGATTCACTACTCTCATACTGTCATTCTAGAAAAAAATTGGCATTGAAATCCTAAGTGTTAGCGTTTACTGATGGAAATAGTTTAATGATATGCTGTGTAAATACTGTGATGCTTTTGAACATGGTGCTGATTTCTAATTCATAATTTATAAATGATTTTTAAAAATTTGAGCCTTTTAAGGTAATATTAATGAACCTTGTCACATGATTAAATTCTTTTGTTTTCATTGTTTTATATTCATTGCAAACATGAGTAACATAATTCCTCTAAAATTGAGAATATATGTATTATAAACAAAGACATAGTTATTTCTTGCTTTGGTCTTTTCAGCCTGAGCATCCTTTAGAACTGCGAGATGGCTTACATTGGTTAGATACAAAGAAAAAAGGTAGGAGGGGATAGAAGTGAATTTAGGACATTCGATTTCTCTGGAGCTAGGACTGGTGATGGAGAAGTGGGGCAAAGTACCTTTCTCTGAGCTTGGGAAATTGCACTGATATGAAAATGAGCCCTGTTGGGAATTTTCCAGGTACAGAATCAGCGTGGGAATCTAGGAGGTTTTGTTAATAACAAATCCTAAAGCAAAGTAAAAATATTGGTTTAATTTTCCTTTTAACTCTCAAAACATAGAAAGGAAAGGACCCTTTTCAACAATGTAGTAGGGTCAAGTCTCCATCTCAGGCCTCAATACACTAATCCACTCAATCTGTGCCCACAAAGAGGGTAATAGGTCTCCTGAATGAGGATGCCCTGCTTGGAAGGGAGAATGGGACGTGCCAGGGCTGGCAGGCATGTGGAGGTGGGGTCTTTGCCATGAATTAGCTGTGGGACTTTGAACAAGTAGCTCACCCTCTTGTTTGTAGAATGGAGAGACTTGTATAAAAACTCTTCTAAGACCTTTTTAGCTTTATTAAAAACAAAAATTTGAGAGCCAGCTCTGCCCTTCTTACCTGGGAGGTAGCTCTGCCTTGCCTTCCCCAGAGGGCATCTCCAGGACTGGAGTGTGGGAAGGTGCCCTTGGGCTCCTGCCTCTCATTTAGGAATTAGACCTCAGGGTTATTAGTTCCTGAGTGCACTTTCTGTCCTGTGGAAGAATTCGAGTAATCCACCAAACTAATTCAGTAATTAAGTTGAACTCTCAACCAAAACTTCACTCTCAACAGGTAAACCTAGAGCTTACTCTAGGATCCTTCCTGCCTCCTTCACAGAGATCCCCTGAAGAAGAAATAGCTGCAGTGTGTTGGAGGCTCAGCCTAGGCGGCACTCTGGGCTCCTTTTGCCTGTTCGGTATCACTGTATTGGGATGTGGTTGAAATCGATTGCCTCACTTTAAATAATTATTTTTCCTGTACTTCAAATTCATTTTTTTTTTATTATACTTTAAGTTCTAGGGTACATGTGCACAGCGTGCAGGTTTGTTACATATGTATACATGCGCCATGTTGGTGTGCTGCACCCATTAACTAGTCATTTACATTACGTATATCTCCTAATGCTATCCCTCCCCCCTCCCCCAACCCCACGACAGGCCCCGGTGTGTGATGTTCCCCTTCCTGTGTCCAAGTGTTCTCATTGTTCAATTCCACCTATGAGTGAGAACACGCAGTGTTTGGTTTTCTGTCCTTGCAGTAGTTTGCTCAGAATGATGGTTTCCAGCTTCATCCATGTCCCTACAAAGGACGTGAACTCATCATTTTTTATGGCTGCATAGTATTCCATGGTGTATGTGTGCCACATTTTCTTAATCCAGTCTATCATTGATGGTCATTTGGGTTGGTTCCAAGTCTTTGCTGTTGTGAACAGTGCCGCAATAAACATACGTGTGTATGTGTCTTCATAGTAGCATGATTTATAATCCTTTGGATATATACCCAGTAATGGGATGGCTGGGTCAAATGGTATTTCTAGTTCTAGATCCTTGAGGAATTGCCACACTGTCTTCCACAATAGTTGAACTAGTTTACAGTCCTACCAACAGTGTAAAAGTGTTCCTATTTCTCCACATCCTCTCCAGCACCTGTTGTTTCCTGATTTTCTAATGATTGCCATTGTAACTGGTGTGAGATGATATCTCATTGTGGTTTTGATTTGCATTTCTCTGATGGCCAGTGATGATGAACATTTCTTCATGTGTCTGTCAGCTGCATAAATGTCTTCTTTTGAGATGTATTTTTCAGGCTGGGCGCTGCAGCTTATGCTTATAATCCCAGCAGTTTGGGAGGCTGAGGCGGGCGGATCACTTGAGCTCAGGAGTTGGAGACCGGCCTGGACAACATGGTGAAACCTTGTCTCTACAGTTTAAATTAAATAAAGAGAGAGAGAGAGAAGAAAATTTCTTTTCAGTTGTGTAACTTGGAGAGGCTGCACTACTTCATGTATGAATAGTGTTTTCTTCTGAATTGGAAACGGTACTACTTAATTGTTAGGTTTTTTAAAGAGTATATTCACACTGGTCTGTATTGTCAGCCGCTTTTTAAATCTCTATTTAATGTGCACCTGCACTTTCTTTTCATAATAAAATCGTAATATGCTCATGCTATTCCAGATGCAGCTAACTAATGAAGCAGTTTCAGTTTACAGTGACATTGTCGTTGGAAAATGTTTTTCCCTCTGATTATACCTGTTTATTATTTTCTTTCATCTTAAAGCTGTTCCCCTAACTATGAGTACTGTGGGATCTTTTGTTTGTTCTAACAGTGATGTTTTTGACCTTAAACTTCATTATATAATTGCTCCCCCATTCTTTCATTTCCGTCTTCTGTTTTGAAAGCAGAGTGGTGGCAATATGATGTTTATGAGGGGAGGGGGCTGGCAAGGGGGCATGTTCCTCCTAAATTAGCCACTTAAAAAGCAGAGCTTTCAATGCTATTGCCTGTTTTCATATTGATTCCATCATGAAAAATGTGTAGTCCTTGTGTTATTTAGATTCTGGGCAACATTTTTAGTTTTCATTTACACTCCTCGGGTTTGGTTAAAAAACAATGCAGTACAGCCATGAGAATGCTTTAAAAATGCTGTCATACTTTGTTACAGCTCTGCAGCTGGTTGTATTGTACCTCTGCAGTTGTTTCTTAGGCAGCTACAAATTACTTAATTTCTAAAGCTATCCTAGAAGTAGCAAGTCTATGATGATCTAACTCTGCTCCAGTAGTTTCCGCTTCCAACATGCTAGAGCTGAAAATTTTGCTCTCTGCCTTTCTTGTGATATTTAAAATTTTGAATATGAAGATAATTGTGAAGCCTGAAAATATGTACACATAATTCCCAGTTTGAGCAGTGTCAGATCAACTGTAAGAACCCAATCATTTGTAACAAAACCCAGATTCTACTTCTAATAATAATACTATTTCACTCACATCTAGCCAACACTTGTAATATTGTTTCTATTGGAAAAATATGTTTCCACTTTCTTTTCTAGTGAACTCAGAGCTTAGGAGCTCAGTGGGCAGAGGCGGGTAGAGGGAAGCTTCCTGGGAACCCCAGAAAGTGGTTCTGCGTGTTAGTCCCCAAGTGTTAAACACTCATGCTCTCTGTCTGTGGATCACTTGAGCTGTTTAAAAGATGTCATATTTTTTTTTCTGTTTACTTCTAGTCAGAACTAGTCAATTGACTTCCATAATTAGCTTACCGTTTTCATAGGGAGGAAAGCACTGATACCTTTACTGTTTGTTAAAAGGTGTACAGAAAAAACTAATTGGAAAGTTGTGAGATGAATTTTTTAAAAAACAAATTACTTTCTTGGGAAAAGATGTATATATTTTAAAACTTTGCAAAGTATTTTATAAGAGTCAACTTTTTTTATTTGGCTTCAGATGTTGGAAGACCCTTGGCATTGTCATTCTGAACATTAACAGCCATTCGCTTCAATTCAGGATATAATCAGGAACTCTCGATTTTTAATTTGTTTTAAGTATATTACTATCAACTTGTTTTATTGCTAATCATCTTTTAACTTTCTTTTGAAGGTGGATCTGGGAAAAAATCAATTTAGTTACATTTCAGTTAAAGGAAGTTATTTTTGTTTTTTAAACTTGTTCTACATTTGTGGGTACAATTTTATGGAGACATAATCTTCCTTGATTACACGTAGCTCTCCTTACTCTTTAAATTTGTACATTTAAAGTATGCTATTTAATACCTTCATTGACCATTTTATATAGTTTTTATTTTTTAATTTTTTAGACAGGGTCTCACTTTATTACGCAGGCTGGAGTGCAGTGGTGCGATCATAGCTCATTGCAGCCTGGAATTCCTGGACTCTCCCGCCTCAGCCTCCTGAGTAGCTGGGAGTACAGGTGTGCGTCACCACACCTGGCTAACAGTTTCTCTTCTAAATAGTTGTAGTGCTTGCTTTGAAGTCAGTTATGCATTCAGATCCCATCTCAGCCTCCTGCTGGGTTACCTGGATGACTGTCAGGCTCAAAGATGTTGAGTAACTTCCTCAATTTCCTTGTAGTAAAACTAGGAGTAATGTCTGTTGTAAAGTTGTAGTGAAGATTAGAAACAGTAGATGGAAAGTGCCTAGCATATGTTATTACTATTTCTAGCAGCTACCATTTACTGTTCAGATATTCTATTCCCTGCCCTCCACCCTGCCACCATCCATAGTGCAGTGCTGGGCATGTAGCAGGCCCTCTGAGCATTTTCCGTTGTCACATTGGTCACGTTATCTTGGAGAAAGCCATATTCAACTCCCATGCAGAATTGTGCTTCATGGACCTATTTCACTTTGCGTCAGGGTAGTGTGCCTGCCCTGACGGTGCTTTGTGGTGTGTCTCCTGTTTGAATCTCCCTGTTCTATCAGTGTGCTCTATACATGCCAGCCTTTCCATAAATGTTCACGTTAAAATTCTCACCCTGGAGCCCAACCTTTTGGGGACTTTTAAAAATAGCAACATTTTGTGTTATTCACTTAATAAATTCATACTTGGGAAAAAATGAGTCTTTGGGTTTTTTTGTTTTGTTTTGTTTTGTTGTTTTCTTGTTTTTTGTTTGTTTTGTTTTGTTTTGTTTTCTTGAGATGGAGTTTCGCTCTTGTTGCCCGGGCTGGAGTGCAATGGTGCGATTTCGGCTCACTGCAACCTCCGCCTCCCGGGTTGAAGTGATTCTCCTGCCTCAGCCTCCCGGGTACTTGGGATTACAGGCGCCCACCACCACACCTGGCTAAAAATGAGTCCCAAATTCTTCTTGGCTCCTCTAGTATGTATGCTTAGGAAGCTTGAAGATATTACATGCTGGCAGATCCTGGGGCCTCAAAGAGATGTTAATACTTATTGCTGTATCTGAGACTTTGGAAAATGTATGCTGATTTAATAAGTTGTAAAAACTTTAGACTTGTTCTTTTTTTTTTTCTTCTTTGAGATAGGGTTTTACTCTGTCACCTAGCAGGCTGGAGGTGCAGTGCTGTGATCACGGCTCATTGCAGCCTCAACCTCCTGGACTCAGATGATCCTCCCTCCTCAGCCTCCTGAGTAGCTGAGACTATAGAAATGCACTGCCATGACTGGCTAATTTTTTGTATTTTTCATAGGGATGGGGTTTCACCATGTTGCCCAGGCTGGTCTCAAACTCCTGACCTCAACCCATCCCCCTGCCTCAGCCTCCCAAATTGCCGGGATTTTAGGCATAAGCCACCGTGGCAAGCCCTGGACTTGTTGATTTTTAAATTGGTTGTTACGGATGGACATCTGTAATTCTATATAACACAGTGCAGTTTGTCAAAATATGGTGAACTAATTTGGAGTTTGACAAGCTGCAACTTAGTTGACAATCACCCAATTCAAGGCCAGGTTTCAGAGCTTCTCTATACTGGACTCTGTTCTCTATGATGAAAAGCTGGGCTCTAGTAATTAGAGCAAGTAATACTTGCAGAATATTACCAGTGCAGGCAACAACTGTTAAGACAGGTCAGGATCTGAGCAGGGAAGGATCCTGCGTACTGGTCCTTAGCATTTGAACATGGGACTGGCTTCCTCCAGTACCTTGGATTGAAATCAGATGAAAATATAGTCAAATCACTTGAGATTTTTCTCTTTTAATTTCCTATTCTCTTTATCATTATAAAACATGTATTTTATCGCTACACATTCTCAGTCTTTCTGAATTTTTTTTTCCTTTAGTTTTACCTGTTACACTTTCCTGGTCTTTTCTTTTTTTTCTCTCTCTCTTTTTTTGAGACAGAGTTTTGCTCTTGTTGCCCAGGCTGGAGTACGGTGGCGCAATCTCGGCGCAATGCAACCTCTGCCTTCCGGCTTCAAGCGATTCTCCTGCCCCAACCTCCCGAGTAGCTGGGATTACAGGTGCCCGCCACCACGCCCGGCTAATTTTTGTATTTTTAGTAGAGACAGGGTTTCACCATATTGGCCAGGCTGGTCTCGATCTCCTGACCTCAGGTGATCCACCCACCTCAGCTTCCCAAAGTCTTAGGATTACAGGCGTGAGCCACCGCGCCCGGCCCTCCTGGTCTTTTCAACTTCAATTTCTGTATATGAAATGTGAAACCTGTACAAATATAACAAAGATAAATGTTTTGCAATAAATTATTATTAATTTTTTATGTTGGGGAGATGTCTTTCTCTTCAAGCAGGCAAATGTTAGTGCTTTGCTGATACTGTCAGCCACAGTAGAAATGTTTAAAGGGCCCTATTTTCAGAGTGATGGCTTCTTAGTAGAACTGGGACAGGGGTCTTCCTCTGTCTAGCAGAGTGCATTTCTCTGCCATGGGTTAGGTGGAAGTGGTGTGGGTGGGGCATGTGTGCTCTGTGCACCTGCAGTACATGTGTTCTTGTTTCAGGACTTTGCTGCTTTTCACTTAAAGGTCTCATTTAGAATAAATCAATGAAAATAAATGTGTACATATGTGCACACCTACACGTACATATATATGGATGAAATTTGCTGTTGGTGCTTTTTCATTTCTCAGGTCTTTGAACTATGCCAAAAAAGCATACTGCTTTACGTTTAAGGGTTTTGTTTAATATTATATTATTCTTTAGGAGATTTGAAGAAATTTAGAAATAGGGCATCTTCCCTTGTATATTTCACTATTGGGCAAAACAACATTTCCGAAACAAAGTCTCTCAGTTTCTGTACCTCCTCCTACTCAAGGTTCCTGGTTCCCTCCTCAGTAGTACTGTGTTCTCAGACTGCCAAGCCAGGCACTCTAGCTGTTTGTCTCTGTGTTCTGTCTTGCCTTTCAGTATGGTTTAGTGGAATGAGTGCTAGGCACAGTCGGGAAATCTGAATTCTTAAGCTGGCTTTGTTCAAGTGATTTGAGCTTTATTACTACTCATTCCTAAGAACTCAGGAATAGCCTATTTCCTACCCCTAAACATCCTCAAACTTTTGTGTCTTTGTATGACTGTGCTTTCGGGGGAGGGCCTGCGTTCGTATGGCACCTGCCGGAGTGGTCAATCCTTCACCCCCACCCCTGCAACACCCTCTGTTGATACTTCTAGGCATGAGATTATGGAACCGCTGGCATCATTCCTAAGTCATCATTAGGGCAGAGTTAACACTCACCGATCCTTATAGTCCCAAAAAAGGGGCAAATTCTTATTAAAGCCCTTGTACTCCAGGTGTGGGTCTCCCGATGCAACGTGAAGTCAGAATCAGACATGTGTTCGCAATTCACCCCTTCACCAGGCACTTTCTGTGTGCTGAGCACTTCAGCTAGGTGTTTACTCTGGATGACAAGATAATGGGCTAGGCCAGCCCTCATGAGGGTGACCTCCAATTGTAGACTGGCAACATTGCCAAGCACCCTCCATGACTGTGACATGATTCCAAAACACAACCTGTGTTGGTACTAACTTGTTTCAGAGACTGGTTCTAGAGTCTGAATTATTTAGTGAGACTTTCTGAGGAAGTGGGTTTGGATCCTTTATGGGATGTTTTTATAAACAGTATAATTCTCTTAATATATGTGGAAATAATGATGTCACACCTTTTGAGCCTGTGAAAACTGCAGTTTCTTGTTGTGTCTTTTTAAGGACATTTCCTTGCAGTTTATTATCAGTTATGTATAGCATCTCTACTTGGAAGAGATGGGATACTACAGATTCTTGGTCAATGTAACAAACACTAGTTTTTGAAGAGAAATTTTAACAAAGGGAGTGTTTTCAGAAACTTTACCAGATTCCTTCTTTTTTTAAAATGAGTAATTATGGTCCTCACTTTAAATTTCAAAGGTATTGAAAATAGTTTGGGCAACTATTTATAATGCCCAAGATTCTGTTTAATATGTAGTTATGTTCTTGGGATATGTGGATATATAGGTTTTTAATTAATTGTTATTTTTAACTACAGGAGCTCTTACCAAAGTCAAGGAGAGTAGGCGACACGTGGAGGAAGGGAAGATGGAGGTGCAGAAGGCTGACGGCATTCAGGATCGCTGTAACACTATTTCTTTTGCCACTTTGGCTGAAATTCACCACTTCCATCAAATTCGAGTGAGAGACTTTAAATCACAGATGCAGCATTTCTTACAACAACAAATAATATTTTTCCAAAAAGTTACCCAGAAGTTGGAAGAAGCTCTTCACAAATATGATAGTGTTTAATGACTGGACGTTGGATTATGGACTTTTTCAGTTCAAGGATAATTTCTACAGCAGAATAAAAACTGCTGTCAAAGAGCTATTGCCAGCTATCAGTGGTGGTACAAGGACGGTTTTGTGTTCATCTGAAACCCAGCTGAATTTATAATTATGTAGGAAATAAACAGTTAATATGGTTATATAATAGAAACAGTACCACACATTGTAACTAAATTATACTATGTATGCCTACACTACCATTGTAACTTTTGGAATAATGATTATACTATTTGCCTTATTGCTTTTTGAAGTATGGGTATTTTAGTGCATACTTTGTAGACCTCAAAACCCATGAAGGGTCTCAAAGAAGCTGGCTGGATACAAGCCTGCTGTGGATGCCTTTTTACTCTCATAGATTGGGATTACCTAAATTCAACCTATTCTCTGTTTACAAACTCCAACTAGAGCAGCTATGCGACCTTGTGCCTTTAGACTCTTGGTTTTTCATTTCTCCCCGTCCCTTCCCCACCTTTTTAAAGTAAGCCACAGCTTTTCTGATTGAAAGAGTGAAAGGCCAGTGCATATAATGACAAACTGATGATAACCTTATATTGGCAGTAGGGGGTGGGGGGGGCGGTGGGGTGGGACGATCAGCTGTCATCAATTTGCACAGCAAGTATTATCTCCTGATAAGATGCTGGTGAATGCAGGGGAGTGAGATTCATTGCTCATCTTTGGATATGAAGTCTGTTAGGGAAGAAACAGTGCCACTATTCCCTTAGATGCAACAGTAGCATAGCCTCTTCACCCAGGCGTCCCAAAAGCTTGGCGTGAAGATTTCAGCAAACATGTCTTACAACATGAGGAGGAGGAGTCTAAATCAGTCAGGGGATAAAAGTATCGAATCATTGACAACACACACTTGGCTTTAGTTCTTAGGAGGGTTTTGTTTTTGTTTTTGTTTTTAGGTTGAAGATTTTCTTTTAATATTCAGTTTTTTGAAAAAAAATGGATCTACACTGTTAACTGATTGAGACTCCACTGTGATTCACTTGTTTACTTAAAAACTTTTCAGGGATGTCTGTAAATTTCAGTGTTAATATGTCATGAAAAGTGGTGTGGATTGATCTAAGGAGGGACCAGAAATAATTTTTGCTATTCCAAATACTGAAGGAAAAAGATAATTGATTTATACTATGTTTTAAAAAAAAAAAAGGTATTGATGAGCCCCCCCCCCCCAGGACATTTAACCTTAAAATTTATTTTAAATGTATTCTTTTATTATTATAAGGGAAATACAGATGGCTGATAAATACCAAAAAGATTCAAAAGCAGCTTAATTTAAAAAGCACAAAGAGATTCTGGCTTACAGTGCCCCAATCTCAATGTTTTTATAGTTGCTGAGCTAACTAATGTGATTATTGAGTTTACAGATTTAAAAATTGTCACTGTTAGAGTATCTACTGTTTTTATGAAGTCAAACTTATGCTGCCTCAGAAATCCCTGGGTACTGAAATGGTAACATGGAAGTGAAGAGGTCACTTTGAAATATTGGTGAGTCACAAAGATTAAAGAAAAGGATCAGTTTGCAGATACTCAGAAAAGGTTATTGAAATAATTACTGAACAGCACATTTTCTCTCTAAAAAGTAGTTTCATATGGGTTGTATTTTTAAGATCAGATTATCATTTTGATATTTGGTCAAAATTTTGTACCTTAGGTTACTTAGAGCCAGATTTAACATCATGAACATTATGTGGCTTTGTCTTTACTACAGATATGTGGAACTGTAACCAAATATGTTGTCTCTAAAACTTGTTGATTGCAAAATACAGTTCTATAAACAAAACCCATATGTATATATAAATGTTAATTTTGCGGAAGTCTGGAAATTATAACTATAGCATTTAAGTTTGAGTCTGTATTGGACAAATAAGCACCATGCTTTTCAAATGATTTAAAAATTACTTTTATTTGCCTCTTTATTTTGATGGTGGTTGGATTTTTTTTTTTTTAATAGTAAAATCACTAAACTTGTGCAATGGTAGCATGGAAATTATCTGAGGTATATTGTATGATTGTACTTTAGCCAGGGTGGACATAGCTTAAATTATAAAAACTAAAGATGAAAGTACAAGGAAGTATAAGTTATACTTATGTAAGTATAAATTCATGCTGCCTACTTCTAAGAGAAATTTCATTCTTCATAACCACATAACATTATAATGCCACTGATTCATACGGGATTTACATTAATTCTATGGGGGAGGACACTAGAATTATTAGTGTTCATTTTCATCTAAGATCTTTATTCTCTAACGTTCTTGGTCCTATTGAAACATTGCAGTATGCAAAACTACTGCAATGTTAAACCCAAGAGAAAAGCCATTATCATGTGTATGCTGGTCATCATGATCAGTGTGGTACAATTTTTAAAAATAAACTATCATGCCCTTCATGCCATTATTTGTCTTTATTTCTATGATTTATAATCCTGATATGTGATGTGTTTGTAACACAGGGTGTGCACTTGAGCCTGGTTTTACTGTTTTTATTAGACAGAGTTGTTTATATGCTGTAACTGTAACGCAGCGAGACTGGTTCTACAGCCATGTGTCGTAATCTTGTTCCCCGTCCAAGCTGTTGTATCTGAAGGTACCCAGTTTGCACCCAGGATGAGGGAACGCATTCAAAAGTGAAATGTAAAGCCAGTGCACGAATATTATAGTAATTGAGATTTTCCCAGGCTTCACTGATACAGTTGTTTTGCATTTATTCACAATAATACAGCAGATTCTTAAATGCCGATTTTTAATTGTCTTAAATTTTGCTGCTGTTCTCATAATTAAGGACTTGAAAAATGTTTTAGTCTGTCAAGTATGTAAAGTTTGTGTAAAAACTTTTAAATGTCATTCTTAAGTTCATTGCCATAGCCATTTTCCATTTATGTCTTCATTTTCCAAAAATCAAATGCCATGTCTGATACCTTTAAGTCCATAAGCATTCAATTTTCTCATTTCCACCTTCATCTTTGGTTAACAGAATAAGTAAAACAGGGTATTATTTATTTGTAGTCTAGAAATGTTGAATATTGTTTTATTTCCTTCAAAATGTTATGATTAGTGCAGATCAGCCATGTTTATCTTTTTAAAAAATAAACAGGTTGCTTTATTTCTTAGCTTCAATGGAATATAATTATTTTTTCTCCACTCATCAAGGAGGCATTTATTTAATGTGAAGAATTACACAGAAAAATAGAAGAGCATGTTCTGTCTTGAGCTTCATCTGCAGTTACCATAGAAATTATTCATCAAACACTGTAGCTAATTTGATTAATTTAAAACCATCATCATTCAGATAGTCCCATGGAGTATCTGCTTCCATTAGTGACATCAGGAATTAAGCACATAGCAGTAAGTTGTGAGTGAGAGGTTTTGAAATAATAGCTCCCATGAGTCCAATACCTGAGACAGAAGCAGGTGCTTAAGTAAAGTACTTGACATACTGTCTGTTGGTTGCCATAAATAGGCGAACTCCAACACACATAAGCCAAAATATAATAGCTACGGGACCTGGCATATCTTGCAAGGGGCCAAAGTCCCATTTGGCAAAGCTTGCCCTCTTTGTGGGGCTTTGTAGTCTTGTATCTGCTTATCTTTACAGATTTGTTTTACATATATGTTTTTTCTCCTGGCCTGCCTTTCTTAGCATCTTGTAATGTCTAGAATGGCCTAGCCATCTTTTACTTCACAAATATACTTGGACCAGTGATGGACATCTGGACAAATCACCTACGGTTTGGGGAGGCTGTGAGAAGGAGAGCTACACTTAAAAGTATGCAAGAGAAGAAAGGACCTTTATCTGGTTATCCTCACAATGAACCTATGAGGAAGATAATATCTCTAGTTTATAGATGAGTTAAAGAGATCAGTGAAGTCTAATTTCTTTTGACCAAGATCACACAAACTAAATGATGGAGCTGAGATTCAAATTGGGATCTGGCTCAAGCCTATTATTTTTAAACTAGATTACACTGAATGTGATTTCTCTGCTTTTCAGAAATCCCTAACATCTTCCCAAGTCTCCACTCCTGGAATGATAGAGATTCCATCATTCTTTGGGCACTGGGCACAAAAGTACAAAGGGAACTTCCCAGAATCTGCTGTTTGCACCCATTTCTGCTGGGAAAGGTGAGAGTCTGTGCTGCTATGTCTGGTCTCTCAACAGAAGGTCTGACTGCAGTCTTACGTAGACTGGGAAGCATGCCAGATGTTACCTTCCAGTATTGTTATGAAGAGTGAGAGAAAGGGTCCAAAACTGACTGTTTCCCCTTCTCTCCAACTTTCACCTCCATGCAGTGCCAATAGAAGCACATTCCAGTTGCCATAACAATGGCCTTGGCAGAACCACAAGTCAAAAATTTGAACTCCAGTTGGTCAGAGTCAGGGTTACTCATGAGTACCACTTGGCCACAGGTGGGACTCAGGTGAGAGCAACAGAATTTGCTGAGTAATAAGCTCTGGAGAGTTTGAAGAGTGGTGGGGTAGACTTCTAGGCAGCGTATAGAGGGATGCTGCTGTGCTAGGGCTCCATGGGCAGGAAACCAGAAAAACCCAGCAGTGGAAGCCAGGCCTCTGAGGTGGGGGAAGTTAATCTGGGATTGGCTCATGGCTATAGCCTTTCCAGGGATCACAAGTCCTCCCTACTTGGCCCTGATCCCAGGATGTCTCAATCCTAACATCCCTGTGTCAGAGCTTCTCAAACTGCCTGCCTGTCTTAAAGGCCATTTCAGCTTCATTGAGTGACTTGTACCAGAAGCATGCCAAAGGCAAGACCAATTGTCCATGTGAAGCCACCTGCCAAGGGAGCTTAAAAACAAGGTGTGTGGTATTTTGTTGCTGTGTGTCCCATCAGCCTACCCTGGAATTGATCTCTAAGTCTGAAGTGGCCAGATGCATCAGACCTTATTTTTGCAGTGGTTTAAATTTTCTCTCACTCCAGGAAATGGCTCTCAGGATGGAATTGCTGAGTTGTTGAGCTTCTCTGCAAGCTGACCCAGCATATCAGTGAGAAAGGCAGCAATTTGGAGCCAGAGACCTGGGTCAGATCCTAGTTGCTCCACTCTCTGACCTCAGGCAACTCACTAACCCAGCTCTGACCCTCAGTTTCCTCAATTGTATGATTGACTGACTTAGATTGTATTGAATTATTGAGAGTATTAGATAAACCACCATGTGAAGCCTTAACCATTTTGCAATACTCCCTCCATGACAGACATGGGAGATGATAACAATTTTAGAAGTAGATACTTAATAAATGTTCTATTCCTGAACATCATGTGACCATGGGCTAGTCACTTAACGTGAGTCAGTTTTCTTATCTATAATGGGGTATGCAGTCATCCCTCAGTATCTGCAGGGCATTGGTTCCAGGACACCCTCAATCCCACCCCACTCCCTGCAGATAACAAAATCTGTAGATGCTCAAGTCATAGAATGGCATAATATTTTCATATAACCTATGCACGTTCTCCTGTATACTTCAGATCATCTCTTTATTCCTTGCCATGCCTAATACAATGTCAGGGCTATGTCAATAGTTGTTACACTGTTATATTTTTATTTGTATTTTTTTGTATTGTTATTTCTTATTGTTTGAGGTGGAATATTTTCAATCGTCCATTGGTTGGATCCACAGATGTGGAACCCACAGATACTGAGGGCCAACTATAGAATCCCCTTTGTGGACATATTGTGAGAAATGAATGGCAGGTGGAAAGCCCTGAGCCCAAGGCATTGACAGGAGGGATAGAGTAAAGACCCTCTGTGGTTATGTGAGAAAGGAAGAGCTGCAGTATTTAAATAATAAGAACATTGTGTCACCTGTACTATGGAAAATTAAGGAGTTCACCCTTGGGTCCCAGGTAGGCAGAGGTTCCTGCTTTAGCCCTGGTAACTTCACCTTCTGCCCACTTTGCCCACCTGGGTCACAGGACCAAACCCCATTCCAGCTTCTTGTCTTGCAGAGCCCTGGCACAGCATCCTTCTTACTCTGCCTGGAAACCTACTTCTCCACTGCTTCTCAGACCCACCAGCACCTCCTGTTAGGGTGGGGAGAGGTTCAGCTCTCCAGAGATGGCCCTTTGCAGCAAGGCAAAGGAGCCCTTGGTCTCCAAAAGCTAAGTGCTAATATGTTTAAGAATTTGTCCCGTAGCTCTAACTAGGAAGATCTGAAAAAGACAGCTCAGAACTTGTCTTTATTCACCAAATTAATAGTGGTTTTATTGAATTCTTTTCACATCCTGAAAATATGTACTTGGGACCTAGGACAGAGAGAGGCAGCCTACTCTGTGTTCACGTCCCAACCCTGGCCTCGTGTTACATACAGACATTGTAAGATGATGGTCAATGTGTCACTCTGGGAAGTTGAATTTAGTGCCTCTGAGTGGCTTTTGGGGCAGCCATGCCCTGAATCAAAATATTAGTGTAGACCAAGTTTGATTAGGCAACTTGTTTGTTCCACTTTTGTTCAACCCAGCAGTTTTAAAAGAATGCAGAGTCTTAGTTCAAAATGGTTCCCTTTGCTTGAAAAATCTTAAAAACATTGGAGTGCAGTTCAGGATTTACCAAATTAAGGTTCAGCTTAAAGCTGATGGTGCTTCTGTTGGTGTTTGTTCAGAATCTGTATTTTTAGTCACTTTTTAAAAAATTACTTGGCTCCTGTTTGTGGACCCTTGTAAGCCAACTGAGTTACCCAGATGCTAACTACATATTCACATATGGCTATAACCTCCTGAGAGTGTCAGGTCCATAAGTCTGTGTTCTCTGTATGAAACAAAGGACCTATGGGGAAAGTGGAACCTGTAATTCCAGAGAAAAGGAGCTTTCTTCACAAATGTTGCTTTTTAGTGGCTCCTATCCCAGAATCAATGGAAAGAAAATTGGACCTTTTAGGTATTCATGCTGACAGGTGGTCTCATAACAAATTTCTCAGCTATCCAAAGGATGAAAAACTGTAGGTATCTATCATTTTTAAAAAAAACAAGATGAGGAAGCTCTTCATATACCAATACAGAATTTTCCTAAGAAAATTAAATGAAAAAAAGAGGCAGAGAAATATTTGTACGCTACCCTTTGAGCAAAACAAAGCGAATGTGTTTGCTTATATATGCGGTAGATGATTATTATTATTTTTAGATGGAGTCTTGGTCTGTCGCCCAGGCTGGAGTGCAGTGGTGCGATCTTAGCTTACTGCAATCTCCGCCTCCCGGGTTCAAGTGATTCTCATGCCTTCAGCCTCCCGAGTACCTGGGATTACGGGTGCCCGCCACCATGCCTGGCTAATTTTTGTATTTTTAGTAGAGACGGGGTTTCACCATGTTGGCCAGGCTGGTCTCGAACTCCTGACCTCAGGTGATCCACCTGCGTCGGCCTCCCAAAGTGCTGGGATTACAGGTGTGAGTCACTGCGCCTGGCCTATGTGTAGATTATTTATGAAAGTAAATGCAGCAACTTGGTAGCAAGGCAACATTGTTTGCTTTCAGGAATGGGAATGGGGGGCAGGAGAGAAACTTACTGTATTCCCTATTATCTCTTTTGAATATAAACGATTGAATGTATTTCCTATTTTAAAAATAACGAAATGAATGTTAAATTTGACAAGGGGACTAGCAAAAAAAAAAAAGAAAAAAAAAGATGTCAAAAGGTGGGTGGAGCTGCAGCTCTGTGCCAACCCCTTCGAGACCTGGAAGTGAATTGTACAAGGCACAGGAAGAACTATCTTGTTTGGACAGTGGACTCAATGATCAAGTCAATGTTCATTGTGTTACTTTGCAAAAATTCAACAGCATTGGGAAGCGGACTGCTAAGAGAATGTGTAATGTAGGCAGTAAAGACAAATGTCACTGGACCATAGTCTGTTGTTTTATATGGTACCGGGTATTCTTTTGTCTTCTGAACCAAAAATCCTTCTCCTCCTCCCTTCCCTGTGAAGCCTTCCATGAAACTCTAATCCCAGTGTCTTGTCCCTTCTCTGCACTCCGATCACTTTTGTGATGGCATTTTGCAACTAATTACGTAAGATCCTGGGCTAACATCATTTCTTTTTCTTACCACATCGAGTGTTTATTTTGCTCTAGGAATGATACTGCCGTTACGTTCATTCTTTGATCTACGGAACTCTCCTACAAAACCATTTTACAAAGAAGGAAACAGGCTTATAGATATTCCATAATGGTCACATAAAGCGGCAGAGCTGGGAATTGAATGCAGTCACCTGACTCCACAGCTTGCGATCTTAATTCTTTTCCAATTTACTTGAGACTACCAGGCAAACATACAAGCCCTGATTAAGTGGTGATGTGGTGGTCTCCTGGAGGACAAGGCCTATCCTATCCTACACTTTCTCTGGGGTCCCTGGAGCACACCGGGCCCAGAGCAGTAAATACAGCAGAACTGTGGTTTTAGAAACAGAGACCTTTGTGATCCTCTGTGTGTGCACAATCCTAAATTGCCCTCTATGAAAGAAAGAAAATAGTGATATGCTAGCCCTCAGTGTTGGCATCACCAGCACCAGCAGTCAGCCTTCTTAGGAAGGCAGCTTTTCACAAAGACCTCTGTGCTAGTTTCAGGAGAATGGAGGAGTTGGCTCCAGGAGGAGAGAGCAGCCACAGTGCTGGCTTTGTTCCGCTGTGGGTGCCGCGTCTGTCCACCAGCCTGCGGAATTCAAATCTGTGCCTCCGCGACGTGACCCATTACCACGCATCACACCCTTCTGAGACATTCGTGAGCGGCTGGCTGGTGTTTTGACTGTCACATCTGCGTCTGCCAAGTTGCTGCCATTTGTTCTCCTTAAACACATCTAGCAGAGTTCAAAAGAGGCTCAGGCTGATTCCTCATGAAGAAAGCTGGCCTCAGAGGGGGTGGCCCAAGGGGTCTAAAGAGGCTAAGACCAAGGAATTCACCACCATCAGAGCCTTTGGATTCTGAAGCCCTTAATAAGATGAAAAAGTAATAAATCATCTTGCTGGCTCTTTTACTCTTTCAATACAAAAACTTTCAATGAGACCAGACTTCGGACCAGCATATTCTGTCCTGTGGACAGACCCTGTGGGAAACCAAATCATCGTCATCTAAAGGTTGCTGTGAGAAAGGTAGTCACCCCAGTGCCAGCACACATTGGAGTCATTTTGCTTGAAAAGCTTGATGATGCCATCGGCACGGTGGAGACATCCTGGACGCTGGGACCGATAGAGTCCTTCATTCTGCAGATATTTATTGAATGCTTGTTGTGCTTCGGGCACTGTTGTAGGCACTAGGAATATAGCAGTGAACAAAGCCAACAAAAATTTACTTTCTAGCTAGTAGGTGAGGCAATAATAATGAAATAGATTAGTGAACTAGATGATATGTAGAAGGTGGTAAGTGCTATGGGGAAAAAACTAAGCGGGGAGGAGGGAGGGAGTATGAGGAGTGAGGAGAATTTGTTATTTTAATTGAGGTGGTCAGAAAAGGCCTCCGAACCTGAAGACTTGAAGGACTGAGAGTGAAGTATGTGGAAGACCTTGGGAGGAACATTCCAGAGCTTCCACAGTTGGTGCAAAGGCCCCGAGGCAGGAGCACAGCCGGGGACAGTATGGCTGGAGTGGGAGAAGGGTGGGAGGGGATGGGGGTGCAGACTGGTGAGGAGGAGATGCACCCAGAGGTGAGTGGGGAAGGTCCAGATCTTAGAGGGTCCTACGGGCTGCTCTGAGGACTTTGGCTTTTTCTCTGAATGAGATGTGGGGCTCCCAGGGGCGTTGAGCAGGAAAGAACATGATCTGCCTCGTGTGACAAGGGCACTTTGGGCAAAGGCAGAAGCAGAGACCACATTGGAGGCTTCGTGATAAACGAGACATGGTGGCCCACACCAAGACACTGGCAGTGGAGGCTGGGGACCTGGTGGCCACCATGTCCCCAGTATAGAGCTTGGCAAGCACAGCAACAGGTCGGGGAGCTGATGGCCACCATGTCCCCAGTCTTGGCAAGCACAGCAACAGGTCCCTCCTCTGTATTCTGTGCGTCCACAGCAGACAGCCACCTGCTTTTGATCAATAATTTCCAGTTTAATTAACAATCATCTTGGTGTGATGCAAGGGACATTCTCCTTAGAGTGACTCTTATTATCTATTAAGTACTATTTTATGAGTTAGCTCTCAGATAATAATTTTATTTATAGATTCTTGGGGCCACCTCACTGCTGTCCCGAGATGTAACAGATTGACTGAGGTCAGACGCAGAAAACTGCCTTCTAAGTTTCTGGGTGCACACATCTGTATGTCAGCAGTAGATTAGCAGCCATCCTGGTTATGGCCTGAGAACCTTGTCTCTCTCAGTGCAATTACATCTGCCTGGTTCCCATAGGGGCTGCCTCTGATTAGCTCTAGCATCTCCAACGTGGGGGTTGAGGCCCAGTGGTTGCCTCTCCATGCACTCTGGGGACCTTATAACTGCCCAGTCAGGGTGCTGCTACATGACATTTGCAAACTGAATCAGCAAACTTTAGCACACTGTTCACAATTCTTTTGGATTCCTTCCCATGCCCTAATGTGCAAACACTGGATTCGCTGTTCTGCATGGCTGGGCCTCCGTGGAGCTCCCATGCTCTGCCTGCTCACCAGGGCTCTGCTGCTCTTTTACCACCAGATTGCCCTTGGCAAGGCTTGTATTGAACCTTTCTTCTGCTTCCATTTGTTCATCTATTGCTACCATTGTTTGTCTTCTAAACAAATATCTGCAAATGAGCTGATAAAACTTTAAAGAATTCTTTCCTCCATCTCTCCTACTTTTGGTAATGGTATTTTTGGACCCTGGCTTTACCTTAGCATCACCTGGGGAGCTTTAAAAATATTACAGTGCCTGGACCCCACTTTAGACCCATTGAATCAGAACGTGAAGGGGGGCTTTGGCTTCACTATGTTTTAAAAGCTCCCCAGATGATTCTGATGTACAATTTCACTTTCTTGCTACAAGTAGACATAAACAGGGCCTAGCTCCGCAGGCTGTTCAGGCTTCTCGTTCACCAACTCAAAGGTTCATCTCTAAATGAGGCCTTAGAGAGTCACAGAGAGTCAGTGAAGGGGCTGAAACATGAAAACGTTCATTATATGAATTAAATTCTCTGTTCGGTTACCAGAACACATGGCCTGTAATGAACTATGAATTAATGTAGTTTTAGTCCATAATCCATTTTGAATAGCACAATATTTCATTGTATTTTGTGTGTATGTGTTAAAAGCAATGATGTGTTAATTTTAAGTGATTATAATAAAATGTTTTCCATTCTTTAATGCATCATGCCTTTAAAAAACCAGAAGTCATCCCAGGCTGCATGGGAAGGGCAAGACTTTCTGAGGAGCAGCCATGGCCTGGGGAAAATAATATCGAGCAGGGATTTCCAGATTATATCGGGGTCTTCCTTTTTCTAGTCCTGAGACTCTGGGCAGATTCCTTAAGCCCTCCTCCAAAAGGAAGATTTTATGATTCATTTATCGTCAAGGTAGGAAAACTGAGGTTCAGAGAACTTCAGAAAGATAATTGTGTCAAAGTCCTTTGCACAGTTTGCTGGCTTTCTCATGCCACCCCAGCCATACAGCCATACACCCACACTGGAAATCACGCCAGCCAGCCCTTTGTAAACTGTTTCCTCCGCTGGTTCAGCCTTCCAAGTCTTCTTTGTCTGGCTGAATCCTACTCCTCCTTTGGGACGGGGTTCAGGCATTACCTGCTACTGGCAGCTGTCCCTGTCCCATCTTCCCACCCTGTCTTGGTTAGGTGTCCTCTGTTGTACCCGGGGTACCCGATGCTTTCTGCTACCTTGACATTTGTTGCACTTGGTATAATTCTCCTGCCTTCCTTATTCCTCCTTCTCTAGTCAGTTGGCTTCTTTTCTCTCCATTTTCCAGTGTTCAGCATAGTACCCGGCATACCTTTCTTTTTTTTTTTTTTGAGATGGGGATCTCATTATGTTGCCCAGGCTGGTCTCAAACTCCTGTCCTCAGGTGATCCTCAACCCTCAGCCTTCCAAATTGCTGGGATTATAGATGCACATCATGGCACCTGGCTAATGCCTGGCATATCTATAGATTTACTGTAAGAATGAAATTGAGGCCAGGTGTGGTGGTTCATGCCTGTAATCCCAGCGCTTTGGGAAGCCAAGGTGGGCATATCACTTGAGGCCAGGAATTCAAGGCCAACACAGTGAAACCCTGTTTCTACCAAACAATACAAAAATTAGCCGGGCATTGTGGCACATGCCCGTAGTCCCAGCTACTGAGGAGGCTGAGGCAGGAGAATCAGTTGAACCCAGAAGGCGGAGGTTGCAGTGAGCCAAGAGTGTACCACTGCACTCCAACCTGGGCGACAGAGTGAGACCTTGTCTCAAAAAAAAAAAAAAGAAAAAAGAATAAAGAAAAAAAGATTGGGTAAAAGTATTAAAAAGTATTTTAAAAGTATTAAAGCCTCAGTGTTGTGTTACATTTGCTATACATTTATAAGCAGGGTGATTTATTAACTGAGGTTTCCTTGCTATAATTTCCCTCCTTTCTAGTCTAAACTGCTTGGTCAGCCCTCACCAAAAGCAGAAAGAGAGGGTACCACCAGCAGCTCTTTGGTGAAAGCCTAAAATCTTCAACATCCATAGTACTAACACAATATTTTATCAGCCTCTTATTAGTGGGTGTTTAGGTTGCTTCTAATTTTTTATTATGAATGATGCTGCAATGAACATCCTTAGTCATTATGTTAGTTCCCTATTGTTTTTATAACAATTCACCACAAACTCAGTGGCTTAAAACAACACAGATTTATTACCTTGCAGTTCTGGAGGTCAGAAATCCAAAAGAGACTTCTGAGCTAAAAATCAAGGCATCGGCCGGGCTGCATTCCTCTGTGGAGACTCTGCGGGAGAATCCATTTCCCTGCCCTTTCTAGCCACCTTCATTCCTTGGCTCATGGCTCCCCTCCATCTTTAAAGTCAGCAAAGTCTCATGGAATCTTTCCCACATTGAATCACTCTGACACAAAACATTCTTGTCCACATTTAAAGCACTCTTGGGATTACATTGGGTCCACCTGGTATAATGTAGGAGACTCTTATATTAAGGTCAGCTGATTAGCAATCTTAATTCCATATGGCAACATTAATTTTCTCTTGCCATGAACATAGCCTATTCACAGATTCTTGGGTTCTGGGCATTAGAATATGGACATCTTTGGGTGGGGCTGGGGAGGGGGTTGGTATGCAGCTTACTGCAGTCCCATCTTTGAACACTTGCATGCTTATCTGTGTAGGATGACTAGAAATGAACTTGCAGGATTGGGGGGTATGCACAAAAAACTTCAACTGCCCTTGTAAAGTCTAGATTTCCACCAGCACAGTGTGGCAGGCCTTATTTTCATCACTGTGACCCATCTTGAATATTTTAATGTTTTAAATCTGGCATGTCCATTTACATTAAGAAGCTGATAGGACACTGAATTGTCCATGATCCAAAAGCCAATTGTGTTTGCCTTTCAAAGGACACAAGCAGCATTTTTCATCTGCTTTATCTTTCAAACTGTGTTTTGCTTAGGTTAATATTTAAATAATTTGGCGTTTCTTTGAGGACCATCAGTTGATCAGCAAAGATACAGCACAGAATCAATGGCAAGGAAAATGCCTTATGATGAACATTTTCTTGCTAGCAATTCATAAAAGAGTATTCTAATACACCGATTAACTTAATAATTAGTTCATTAGTATTTATCATACACCCAATGCATGTCAGGCACCACCTGACCTCCAGAAATTTACAAAGCAGTAAAAGGAATAAGACACAAGTGCAGAATGCATGGCAGGGGATTTGAGAGTTGACTGTATTTGCATAAAATCCATCCATTGCAACTTATGTGATTGTAACTTGTTACAATGAATCACCTTTATTTTGGAAAACTTCATGTTTTTAGCTAAATAGTTGGATAATCATACAATATGGCAACATAGCATGCGGTTGCCAAAACTTTTGTTTGGGTGCAACAATTTCTCAAGCCTGAAAGAGGAATCTAAAAGATCGATGATCTGAAATAAGCCAACCACAAAAAGACAAATGTTGTTTGATTCCACTTATATGAGGTGCCTACAGTAGTCAAATTCATAGAGACAGAAAATATAATGGTGGTTGCCCCAGGCTGGAGGGAAGGGAGAATGGGAGTTGTTAAAATGTTACAGATTTTCAGAGTTTCAGTTTTGTAAGATGACAAAAATTCAATTGTACAACATGAATGTACTTAATATTGCTGACTTGTGCACTTAGAAATGATTGAGATGATAAATTTTATGTTGTGTATAATTTATAAAAAATTTGAAAAAATAGTTATCTTCTAAGCAGTCATGGGAGAAAGTTACTGCAAACATTTATTGAGTGCCAACTGTGTTGGACGCTCCCATGTATTGTCTTTTTTTTAAATGTATTTTTATTTGTTTTTTAAAATAGAGACAGAACCTCACCATGTTGCCCGGGCTGGTCTCAAACTCCCTGGGCTCAGGCAATCCTCCTGCCTTGGCCTCCCAAAGTGCTGGGATTATAGGTGTGAGCCACAGTGCTGTGCCCTGGGTATTGTTTAGTCCTCCCAACAACTCTATGAGGCAGATATAATTGACCTATTTTGCAGGTAAAAAAGACTCTGTAACTTGCCCAGAGTCACACAAACTGGGATTTGAGCCCAACTTGTCTTTCTCCTGTGTCCTGGTACATAAGTAAGATCCATGGGATTTTCACTGTAAACATCACCCTAAATATTTTTTAAAGTAGAAATACCCATATTAGAAATGACTCAAGGGCACAATTACTTAGCTAGAATATAAAATTCCTGGAAACATTTACTGGCTTCTCCAGATAAAGTTTATCTTACTAAATAATTAGGACTTTTATTTTTTCCTCCTTCCCTCCCTCTCTCCATTCCATCATTCTTTTCTCATTCTTTCTTTCAAGATTAGAGTAATATCTAAATCACAGTCACGTAGAGCAGTACAACCCATGTTGAGGTAACTTATTAAATTAGCCCCTGACCATACATTACTATTCAGAGGGCTGGGAAAGATCTGTAAGGGATTGGACAAAGGAAATGCTCCACCTGTTCCTCCTCTGACTTGGGCCCTTGATGATATCATATAAAAAGTCATTTCCTGCTTGGTCCTTATCTCTAATGCTGACTAAATTAATAGTCTTACTTCCTTTACTTGTGTGTATGGAATTTGGGAATAAAAGTAAAATCACTTCCTACTGGGTTTTATACTTAGGCTCCTTAAATTTCATGTACTTGGGCAATTTTTCCTTATTTGGGGACTACAGGTTGTTCGATGTAAAAAAGGAACAAATTATAACACATGCCATGCCGAAATTCAGTGAGAGTCATGGTTTACCTGGTACCCATGTTCTAATGAATGTATTTCCAACCTGTAAACTTGCTGAAGATTTGGAATAAGTAAAACCAAAATCATACTAGTATGGAGGTTTTAAAACTAACTTAAAAGAGTGACTGTATATTCACAATTGCTACCAAAAAAAAAAATACCTAGGAATACAGCTAACTAGGGAGGTGAAAGAGCTCTACAAGGAGAACTGTTAAACACTGAAAAGAAATCAGAGATGATGCAAACAAATGGAAAAACATTCCATGCTCATGGATAGGAGGAATCAACATCATTAAAATGGCCATAGTGCCCAAAGCAATTTGTAGATTCAATGCTATTCCTATTAAACTATCAATGACATTCTTCACAGAACTAGATAAAACTATTTTAAAATTCATATGGAACCAAAAACAAGCCCAAAGAGCCAAGGCAATTCTAACCAAAAAGAAGAAAGCTGGAGGCATCATGCTACCCAACTTCAAATTACACTACAGGGCTACAGTAAGGAAAACAGCATAGTACTGCTACAAAAACAAATATATAGACCAATGGAATAGAATAGAGAACCCAGACATAAGGCTGTACACCTACAACCATCTGATTAGCAACAAAGCTGACAAAAACAAGCAATGGGGAAAAGACTCCCTATTCAATAAATGGTGCTGGGATAACTGGCTAGCCACATGCAGATTGAAACTGGACGCCTTCCTTACATCATATAATCAACTCAAGATGGACTAAAGACTTAAATGTAAAACCCAAAACTCTAAAAACCCTGGAAGACAACCTAGGCAATACCATTCTGGACACAGGAATGAGGAAAGATTTCATGACAGACACCAAAAGCAATTGCAAGAGAAGCAAAAATTGACAAATGGGGTCTAATTAAACTAAAGAGCTTCTGTACAGCAAAAGAATCAACAGAGTGAACAGACAGCCTACAGAAAGGGAGAAAATATTTGCAAACTATATAACTGACAAAGGTCTAATATCCAGCATCTATAAGGAACTTAAACAAATTTACAAGAAAAAAAATAACCCCATGAAAAAGTGGGCAAAGGACATGAACAAGACACTTCAAAAGAAGACATACATGCAGCCAACAAGCATATGAAAAAAAGCTCATCATCACTGATCACTAGAGAAATGCAAATCAAAACCACAATGAGAACTAATTTACACTCTCAGTGGGAATGTAAATTAGTTCAGCCATTGTGAAAGACAGTGTGGCGATTCCTCAAAGACCTAAAAACAGAAATACCATTTGACCCAGCAATCCCATTATGGGGTACATACCCAAAGGAATGTAAGTCATTCTATCATAAAGATACATGCACGCATATGTTCACTGCAGCACTATTCACAATAACAAAGACATGGAATCAACTTCAATGCCCATCAGTGGTGGACTGGATAAAGAAAATGTTGTACATACACACCGTAGAATACTATGCAGCCATAAAAAATGACATCATGTCCTTTGCAGGAACATGGATGGAGCTGGAGGCCATTATCCTTAGCAAACGAATATAGGAACAGAAAACCAAAGACCACATGTTCTCACTTGTAAGTGGGAGCTAAATGATGAGAACATACAGACACATAGAGGAGAACAACACACACTGGGGCCTATTGAAGGGTGGAGGGTGGGAGGAGGGAGAGGATCAGGAAAAATAACTAATGGGTACTAGGCTTAATACCTGAGTGATGAAATAGTCTGTACAACAAACCCCCATGACACAAGTTTACCTATATGTAAATACCTGCACATGTACCCCTGAACTTAAAATGAAAGCTAAATTAAAGATAAAAATAAAAGAAAAGAGTGGCTATCATTATAAACTAAATCACTTTGTGTGGCACTTTGAAAGATGTCCCATGCAGTGTGGGACCCTGAAAAGAGCACTGGACTTATATTCCTATTTTGGCAGCAGAATCCAGCACGGCCAAGGGGAGGCCATGGCACCAGGTGACAATCATGTCTGCGAAAGTGCTTGGAACCATCAAGCAGATCCTTCAGGCTTCCAGCCCTACAAGGAGAGAGAGTGGCACCCAAATCCATGTTCCTCTTGAGGGAACCAGGCTGGTAATTGAGTAGCCACCACCAAAGGGGTGACATCTAAGATGTTACATTTGATCAGTTATAAATGTCTATATTTACATAGCTCTATGGTCAAATCAATAGTCAAACGTCTATTCTGTGTCCATTTGTTTATTTGTTTGAGATGGAGTTTTGTTCTGATTGCCCAGGCTGGAGGGCAATGTCATGATCTCGGCTCACCGCCACCTCTGCCTCCTGGGTTTAAGCGATTCTCCTGCCTCAGCCTCCCAAGTAGCTGGGATTACAGGCCTGCACCACCACGCCTGGCTAATTTTGTATTTTTAGTAAGACGGGGTTTCTCCATGTTGGTCAGGCTGGTCTCGAACTCCTGACCTCAGGTGATCCACCCGCCTCAGCCTCCCAAAGTGCTGGGATTACAGGCATGAGGCACTGCACCCGGCCTCCTTTTATTTTTTTAAATTTTTATTTCGACAGGGTCTCACACTGTCACCTAGTCTGGGGTGCAGTGGCTTACTGCAGCCTCAACCTCCTGAGCTCAAGAGGTCCTTTCACCTCAGCCTCCCAAGTAACTGGGATTAGAGGCACACACCGGCACGCCCAGCTAATTTTTTTTTTTTTTTTGTAGAGACAGGGTTTCTCCATGTTAGCCAGGCTGGTCTAAAACTCCTGGCCTCAAGTGATCCTCTCTCCTTGGCCTCCCAAAGTGCTGGGATTACAGGCATGAACAACCACACCTGGCTTGCCCCCTTTTATTATCATAAATGCTCCTCTTCATCTCCCAAAACATTTGGGGTGCCATTTTATTCATTCATTTCTAGATGCTGACATATACATTATGTGTACAACAGACTAACAGTGATGTTTGTTATGTAGAAATAATGGCCTTGAGAATGAACATATGCAGGGCCTTTTGACTCTACTTTTAAATAGAGCTTGTATGTCTTTATTATTCCTCTTATCAACAGGAAGCAGATATACAATGGCAGAACCTGATGCAAGGCAACAGTATTAAAGTTTGATATTTTTTCATCAGACTATGATTATTTTACTTTCTGAGGAAGATTAACATCCAGCTTGGATTTTTCTATAATGAGGTTTTTTTCTGATGATAAAATTAATATATGATAAGTAATACTTGATATGTGTAGTGAAGTATTCTAATAACATTCACTACCACTTATTGAGACATTTTACTTAATGGGATTCCCTGCTAAGTGCACAGCCTTCGTTAGCTCTTTCAAACCTCAGACAGCTCTTTGCGGGCGGGCACAAAATCACTCCCTGTTACTGATGAAGGTGTTTGGACACCAAGAGGAGGTGACTTGCCAGAGGGCCATGGTAGGGGGAGGTTGTGCTGGATTTAAGTCTTCAGAACCTTTTCTTAATGACGATGGATTCTGGGTTTCTTCTAAAAATGTTAAAAATATGAAGGCAGAAAAATGTGGTGGTTAGATTTAAATATTCCTTATACCATATAAGTATGAGAAAGGAATGGTAAGAAAAGGGACCATCTCATCTCCGTCACCTTTTTAATGCACAGTTATGCACCAAATAACAATGTTTTGGCCAACAGCAGGCCCCATGTAGGTTGGTGGTCCATAAGACTGTAATGGAGCCCACAAATTCCTATAGCTTAGTGACATCATAGCCATGGTAATGCAGCACAACGCGTTTCTCCTGTGTTTACGGTGATGCTGGTGTAAACAAACCTCCTGCACTGCCTGTCGTGTGAAGGGATAACACAACTACGTACAGTACCTAGTACTTGATCATCTTAATAAATGACTATGTTTACCGGTTTATGTATTTACTGTACTATACGTTTTATGGTTATTTTAGAGTATACGCCTTCTACTTATGAAAAGAAAGTTAACTGTAAAACAGCTTCATGCAGGTCCTTCAGGAGGTATCCAGAAGAAGGCATTGTTATCACAGGAGATGACAGCTCCATGCGTGTCGTTGTCCCTGAGGACCTTCCAGTGGGGCAAGATGTGGAGGTGGAAGACAGGGATATTGATGATCCTGACCCTGTGTAGGCCAGGCTAATGTGTGTTTGTGTCTTAGTTTTTAATAAAACAGTTTAAAAAGTAAATACATAAAAATTTTAAACATAGAAAAAAGCATATAGAATAAGAATATTAAAAAAGAAAATAATTTTGGACAGTTACACAATCTGTGTTTTAAGCTTAGTCTTATTACAAGATTCAAAAAGCTAAAAAAAGTTTAAATAAAGTAAAAAAGTTACAGTAAGCTAAGGTTAGTTTATTACTGAGGAAAGAAAAAAATGTTAAAATAAGTTTAGTGTAGTCTAAGAGTCCAGTGTTTATAAAGTCTACCATGGTGTACAGTAATGTCCTAGGTCTTTACATTCACTCACTATTCACTCACTGACTCACCCAGACCAGCTTCCAGTCCTACAAGCTCTGTTCATGGTAAGTGCCCTATATGGGTGTACCATTTTTTATCTTTTATACTGTCTTTTTACACTACCTTTTCTATGTTTAGATATACAAATACCATTGTGTTACAGTTGCCTACAGTATTCAGTACAGTAACATGCTGCACAGGTTTGTAGCCTAGGAGCAATAGGCTGCACCATATAGCCTAGGTGTGCAGTAGACTATTCTGTCATAGTTTGTGTAAGTGCACGCTGTGATGGTCACACAATGATGAAATCACATAATGATGCATTTCTCAGAATGTGTTCCTGTTGTGAAATGACACATGACTGTATGTTTTCAGTCTAGTGGCCCCACCTGATGCTCCACCTTTCTGATCCAGGTACAGGTAGTTGTGACTCTGGCAGTCTGATCTGACCTCTAAAGAGGCCCCTGGAGAACCCACTTCTACAGTTTTCTCCATGATTTTGTATGGATCTGATTCTTTACATTTCCCCTTCTATTTGAAATAGCTTGAGTGGAGCTCTTTTCTGCAGCTGAACCCTAATATAACATATATATTATTTATATATAGGAATATGTTGTGTATAATTATGTAATATATGTATATAATTTTTATAATTGAAGTCAGATAAAGGTTTATACATTTCTTTTTCAACTTAACATTTCCTTGTAAACATTTTGCAAATTTTAAAATCAAGGCTGAGCACGGTGGCTCATGCCTGTAATCCCAGCACTCTGGGAAGCTGAGGCAGGAGGATCACCTGACGTCAGGAGTTCAAGACAGCGTGGCCATCTCTACTAAAAATTCAAAAAAATTAGCCAGGCGTGATGGCGGGCGCCTGTAGTCCCAGCTACTTGGGAGACTGAGGCAGGAGAATAGCTTGAACCTGTGAGGCGGAGGTTGCAGTGAGCCGAGACCGCACCGTTGCACTCCAGCCTGGGCAAAAAGAATGAAACTCCATCTCAAAATAAATAAATAAATAAATAAATAACAAAATAAAATAATAAAGGGTTTATTGATTCCATAATATTTCTCCAAATAAATACAGCCTAATTTATTTTCTATTTCCTTATAATTGAACACTTAGATTCTTTCCATATTTTTACTTGCATAAATGACTACTTCTTTGACTAAGTTTATCAGTTTTCAATTACTGCTGTAACAGATTAGTATACACTTGGTGGCTTAAAACAGCATAAATGTATTATTTTGTAGTTTTGGAGTCCAGAGGTCCAAAATAGGTCTCACTGGGCTAAAATCAAGATGTTGTTAGGCTGGGCGCAGTGGCTCACGCCTGTAATCCCAGCACTTTGGGAGGCTGAGATGGGTGGATCACCTGAGGTCAGGAGTTCAAGGCCACCCTGGCCAACATGCTGAAACCCCATCTCTACTAAAAATACAAAAAGTTAGCTGGGTGCGGTGGTACGTGCCTGTAGTCCCAGCTACTTGGGAGGCTGAGGCAGGAGAATTGCTTGAACCTGGGAGGCAGAGGTTGCAGTGAGCCAAGTTTGCGCCACTGCTCTCCAGCCTAGGCAACAGAGAGACTCCGTCTCAAAAAACAAACAAACAAAAACAAACAAACAAACAAACAAAAAAAGATGTTGTTGGTCCGAATTCATGTGGGAGGGTCTAGGGTAAAATTCGTTTTCTTCCCTTTTCCATCTTCTTGAGGCTGCTCATGTCCCTTGGCTCATGGCTGCCTTCCATCTTCACAGCCAGTGATGGCTGAGTCCTTCTCACATGGCATTACTCTGACACTGATTCCTATGCCATTTTTTCACCTGTAAGGACCCAATTTGGGTCTACCTGGATAATCCAGGATAATCTCATTTCAAAGGCACCAGATCAGCAACTTCTATTTCATGCAACATAATTTCCCCTAGCCATATAACATAAAATGTTCACAGGTTCCTGGAATTAGGACGTGGGAGCCCATTTGGGGGACCATTATTCTGCCTCCCACTCACAGTAATTCTGCTTCTAGGAGTCCATCCCGTAGAAAGAATCAAGCCTATAATCCCAGCACTTTGGGAGGCCAAGGCAGGAGAATTGCTTGAGGCCAGGAGTTTGAGACCAGCCTGGTCAACATAGTGAGATCCTGTCTCTACGAAAGAAAAAAAAAATACTGGGTGCAGTGGCATGCACCTATAGTCCCAGTTACTGGGGAGGTTGAGGTGGGAGGACCACTTAAACCCAGGTCATTGAGGCTGCCGTGAGCCATGATTGTACCACTGCACTCCAGCCTGGGTGACAGAGTGAGACCTTGTCTTAAAAAAAAAAGTACAGTAAATATTTTCTTTATAAATACAGGTATTCATGATATTGTTCTGCAATCTACTTTTTAAAAAGAATATCATTTTGTGTAAATAAAACTTTATGTACCTGTTTAAAAGGGGCCTAGAAGGTCATATTTCTAACTGTTATCAGTAGGGACTTGAATTTGTCAGCAGTGGAATGAGAAGGTTGGAAAGCTGGGGATGGATAGGGCGAGGGGTAAATTTGTACTTTCAACTTTATACAATTCAACTTTGTTTGACATTTTGCTCATCAAATGAGCTGCGTGTTTATTACAAAAATTAACCAATGAACATGTTCCCATTTAGAGAAAAGAACCCACTGACTTTTTCTGGGCCATATGTGGAGATGCAGAAGGGTGCCTGTTGCCTGAGAAAAGCCTGGCAGACTGTCTTTTGAGGGTGCTCATCATAGTCCTTCTCAACCCGCATCAATCAGCTGTGTCCACGTCCTTCAGCCTTGTGAGTCAGAAACCTGGATATGGTCTTATTAACCAAACTCAGGTGGTCCAATGGCTACAATCAGAACAAATAAATAATAGCCACAGAGACTGAAATGGTTTGCTCTGCCCTAGAATTCTCTTTCACCAGGCTAATCTTCAGAAAGATGAGGTTAAGAGCACAGACTTTGATGTCCAATATAAACAGCCTGAGTTCAAATCCTGACCGTCAGTTACTATGGTATAGAATGGACAAGTTGTTGAACCTCTCTGAATCTCAGTTTTCTCAACAAGAAAGGTAGGTTATTAAAATATCTCCTAAGATGTTGTGTGGAGTAAATGAGATGATGAACTTAAAGCATTTAATGATTAAATGCCAGCCAGTACAGGGCATCTCGCCACTGCTTCTACTTCAGCCTGTGTGGACAAAGTATATGCAGCTGGCTGGATGCAATAGACATTGGAGCCCTTGTCACAGAAGCTTAGATTTTTCCCCTAACAAAGAGACCTCATGATATAGTGACTTATGGAAGTTTATTTCTTCTTCATGTAGCTTCAGGGACTCCTCTGCTCCACACAGTCACTTGGGAATCCAAGGTTCCTTCCACCTGTCCCATGTTCATGTATATGTGCATTGTTTTAAGGGTTAGGCCAGAAGTGGGAAATTGCCTCTCACCTTCCATTGGCAACCTAGGCATATGGCCACACCTAACTGTAGGGATGCCTGAAAACAGAGGCATTACCCCAGGTCCCCCAGCTAGGGACTCATTACTGTGGAGGAAGGAAAGAACTGGTGTTGGTGGACAGCTATGCTTCTCCAGCACAATTGGTCTCACCAACAGGACTGGAAATAGTCTACGTTCATTACGACTCCCCATCCCGACTTCAGAGAAAGTCTCACCATTGGGCCTTATGGCCAGAAATCACTGAAGTTCATTGGCTGGGCCTCACCTTTCCTGTCAGCCCTTAAGTGGATTTGGCCAAATTTTGCTTCTCTAGTACTCTTCTTTTCTAGGATTTGAGAATGTACCCTTCCCCACCCCCACTCTCCTTGGGCTCATCAAATTTGTGTTATTACAATCAAATTTTGCTAGCTTGGGAGCAAAGGTGACTTTGTCATTAAGGTTAAATATAGCCATTTAGAGCAGAGACATGGATGTGTGTATGTGTGTGTGTATGTGTGTGTGTGTGTGCGTGTGTGTGTGGAGATGGGAGGATGATGTCCCCAGTATGTCATGGTCCTCAGGAATTGTGTGTGAGGACAAAGGTAAATGAGTGACAGTGAGCTTTTTCTGGCCCAGGAAAGGTTGGTGAGAGGTGGAGCGTGAAGGATCCTATGCAAGCTGTATCCACAGGAAAGGCCAATCAGAAGAGGACCTGCTGCACCCAAGATGGGGATTGTGGGGGACAAAAGGAAGAAGGAGACCTGAAACAGGCTGTGGGTATTGTAGAAATTCTAAAGTTGGAAGTTTGGGGCCTGGGAATCGAAGATGTTTCATTTTGTCCTTACAAAAACATCAGGGCGATGTGGCAGGAAGAACAAGAGGAGGGAGCTGGAAGGAAATGCATGATTTTCACTGCATGCCTTACTCCCCTTATACAATCCAGAACCACCTAAGTCATTAACTTGAAGCACCCAAGTGTCTGCTGATGAGCAGTTTGGTTACAAGGCAAGATGACAAGTTTAACAGAAGTGGCCATGGGATGTAAGTACAGTGATGGTGCCCTGGAGGATACTCGGAAGGCACCTCACCTCGACCCAGCATTGCCCAGAGCACCCTGTCACCTGCTGCTTGCTTAGTCTCTGGGGACTCCCTCCACCTTCAGAGCCCACTGGTGCTGATCGTGCCTGGGGTTCCTGATTTGGAATGTTCTGTAGGACTGAGAAGTTGCTGCTGAAAGGGAAAGCATTGGTTTCTGGGTTTGGGAACTTCTATCCAGTTTAATGAGTGTCTTCTTCACTGATGCACTACTTGCTTCTAAAATTTCCTTATAAACCATGCATATCATGCTTAACTCACCCTTGGCTCTATTCAAACACTTTTGTGTGTGTGTGTGCAAGTCACAAGGTCTGTTCTTTTCAGTTATGGCCTCGCTTCTCCCCACTTTCCCTTGGTTTCTAAAGTCTGACCATTCAAGAGGGCAAAGACCTCATTTGTCATGCCAAGATTTGTGTTTGTGCTCTTGGCAGAATGTGTTGCTAACCTTTGAATACTATGTCTCTGAAGGAAAAGGATGTGCTTTAGTGACACACTTTATGGTAGGAACTTCGCTAGCAGTGGTAGAAACAACATTGGCAGTCCACCTGCCCAAATCTATGGTTTGGACACACACTCCTTTGCCAAGCTATAGGGATGCATAGATGTTCTGCTCCCTGCCAGGCAAGGATGCAACGGCACCCTGGTCCCCACATTCCAGGCCCTCAATGGGAACCCCTACTTGACTCATTGCTCTTTCCACCATCTCCCTTCCCCAGACTGCTGCAAAACCACTGCCTTCCCCCATTTCCAAAGGAAGGGGTGGTTGTTCGAGCTCTGGCCTGGCCACCCAAAGACAGTGCCAAAGAAAGTGCCCGAACCTCCTTTTCAGTCACGCTGCTTCCATGTGACTCAACTCTAAAGAGACTAGACTCAGCCCTCTGAGCCCTAGTGGGCTTATTTAGCTAAAATGAGCTTTAATTGAAGAATCATTTGTGTGTTGATTATGGTTGCAGGACAGAGAGGCCTCAACTACTTTTGCTTTTAGGAGTGCTTTAGTTCTTGCAACTGGAAGCACAACCACTATATTTCAGTGGTACTTTTTTTTTTTTTTTTTTTTTTTTTTTGAGACAGGGTCTTGCTCTGTCTCCCAGGCTGGAGTGCAGTGGCACGATCTTGGCTCACTGCAAGGTCCACCTCCTGGGTTCAAGCCATTCTCCTACCTCAGCTTCCTGAGTAGCTGAGATTACAGGTGCACATCACTACACCCAGCTAATTTTTGCATTTTTAGTAGAGACATGGTTTTGCCATGTTTGCCAGGCTGGTCTCAAACTCCTGACCTCAGGTGATCTACCCACCTTAGCCTCCCAAAGTGCTGGGATTACAGGCATGAGCCACCGCGCCCAACCACATTTTTTTTTTCCAAATAAAAATTGCTTTAGTTTTTTCCTGATTATTTAAGTAATATGAGCTTATTGTAAAGAATTCAGAAACTAGAGGAAGGTATAAAGAAGAGCGTTAATCACCATTCACAGTTTCAGGTCAAACCTTCTATGCTTTCCCTGTGCATGCAAATACATTTATACTTTTTGCAAAAAGTTGAGTGCACTATTCATGATGTTTTGTAAGCCTTTGATCCATTATCTATTGCCACACAAAACCAACCTAAAATGTAGAGCTATCAGATAGCAACCATTTTATTATATCACATGAATTTTGTGGTTGAGAAGTTCGACAGGGCACAGTGGCTTTCCTTTGCCCCACGAAGTCTGTGACCTCATCTGGGAAAACTCAAATGGCCAGGGATGACTGGAGCATCTAGGATCTGGAAATTTCTGAAGACTTATTTCTTCACTTTCATGGCTGGCACCTGGGTTGAGTAAATTGGAATTCTGAGCTCACTGGGTTTGTTGACTGGAGTACCTGCATGTAATATCTCCATGTGGCTTGGACTTACAACATGGTGGCCTCAGGACAGTTGGACTTCTTATATGGTGGCTCAAGGCTCTAAGAGTGAGTGTTCTACCTAGTGAATAAGGTAGAAGTTGGGTAGCCTTAGGCTTGGAAGACATATAGTGTCACTTCTCTTACTACATTGGTCCAAGCAGTAGGAAGCCCACCCAGATTCATGGGGAGGGGGCAAGATCCCACTCTCTAAGAGAGGAGTACCAAAGGACTTTCAACTGTGTTTTAAAACTCTGACAACCTTTTATTTTTTTATATATATAACATGGACAGTGTACTGGGTTGAGTTGTGTCCCCTGCAGAAATGTGTCCAAGTCCTAACACTCAGTACGTGTAAACGTGACTTTACTTAAAAACAGGGCCTTTGCCAATGAAAACAACTTAAGATGAGGGTATACTGGAATAGGGTGGGCCCTAATCTAATGACTGGTGTCCTTATAAGAAGAGGGAAATTTGGACACAGATGCACTGGGAGAGCACCAAGTGATGAGGAAGGTGAACATTAGAGTCACACATCTACAAGGCAAGAGACACTAAGGATTGCTGGCAACACCAGAAGGTAGGCAGAGCCAAGGAGGACCCTCCCTTAGAGCCTTCAGAGGAAGCGTGCCCCTGCTGACTGCTTAATTTTAGACTTTTAGCCTCCAAAACTATAACAGTATGTATATCTGTTGTTTTCAGCTGCCTTAAGTTTGTGGCAAGTACTTTGTTAAGGCAGCCCCAGGAGGCAAACACGGTTTTCCATATTTGCCTAGGTCTGCACCATCATTTCATAAGTGCACAGTATCCATTGAATGCTTAACATCATGTATTTAATCAATCTTAAATAGGCCTAAGACACGTAACCCAATAATTAGCATGAGCTTATATTCTATGCAATTAAGTACATGGCTCATAATCTCTCTCATAGACTTCCTTTGTTTCCTCCACAGAGCCTAGCACAGTTATGGAGTTAGCTTCAGCAAAGATCAAGTAACTTGTCACCACCAGCCAGAGTATCAGAACATACAAAGACTGATCCCCTATAGCTCCTAAGCATTAAATTAAAGGATTCCAAATATTAAGGATATTAAGGATTTTAAGAGAGTCTTGGCTCTTCTGGAAACCTGGTTGGTTAGGTAACAAAGAACAGTTAAAAACTTCAGTCTGAAAGAGCGATTCAGTAAGGCTTTAAGTATTTTTAAATGAAAGTGATTATAGTACAAAAAGGTTAAAATCCATTGTTCTTTACAGATGTAATGCTTCCAGTTCTCCAGCCACAAAAGAAGTATTGAACACTCAAGCCTCTTGCCAAGTGTTAAGAAATGAGTCAGAAATGTAATGCTGGCAGACGACCATGGAAACATACTCTATGCCTTATAGGCCTTGCACCCCTTGGTCCCTTTCTGCTGTCCCTTTATGATTTCTGGATTGGAGGAGGCCTCCTGTGTTTTTTTTTTCTCAAGTTCAGTTTTCTGTTTTCTTTCCTTGGCCCCATTTGTGACTTCCTCTACGCAGAAGGGCAGACATGGGCACATGGGGAAAGGAGCCAGGGCACCCCTCCCAGTCTCTCGGGAGGGGAAAGGAGCAGCAGGCGAGGCTGTCCACTCTGTAAATTACGAGGCTGCAAGCCTTCCAGGCTTGTTGGGTTTTTTTCTTCTATAGTCCATGAATCTTCTAAAAAAGTCCCCGTAGGAAGAATAAAGCCTGTTCTAATTCTAAGACGCTTGGCAGTGCTTTTGCCATTTTCAAGGGATCTTTACCTGCTCTGGACACAACTGTCTAGAGACTATTTGGATTGTGGTAAGAATTGTTCTCTGAAGTCTTCGTTCCAATTTCATTACAGAGATCCCAAGAAAACTGTGCTCCACGAATAGGGGCTCATTGAGGACTGACGGATTGGAATGACTTGAGATCTTCACATTTTCCAAATACTTGGGAGGTGGTGTCCTTGGGAAACGCCCTTGCAAGAATTTCCCCTTTTCTCTTGGTGTGAATGGAAAGGTATTTCCTACCTGGATGGAGAATTCTTTCTGCCACTCCCTGAGCTGGGTTCTGTGCCTGGAAGGGCAGGGCTTTTCCCTGGACTCATGATTATGTATGGTCTCAGCAGGCTGGAGGTACTCCATGAAGACTGCATGTGTGTTAGGGTGTCTGAAGGTGCAGGGGTTTCGGGGGAGACTGTGTGTGCTGCACAATGGCCATTTCTGTTCCCCTGTAAATGATAGTGAATTTTTTGTGGCACCCCCTACCATGTATCAGTTCTATGATCAACCAGAAAACAAACCTGGCTGGAGGGAAGGATACTGTTGCAATCACTGTTAGTGCTTCCCCAAGATCTTGTTATTAGAACTCTGATTTTTTTATTTTTTAAATTGGTGGGGCCACCTGCTCAGCCCTAGATGATTGATTTACTCATGGTGCCAGCCTCCTTTTCACCTAGAGGTGACCACATGACTGTTCTGGCCATTGAGAACTAAGTGGAGTTTTCCTGGGGTCTGGGAAAAGGCTTGTACTTTGTCTAATATAAATGGAATATGAGGCTAGCAAAGCTCTATCCTTTTCTGTCTTTTAACTGCTTGGAACATAGACTTGACGTCTGGAGCTATAAGCAGCCATTTTGTGACAGCAGGGATAAAATGGCCAAGGGAATGGTCTGTAAACAAGCATGAATAAAGAGCTGAGAGAGTCCCACCATCACTGGCTCTGAGGTCATGGGGCACCCGAATCAATGGCAATTAACTGCCTAACTCCTTACTTCTTGCTGTTTAAGTTACTCTTGACTCATAATCACCACACAGTCAAATGCACACTTCTCAAATTTTATACCAAATTTTATACCAAAGTATGCCAAATACTAGAGGTGTAGTGACCTGCAGCCTCGGGCATAGCTCAAATTGATATTCTACCAGCAAGAAATGGCCTCATATTTTATCTGAGACACATATATAAATGTTGCGTTCTATTTCATAATATGTTGATGCTTATGTTAATTTATTAAAATATTTAAATTGCCATAAAAATATTTAAAACACTTTCTCCTCCAAATTGTGTGTGTGTGTGTGTGTGTGTGTGTGTATATATATATATATATATATTTTTTTTTTTTTTTTTTTTTTTTTTTTTTTTTTTCTGAGACAGAGTATCACTTCGTCACCCAAGCTGGAGTGCAGTGGTATGATCTCGGCTCACTGCAACCTCCGCCTCCCGGGTTCAAGCAATTCTTCTGCCTCAGCCTGTCAGTGGCGTTTGAACAACAGCGACTCCATTTTGAGTAAGGGCTAGGAAAATGTGGCTGGGACTTGCTGGGCTGATTCCCAGAAATAGCCTCCCGATGTTTATGGTTAAGGGAATAGATTAATAATGTTTGCTAAACACACCCAGACTTGGGAGAGTCCTAATATCCTGATATCTTGAGAGCAAAGGCATTCCAAATTTCACTTTAAAGATAATAATATCGATTCTTGCAAAATATAGTAATTAAGAAAATTAATCCTTTATCACAAACCCTTGTAGCAGAGCACATCTTCCCATATATACAAGCATTGTAACTAGGGCAGACGCGTTCCTCCTTACTTTCAGGAACATCCTACTCGGTCTATGGAGTAGCTGTCCTTTCACTACTTTTCTCTCTTAATAAAACTTGCTTTTACTTTGCACTTCAGACTCACCCTGAATTCTTTCTTGCGCGAGATCCAAGAACTCTCCCTTGAGATCTGGATTGGGACCCCTTTCCTGTAACAAGCCTCTGGAGTAGCTGGGATTACAGTCGTGAGCCACTGCACCCGGCCTCAAATTGCATGTTCTGGGAAGAGGCAGTTTGCTTTTTCCTGGGGCTTTGAGTATCCCCTGATGCATTGCCCATCCTCTCAGGGGTACAAATACCATGATTTGAGAAATCAGAATACAAGAAGTAGCAGAGATGAAGATAAAGAGGTAGGTAGAGCTGGGATCATGAGGGCTGTCGGGTGTCAGGCTAAGGGATTTGGATTAAATTCCTTTAGAAATGGGACACCCCACAGAAGACACATCAGGAAGATTCTGAAAAGCCACACTTCAGGAAGAGTATTGTGGCAGTAGGCCTGGGACTGAGCAAGACTAGACACAGGAAAAGCAGGTAAGAGATATTGTAGTGCATCTGGTAGACTCAGTGCAGCTGTAAGTGACAGGCAAAATAGCAGCTTAAACAAAATAGATTTTTATTATTTACTTAAGAGTTAAGGAGTAGCTCGGAAGTCAGCAGTCCAGTGCAGGAAAGGTGGCCCATATCCACTTAGCATTATCCTGTTACCAATGGCTACACAGCAGACCACCCACATTCAGAAGCTGAAAGCAATTGCAATCATTTTCCCATGAATCTACAATGTAGGCAGGGCACAGTGGGAGCAACTCATCTCTGCTCCCTATGGCATCAGCTTAAGTGGCCCAAAGGCTGCTGAGAACTCGACCAGACAACTGGTGTGTGGAATTACCTACAGGCTTGACTACTTGCACACCTGATGGTGAATGCTGGCTGTCACCTGGGACCTCACAAGGCTGTGATTGGAAATATGTCTGGGCAGCTGCTCCATGAGGCTGCCCTACTTCCTCACAGCATAGTGGCTGGGCGCTAAGAGGAGAATCTCAAGAAGTAGGAAGCAGAAGCTGCCCATTTCTTAACACTTAGATCCCGGAGTGGGCAAAGCATCACATTTGGCCAAGTAATCACAGTGCCTATATTCAGGGGTTGGCAAAGACCCCAGCTCCCAAAGGTAGGACCACTGAACATGCATGTCATTAGTCAGAACCAGTGTCAGAATCACTATTATTGGCAAGGGAGGCTAGAAAATGTAACCTTTACTCTGGAGGGGGATTCTATGCCCAGTTAAAAATGAGACATTTATTACTATGGAAAAAAGGAGAAAATGGTTATTAGGGACAGTTAGCAGTCTTTGCTGCTGACAGCAAACCACAAGTGACTTGAACACAGGAACTCAGGTGGCACGTATGGTAATGGAAAGGAAGGGGGTGTGAGAGATGCTAAGGAACGAGAACCAGCAGGCTCTGAGATGACTTGGGCTGCCATGTTTGGGGATGTGTGTAGGGGCGGGTAAGGGTGTACATGTATGAAGGGCTGGAACCACCAGGGCTGTCTAGAGACTACCAGCGAGATGCAGAGCCAACAACTTGCATTTCCAAGGTTAGTCTGATACCAGATGAAATTTTTAGACATTCATCAAGACTAAGATGACCAAGAATTACCCTTCCAGAGCTCTAGGCCAGATTCCAAAGCATCTTGATCTTAAGTACAGCAGATCCTAGTTTTCAAAACCTGCCACAGCAGTGTTTTTGGTCCAATCTACTCTTGTTGCACCTTGCCACTTCCTGTCAACCTTCTGACTGTGTGAGGAATAGAATATGGAGGAACAGATGCTACATGACTTCTGAGACTGGGTCAGAAAGGTGTTCTGGCTTCCACTTGGCTCTGGTTGTACAGGGACATGTGCCTTGGGAGTCCTGACGTATCTTGGGAGGAGTCCAGCTACCCCAAAGCCACCACGCCGGAGAGAAAGAGATGCCCAAGGAGCCCCAGCGTTTGAGTCTTCCTAGTGAAGGAGTTAAGAACATGCCACCCCAAAATATGCCAGTTCAGAATAAGAATTATTTTGAGCTGAAGGCAGTTGAGAAACAACAGATGTGCCTCCCCACTGCTTTTTTTTTTTTTTTTTTTTTTGAGACACAGTCTTGCTCTGTCACCCAGGCTAAAGTGCAGTGGCATGATCTCAGCTCACTGCAACCTCTGCCTCCTGGTTCAAGCGATTCTCCTGCCTCAGCCTCCCGAGTAGCTGAGATTACAGGTGCTCACCACCACGCCTGGCTAACTTTTGTATTTTTAGTAGAGACGACTACTCTTGGTCAGGCTGGTCTCAAACTCCTGACCTCGTGATCTGCCCGCCTCGGCCTCCCAAAGTGTTGGGATTACAGGCATGAGCAACCACATCCTGCAGACCCCCCTTTTTTTAAACCTAAAGCAGGACATACAATTTTCCATGAGAAAGATACTAGCCCCACCCCACCATACCAGGAGAGAACACCCTTCTCACCAAAGCCTGGAAATCAACAAATCTGTACAGATAAGCTTACTAAAGAAACCCTTGTCTGCCATTAGTTTTACATCCTTCACCCCCATGTAACCCCTAGTGGCTTCCCCTCAGTTTCCTGCCACTAGTCCAGACCCTTTGTCTTCTTATTTCTTCATAAACTTATCATTTCTTTGTCTAAAAGGCATACAAGCATTCTACTTTGGCCATTTCTCTGAGTCTCTACACTCTTTTGAAGACAGTAAGTATACACATGCAAAAATTATCAAAACATATATGCTTTGCTCCTATTAATCTATCTTATGTCAGTTTATTAGATCGACCCAAGGATCCCACAGGGGTAGAGGAGAGCTTATTCTCTCCCCAGCCATAGCCACGGTGCCAGACATCTGAGTGAGTGAGCCTTCATGTGTGATTCCAGCCCTCAGCTTTTGAGTCTTCCAGCTGAGGCCCCAGACAAGCCATCCCTGGAGCCGTATGTGTAATTCCTGACCCACGGAATCCATGAGCATAATAAATGGTTCTTTTATGCCACTAAGTTTTGGGTGACAAGTTATACAACCACAGTAATGAGAGTAGCAAGGAACCCAAGGCTATGGTACGTGGCAGGTCTCCCCAAGGCTTAGAGACCTATGGATGCAGTGGTTTGGATCCTTTTCAGCAGAGCAACCAATGGGAATGAAGCACCTGGGGAGTTTTATGCATCTTAATCCCAATCTGAAGTACATAGTTGGGTTGATCGCAGGGCATCTCCACCCACTGTGACCCACAGCCTTTGCCCTAACGGCACTGGTGGGGACTAAGGACAGAATGTCTTACTCTGAATCTTCATGGTGTCAACGTTTCTTATGTGCACCCCTCCCTTCCTCATTCTCCTGTCCTCACCCACTTTATTACAGTAGCAGTGTGAACTTCAAGGCATGGCTGAATGTTACAAGGATCATTCCCAGCCTCCTGAAGAGGACACAGAAACCTTGAAGGCCTGGCGTTTATTTGGCATAAAGCAAGTAGCTGTGTTTGTTTGTTTGTTTGTTTGTTTGTTTGCTTGCTTGTTTGTCTTTTGGAACAGAGTCTCACTCTGTCGCCCAGCCTGGAGTGCAGTGGCACCATCTCAGCTCACTGCAGCCTCTGCCTCCCAGGTTCCAGTCATTCTCCTGCCTCAGCCTCCCGAGTAGCTGGGATTACGGGCGCCCACCACCACGCCCAGCTAATTTTTGTATTTTTAGTAGAGATGGGTTTCACCATGTTGGCCAGGCTGGTCTCCAACTCCTGACCTCAGGTGATCCACCCACCTTGGCATCCCAAAGTGCTGGGATTACAGGCGTGAGCCACCGTGCCCGGCCATAAGTAGCTGTGGGTTGTTCTAAGTGAGGACTGGATTTTGAGCTGAAGTTCAAACTTTCAAAACTCTAATTCCATCAGTTTTTAGCCATGACACCTTGGCAAGTCATTTATCCTCTCTCAAAGCATTTACTATCAATGAAATGGGAGATGAGAAAACCCATGTCACAGGAATATGTCATAGGAGTATGGAGGATGAGGAACATAGATGTTTCATAAATACATATCAAAATATCACCTCTGGCCCACTCCCCGCCCCCCTCCCCTCCTCCCACCTCAACTGCTCCAGCAGCTATTAGGAGAAAATATCAGAAGGGATGAATTCTGGAAAGTACAAATTAAAGCCAGGTCAGGGGAGACTGAGCAGAATCCTAGGTCTACGGCTTTTGCTTTTGGTAAGGGCTTACTTTAATTGAGGAGAAAATTGAAGCCCAGAGAGAGTTTACGCAACTTGCCCACAGTCACATAGCTGGTTTATGGCAGAGCGAGGATTAGTTTGTCAGTCTCTGTGCTCTTCCAGCCACATGAAGATGAACAATGTAACTCAGGAAGAGGGACGCTAGAGGCTAAAGCAGATGTAGGGAAGGGGTGGGGTCCAGCATACGCTGAGGTTTGGCCTTCCCCAGGCATGTGCAAACAGAGAGTGGCTGAAGCTCTGGAAAGGACACCAGGAAAGCCACCAGAGTTCCTCACAGTTGTTTCCTTCCACCCAGTTCTGGGTTGTGTGTGCAGAAATGGAGGAAGTGGCTATAACACCACATGGTGGTGGTGGGAATGCCCAAGAATCGGGAGGGTCCACAGTGTGAAGAAGTAAACTAAGTCAGATCCAAGCCTGACTCAAAGCAAGAAGAATTCTGCAGATCTGCAAGTTAGGTTGCTCATTATTACACAAAAATGCCCAGTTTGCTCCCAGACTGGCCAGGCCCCACCTCCTTCTCATCTGCAATTATAGCTCTTCAAGGTGGGGGGCTTGTCCTATAGCTGTGGAAGATTCCAGGCAAATCAATGCACTATCTCTGGATGTCAGGTGAGCTCCATGAACACAACTCTTCAGCCTTGGCCCATTAATCAGATCTGATGACTTAATTTACTTTGAAAATGAACGTGCCACTTACAACGTGATCCATCACAAACATTTCTACTTCCCAAATCCCAGGGGAATTACCTCTGGCGAACAGAGAAGAATTAAACCTTTTGCTAAACAAAGGCATTCTCCCTTTGTGTGACCAGAGACAGGAGATAGAATCTGAATGTGCTTTTACCATCTTCTGTGCTGGAGATGCCAACTGTTTTCCCCCGTCCCCAACACACCTGCCCCTCACAGCCCTTCAGCAGAGGCCCTGCGGCCTTAGTGGCTCTGCCTCCAAGGAAGCCTGGGGTCAGCCCATGACGAGTCCAGCTACGTACTTGGGAATAGGCAGGCACCATCAGTTAATTAAAGGTCATGAAGACAGAGGAGCAGAAGCTGCCTTTGTGGGGAGCTGAACTTCTCTCCTGACAGCCCAGAATCAATTAGTTGTACAGCAGCAGTGAGAGGTCCCCCTGCCCCAGGGAGAGATGGTGACAGAGAGACAATAGGTGAGCTGGTTTCACATGCTTTCTTGTTGTCTGCATGAGGCCAGCTGTACCTCCTGCTCTGGTCTTGCGAGATGACCCCGGATCCTTAGGATAAATTTCCCTTCACTTCTGTGAGCCTAAGGGATTTCTATCTCTTACAACCACTTTTCTTGATTAAGATACACACTGGACTCAATCCTAGGTGGTGGGGAGATGCAGGAATGTAGAACAACAAGGAGCTGCTTCATCCTTTTGAAATAACCTCCCATGTATTTTGTTCCCTCATACTTACACCTACACTTATTGGATAGTTTAAGCACTGAAGTATTGGCTAATTAGTCAAAGTTTGTTCATCTTTCCTAACTAGGCTGAAAACACCCTGATGTCAAGAACCATCCCATAGGCTGGGTGTGGTAGCGTATGCCTGCAATCCCAACACTTTGGGAGGCTGAGGTGGCAGGATCACTTGAGCCCAGGAGTTTCTAGACCAGCCTGGGCAACATGGCGAAACCCAGTCTCTACAAAAAAATACAAAAAGTTAGCTGGACATAGTAGCACACACCTATAGTTATAGCTACTAAGGAGGCTGAGGCAGGAGGATTGCTTGAGCCTAGGAGGTCAAGGCTGCAGTGAGCCAAGATTGCACCACTGCCCTCTAGCCTGGGTGAGAGAGCCAGACCCTGTTAAAAAAAAAAGAAAAAAAAGTAATAATGAGAACCACATCATATATATTTTCTGTAACCCCTAACAGTGCCAGATATATTTTAGCCAATAATTATATTAACTTTTTTGGTTAAATGGAAAAGGATGTAAATATAGAATCATGAGCCAACAAGTTGATTTAATAAATGCAAATTTCATTTATGACCTCCTTCATCCATCTATTTACAGAGTCACTGGTTCACTTGCAGTTGGAGAGAAGCTAGAACAGTTCGAGCTTTTTGTACTCACCCAAATGTAAGGGGATGTGAGAGTCTAGTAAACAGGAATACAGAGAGAAGTACACATGTGAGGCTTTTAGGAGTAAAGTCAACAGCATTCAGTGACTAGAATTATCATAGATTGGAAAGAGAAGCTCATCAAGGATGGGAACAAATTTTAGAAGGTTCCCAAGAGGTTAGGCATAGCAAGGTCCACAGGAGGGTGGGGCTGGCCTTAGGAATATTGCAAAGTGCATTTTCCTCCTTCTCAAGTTCTCAAGAAACTTTTTCTCTTGAAAAATAAACAATAGTTTCTAAATATAGGAGTTGAACCAAAAATATATATTTTTCTTGGGTACAATATATGCAATGTATGTTTTTGCATTTGTCTGTTGTACCCAATAGTTGCCTATCTGTAATTTTTTTTTTAAGTACTGACACATTTAATATGTCCATACAGTCTGGCTTAGGTTACACTGGCTGAAGTGCATTAGAGGGTGTGTGTGTGCATGTGTGTGTGTGTCAGAAAGAGAGAGAGAGAGACAGAGAGAGAGAAAGAGCAAGAGAGAGAGCTCCTAGTTAAGCACTTCCTGATATGGACTTTCAAATTCGTCAATAAAATAAAAAGCATTTACTACAGCTGGCCTTAACAAATACTAGTCTCTGTCATTTCCTCTCACTAAGTTTAGGTTTACAATGGTGTTTTATTTATGCTTTTGTATGATTGCCACAGTTAGCAGAATGCCTTGAAAAGTATGTTCTTAGGGTACTTTTTAAAAAGCATGAAATTTATTAACTAAGAATGAGGTTTTCTTTCTCTTGCTCTCTCATTTTTTTGTGCTTTCTTTTAAAATTTTATGGTTCACTTTTATTATTTTAAGGTTCCTAACAGCCAAGAAGTTCTAGCCCTAAGTTACTTTATTCATTCAGTAGCTAGGTGAGACATGTATCTTCTATTTAGCTAAAGACTGGGAATATATTTTCTGGAGTGTGCTAAGATTTCAAGCCAAGTTTTGTATCATCTCCAGGACTCCTTGCAAGTGTGTAAAACTAGATTTGTCTGCAAATGACTAGTGCAGAAAAAGAAAAATGGATCCTCCTTTTCATTTTCTCCTGAAAATATTCATCAAACCTATATAGTAAGTACCCATCTGTCCAAGACAATCTCTGAGAAGAATAAAACACAATCTCTGAAGGCAAGGAACTCATAAACAGAGGCATTCCTGCCAGGATGAAAACAGTATGTTTCTTGGGTAAATTAAAAAATTAATGTTACATGTCATAGTAGTAGACAGCTTAGAAATTTTGACCTTTGCTTCGGGGAAACTTTGCTCATGAATACTGAGTGTCAGAAGTGGCGTGAAGCTGGGGTCAGGGGTTCTTCAGAGAAGGGCAATACGGTGGGCTTCATGGAGGAGGTAGGACTCAAAAAGGATGCTGAGGAAGCATTGGCATTAGAAGAGCAGAGAGAAAGGGCAAAGGCTGACCCCTGGTCGCAAGGAAGCAGAGGGCCAGTTAAAGAGCCCTCCCTGTAGGAGATGAGATTGGAGAGGTCCACTTGGCCAGGTTGTGCTGCACCTTTGAATTCTGTGACTGCAGTCTACTTTGATCCTCTTCCATGTCCTCTCTGTGTCAAGGGGTAACATGAACAGATCCTGAATAAATATAGTTGCATGCCAAGTTATATTTGGGAAGATTCATGTGGTTCCACTGTGTGGGAAAGATGAGAGAGAGCAAGAAACTAGAGGCAACAAGTTAGGAAGCAATTGTCTAGGAAAACAATGGAATTTTAGGAATTTAGATGGGATTGCTATTGCTCTGGGGTTTTAGATTCCAGAACTACACAAGCAGAAATGAGGGTTTTTAAAATATGACTCCCCCGGCAAAAAGGAAAATGACCACATCTAGGTTTCACTTGGGAGGGAATGAGGATAGACGTCTGGCGTTCCCACCAGACTTCTCCCTGGGCTCAGCTCTCTCTGTGGGTCTACCCCTGCCTGCTCCCACGTTTCCCCTCCCTTCTTCCCTTGTTCTGGGCACTGCAGCTTTGTGTTTACCATCATTCAACAGTCAGCAAAGAAATACTTCCCTTTAGCGAATGTAGCAAAGACTAACAAGGCTTGCTGGAAACTGATTAGTTCTGGGGTTTCTTGTCCAGATAGAGCCTCCCTCAAATCATCCTCTTTATCAAAGTCCTCCACGTGGGTGGTGCTGGTTTTATTGAACCTAATCTCTGTTCAGTGAATTGTTGCAATGTAGCAAGCAAAACATCTGATTGTCAATGCCAGTTTAGATCTGAAGTTGCTAAGCCCTCTGTGTTAGGGGACAAACCCAGAATCAGAGACACCTGCACCCCTCCCCAGCTGAGATTTGCTCACCAGACTGAGCTTGGGGGATTCACTTCAGCCCTTTGCAGAGTTTCATCTGGAATATGAGTGCCAAGAAAGCCACTGTGTTCAAGTTGTCCATGAGAATTCGCCTCTATACCCTGGCAAGGCCTGGGAACAGAACAGATCCTCCCTAGAAACGAGAAGTGGAGAACTTTGGAGAAAAACTAACTTCATGGGTAAAACTCTGTTTTCCTTTGAAGGATTCTGGTCATTTTGTTAGAAATTAAGAGAGAAAAACAGATTACGGTTGGCTAGTATAGGCCCCTGGCACCAGGCATCTTGTTCCTTTTTCCTCTATTATATTTCTTGAAATATCTCAGATGGTAGCAGATGCCTGTATCCTAAACTGAAATTATTTGTCTCTGGGCCAGAATACTCTTAGGAAATCATAAGACATCCCATGAGCATTGACTAGAAAAGCTCATGATGCAATGTTAGATACTTTCAGTTGTAACATGTTTTTTAATGTTGTGTTTATATCTTTTTCTTTCCTAAATGTAGAATCTGTTTGGGCTGGGTGTGGTGGCTCATGCCTGTAACCCCAGCACTTTGGGAGGCTGAGGTATGAGGATAGCTTGAGCCTAGGAGTTCAAGACCAGCCTGGGCAACATAGTGCACCAAGACCTCCGTTCTACTAAAAAAAACCAAAAAACAAAAAAACAACAACAAAAAAAACATTAACCAGGCATGCTGGTGTGCACTTGTAATCTCAGCTACTTGGGAGGCTGAGACTGAAGGATCACTTGAGCTCAAGAATTCAAGGCTGCAGTGAGCTACGGCAACAGAGTAAGACCCTGTCTCAAAGAGAAAAATAAATTAGAATCTGTTCGGAATTGAAAAAAAAAGAAAAGTTAAACACATAACTTACCATCATTGACTTTAAAAGAAGCAAACCAACCATGATAGCTGGTTCTGGGGAGAAGGTTAGTAAGTGTGTTAAATCAAATCCCACCCATTCTTGGGTGTTTGGTTTAGGTTGCTTATTCTTTATAAAACCTTCCCTGAGTCAGTATAGCCCATAGTCACCTCTTCTCTGGGCTACTGTAAAAGTGACAGTACTATACAATTTAGTCCTTCATTGGAAATGTCCTTGTATTATTCACCATTGTATGTGCTGTTCCTGTTTCCCCAACCAGATGGTAAGATATGTTAGAAAGCAAGGATCCTACTAGACTCTGTATGTTTGTTTGTTTAAGATTGGGTCTTAAGCTATGTTTCTCAGGCTGGTCTTGAACTCCTTGGATCAAGCAACCCTCCCACCTCAGCCTCCTAAAGTGCTGGGATTACAGGTGTGAGCCACTGTGCCTGGCCTTGCTAGACTTCTTATTTCCTAAAAGCAAGCTTCCTTCTGAGAACATAGTATTTGACAAACACCTACTGAATGAAAACATTGAGCATGGAAGTTGGGCTCATTTCAGATCTGGCTCTGGGTCTTCCCTTCACTACAAGAAGAGCTCAGGCTCAGTGTGACCCAGGCCTTGCTATCTGGAGAAGCTGTGTCATGATAAAGTCAGTCACTTGTTATTGACAGCCACGAGTGGCAGTGGACATTCTGGTTAAGAACAAAGGCCTTGGGGTCAGCAAACCTGGGCCCAGATTTTACTTTTCCCACCTATTAGTCGTGTGGCATTGGACAAGTTATTTTACCAATGCTTAGCTTCCTTATGTATAAAATGAAGATCAAAATAGTACCTACCACTTAGCATGTTTTGGAGAAATAAAATAAGATATGTAGAACCATATGCCCCACTTCCCCAGCTGGGTATGTAAGTAATGTAATTTTCCCAGATTAGGAAATTCATAATCCTGTCCCTTCTTTGTGGACCCCCTTCCAGGGTCCAGCCTGGATACCCAGAAGTGCTTATTTGGTCTCAAGGGTCAGTCCTAGATCTTCTCACCCTGCCGGGTGTTCCAGGCTCCCCAGATGCCCTCTGCTGTAATGACATTGCTGCCAGAGCCTGATGGTGCTGCTACACCTGCTGCAGCTTGGCGAGCCACAGCAGAGCCCTTGACACTGACTGCCTTGCAGTGGCTCCTCAGGCCAGGAGGGAGGCTGTTTCTGGGTTGCCAGTGTGTAGCTCTTTTTTTTTTTTTTTTTTTTTTGAGACGGAGTCTTGCTGTGTTGCCCAGGCTGGAGTGCAGTGGCACAATCTCAGCTCATTGTAACCTCCGCTTCCTGGGTTCAAGCAATTATTCTGCCTCAGCCTCTCAAGTAGCTGGGACTACAGGCATGTGCCAGCACATCTGGTTAATTTTTTATATTTTAGTAGAGATGGGTTTCACCATGTTGCAGGCTGGTCTCAAACTCCTGAGCTCAGGCAGTCCGCGTGCCTCAGCCTCCAAAAGTGCTAGGGTTACAGGTGTGAGCCACTGCGTCCAGGCACCAGTGTGTAGCTTTTTAATAGAACTTCCCATGGCTGCTTGGGTTTACTTTGGGTTAAAAGCAATAATAAATTCATATATTACCCCCAATGTGCTTATGGAGACTAATGGGGAGGACACTTCAGCTAAAAGTGTGATCTGGCCTAAGGTAAAAACGTTTCAATCAGGTATTTGCATAGGTGGAGTGTGGCCTTGTTGTTCGAAAAGATTAATAATGACAAGCCAGGTGTCTATGCACTGAAGGCCTATGGGAGATGGTTCTGAATACAAAAAAATATGAACAACAACAACAACCATTTGTCTCTATCTTGCTTAAATGCAGGTAGGGGAATAATTATAGATTACATGGCATTTAGGCACAATGTTTATTTTCCTTAAGATTGGGGTTTGTGTGTGTATTGCAATCCTTGACCACCAGAAGAATGAGGAGGCATAGCTTTGCCTCACACAGATGGCTGGTCTTGGAAGAAGACCAAACCTGGAGTACCAAGACCTCTTCCGAGCTGTCCTGTGGAAATGCCTCAGTGTTATCCTAGACTGAATCTCCTGGACAGACAGGCCATGCTGGTTGGCCAACACACGTATTTTAACTATGTGGCCGACGTGTTTGCCACTCACTCTGTGGTTAAAATGTAAACAGAAGGTCAAAAGGTAGGATCACAGGCCAGGCATGATGGCTCACGCCTGTAATCCCAGCACTTTGGGAGGCTGAGGCAGGAGGATCATTTGAGTCCAGGAGTTTGAGACCAGCCAGGGCAACATAGCAAGATCCCATCTCTACAATAAATTTTTAAGTCAGCCAGGCCTAGTGGCATGCACCTGTAGTCCCCACTACTCAGGAGGCTGAGGTGGGAAGATTGCTTGAGCTTGGGAGTTCAAGGCTGCAGTGAGTTGTTACCATGCTCCTGCACTCCAGCCTGGGTGACAGAGTGAGACTCTGTCCCAAAAAGAAAAAAAAAAAAAAAACAGAGTAATATCACAATGTACATATCCCGACAAACTCCCTGCTTTCTGCTTACGAGGAGGAATTGGCAACACAGAATCATGCAGCAGGAAGAATCCATGGTTATACTTATAAAGCAGCCTTTTGAATTGGGTGGGTGGGGTGGGTTGAGAGTCACAGAGGCCTGGTTCCAGCCTGCTGGTCTTCTGTCACACTGACTTCTGCGATCTTGAATGAAGGGACATGGGACTTCCCCTGAGTTAGATGACCAGTGTGACTGATTTGCTGGGCCCAGCTTGTGTGGATTGGTAGGATGGAGTCAGAGTGAGAGCAAATTGTACAGTAAGGTGGTGACTGTAGCAGGAGGATAAAAAAAGAGCCCTGGCTGATGAAGCGCCTTCCAACAGAGGTGGCTTAAATACTCCTTCCCCGGCCGGGCGCGGTGGCTCACGCCTGTAATCCCAGCACTTTGGGAGGCCGAGGCGGGCGGATCACGAGGTCAGGAGATCGAGACCATCCTGGCTAACATGGTGAAACCCCGTCTCTACTAAAAATACAAAAAAAAATAGCTGTACATGGTGGCGGGTGCCTGTAGTCCCAGCTACTAGGAAGGCTGAGGCAGGAGAATGGCATGAACCTGGGAGGCGGAGCTTGCAGTGAGCTGAGATCGTGCCACTGCACTCCAGCCTGGGCGACGGAGCGAGACTCCGTCTCAAAAAAAAAAAAAAAAATACTCCTTCCCCAGCAACACTGTCAGTAACACACAGCTGTATATTTCCACAGGCCAAGGGAAGTCTAACCCCTGTGGAAAGAAGGTGGGTTTTTCCTAAAGGTAAACCTTCCTAAGGGAAAAATGGAGAAGAATGGCCCTCAAGACAGGAAGCAGAATTAGGGATTGGGTGTGAATTATGTAAATTTTGTTTTCCTTTACCTTGGACTCTGGAAATGGCCCAATTTAGTGCCAGGTTTTAAGTTTTTCTCCTGTGTATTATATCCTCTAGCCACCAAGTCCTTCACTAGCAACTATTTACATCTGCAGCCTGGCGTGATGATGCCGTGGGGAAATGAGGGACAGAGCAGAGCTGGCCATGGGGGCTATATTAGTCCATTTTCTGCTGCTATAAGAGAATACTGCAGAGTAGGTAATTTAAAAAGAAAAAAAAATGTTGATTTGACTCATGGTTCTAGAGGCTGGAAAGTCCAAGAACATGGCACTGGCATCTGGCAAGGGTCACCCCATGACAGAGGGGCAGAAGGAATATGAGCGTGCAAGACACGGATTAAATCAAGCTGAACTCATTGTTTAATGAAAACCCCACTTCTGTGATAACTAACCCATTAATAACAGCATTAATCCATTCATGAGCGCGGAGCCCTTATGGCCTAATCACTTCTTAAAGGTCCTACCTCTTAATACTATCACAATGGCAATTGAATTTCAACATGAGTTTTAGAGGAGACATTCAGACCATACATAGTAGGATCATAGCTTGCTCCATGTCACCCTGCTATGAAGCCAGCAGCAAAGTCAGGGCAAGCCAAGGATGGAAGGAGCCCATGATACAGAGGAGAGTGGCCTGACTCATGAACAGGCATTTGTATATAAATATAGATATGTCTCACAAATACAGCAGAGGAAGGAACCCTTGCTGGAGAAAGAGGTGAGCACTCTGTAAGGTTAATGGGAATTTATTTCCTTTTTTTTTTTTTTTCCTGAGCAGCCCCTCTTTTAGGGAGGAAGTCTATTACTCCAAACTCCTGATGGCAGAGTTAAAGCCTCACAGGTCTGAACAGATATTCCCCTGGGATATTCAGCTTTTGGGGAACAGCCAGCTCAACAGTGAACCTCTAATCTCATGGCAAATTATTTAAATCTGAGAATCCATTCAAGTCTTATTTTGAGTACCCTAGTCCATCCAATATCTTTTAATAATTTTGTATCTCAAAAAAAGAAGGGAATTGTCCTTACGTAAAAGTTGGTATGTAAACAAAAGGTTATAAACAGGTTGGTATGTAAACAAGTGGTTTTCTGTAAACAAGTGGTTATTTATATCCTATTAAGTACTATATACATCAACAGTATATAAATAATAGTCCCTGGCCAAGGCAAAGACATAATCTATTGCGTCTTCTGCTGGAAAAGAGAATTGCTCTTACCAGAATAAAGGACTGTGCTCCAAAGGTGAATTAATGTTTTCATCTCTATAGACTAAAAACTTGTCAATAACTTCCAAAAGCAAAAAACTCCTTAATGTCCTTTCTCTCCGTGGTGCCCAATTACTTGCACCTGCACACGGCATGCACTCATTGTTGGTGCTGCCAGTGTTCCAATCCCTTCTACTGAACCCTGCAATGCTCTCAGAGCCTGCTGCTCTTCTTTAGTTCACTTGGCAGTTAATATGATGTTGAAAACACCACCATTCATTAAGAGTGGAGGGGTACAGCACCATTGCTTTCAATTCAGATGGTCTGTGGTAGAGACTACAAGTGGTCACCTATTTCCATTCTTTCACTTTTGTGCACAGCACCAAAATCCCCAATATTTTTTAAGGCACGTGGCCATCAAGGATACAGTGTGACTGTCTGTGCTTCCCTTGCAGTTAGATGTGGGCATAAGATGACATCCTGGACAATGGATTGTGAACGAATGTGATGAGGCCATCTGCCAGGTTGTGTCCATGAGAGGAAGGTGTACACCCCTTTTGCCCTTTCTCCTTTCATAGAAGGAGGACAAGTTGCGGAAGAAGCCAATCTTCTAGGGAATCCAAGCAACCCAATCAAGGAAATCTGGATTTCTGACACCAGTACTCAGTGGCAGAAGTTCCCAAACACTCTCGTTTCATAGTATAGTGTCGCCATAATTTTTTCATATTGACTCTAGGCCAAAAGAATGCCTAAAAATTCTGTTTCTAGGCAGTTGTATCTAAGCAATTTGCTATGTCCTAACAACTTAGAAGTCATTTGAAAAAAAAATAATTCAAATACATTGAAAGAAAAAATACTGTTATTTCTATTCTTTTTTTTTTTTTTTTTTTTTTTTTTTTTTTTTTTTTTTGAGACGGAGTCTCTCACTTTCACCCAGGCTGGAGTGCAGTGGCGTGATCTCAGCTCACTGCAAGCTCTGCCTCCCAGGTTCACACCATTCTCCTGCCTCAGCCTCCCGAGCAGCTGGGACCACAGGCACCCACCACCACGCCTAACTAATTTTTTGTATTTTTAGTAGAGATGGGGTTTCACCATGTTAGCCAGGATGGTCTCGATCTCCTGACCTCATGATCCACCCACCTCAGCCTCCCAAAGTGCTGGGATTACAGGCGTGAGCCACCGCACCCAGCTCTTATTTCTGTTCTTAAATAACCACAATCACTTACTAGTGGGATGCGTGCACCTGTTGAGCACTGTACACCTTCTCAAACCTTGGGATCACATTGGGTAACAGTACTGTCATTTACTTGCATTTTATCAGACCAGCCACTGAAAACCCAGCTTTGCAAAGGTATGATATCATCAAAGAGAATGTAACAAGATCTGAGGTTTGAACTCTGAACTACCTCAAGCTAGTAATATGACAAATGTCAAGGTATCACTGAATTTTCTTTGAATAAGAAAAATTTACCATGGTATCCTGTGGTGCCTGGGTGCATAGTTTGGGAACCATGTCTGTGGAGCAACTATACTAGCTCTGGACTGTTTATATAAGAGAAAAATAAACTTCTATTGTCTTTAAACCACTATGATTTCAGAGCTTTAAGAGCACACTAATCTTATCTTATAGAAGGTTGAAACTATTAAGACAAAAGTGAAAATATGACTAGGCAGTTTAACCTGAAAGTTGCACATATACATTGACACCCCCAACCCCCTGCCCTGCGGTCACCTTCTGTTCCCCCAGGCCAGTCCTCTAAGTTGCATCCCTTTTCCTCTCATTTCTTTCCTTCTGCCTAGTAATTTGTTCCATTTCACTAGCTGCCGGCTCTCAGGGCAGCTGCCCTCCATGATCCCTGTGGCCTTTCCCTTCCAGAGACCCCTGTGTCTCTGCCCAAGCTGTGCCTTGTTGAAGGAGCTATATTTGCTTGTGTGGCAAACCCTGAGGCACGAGGGCCAGCTTTTCTCCCCTCACCACACATATGCCTTCTTAACTTAAGGGAAAAAATTCCATTCCCCTTCAGGGAACATTAAAGAAGTGGGGTAAAAAGCAAAGTTTTGGTTGCACGATAGGTTGAGTCCTCTAAACCACTTAAGAGGTATATTTCAAAATGAAGAAAGAATTTGAAGTACAAAGAATTAGTCAGGTATGAAAATCATTTAACCTTCGGCAAGCACCTAAAGCCAAACTCTATGGGGGTGCCCAACAGGCCGTGAGCTTGGAAGAGAAGTCGTTTCCTTCCCAAAGCTGACCTTTGAAAGTGAAGATGCTGCTCTAATATTACTTCTACTGGCCAGAGGGGGAAATGCCCAGTCAATGGATTCTGCAAAACTAGAGGAAACCAGGGCCCTGTGATATTGATTCTCTTCTAACTCCTACAGAGAAGTTTTCTCTCCACGTCTTTGTTTGAGACAGAGTCTTGCTCTCTCAACTAAGCTGGAATGCAGTGGCGAGATCATTCTCCCACCTCAGCCTCCCGAGTAGCTGGGACTACAGGCACACACAACCATGACCAGCTAATTTTTAAAATTCTTTGTGGAGATGTGCATTTACTATGTTGCTCAGGCTGGTCTCAAACTCCTAGCCTCAAGCCATCCTCCTGTCTGGACCTCCCACAGTGCTGGTATTATAGGCGTGAGCCACTGCACCCAGCCCTCTCCAAGTCTTAAGGCAAACTGTAGCCACTTTCCTCTTGAGGTAAAGTAGACATGGCCTCTTCCAGTTGACTTCTTCCAATATGTTTCAGTAGTTAGAAATTCAAATGAGATAGCAATCCATTCCCTCTGATGCTGGCTAGTAAGGCCAAAAGGAGTATTTCCAATGCTGTCAGATGTGTCAGCTTCTGTGAGGAGTTGAGTCCAGCAGAGGGTGTTTGATTTATGTAGTTCTAGACGGGGGGCATTTCTAGTAACTGAAATAGTTGAGAATCCTACTCTGAATCACTTCCCTAAGCCCCTTTTGTTTTAGTGCCATTCTTTGTTAAAGCCTAAGTCAGATTATTGGTTTCTTTTGAGCAGAAACTGCAACAGATAAGGCCTGTCTCCCTAAGCCAGATCCATGTGATCATTGCTTTTGATCTGACAGCTACTGGCAGGAGTGTAGCTAGTGCAGGTGATGTGGATTTCGCCCTGGTCAGTGACCCCCTACTTATACCTGACTAGCTCTCCCCAACCCCAACCCCAATCTTTGGTCTTTATTCCAAAAATGCAAACCTATTTAGATATCCAACTAAGCAGACATTAAATGGGAAGGAAAATACATTTTTGAAAAAAAGTATGATGACATGTTTCAAACCCAAGCCCTTTTTTCTCAGACAGTCCCCTGCTTCGGCATCCTGTCCACACGGCTAGTGTGTAATCCGTTGCTTGCTTACTGGTCTCCCTTCCTCCCTAGATCCTGAGCTCCATGAGGGCAGGAAGCATGGCATGGTTATCTCCTGCCTGACGCTCGCCACTTGGTGCATGATGAGTAAATGTTCATTTGATATGAATTCTCCCCTCACTGGCATGGCTTAGTGAAAGCTAAAGAAACAGAGTAAAGTAAGTGAAGTTCAGCTCATCCTCCCCATCCCCCCTCACTTCTCCTTTTTTCTTCCTTCCCCTGATGTCCTCATCTCTCTCCCTGTCTCAGAAGCACTGTCAGCTTCCATAAATTACAGGAATAAACACCTAAAGGTACCACTCTTGACCACATTCTGAGATTTGACCCAGACCTTGCTTTTTTGTTTTTTGGGTTTTTTTTTTGTTTTGTTTTGTTTTTTTGAGACACGCTTTTGTTCTGTCAGCCAGGCTAGAGTGCAGTGGTGTGATCATAGTTCATTACAGCCTCAACCTCCTGGGTTCAAGCAATCTTCCCACCTCAGCCCCCAGAGTAGCTGGGACTACAGGCCTGCTGTACATCTCCTGGCTAATTTTTAAATTGTATTATTACTTTTTGTAGCAATGGGGTCTTGCTATATTGCCCAGGCTGGTCTCGAACTCCTTGGCCCAAACAATCCTCCTGCCTTGGCCTCCCAAAGTGCTGGGATTACAGGTGTGAGCCACCATGCTCAGCCTGTCTTGGACCTTTGGCTGCAAAGTGCTGAGCACAGAGCCATGCAAGGGAAGGTGGGCAGGAAAGCTTGCACCATTTGTTGGTGGCACTGTGAGCACTCAAAATGATGTCCCCCTTTGACTACTGTGGTAGATGTCACTAATGTTCTCCTTTACCTCCTAGTAGAAAGAGAAATATCTTTTCTGCCCTTTCGAAGTTAGGTGTAACCATGTGACTTGCATTGGCATAAGAATTAAGAGCTTCCACACTTTGCCCCAGTCACAGTTGTCAGAGCAGTGCATACAAATGTGTTTTTAGACAGAGGTGCCACAAGAGCAAAGAATCCTGGATCATTGAGCTGTCACCTGAGGAGAGTCACCCTGACCCCCAATGAGCTTTGCATGTGCAAGAAATAAATATTTGTTGTTTTAAGCCACTACGAGTTTTGGAGATTGTTTGTTGCTAACAAATATCTTGGCCTATCCTGGCTGATATAACTACCTTCTGTACTTTGCTTACTCTGTCCATATTTCAATTGTTTATTAATCATAAGGTGCCCTGTGAAAGCAAAAGTCAGGCTAGTGGCTCTTATGGTCTTTAACAAATGTGATGGCAACATATCACTTTCAAAATTGTTCAAAAGGCTTCACTTGGGAAATGTGCCAGAGGGGAGCTATTGCTTTTCTTCATCTGCCCCTTTACTATACCCTCGCCTCCCACTTCCTTCCCACACATGGTGACCTGGGACACTTCATGTGAGATCTGCCGAATTTGGCCTCCACAACTCCAGAATCAACCTTCCCTTCTTTTCTTCATCTCACCTGAGCTGCCTCCACCTCACGACACTCTTCTCAGATGGGTGTTACAGAGGTGCCAGGAATTCTTCTAGAAGTAACTAACTCCTAGCACTTGTGAAATCAAAGCCCATGGACAACAAATTGCTCTCCATTTGTGGACACATGGCTTCCCTGAATGTGCAAGACAGATCTAATTCTCAATGGTTGCCTGGCACTGGTTAGCTCTGGACCCACGGACACTTTCACTGGTAAAATTACTGAGATGATGATCGTGAAGCTTAATGAACAAAACATGACTAAATTAACTTGTGGTCAGTCAACAATTCAATCCGAGGACACTGACACTGTCTCCCACAATTGGCTTGACTGTAACAGGGCAATGCATGAATAACATAGGGAGACTGAGCTTTGCCTTTGGATAAATGTTCTACACTTGCCAACATAGGAGAGCAGTGGATTTTCAATGTAAGATGATAATGACGTGGGTTTGTTCTCATTTCTGCCTCTTGCTGAGTCCTTACCCTAGAAAAATCACAATTCTGTTTTTGTTTTTGAGATGGAGTCTCACTCTGTCATCTAGGCTGGAGTGCAGTGGAGCAATCTCAGCTCACTGCAACCTCCACCTCCCAGGTTCAAGCGATTCTCATGCCTCAGCCTCCCAAGTAGCTGGGATTATAGGCGTGTGCCACCACACCTTGCTAATTTTTGTATTTTTAGTAGAGACCGGGTTTCATCATGTTGGCCAGGCTGGTCTCAAACCCCTGACCTCATGTGATCCACACGCCTCAGCCTCCCAAAGTACTGGGATTACAGGCATGAGCCACTATGCCTGGCCCCACAAATATATTATTGATAGTCGGCTGCTCTATGAAAAAAATTCTAAGGGATCTACCTTCAGGAATATAGGTAAGTGAAAGTTGCAATTTTCTCTGGAAGGAATTTTAATTGTAGACATTTTAATTTACATTAAATCATTAATATATTTTCCTGTAACTCACTGTATAAGAAATCTTTCCTTCAGAACCTAATGGGGCTCAAAAGTAAAAATAAAAGTAAAAAGTCTTTCTTGACTGATCCTGGAGATTGGAGTGGGGAGAAACTACAGCAAGTTAAGAATAGAGTCTGGGCCTTAATAAATTGACAGATATACCATGTTCATAGATTGGAAGATTGAAGATTGAATATTGTTAAGACATTAATTATCCACAAAATGATCTATAGATCCAACTCATTACCTGTCAAAATCTCAGCAGTATTTTTTGTAGAAATTGATGATCATGTTCTAAAGTGTATATGAAAATACAAAGAACCTGGAAGAGCCAAAACAAATTTGAGAAAGATGAACGAACTTGGAACACTTATATGACCCGATTTCTAGACTTAAAGCTACAGTAATCCACAGAGTGTGGTGTTGGTGAAAGGATAGACATATAGACTACTGAAAAAACTATTCTTAACCTGGGCCCATTCATATATTGCTAACTGATTTTGACAGAGGTGCTAAGGTAATTCCATGGGGAAGGTATAGTCCTCTCAACAAATGGTGTAGAAACAATTGGATATCTACATAGGAAAAAAATGAATTTCAGTCTTCATCTATTATGGAAAACTCAACTTGAAATGGATCATAGACCTAATGATAAGAGTTAAAACTATAAAACTTAAAGAAAAGATAAGAAATCCTTGTGATCTTGGGTAGACAAACATTTCCTAGAGAGGCAACAGAGGCATGAGCTATAAAACAGATAATTGCCATAAAAGAGCCATAAAAATAAATGATAAGTAAATTGTTTCATGTTCATACAAAGCAACCCTACTCAGCATTACCAAGGAATAAACTGCTGATACATGCAACAATATGGTAATCTCAAAAGCACAATACTAAGTGAAAGATGCCAAATGCAAAAGATTACAGGCTATATTATTTCATTTGTATGAAATTTTAGAAAAAGCAAAACTTTAGTGTTAGAAAGCAGATCAGTCTTTGCATGGAGCCAGGGCAAGTGTCTAACTGCAAAGGGACATAAGGAAACTTTTGGAAAATATGCCTTGTGGTGCTGATTGTGTGACCATATGCATTTGTCAAAACTCATGAGACTGTACCCTTATGTGCAGAAAAGAGTTAACACAGCCAATCTGAGGTTGCTATTCTTAGAAAGGCCTGCTTGGAAGGTTGGCTCTTGGATGGTGTCTGGGAACTTGGATTTTTGGAGTCTTCTCACTGTTCTCTAACTTATGAGGGTGGTTTGCTGTGTCTAGACTGTTTATGCAAATAATGTGCTTTATGCTAAACATCTGCTTTCCTTCTGGAAGTTCTGGAATTTTGGTACACGTTAGGCAAAGGTGCCTATGTAAATAGCCCCCAGTTAAAACCTTGAGACTGAGTCTTTAATGGGCTCTCTGGGGAGAAAATTCACCCAAATTGTATTTTAAAAATACAATTTCAACTTCTATTTTAGATTCAGGGGTATTACGTGATGCTAAGTTTTGGGGTACGATTGATCCTATCACCCAGGTAGTGAGCATAATACTCAATAGTTTTTAACTCTCACCCTTCTCCCTCCCTCTCCTTCTAGTAATCCCTAGTGTCTATTGTTGCCATCTTTATGTCCATGAATACCCAATGTTTAGCTCCGTCTTATAAATGAGCACATGCAGTATTTGGTTTTCTTTTCCTGCATTAATTCACTTAGGATAATGGCCTCCAGATGCATCTATGTTGCTGCAAAGGACATTATTTCATTCTTTATGTTTGTGTAGTATTCTGTGGTGTATATATACTACATTTTCTTCATTTAATCCACTGTTGATGGGCACCTAGGTTGATTCCATGTCTTTGCTATTATGAATAGTGCTACAATAAACATACAAATATATGTGTCTTTTTTGATTAAACAATTTGTTTTCTTTTGGGTATATACCCAGTAATGGGATTGCTAGGCTGAATGATAGCTCTGCTTTAATTTAATTAATTTATTTTTATTTTTTGAGATGGAGTCTCGCTCTGTCACTCAGGCTAGAGTGCAGTGGCACAATCTCAGCTCACTGTAACCTCTGCCTCTCAGGTTCAAGAGATTCTCCTGCCTCAGCCTCCTGAGCAGCTGGGACTACAGGCACGCGCCACCATGCCCAGCTAATTTTTTGTATTTTTAGTAGAGACAGGGTTTCACCATATTGGCCAGGCTGGTCTCCAACTCCTGACCTCATGATCCACCCGCCTCAGCCTCCCAAAGTGCTGGGATTATAGGTGTGAGCCACCGCGCCTAGCCTGCTTTAAGTTCTTTCAGAAATCTCCAAACTACTTTCCACAGTGGCTAAACTAATTTACATTCCCACTGACAGTGTATAACATTCCCTTCTCTCTGCAGCCTCACCAGCACCTGTTGTTTTTTTGACTTTTTAATAATAACCATTCCAATGGGACACACGTTGTATTGGTGTCTTAGGGCTGCTGTAACAAATTGTCACAAACTAGGTGGCTTAAAACAGATTTATTCTCTCACAATTTTGGAGGCCAAAAGTCTGAAATAAAGATATTGGTAGGGCTGAACTCCCTTCAGAGGCTTTAGGAGAGATTCCATTCCTTGCCTCTTCCAACTTCTGGTGGTTTCCCAGGCATGTGACTGCATCATTCCTATCTCTGTCTCCATAGTCACATTTCCTCCTCCTTTTCTCTGTGCCTGTCTCTCCCCTGTGTTTCATTTATAAGGAAAGCCTTGGGATCCCTCTGGCCCTTTCCTCCCTCCCAAATCTCTTCTTGGCTACTAGGCTGGCCTTGTGGTCAGAGTGGGTGTCAACCACCAGCTGGAAAGACCTCTGATCTCCAGAGTCCCTTGTCATTTCCAGATAATGCCAACAGCATTGCTACTGGAGAGAACCATTCCAGAGTCTTGGTCTTCCCCTTTTAAAATGCAAATATCTGTGACAAAGCGGATAAAATTATGTGTAGAGTATAACGCTTTTCTTATGATGTTATTTGAAAAAGGAATTGTATAATATAACACAAATGAGCTTATGGTGGTGTCCTCCCGTCTGAGGGCCAGCACTATAGCTCTCCCCACCATCTCTACCAAAACAGACTCTTTGGGAATAATGAGAGCATCCTGATGGAGGAAAAGGGGCCTAGGAGAGGCTGAGGCTTTTAAAAAGGCCTTCATCTACATTGGGCATTTGTTCAGCATTCGCCTGCTTTGCTAATTTGGTTGCTGCATGCCCACTTTGGGACAAGAAGGAAAGCACTCTTCTCCAATACATCAACTAGATGATTAATAAATGAAGAAGTGAAGTTCATACTCATTGCTAGCTCTGGTACCATAGCAGCAGAGGCCATCTGTAGCAGCATGTTCCACTTTAGGGGTTAGATGACCTAGATTCTATGACCTTCCACAGCCACCAACTGGCTGTTCTGTACCCTTAGCAAGTCACATTCTGCTTAGATCTCAATTTTCTTATCTGTCCATGAGACAGATAGCACCTACTCTATCCTCTCTATAGATTTTTACAGCATTGCAGCCATCAGAATGAGGGAACCTGCAGTAGGAATGGATGTGCCCCTTTCCCCTCCCTTTCTTACATTGGTTCCCTGGGCAGTGTGTACTTGGGTATTGGTTAGTATCTGGGACTGGTGACCAGAGAGGTCTCTCGACCAGATGCAGATGAGTGGATCAAAAAAGGATGTACTGACACGAAGTGGCAAGCTGGATAAAGAGTCAAAATCCAGCGGTGTGTTATATTCAAGAGACCCATCTCACATGCAAGGGCACACATTGACTCAAAATAAAAGGATGGAAGAAAATTTACCAAGCAAATGGGAAACAGCAAAAAGCAGGGGTTGCAATCCTAGTTTCTGACAAAATAGACTTTAAATCAACAAAGATCAAAAGAGACAAAGAAGGGCATTACATATTGGTAAAGCGGAGCTAACTATCCTAAATATATATGCACCCAATACAGGAGCACCCAGATTCATAAAACAAGTTCTTAGAGACCTACAAAGAAACTCAGACTCCCACACAATAATAGTGGGAGACTTTAACACTCCACTGTCAATATTAGATAGAACATCGAGACAGAAAATTAACAAAGATATTCAGGACTTGAACTCAGCCCTGGGCCAAGTTGACCTGATAGATATCTACACCTACAGATCTTTCCACCCCAGAAGGACAGAATATACATTCTTCTTGGTACCACATGACACTTACTCCAAAACTGATCCCATAATTAGAAGTAAATCACTCCTCAGCAAATGCAAAAGACTGAAACCATAACAGTCTCTCAGACCACAGCACAATCAAATTAGAACTCAAAAGTAAGAAACTTATTCAAAATCACACAACCACATGGAACTTTAACAGCCTGCTCCTGAATGACTCCTTAGTAAAACATGAAATTAAGGTGGAAATTAAGAAGTTCTTTGAAACCAATGAAAACAAAGAAAACGTACCAGAATCTCTGGGATGCAGCTAAAGCAGTGTTAAGAGGGAGATTTATAGCACTAAATGCTCACATCAAAAAACTAGAAAGATCTCAAATCTACACCCTAGCACCACAACAAAAATAACTAGAGAACAAAAAGCAGACAAACCCCAAAGCTAGCAGAAGACAAGAAATAACCAAGATCAGAGCAGAACTGAAGGATATAGAGACACAAAAAAACCCTTCAAAAAAATCAATGGATTCAGGAGCTGGTTTTTTGAAAAAATTAATAAGATACATAGACTACTAGCTAGACTAATAAAGAAGAAAAAAGAGAAGAATCAAATAGACACAATAAAAAATGATAGAGGTATCAGCACGGATCCCACAGAAATACAACTATCCGAGAATAAACAGTTTTATGCAAATAAACTAGGAAATCTAGAAGAAATGGATAAATTCCTAGACACATACACCCTCCCAAGACTGAACTGGGAAGAAGTTGAATCCCTGAATAGACCAATAGCAAGTTCCAAAATCGAGGCAGTAATAAATAGCCCACCAACCAAAAAAAGCCCAGGGCCAGATGGATTTACAGCTGAATTCTACCAGAACTCAGCTCCTACAAAGAGGAGCTGATACCATTTCTTCTGCAATTATTCCAAACAATTGAAAAGGAGGGACTCCTCCCTAACTCATTCTATGAGGCCAGGCCTGATACCAAAAACCGACAGAGATAAAACAAAAAAAGAAAACTTCAGGCCAATATCCCTGATGAACATCAATGTAAAAATTCTCAATAAAATACTGGCAAACCGAATCCAGCAGCACATCAAGGAGCTTATCCACCATGATCAAGTTAGCTTTATTCCTGGGATGCAAGGCTGGTTCAACATACGCAAATCAATAAATGTAATCCATCACATAAACGGATCTAAAGACAAAAACCACATGATTATCTCAATAGACACATAAAGGACTTTGATAAAATTCAGCATCCCTTTTTGTTAAAAAACTCTCAATAAACTAGGTATTGAAGGAACATACCTCAAACGAATAGGAGCCATTTATGACAAACCCACAGCCAATAGCATACTGAATGGACAAAAGCTGGAAACACTCCCCTTGAAAACTGGCACAAGATATGGATGCCCTCTCTCACCACTCCTATTCAACTTAGTATTGGAAGTTCTGGCCAGGGCAATCAGGCAAAAGAAAGAAATAAAGGTATTCAAATATGAAGGGAGGAAGTCAAAATGTCTTTGTCTGCAGATGACATGATCCTATATTTGGAAAACCCCATTGTCTCAGCCCAAAACTTCTTAAGCTGATAAGCAACTTCAGCAAAGTCTCAGAATAAAAAATCAATGTGCAGAAGTCATAAGTATTCTTATACACCAACAACAGGCAAGCAGAGAGCCAAATTGTGAGTGAACTCCCATTCACAGTTGCTACAAAGAGAATTGTATCTCTGTCAGGTTTTGGTATCATGACAATGCTGGCCTCATAGAATGTGTTAGAAAGGAATCCATCCTTTTCAATTCACAATTGCTACAAAGAGAGTAAAATACCTAAGAATACAGTTAACAAGGGAAATGAAGGACCTCTTCAAGGAGAACTATAAACTTCTGCTCAAGGAAGCCAGAGAGGACACAAACTAATGAAAAAATATTCCGTGCTCATGGATAGAAAGAATCCATATCATGAAAACGGCCATACTACCCAAAATAATTTATAGATTCAATGCTATTCCCATTAAACTACCATTGACATTCTTCACAAAATTAGAAAAAACTATTTTAAAATTTATATGGAACCAAAAAAGAGCCCATATAGCCAAGTCAATTCTAAAGAAAAAGAACAAAGCTGGAGGCATCACCCTACCAGACTTCATTCAAACTATACTAAAAGGCTACAATAGCCAAAACAGCATGGTACTGGTACAAAAACAGACACATAGACCAATGAAACAGAATAGAGAACTCAGAAATAAGATCACACATCTGCAACCATCTGATCTTCAACAAACTTGACAAAAACAAGCAATGGGGAAAGGACTTCCTATTCAAAAAATGGTGCTAGGAAAACTGGCTATCCATTTGCAGAAAATTGAAACTGGACCACTTCCTCACACCTTATACAAAAATTAACTCAAGATGGATTAAAGACTTAAATGTCAAACGCAAAACTATAAAAACTCTGGAAGAAAGTCTAGACAATACCATACAGGACAGAGGCATGGGCAAAGATTTCATGATAAAATCACCAAAAGCAATTGCAACAAAAGCAAAAATTGACAAATGGGGTCTAATTAAACTAAAGAATTTCTGCACAGTAAAAGAAACTCAGAGTGAACAGGCAACAAACAGAGTGGGAGAAAATCTTCACAGTCTATCCATCCAACAAAGGTCTAATATCCAGTGTCCACAAGGAATTCAAATTTACAAGAAAAAACAAACAACCTCATTAAAAGGTGGGCAAAGGACATGAACAGACCCCTCTCAAAAGAAGAATTCATGCAGCCAACAAACATATGAAAAAAAGCTCAACATCACCAATCATTAGAGAAATGCAAATCAAAAAACCACAATGAGATACCGTCTCATGCCAGTCAGAATAGCCATTATTAAAAAGTCAAGAAACAACAGATGCTGGCAAGGTTGCAGAGAAATAGGGACACTTTTACACTGTTGGTGGGAATGTAAATTAGTTCAACCATTATGGAAGATGGTATGGCAATTCCTCAAAGAGCTAGAACCAGAAATACCATTTGACCCAGCAATCCCATTACTGGGTATATACCAAAGGGAATATAAATCTTTCTGTTACAAAGATACATGCACACATATGTTCATTGCAGCACTATTCAGAATAGCAAGGACATGGAATCAACCCAAATGCCCATCAGTGATAAACTGGATAAAGAAAATGTGGTATAAATATACCATGGAATACTATGCAGCCATATAATGAATGAGATAATGTTCTTTGCAGGGATGTGGATGAAGCCAGAAGCCATTATCCTCAGCAAACTAACACAGGAACAGAAAACCAAAGGCCACATGTTCTCACTTATAACTGGGAGCTGAACAATGGGATCGCATGGACACAGAGAATGGAGCAACACACACTGGGACCTGTTGGCGGGGTGGGGTGGAGGGAGAGAGAGTATTAGGAAGGATGGCTAATGGATGTTGGGCTTAATACCTAGGTGATGAGTTGATAGGTGCAGTAAACCACTATGGCACACTTTTATCTATGTAACAAACCTGCACATCCTGCACATGTACTAGAACATGTACCAGAACTAAAAATGATTTAAAAAGATGAACTATGGAAACTTTGTTGTCCATCAATCATCTATCCATTCATCTATTCCTCCCTCCATCCCTCCCGTCCTCCCTCTGTCTGTCCATCTGTCCATCCATCCATCCATCCATCCATGTAGTGATGTGCTGGAACACCTCTTCCCAACTCTGTATCCAATAATGGCTTGAAGTTGGCCATGTGGTAGTATAAATATCCTGAAAATCAAGTTGGCAGCCATTACAAATCATGGATTTTTGTAGATCCAGTTGTTAAACATTCACTAGCATGCCACTGATTCTATCTAGTCCTCTCTTTTATGTAACCATCTAACCATTTATCTATGCATTCATGGGACTCATATGAATTGGCTACCCAGGATGTACCAGGCACTCTGAGGCCCTTTGTATCTCTACTCTGAGCCTGAATGTTTGCTAGACTCTAACAGTGAGAGAGCATGAGGAGAGTCTTTGTTTTACTGCTTGCTTTGGTACATCCTGGGAAGAATTTCTGTCCCATGATTAGACCAGAAACTACGTGAGGCCTGAGGCAGGAAGCAGCCTAGCATGTGTGGATGAGCCAACTGCATCTTCCCTCCTGTTCATATTAGACAGCCTTTGCCCCAGGACAGTGACCAGCAGCAGCACAGGAAAGTGGGGGGAGGAGGGATGGCAGATGAAGTTCCACCCGAGGTTATCGTCCCCATAGTCCCCACTGGTTTCCAGTTCTGCCTTCTGCTCCTCTTGACCCTTCTCTCTTACTCTACTCAGTTTCTCCTCACTGTTGCATCACGTGAACTGGGGTTTACGCTCCTTCTTCCTCATTTCTCACCTGTCTGCTTCAGTCCATGAGGTAACAACACATGATCGGGAAAAAAATTGCAAACAATTTTTTAAAGAAAAAAAAGGGCACATTAGAAACCAGGAATTTGGAGCAGACTTTGGTGTGGTTTTAAGACACGTCTGGAGTTTTTCATAATTCCCTATTCTCTGTTGCACTGCTTGCCAACTTCCTGAAACTAGTGTTTCCTTTGACAGTTATCTTACACACCCTCCTTACACCCAATAGTCAGACAGTACTCGCTAAGTAAGCAAAGCTCCTCCAAGAATATGGCCCTACTGGAATGGCCATCCCTCAAGGCAGAGCCCTGGCAGTGATAAAGTGTTAGGAGATTTTTAAGTACAGAGAGATGTGGAATTGGAGGGGTGATTGAAGCTCTGTAAGCAAAGGCTGAAGACCTGAGGCTGCCTATCTGGGAATCACACAGGCCGCATAATATGGAGACAGCAGCTGGGTAGAGGCAGCTGGCCCCAATAGAGAGGGCAGGCAATGGCCAGGAGGATAGGTAGGTGTCACTGGGAAAATGGCCATAGTCTAGCAGGCTTTTGGAGCCTGCAAATGTTGAGATTCTAGGAGGGTCTTCTCACTGACCTTTGCCTCAAACACTGCTGGCTGAAATAAAGAGTGTTTCTAAGTAGCAGGAACTGACGGGACGTTAGCGGTGGCAGAGATCCGAGTTACCTGAGGCGAATCCATAGGAGTGTGCAGCAACTTCAGGGTGGACTTCCCTAAAAGAATTAGACTGAGGGGCATAAGGCAGAAGGAGAGACTGAGGCAAGTGTCAGAGCGGGAGTGAAAGTCTATTGAAAACTTTAGAACAGGAAGGAGAGGAAAGAAAGGAAGGAATATACAACTTGGAAGAGGGCCAAGTGGGTGACTTGAGAAACCAAGTACACAGCTTGATCTCTTGGCTTGGGGTTTTATACATTGGCCTCCTTCCGGGATCTTGCCTTACTTCTCCCCACTCCTGAGGTCTTACTGGGAAGCTGCTGATCAGTTTCAGGTGTTTTCTGTCCATTAGGAGACTGCCTTTCCCTGGCACTGGCTGTGAGCAATTATTACTTTAGAGAAGCAGTTAACAACTGCCTGACCATCACCTGATGGTCACCCAACACTCCTGGTGTGTATCGAGCCCTCTCCTGCCCTGCTCATACCTGACAAGCTACCTGCTGTAACCGAATTGGGGGAGAAACCTCATGGCAATGTTTCCAAGTATTATTTGGGCATTCTTTAACTTGGATTTTCCAACTGCATTCATCAACCAATTATTACACATAAAATGTATCATATGGTATCTGCGTATAATTTATTTCATATAATGTAGGGTTGTAAATATATTATTATTATATGGCATGAATAATCAGAATTATCAGGATCAAAGTTGTTTGGAAATTATTTAAAAATATATATATATATATATATTTTTTTAGAGATAGGCTATCACTCTGTCACCCAGGCTGGAGTGCAGTGGCACAACCATAGTACACTGGAGGCTCAAATGCCTGGGCTCAAGAAATTCTCCCACCTTGGCTTCCCAAAGTATTGGGACACAGGCATGAGCCACAATGCCTGGCCTAAAGAATTTTTAACCTAAGGACTGTTATCTGATCTTTTAAGAAGGCTTGAGAGATTTGAACTTATATTTTATCTGAACCCAAGACTCAAATCCTGGTTATGTTTTAGTCAAACCCAGCCAACATGCCTGAATTCCCAGAGGAAGATGATGTAATTTAAGAGATTTTTCAGCTGTTTTTGCTTCTTTCAGTCTTGGTTCTGGAAAATGCTAGAGTCCAGAAGCCAAAGAAAAAAGAATAAGAAAAAAAGAAAGTCAGAGTTTCCTGGAAGGCAACTGTCCTGGGGCTACACTGGGCATTTTTCTTTGCTAACTCCATTCTTACTGAAAAACGTCCTCCATTCTTACTAACACATAATTATCAGGTCAATCCTACTGAGTTCAGCCAAGAACACCAAACTACAACAAAGAATGGATATTTTCTTCAACTGGACAAGGATGTATTGAGTACCTTCTATGTGCTAAATGCTATGGTTACACAGGTGAATGACAGCTATCCTTGCCCTCAAGTGGGGGGTTTTGCAATCTATTTAAGAAGAACAAAGTGGAAAGGAGAAAGAACACTAACAATTACTGAAGATCTACCTCATTCTTTCATCTAACGAAAACTTTTTGAGTGTCCATTATGTGCCAAATATTGTTCAAGGTACTGGAGATTCAGGAATGGAGAAGACAGATGTGGTCCCTGCTCTCGTGAAGGTTTCATCCTAGTAGAGCAGACAAACACATTATAAAAATGCCATGCTGACAGTATGATGGCTTTTCAAAAAGTTAAACATAGAATTACCTTATGATCCAGCTGACAGTGTGGTGTCTTCTCAAAAAGTTAAACATAGAATTACCATATGATCTACCACTAGGTATAACACCTAAAGAATTGAAAACAGGGATTTAAACAGATATTTTGGGCACTGGCGTTCATATGAACATTATTCACTATAGCCAAAAGGTGGGAACAACCCAAAGGTCTACTGGCACACGAATGGATAAATGAAATGTGATAAGTACATACAATGAAATACTATTGTCTTAAGAAAGAATGACATTTTGGTACATGTTACAACATAAATAAACCGTGACAACATTATGCTAAGTGAAATAAGCCAGAAACAAAAGGACAGATATTGTGTCATTCCACTGATATGAGGTAATTTGAATAGGCAAATTCATAGAGACAGAAGGTATCATAGAGGTTACCAGGGGCTGGGAGAAGCAGGTAATAGGGTGTCACTATTAAATGGTACAGAATTTTAGTTTGGCAAGATGAAAAAGTCCTGGAAATGGATAGTAGTGATGGTTGTGCAACATTGTAAATATGCTTAATGTCACCGAATTGTATACTTTAAAAAATGGTTAAAATGGCAAAATTTGTGATGTATATTTTGCCACAATAAACAGACAAACCAAAAATGACATGCTGGTAAGGTAAGAGGATGACTGGATATTGATTTTAGATTGGATGTCTAGGGATGGCCTTTCTGAGGAGTGTCATCCACGCTGAGATCTGAATGTCAAGAATAAGAAAGAGGTAAGGCACAATCAGAAGGAAAAGCAGTCCCCGAATATGAAACTGTAAGATCAAATACCTGAAGGTAGACACAGGCTGGATATTGGAGGAACAGAAAGGAGACCCTCTGGTCTTCCTCTGGTGGAGGAAGTGTGAGGGGTGGTGAGTGATCAAAATGTAAGATCTAAGATGTAAGCAGGAGACTTTTTCCAGTCAGCATGAGGGCTGACTTCTACTGGACTTTATTCTACCTTAATAGGAACTCTCTGGGGGATTTTAAGCAGTTGAGTAACATGAGAAGGAGGAAATATATCCTGTTTTGGGCAATTTTAGATGGATTCATAGTGGTAACATTTTACCTGGGACTTAAGTCATAGACATTCATGGGGAGGAAAGCTAGCAAAATTGTTCCAGAGTAGTACCAGCAGAGACTCAGAGTTAGGGGTTTAGACTTTTTTTTAAAAAAAGCAATATTTAATTTGAAGATCTTAGAAAATGTAAAGCCACGCTTATCACAGTAGTGTGTTACGTACCAGGAACCACGTGGGCCATAGAGTAATCATCTTCTTGGAGTAAATTTTGCTCAGATTACTGAACTTTTTTACATAATTTTAACTAATTTTTTAGTTGAAAACAATGTTTTTTAAAAAGTTTAATTATATGTTTTATTTAACCCAAGATATCCAGAATAGTATTATTTTAACATAATCAACATAAAAATTATTGAGATTTTTTATGATCAATTTTGAAACTTATTTATTTATTTTTGAGGCAGGGTCTTGCACCGTCACCCAGGCTGGAGTGCAGTGGCACTATCGCAGCTCACTGAAGCCTCGAACTCCTGGGCTCAAGGGATCCTCCTGCCTCAGCCTCTCAAGTAGCTAGGACTACAGGCATGTGCCAACACACCCAGCTAAATCTAAAAACTTTTTTTTGTAGAGACAGGGTATCACTTTGTTGACCAGGCTAATCTTGAACTTCTGGGCTCCAGCAATTCTCCTGCCTCTGCCTCCCAAAGCGTTTGGATTATGGGTGTGAGCTACCACGCCCATCCTAATTTTGACACTTTAAAAAAATGTCACCACTTTTTAACAGTCATTTCTTCCTTTCCTTTGAATTGTGGTAAAATACACACAGTATAAAATTCAATATTGAAAATCATACTTTTATATTGCAATAAATAAAGATGTATTATGCAGTGTAATGTACTATTTGTATAGATTTTCCAGGCGTTTCAGGTTTTGGATGGCTGCCTGTGGCTACACACCAGACATCCATCCATTCATACATCTACTCTCATCTATTGTTAAGGAACATTTCATTAAAAAAGTTTGTGAATGACTGAATTGTAAATGACATCCCTGTATAAATGGTTATCAGATAATTCTTATATGAATCTTCTTTTGCTATTGATTCATCTATCATAAAAATAATCAGTTTTCAAGTTATTAGGCTGCCTCTGAATTTTATCTTGCCTTTCTTTGTATTTCCAGGTTAGTCCCTCTAAACATTTACCCAACTTTTGGTCTTTATGATAATGAAGACATCTGACCTCTGGTTGGCCATTGGATTGTTGAAGAGGACTTCGGGAGACCAGGTGGTTCACTGGGTCAGTTGGCTCAATTCAGAGGCATTCACTCATTCTTGCTCTTCGTCCCACCCCAGAGTGTCCTGTAATCTGAATGAACTCTCCCTCTCTGATCTAAGCATTTTTCGATTTGCAATTTTCATGGAGATAATTCTAGGTTTATATGCAATTTTAAGAAATCAGACGGCTAGATCTCGTGTATTCTTCACCCAGTTTCTCCCAATGTAACATTTTACAAAACATTAGTATAATATCACAACCAGGAGATTGACATTACTACAATCCATCCATCTTTTTCAGATTTTCCCAGCTTTATTTGTACTCACGTGTGTGTATGTGTGAAAATTGCACAGTTCCATAAAATGTTATCACCTGTATAGGTTTGTGTATCCACCACCACAGTCAAGATACTGACAGTTCCAACATCACAAGGATCCCTTATTTTGCCCATTTACAACCACTCCTACCTTCCTCACCCACCCCATCCCTATACCCTGGCAACCATTAACAAATATGTCCTCCAGTTTTGAAATGTCATTTCAAAAATGTTATATAAATGGATGCATACAGTATGCATTCTTTTGAGAAAGGCCTTTGTGTGGTTCCTGGGTAATAATAATGAGTCTGACTCCATTTTCTGATGTTTGCTAGTAGCTTTTATACCCCACTCTTCTCATTTCCCATTTTGCCCCACATCTGGGCAAGCTGATAAGAAAGCCTGGGTTCTTCTGTTGGCACTGAGATTCCAACCATGTGGGCCCCCGCCTGTGTGCAGGAACCCTCACCCCAGCCCCACTCCCCAACGCCTAAGAAAACTTCAAGTCAGTTTTCTTTCCCTGCTCTCTTACGCTGTTTTTGGACCTGTTTGGGAAGCTTTCCCAGCTGTCTCCAGAAAACCTCATTATGTGCGTAATAAACCTTTTCACACTCTTTCGATGTCTATCTGGTGTCATCATTTGAACCATAGTTTAGGTGGGAATTTATCCTATTTCTACAGAATGGCTACAATAACATAATTCTTGGATATTTATCCAATTTGTTGCCTGTATAGTATTCCATGGTAGGTATGCATCACAATTTGTTTAACCATTCACCTGTTGAAGGACATTTCTGGCCTTTCCACTTTTTAGCTATTACAAATAAAGCTGCTATGGGCCAGGCACTGTGGCTCATGCCTGTAGTCTCAGCACTCTGGGAGGCCGAGGCAGGCGGATCACTTGATGTCGGGAGTTCGCGACCAGCCTGGACAACATAGCAAAGCCCCATCTCCACAAAAAAATACAAAAATTAACCGGGCGTGGTGGTGGATGCCTGTAGGTCCAGTTACTCAGGAGGCTGAGGCAGGAGAATTGCTTGAACCTGGGAGGCAGAGTTTGCAGTGAGCCAAGATCATGCCACTGCACTCCAGCCTGGGTGACCGAGCAAGACTGTCTCAAAACAAACAAACAAACAAACAAACAAAAATAAAGCTGCTGTAAACTTCATGTGCAGGGTTTTATGTGAACATAAGTTTTCCTTTCCCTGTGATTAAATGCCCAGGAGTTCAATTGCTAGGTCATATGGTACTTACATAATTGCTTTTTAAAGAGACTGCCAAACTATTTTCCAGAGTAGTTGTACCATTTTGTGTTCCTATCAGCAATGTTTGAGGGATCCAGTTTCTCTGCATCCTCATCAGCATTTTATATGGTCACTATCTTTTTCTTTAGCCTTTCTGATAGGTGTGTGGTCATATTATGGCTTTAATTTGGCTTTCCCTAACGGCTAATGGTACTGAACATCTTTTCATGTGCTTATTTGCCATCCGTATAGCCTCTTTGGTGAAATGTCTCTTCATGTCTTTTGCCCATTTTCTAATATGAACTGTGCTTTTTATTTTTTATTTTATTGTATTATTTTTAAAGTTTTCTTATTTAAAAATAGAAATGGGATCTCACTATGTTGCCCAAGCTGGTCTTGAACTCCTGGGCTCAAGTAATCCTCCCACCTTGGCCTCCCAAAGTGCTGGAATTACAGGCATAAGGCACCACACCCAGCCGCCATGCTTTTTAAATAATGGATTGTGACCTGTTTGTGTACTGACAAGTACTTACTGGGATATGGAGATAGCCTGAGCTGTTTAAATAGTGTTATGAAATCAGTGTTGAAATAAACAGTTGAAGAAGGAAGGATGACTGGTGTGTCTGTGTGGGGGTGTATATGTGTATGCATAGTTGTGTACGACTGTAGCAGGTATTAATCTTAGTTCCCTATATTCAAGTGTGCATCACTTTATTTTCTTTAAATCATCTGAGTACCCATCCTCCTAGGCTGGTGGGAAATTCACACTCAGCCCTTGGTGTCTCTCCCTGCCCTCCAAAGTGTGTAAAGGTCATTAGGTCTTATTAAACACTCTGGCACAGGGAAGACTGTCACTCTAGTTTACAGCTGTGGGTCCACACTGTTTTCCACTAAAGCACCAGTCCATTGTCCCAACCTGTATATCTCATGCTGGGCAGCTCAGCTGCTAATTCCCCGTTCTTAGTGCATAGGACTCTGTGATGAGGTTGGGAGCATCTAATCTCCCATGTTTCCTCACAGCCTCTGAGGTCTTGACACCTTCTCACAGTCCAGTAGAAATTTCTGCAATGATGGAAATGTTCCATAACTACTCTGTCCAGTATGGTAGCCACTAGACATATGAGGCTATAGAGCACTTAAAATGCAGCTAGTGCCACCGAGGAGCTGAATTTTTAATTATATTTAATTTTAATTAATTTAGAACTTTAAAACCACACATGGATATTAACTATTGAGGTGGGCAGTACAGCCTAGGGGGTACTGCCACATTCTTGGTTATGATTTATCCTTCTCTTTTGGCTTTCTAACACCTGAAGAAAATCTCTCTTCCTTTCTTGTTGTCCCCAAAACACATCTTATCTCTCCTTGGGGACGTCATCCGCAATCTCTATGATGGTATTCATTTTCTATTTATTTACTTATTTATTTATAATATCTTATTTTTAGAGTCAGAGTCTTGCTATGTTGCTCAGGCTGGCCTCCAACTTCTGGCCTCAAGTGATCTCCCACCTCAGCCCCCTAAAGCTTAATTTTCATAAAAAACTGAAAAAGCCTCAAATCCTTCTATTTGTCCCACCCTGCAAAAGGGCTGAGATAAAAAAAATGCCAAGGATTTGGCTACCTCCTTGAAATTGAAAAGAAAGAAGTATAGGGAAGACAAACGTGAGCCAATATGTCAATAAATTGCCATGCCGTGGTGATATAGTTTGGATGTTTGTCCCTGCCCAAATCTCATATTGAAATGTAATCCCCCACATTGGAGGTGGAGCGTGGTGGGAGGTGGAGCGTGGTGGGAGGTGATTGGATCATGGGAGTAGATTTCACATGAATGGTTTAGCATCATCTGCTTGGTACTGTCCTTGGAATAGTGAGTGAATTCTCGTGAGATCTGGTCATTTAAAAGTGTGTGGCACCTCCCCTCCTCTCTCTCTCTGTCTTCCTTACTCCTACTTTCACCATGTGACATGCCTGCTTTCCCTTCGCCTTCCTCCATGACTGTAAGCTTCATGAGGCTTCCCAGAAGCTGAGCAGATGCCAGCACCATGCTTCCTGTATAACCTGCAGAACCGTGAGCAAATGAAACCTCTTTTCTTTATAAATTACCCAGTCTCAGGTATTTCCTTATAGCAATGCAAGAACAGACTAACACACACAGTAATACAGTATGACTTAGGTAGGTATCTGAATGATGTGACACCACCCTTGTGTCACATCTGTCAAGAGCTTCAGTCTAATGTGTGTATAGCACTCCGTGGTTTACCAAACCTCACACCACTGAACATGTCGCTACATTGCTCCGACTTTACACACAAAGGAATGGAGGTTGGGAGCAGTTAGCAGAAGCTTAAGCAAGTGATTTCTGTAACTATGGTGAGACTTGAATCCACCCCTACACAGCATCCTGGGCTGGCCACTCTGCAGGGCAGATGGAGAGTGATTTACAAGCAGAGTTTTCCGCTCAGCCAAGATTGGAGATTCAGATGCTTCCCCTCTTGGCCATATTTTCTTTTGCAAATAATCAGGCAAATAACCTGATCAGGCAAATAACCAAAGAGATTATTTGCATAATGTTATTGCTTTGGTGTGTTATTTGTTGGAGTGTGTTAAATAACCACGAATGTTTATTAGTCAGCTCTTCCTCTGCCAGCAGAAGAATGTGGTCCCTGAGATACTTTCACATCCTGTTGTGGTGTTGAAGTAATTAGGAGGGTGTAACAGGGAGGGGGTTAACCCTTGTTGCAGCCCTGGCTGAGGGGAACATATAGATACAAGCTCGTTAAGAGCACAGTCAGTTAGTAGCCTGACATTAGTCCTTGAGAAGTTACCCTTAATCAGACATCCAAATTTCCCTAACATTGTCTGATTCTTTAGGAAAATACAGAATCATCTATTGGCTACGTTTACAAATGTTTTGGTTGATTTCTATGGTCACCCTCTACCCTAATCCAGAACAGAACAGACTGAATATTTAAGGATCATCCTATGTAAATTCAGTTCATTCAACCTCTGCTTTTTAAAAATCTCCTCCTTATGGGTGTTTGCCCCATAATCTTTGCTTACTTTCCAGGTGCTGAGCTTGACCTGCTGAGGAGTCTGTCAGTCTCAGGCTGCTGCTAGTCCCTTGATAAGATAGACGCATTTCCCTGAGAGATATATTTTAAACATATCACTTCCTTCTGGTTTTTAAGATCATTCTGCTGTCTCTTGAACATCTTCAAGGTAGCCCTAAGCCTGCTGGCCTCACCCGCCCCAGTAGGAAGCATGCCCAAGATGGTCCTTTCCCCACCCAGAGAGAGAATCACCATGCCCTGTCTCCTGAACATGACTTTGACTCTACAGTCAAAAAAAAATCCCTTGGGCCTTTGTTTCCTACTTCACCCTGCGGGTCCCAGGGTAGTCTGCTCTCTGTTGTCCTCCAGGTCCCCTTCTAGATTCCATTCTCCTGCTGACTAATGGTGTCTGGAATGACGTTCTAGAAATTATTTTCCTCTCCAGGAACAACTTAAGGGGAGGAAGAAGAGGATGCCAGCTAGGAAATCGTGTCTACTGATTCCTAGTTTGTCTTTCACTTGCCTGGAATGGTAACCCCAGATATTTCCAAGAGGTTTCAGTCTATACCTACTTTAGCTTATTCCTGAAAGCATAAACGCCACTCACATAAGCCTTTATCTGGTAAAAGAAAGGAGAAGTGGGGGTGGGGGCTGGAAATGATGGGGAAGCAACTTGACTGGTTTGAGGGGGGATGTTTACAGTGTTGGGGTGAGGCAGGGTGCCTGGAGCAACACATTGTGAATTCTGGAATTTTCTTCTTCTTCTTCTTCTTCTTTTTTTTTAATTAGAGACAGGGTCTTGTTCTGTACTCCAGGCTGGAGTGCAGTAGCACAATCATAACTCACTGTAACCTCAAACTCCTGGACTCAAGCGATCCTCCCGCCTCAGATTCCCAAGTAGCTAGGACTACAAGTGTGCTTCACCATGCCTGGCTAATTTTTAAATTCTTTAATGTAGAGATGATGTCTCACTATATTGCCCAGACTGATCTTGAACTCCTGGGATCAAGCGATAACTTGTTGTTATAATAGTTAATATTATTGTTAGTAATGAGCTATTCCTAATAAGGACCATTCAAGTTATTGCTTTGGCAGAGGAGCAATTAAAGAGTAGATTCTTTCCAATTTTCCTCTTAGAGGGTGGGAATTTTTTTTTATTTTTTTTTTTTGAGATGGAGTCTCACTTTGTCACCCAGGTGGGAGTACAATGTCGTGGTCTTGGCTCACTGCAACCTCTGCCTCCCGGGTTCAAGCGGTTCTCTTGCCTCAGCCTCCAGAGTAGCTGGGACTACAGGTGCGTGCCACCACACCCGGCTACTTTTTTTGTGTGTATTTTTAGTGGAGAGAGTGTTTCACCATGTTGGCCAGGCTGGTCTCGAACTCCTGACTTCATGATCTGCCGGTCTCGGCCTCCCAAAGTGCTGGGATTACAGGCGTGAGCCACCGTGCCTGGCTGAGGGTGGGATTTTTAAACTTGGATTTTATCGGCATACGCACTGGGGCTTACGTTTGTCATAAACACTAGAAAAAACAAAACACTGTCCACTTAATTTGAAGGCAACAAGGCATGGTGCAGCTGATCTGTTTTCCAAAGCTGCAGCCATAGGTCCCTTTTCCTTCTCCACTGTCACCCGAGCCATGTTCCTAGCTGGTCTCTATTACAGTCTTCGCCAAGGACAAACTCTGACTCAGGAGACAGTGACAGGAGGCAATCTGTCATGTTTCTCAGTCAGTGACACTCTCCCAACCAGCATCACTCAACCCACCCTCACCCCAGACACTAGATTCCCACCCTAGGGCAGCTAATCCAGACGTAAGGCATCTAATCGGAGACCTTTTCCCTTCCTCCTTTTCATTCCATCCCCCACAGCAAAGCTGTCATCTTGTGTGTTAAACATTCCTGGCCTTGCCAAGTAACTGAATAATGGGATAAGCTGCTTGTATTGTGACAATGGGTTGTAACAGCCAGAGCCTAGGATGGGAGCGGTGCTCATGCCTTCAAGGGCAGGTGGGTACCAATGTGAGATGTTGGGTATGCCATAATTGGGAAATACTGGGCTGACGGCAACTTGGGTAGCAGCAAAAACTCTGCCTATAGGGATTATCTTAGTTCGTTTTATGCTTCTATAACAGAATTCCTGAAACTACGTAATTTATAAGAACAGAGATTTATTTCTTACAGTTCTAAAGATTGGGACGTTCAAGGTTGAAGGGCTGGCATCTGGCAAGGGCTTCTCGGTGCATCATCCCATGAAGGAAGGCAGAAGGTCAAGAGATCACGCACATGAGAGAAAGAGGGAAGGGGCTGAACTCATGCTTTTATCCGGAAGCCACTCCTGCAATACAGGCCTTAATCCATCCAGGAGGGCTCTGCCTCTTCACCCTCATGACCTACTCATCTCTTAAAGGTCTCACCTCTCAGTGCTGTTGCATTGGGGATGTTTCCAACACAAGAACTTTGGAGGACACATTCAAACCCAAGCAGGAATTTAAATTTGATTCAAAATGCTGGTGGCTATAGTTTGTTGTCCCAGATGAAAGTGTGAACTTCTTGTTTTAATCAATCAGTAAAAGGCTAAGGCCCTCTTTTTTTGTTGTTTGTTTTTTTGAGACGGAGTTTTGCTCTTGTTGCCCAGGCTGGAGTACAATGGTGCGATCTCGGCTCACTGCAACCTCCGCCTCCTGGGTTCAAGTGATTCTCCTGCCTCAGCCTCCCGAGTAGCTGGGATTATAGGCATGTGCCACCATGCCCTAATTTTGTATTTTCAGTAGAGATGGGGTTTCTCCATGTTGGTCAGGTTGGTCTCGAACTCCCGACCTCAGGTGATCTGCCTGCCTCGGCCTCTCAAAAGTGCTGGGATTATAGGCGTGAGCCACTGCACTCTTTTAAGAACCCAAGTTTGGTGTTCTGAGGTGAAGGGCTGCATGAGATAAGAATATGGTTGGGATAATTTTGAGCATGTTCTTCATTAGCAAAAGAAATGTTTCTCCTGAACAAAAGTTGCCAAGGGCATTGAAGTTAAAATGTTTTGATAAAGATAACGGAAAGCAGTCCTGCCAGCCCATTGGCCATCATGGTTCTCAAAGACTTAGGGAGGAGAAAAAACTTTGGAGCTGGAATCTGCAATTCTGTTGTTGGTTCTGGGTCTAGAAATGGAAAACTAGGCCCTGCTGGAAACAAAAAGAGCATCTCCCTGATAAGACCAGCAGGCAGATAAGAGGGGTTTGTGGGGTTTTATTAGGCTCAGAAGCCTCAGAGCTAAACTTCTAGATTTTAAAACAGTTTAGAGTAAGATTTATGGAACAAGATCAGTGATTAGTAATCTGTAATTATAGTGAGATAAAGTACTACTTGTATAATATACATGTTCTTTCTAAGAATTCATAAGCAAGGAAAAATAATGAGAAAGATTTAAGGGCCAGGTGCAGTGGCTCATGACTGTAATCCCACCACTTTGGGAGGCTGAGACAGGTAAATTGCTTGAGCTCAAGAGTTCAAGATCAGCCTGGGCAACATGGCAAAACCCCATCTCTACAAAAAAATAAAGAAATAAAAATTAGCCAGTCGTGGTGGTGTGTGCCTATAGTCCCAGATACTCACTCTGGAGGCTGAGGTGGGAGGATCACTTGAGCTCAGGAGGTGGAAGTTGCAGTGAGCCAAGATCACATCAGTCAAGCCTGGGTGATTAAATCTTTTAAAAATATTTAAAAGACATAGACACTAAAAATAAAATTAGTTGAGTATTCTATTCCAGGTACTGTCTTAAGCACTAACTTAAACTGTCGTACACACTAACTTAAACTTCTTAACAACACCCTAAGAAAAAGGTATAATTATTCACATTTTACAGATGAGGACATTGAGGATCAGAGAGATTAAGAAACTTGTCCAACTCACCCAACCAGTACATGACTCTAGGAAACATACTCCTTCTGCTTTGGTTTTTATGGAAAAAACATTATAGATGGAGGGGATGTTCAGGGCTCTGGAGCTTCAGTTAGAGAGGTCTGGGAGGAAGCCTGACCCTTGTGGGATCCATTTTGGTCTAACAATACGATCATTCATGTTCCAAGCCAAAATTGTAGTAGGTAAAATATTTTTGTCTCTCGACTTCCAGATGTCTACCAGGTAAAGAGAAAATTCTTGAGCATGATCTAGAAGGTTCTGTCTAGTTCCCAGCTACAATTCTAGCCTGTCTCCTCTCTCACATGCCTGTAGTCTACCCACCCTAGACTAGCTTCTCATCCTCTGGGCTTGTGCCCCTACTGCTTCCCTTTGCTGGGTGTACCCCAAGTCTGCCTCATGCATTCCTACTCTCTTTTAAAAATCCAGCTTGGGTCATCTCCTCTGTAAGGATGTTCTACCCTTGCCCCCTCACTTCCCAGTCTGATAGACAGACTTAGTCACTGCTTTCATGCTCTCAAACCCCACTGCCTATTTCTCTTAGCGATATCTTTGCATTGTATCACAATGTGTGTTTCAGTCTGATGCATCTTAAGATTTTTAAATGCTTCTGAAAATACAGTGCCTATCTTGGGTATGCCACCTAGTTTGGGCTTTAACCAAATGTTTCTAGACTCTACAAGAGTGCACAATCCTTCAGTTAATAGGGTAGCTCTGGAGGAAAAAAATGTGCATGATCCTCAGACAAAGCACATGTTATTTGTATCTTCAATAACAGGTGCTTTGCCAATTAGCACAGTTCATGTCAGAATTGTTTCTTACAGGTGAAATTAGTGGCATGTTGATTAACATGATGAAAGTTAGAAATGGGATCTGTTTGGTGAATATAAAGATAAGTAGACTAGTTAAAAGAGCTTAGAGACTCTCCACTCTTGCATGAATAAAATATCCAGCACTCTTAGAATGATGCCTTTACCTGGTCTTGGGCCTAGCCATAAACTGTGGGAGATTCTGGTTGCTCAATGCTGGCTAAACTGGCAGCATTATTCTGCCTCTGGAATCCCAGAAATTGTCTTAGAGAACTTTGCAAGGAAGATTATATGAACCACTTTTTTGCTTGCTCACTAACAAATATTTAGTTAACAAGCGTCTGTGTATGCAGCAGAATTTGGCCAGTGGCTTGCTTTGTTCATGATTGTGTAACATTTGTGGAGAAGAATAGCTAGCAGTTCTGACTTAACAACTCCTAGGTTGCAATCATCCGCACATGACCTATCTGGCTCGGGTCAGTTTTCAACACCCACTCACTGGAGTGTGTCCATACTGCTTCCCTATTTTCCAGGTGGTTCTTATCTATTTAATAACAACTTACTTCTTCAGGAGAAATAGACTATGCATTATTACATTAACTATTCACTCTGATTGTAAAACCACATCCCAATTTCAAAAGTATTAAAAGATTAAAGAAATGTGCATCTTGGCCAGGCACGGTGGCTCACACCTGTAATCCCATCACTTTGGGTGGCTGAGGCAGGTGGATCACCTGAGGTCAGGAGTTCGAGACTGGCCAATATGGTGAAACCCTGTGTCTACTAAAAATACAAAAAATTAGCCAGGCGAAGTGGCAGGCGCCTGTAATCTCAGCTACTAGGGAGGCTGAGGCACGAGAATCTCTTGAATCCAGGAGGCCGATATGGCAGTAAGCCAAGATCATGCCACTGCACTCCAGCCTGGATGACAGAGCAAGACTCCATCTCAAAAAAGAAAAAAAAAATGTGCATCTTAGAATAAAAGCAAACACAATGTCAGATCTCCCTTCATAACTTGCCTGTGTTTTAACCAGGTGCTCACTGCCTAAACTCAGATGCAAGGTAACTGTGGGGTTTCTTTTCCTGTGCTGGGACAAGCCAATGGGAGATATTTGGGGACAGGGAAGTCTCTCCAGGGCCCCTGCAATCACATCAAGCTGGTTTTTATCTCTGAGTCACAGACTTAACTTTCTTCCCCTAGTTCCTTCGACATGAAGGAGGTCTCTTGATTTTGAGATATAAACACTGAGGCAATGAATGAGAGTAAACAACTTCGTCAAAGGCCCCTTCAAAGAAAGTCAGTGGTAAAGCAAAACACACCAGCAGTGTTCCAACTCTCAGTTAATTCACCAGTGAAGCCGCAAGGCCTCTCCTTTCCATGGGCTCCAGCATAAAGCATTTTGACAGATGAATTCCTGACCTGAACAATTCCTTGCCTTTAAAATTCATAAAAGCATAGCAGAACAGAACAGAACAGAATATTGAGTGCAAATAAACCTGTCCACTAGTAGTTCTTATAGCTCCTGTTTGGTTCCACAGGAAAACAACAAGTGAAAACATGCTTTTTACTACTCTATAGAAAATATTTCCTTAGAAAGCAAGGTAGAAATGGTGTACTTCCCCCTCCCAAGTAAAACTTCTCAAAATTTTCAGTTTTCAGATTCTCCTTGTCTGTCAGTGGCATTACTAAAGATGTCCTGTGTTCAACAGAGAATTGAAATAGACTGTGGGAGGGATGGAGAGAGGCGTGCTAAAGAGACAGAAAATATGGTTTTGACCCTCAAGAAACACAAGTTGTAGATTAGGAGATACACCACAAAGAAGATAATTATAGCACTGAGTGAAGTTCTGGAAAGGATTTGTTCATGTCTCTGTTGATGAATCTCTCTTTTTTCCCCTCTCTCTTTTTCTTTTTTTTAAAATAGAGACAGATGTCTCGCTATGTTGCCCAGCCTGGTCTCCAACTCCTGGCTTCAAGCAATTCCTCCTGCCTCGGCCTCTCCAAGTGCTGGGATTACAGGAATTAGCCACCATGCTCATTCTCCATTGACTAATCTGTTAATAGTCCTATCTTTGGGTAAGGTCAACCATGGAGAAAATGCTGGAAGAGGTAAGGTCTAAATTGGGGGATGCGAGGATTATGATGGAGGAAGGGGAACAGCATTCCAGGGTGACATAGTTTGGTTGTGTCCCCATCCAAATCTCATCTTGAATTGTAGTTTCCATAATCCCCACATGTCATGGGAGGGACCCAGTAGGAGGTAATTGAATCACAGGGGCCATTACCCACATGCTGCTGTTCTCATGATAGTGAGTTCTCATGAGATCTGATGGTTTTGCAAGGCTTTTCCCCCTTTGCTTGGCACTTCTCTCGCCTGCCGCCATGTGAAGAAGGATGTGTTTGCTTCCCCTTCTGCTATGATTGTAAGTTTCTTGAGGCCTCCCAGGCCATGCGAAACTGTGAGTCAATTAAACCTCTGTCTTTTACAAATGACCCAGGCTTGGGCAGTCCTTTATAGCAGTGTGAGAATGGACCAATATACAGAGTTAGTATTCCAGAGTAAGGTGAAGTTTCACAAAGGTAGAAATAAGCAGATCAAATCCCAGCAGAGTCCCAGGTCATGGTCTTTGGGTTCACTTAGACCTTGCCATCCTTCACCACTTTCCAGTTGTGTCATGCTAGACCACTTCTAGCCTGTCTCCTTGGCTACAAAAATGGGATCATTAGATCTGCCTCATAGCATTCCTGTGAGAATGAAATAAAATAACATGCGATGTTAGAGTAGATGTTAAATAAATGTGCAGTTTTCCTTTGGAGTAGAAAGTTACTAAATGAAACTGGTGAGAGAAGGGGTTGAGGTTACTGGCAAAAGGAAAGGGAACCCCAAATGTTTAAACTTTGTATTGCTTCCTGGAAGACTAAATTAACATCTCCATATGGAAGCTTTTAGGATTAAAATACACCAGACAGGACAACTCAGTTATAATTTAAAGTGTGTGCTAAAAAAAATCAATAAGTAAAAAGATATACATCTCCGTAGTTAATAAAGGAGACAAGTTTTATACCCCCTGTTCTATAAGCAAAGCATAAGCATAATAAATTCGAGTTTAATATCTGAAAAGTAGAAAAAAAAAGGAAACCTTTTTAACTCTAAAAAAGCAAAACAAAACAAACCATATGAAATTGCTGACCATGGTGTAGGTAGTAATATTGAGCAGTAAAAATAATTAGGCATAGACAGGTTTCCATTAATAAGCTGACACTGACACTGTGGTGTCAAAGATTCTAAGATATAAGTATAATCAGAAAGCAGAGGTGAAAGGAAGGCCCCCGCTCCAAAGAAAATAAAAGTTATTGTTTAAGTTAGCAATTTCAGATGACAGATGGTGCATTAAAAAAACAACAAAGGCCAGGCACAGTGGCTCACGCCTATAATCCCAGCACTTTGGGAAGCTGAGGTAGGTGGATTGCTTGAGCTCAGGAGTTTGAGACCTGCCTGGGCAACATAGCAAAACCCCATCTCTACAAAAAATACAAAAATTAGCCGAGCATGATGATGCATGCCTGTAGTCCCAACTACTCGGGAGGCTGAGGTGGGAGAATTGCCTGAGCCAGGGGAGGTCGAGGCTGCCTTGAATTTTGATCACATCACTGCACTCCAGCCTGGGTGACAGAGCAAGACCCTGTCTCAAAAATCAGTCGTACAAACGTAAAAACCTCTCATTTGACGTGTACTTTATGCGTTAGGGCACAATACACTTTGAATACACTATCTATGATTCTTTTTCTAGGTGGAGAGGAGAAGAAAGTGCAAACCAAAAAGTGACTGAGGCAGATCTCAATGAATTAGAAGTTTATTTTGCCAAGGCTGAGAAAGCACCCAGGAAAAACAAACACAGCTCATAGTAGAATTTGTGACCTGTGCTTTTTCCAAAGAGAGTTTTGGGAACTTTGGTATTTAAAAGGGAAAGAGCAAGCAGGAGGGAAGAGAAAAAAGTAAGCAACAAGGCAAGTGGTTACATTCTTGTGAGGTTCTGGTTAGTGCTTGGTAAATCTACATTTTACACATGAGTAGAGAAAAGTCAATTATGCATTCATCTGGGGCCCAGTAAATCTACATTTTACATCAGCTAAAGTAAGCATGTGAAATTACAGCTATTTGTTTGGGAACAAACGGAAGGCGGTTTTTATGTGACTCATTTGCCAAGCTTAACTTTCTCTGGCATAGTGAGTTTGGGGTCCTGGGATTCTACTTTCCTTTAACAATGGTTTTGTCCTTCAGTTTTTCACCTCTGTTTTATAAAGAGCTCTGTCAGTTAAGGAAGCAGATGTCACAGGCAAACTGGCATGATTTTGCAAGGGTTTATTTACAGAGTGACTCCTTGTGGAGCTGTGGACATACAGGAGGCATAAGAGATGGTGCATTATCCCAGGGCAAATATCAGCAGAGCTGCTGTCATCCCTGGGTCTGGAGCTTTGGGGAAGGAAGCAGCTACCAGAACCTGGAAGGAGAGTCACATAGAGGAGGCTGCCTTGAGAGAAGATGTCATCTTCAACTGGGGGATGCAGTCAGCCTGAGGTAATCTGTTAGAGAGGTGTCAGTTGAGTGAATATGCTGAGGTCACTGTCAACTTCCTTCTGTTTCTCTGCACGGCCTCCCACTTGCCAAACCCAGCCAGAAGGCAGAGAGTATTGGAGCCCATTGATGTAGCCCATCCTGCCTTCAGGCAGACAGCAGATCTGTAGGGGACCACAGAAAATATCTGACATAAGAATGAGAGGTGACACAAGAACAGAGGCGTTGCCGTGGAGGAGGAGCCAGACAGGAAAAGAACTAGAATTTGGCTGGTACATTGGTTGGGCAGAGTAGCCATAACAAAATACCATAGACTGGGTGGCTTAACAGAAATGTATTTCTCACAGCTCTGGAAGCTGGAAGTCCAAGATCAAGGAGTTGGCCAACTTGGTTTCTTGGGAGTCTTCCCTCTTGGCTGGCAGGTGGCCACCTCACTGTGTCCTCACATGTTTTTCTTCTCTGTGCACATGCATTGCTGGTGTCTCTTCTTTTAACAGCAGTCATATTGGATTAGGGCCCCACTCCTCTTTTACCTCATTTAACCTTAATTACCTCTTTAAAGGTCCTTTCTCCAAATCCATTCACATTAGGGGTTAGGAAGGGGAACACAGTTCAGTCCATAACAGTTGGCGATAAGGTTTACACCCCCAGTAAATCCTTTATGGTTGCTATGAGTATGAATTAGAGTAGCCCATGGAACTCCCAAAGTCTCTCATTCTGGTGTGACTGTTCATCACACTAACCTCCTTTTTCTGGTATTGGATGTCCACTTCTAACCCTCTGGCCACAGGCACTCTGACCTGGGTTATTGATTTCCAGGTGCTAACTCAGAGAACTTCATTCTAGTCTAGCATTTCATTCAGTCCTATGAGTAACTTTGCGTTCTTGCCAGCATTGTGAATCAACAATCTCCCTTTTTACTAAGTCTATTTAGTAAAATTTGAGTTGGGTTCTTGCCAACTTGTGTCCCCAAGTCCTGACTAGTCCTGACCAGGGATAAAGGGCACTTATTTGTGAGAATTTTGTTCTAGTAGCAGGAAAAATTAGAAATGTCATTCTTAAGATTTGAGGCTAGTTTTCTAAAATAGCAACAGCTTATCCCTTCCCCTAGCAGATAGGTCTACCCCTTCAAGGAATCTACAGAGCCAGGGAGGAGACACAACATCCCTGTTTAGTGACCACTGCAGCCAGTGGTGATGTTTCTCAACAGGGACCTTTAGAAAGATATCAAGCACAACAACGTTACTGTTCACATTCAGAAAAACGAGAAAGTGCAATGAAAGGGCATTCACAGATCACTCAGGTATCAGAGAAGGGTTAAAGATAGACCCCTCTGGCTGCTCATTTAGCCACACTCCTTGTTCTTGATGAGATGGGTGGGTTGAAGCCAGGATGCCCTGGAGACAAAAGCAGCCTAGTCAACCCTCCAATAAAACGCCCTGAATATGTTGTCTCAGAGGCTGTAGACAGCCACTGTGCTAAATTATTCACCCTGACTTTTACTGGATACCTTCCTCCCATTTCAATTACTTGAGATTTTTATAGAAAATTGGCTGTGGGAATTTGACCGCTCCAACTGCCTGGTAATAATCCGGTCTGAATAGTAAACTCAGCATGGGCTGATTCTGGGACGAACCAGAGCATTCTCAAAAGAATTCGAGGAGAGCTGCCTTTGGCTGCAAAGAAAACTAGGAATCTGTTTATACAAAATGATGCTATTTATTTGTGAGAATATTTTGCTATTTACATAGTAGGAGGAAAATGTTAGAAATGCCACCCTTAACCAAGATTTGATGCCAGTTTTGAAAAACAGCAACAGGGCCAGACATGGTGGCTCACGCCAATAATCCCAGCACTTTGGGTGGCCAAGGTCGGAGGATCACTTGAGCCCAGGAGTTCGAGACCAACCTGGGCAACAAGGTGAAATCCCATCTCTACAAAAAATACAAAAATTATCTGAGTGTGGTGGCATGCACCTGTAGTCCCAGCTACTTGGGAGATTGAGGTGGGAAGATCGTTTGAGCCCAGGAGGTTGAGGCTGCAGTGAGCCATGATTATTACTCCACTGCACTCCAGCCTGGGCTACAGAGCAAGCCACTGTCTCAAAAAAAAAAAGCAACTAGCCCTTTCATAAATGCTTTGACCACTGTAGGGCTCTGCAAATGCTTTTAAACATCTGTATTAGAATATAAACATAATATATAATAAATATAAATATATATAAGTATATATATTAAATAAATATATAAATATAATATAAAGAAATCTTGACACATTCACACACCTGTTAGCTAAAAGCTTGGCCAGGTGCTTATTCTGTGCCAGGTACTGTGGTCTATTTACATCTATTAATTTATCTAATGTTAACAAGAAGCCAATTCGTAATGATGGTGTTATCCCCATTTTGCAAACAAGGAAGCTGAGACTCTAAGATTAAGTGACATGGTGAATTTAACACAATCTCTAAGTGGTGGTTTGATTTCAGACTCTGGTTTGTCATTGCAAGCTAAAATACTTCAAAGTTAGAAATGTTTGAAGCAGAAAAGAATAAATATCAAATTCTTTAATTAGTTTTCTTACACTCCATAGTTAATGCAAATCATTTCTTGAGTGTTCTTTCATTCATATCAATAGTGCTTATAAATACAATAAAAATCATTTTGGATCCCCTTTCAAACACATGACATTATGTTTTAGATTGTGGGCTCAGTCTCTGTAGTGATAATCTGCTTACGTGAGAACTGGAGGGTGTCTAAGTTTGAGGGCCAAGACAGATGGCCAGAGGGGTGGCAAGACTCACCCTGAGGGCAGAGAGAGTCATTAGCACAAACTTGGTTTGAGAATAGGAGGCAGCATGAGAAGAGAGTTCAATTAGAGCTTTCAGGCTTTGCTCTTTTTCTGAATCCTCCAGAACATGTGCCAGAGCACCAGGGAGATGAACTAGTAAAACTCAAAGAGCCAGGAGCCTTTTCACGAGTGTCTTCAAGAGCTCAATGGCAGGAGGCAGTGTAGCCCAGCATTGCAGCACTTCAGTGTGGGGACTGCCTGAGCACAGGCCACAGAGGGCTGCATGGCTCTGAAACAGGGCAAGGTGGATGGATCAGACCAGCCTAGATCCAGCATAGAGAGGTAGCAGTCTCCAAGCAGAAGGGAGGGAACTAACAGGTACCACATTACAGCTACAAGAACTTACCAGAGGAGTGATGTTCTCTATTCACAGCCAAGTCTTCTCCATTCCCACACTCGGTTAATCTACCCAGGAGCTTATGTAACTACTTGGGATAATTTTGAGGGAGCTAGACTTCCCCAAAATGCATGGGGTGCATGGGTTGGAGCTAGATAAATACTGTCCTATTGCCATTAGTGAGATTGTGATGGTCTAGGCATTTTTGAAGGGAGAAATATGTAAAGAAAGACAAGCCTCTTACTGAACAGGTGGACTCTCATTGCCTTCACTCTTCAGCAGGCTCATTAGATGCATCACTCTTCCCTATGGCTTCAGCATGTAGAACTTTCTCCAACTTTGAGGTATAGAAACAGAATAGAATTCACTTAACCTCAGTTACGAGTAAGCATATCTTTTAAAGTGTGCTCAGTTCATTATAAATAAATGTAGTTATTAACAATCTCAAGGTTTATGGAAGGATTACAGCTATCCAGTAGCGCATTGAGCAGCTATTTATCTGAAAGCACATACTGACTGAATCCATCAACGTCCCATTCAGCATCTTAAGAGATCAAACTGCCTGGAAAAATAACTTAATCAATCAATTGCATACTATATAGTATCAATCATATACCACACTATGCAGTAACTGCACAAAATAATGTATTCTCAATGGTGCTTAGTAATAGTATCATGATGTTGAATTCTCCTGGTATTCAAGTTCTCACCACTTTATGACTTTTCATCATGGGCAGTTAGCAGGGGTTTGGGCTCCAGGGGTTTTCATTAGCAAGCCACAGTCTCCTTAGTACTTGGCTTTCACTCTTTCTAGTGATCAGATATTTTACAGGGATTTTACTTTTCCTGATGTATTTACCATGAGCCAGGTATAGTAAATGAAGATACAGAAGTGAGCAAAAGCAGGACAATGCAGTCCTCCATGTAACATATCTTGGAGCACCTGAAGCAATTCAGAACTTACAAGTATCGTATTTTAGTACTTCAGGGATATTTTGGAAGACAGATTTTAATCAAGACTGCAAAGCCAACGTTTCAAAATTGAACTGCACATTCATGATACCGTGGCAAAAGGTTCATGGATATTTCAGCTGCTTCTTAGGTTGTTCAATTTCCTGTTCAATCGGGAAGGGAAATAAAGTATCCCTTTTAATAGAGTATGTCAAAGCTAATATAATGATGGAAGCTAGGCATCCAGAGCAGACAGGTCTAAAGCAATAGAAAAGTTCCACTCAAACTCAGTCTCCAGCAGTTTCTGTCTCAGGGAGTGAATGGAGGGTAAACAGCTGTCAGCGCTGTGCCAGCGTCCCCCAAACCCCGTAAAATGTGGTTTTGCAAAGTTTCTTGGAAGCCAGGTCGGTACAAATCTATTCCTGTTGCAATCATATGAAAGTTTACATTTTTTTCCCTCCATGGCTAGGATGTCAGAAGAGTGAGCAATTTCCTTTTATATTTTGAAACTTATATATTCAGTTAAAAGAGCTTAAGTGGGATGTTATAATGAATATGTGTTTTCGAGTACCAGAATTCCCTTGGGGCTATGATTTCCCCATTCTCAGGCCATAGTGTGTATGAGGGGAAGGGGGAAAGAGACAGTAGTATTCATTTTCTATTGTGTATAACAAATCACCTCCAAAACATAGTGGATTAAACAACAAACACTATCTCACAACTTCTGTGGGTCAGAATTCTGCGGGTCCGGCCTTGCTGTACACCTTTGCTTCAAGATGTGTCACAAGACTGCAATCAAGTTGTCAGCCAGGGCTGTAATCATCTCCAGACTCAACTAGAGGCAGGCAGATCTGCTTCTAAGCTCGCTCGTATGGCTGTTGGCAGCCCTTATGTCCTTGTTGGATCTTGGACACAGCTATCAGTTTTGTGCCACTTGGATTTTTCCAAAGGGTAGTTCACAACATGGCAACTGGCTTCCCTCAGAGTGAAGGCTCTGAGGGAAAGAGAGACAGGGTGGGCAAGGCAGAAGTCACACTCTTTTTGTAACCTAATCTCAGAGGGTGGCATCCCATTGCTTTTGCTGTATTCTATTTATTAGAAATGAGTCCAGCCCATACTCAGAAGAGAAGAGTACACAAGGGCATGGAGACTAGGAGACAGGAACCAACGGAGGCCATCTTGGAGGCTGTCTAGGGGAAATCATCTGGAATATTCCATTTCTCTGACTGCAGTCATTGGCTCATGGATAGGCACATGATCCAAACCTGGCCAACGAGACTTCACCCTGGAACTTTGGCTGAAACTCTTGGGAAAGAAATCTCTTTTTACTACAGTTTGTATGATATAAGCATGGAGCCTCAGTGGCCAACTCTGTCACCATCTGGAAAAAGCACCTTGAAAATAAGAGCAACATAGAGGAAAATATGACCAAAAGATGAAAATGAAATATTGCTAGTGCCGTTGTTTGAACAACTTGATCCAGATATATCTAGAGCCAGGCCTATCCCTAGATTTTTCTGTTGCATGATCCAATAAAAAAGACTTCTCTTTTTGGCTTAAGCTAACTTAAGCTACCTTAAGCTGGGCTTATTTCACTTACTTCTGAAAGACATCTGATATACAGATACAGTATAATAAAGATATGTCATTACCTTTTAAAAATTTCTGTCTAGTAAAAAAGAATCAGCAAGAACTTTGGTGTGATTGGAGTGATGATAGAAAAATGACTTCTTAGGATTGTAGTAAACTATTTATTCACTCTGTACCCTAAATATGAGATAATTTCTTTTCTTCTTCTTTTTTTTTGAAAGACAGGGTTTTGTTATGTTGCCTAGGCCGGTCTCAAACTCCTGGGCTCAAGTGGTCCTCCCACCTTGGCTCCCAGAGTGCTAGGATTACAGGCATGAGCCACTGCACACAGCAAAGAGAATTTCAGTTCGCTTGTCCTAAGTCCTTGTCTCATTGTAACACCAGGTAGAGCAGCTCTCTGCTTTGCTTCTGATGCTTAGCTGGCTGTTTGTGTCTGGATGAACTTTGGTTTGGAAGGTAATTTTACCAGAAATTAGTGTTTCTCAACCAGGGATAATTTTGCAATGTCTAGAGACATATTTGGTTGTCACATCAGAGCAGGAAGTGTGCTACCGTCATCTAATAGGTAGAGGCCAGGTAACCCTCTACACATCCTAAAATGTGCAGAACAGCCCTGACAACAAATAATTCTCCAGTCCAAAATGTCAGTAGTGCTAAGGTTCACAACTGCAGCTCTAAATTATCTGTGGGTAAGATAGCAAACTACAGTGGGAGGTTGTGTTCACTTGTTTATGGTTAACTAGTAATATAAAGAGGTCCAAGCTTGAACATGCATGTAGAACATGTTGCTTGGAGGAGAATCTGTTGTCATTCTGCTTCATATGGTGGGCCCTAAGGCTTGGAAGATGGCACAACAGAGAATGGGTTCTTAACGTTTTTCAATAGCTGTTCACTGATGGATTCCTCTGACATATATTCATTCATGCTGTCTGTTGTGTTCTCATAGAGCAATGTCCATTTCAGGATGATCTGGTGTGCTAAGAAAAATAAAAGATTTAGGATCCCCTTGATGGGATCTAGTTCTATACCATGCTCACAAATAAAAATTAACATCTACATCCTGATTTTAACAATGAGGGACTTTTGTTGTAGCTGAAAAGCAGAGCAATTAATATTTTAATCTGACATTAAGATCTGAATGGAAAAACTGGGAATGAAAAATATAATCGTACTCTTCCTATTAGCAGGAAATTTAATTTTTGCATGATCTGATGGTGTTTAGCTTCTCTAATGCTTCCTCTTACCCTTTCCTGGGGATATGTTTTGAGGCCCATCCAGTATTGCTGTTAATGGAAACATGTTATTTCATTTGTTTATTCACGTATTTAATACACATTTGCATATTCCCCTGGAATGCCTAGCTCATAGTGAGTATTCAATACTCTTTACACTGTTCTTTGTTATAAAAGATTCTCCAATCTTCAAAAACAGGTTCATAAGTTGGGGCCCTCCTGGGGTCTGAGGGCTTGGGAGGGTTAAGGTTTGTTATTGAAGATCCCAGGGCTGCCTCACATGGTGGCTAAAGCTGTGTCAAGCAGGAGGGAGCACGTGGGGGGACCAGTGGCAGGGGTGCAGATTCCAGCCCATGCTCCCATTTCCAAGCTGTGTGCTTGACCTGGGGCTGAGTTCACCAAAGATCCTGACCACTGGCCAAGCCATGCTCCCTAGGGGACTACATCCCTCTATAAGGGTGCCCTGCCTTCAGTGGAGGCTAGTGGAGGCCCTGTAAGGATGAGAACCCATAACTAAACACCCATTGGCTATTTGGCAAAGACTTTTCAACATGTGTGCAGGTGTTCTTGAGCTCCTGGAGCCTTATTGCAGATTTCCATTACCCACGCCTACATCTGGGTTCATAGGCAGTATAATTATCATTGCAGCGAGACCCTATTAAGTCCTACTTCCCAACCAGGAAAAGATGGCAGGTACTTAATAGGACCTGACACACACCCAGAGACAAATTAGTTGGGCACTGTGCTGAGAGCAGGCACCTGTGTCTTCCACTTGAGGCCCAGGATGTCTTTAGGTTTTACTGCAGGATAATCATTTGGAAGTAGAACTGGGATGTTATGCTTCACCTCCTGCAGTTAATGATTAGCTAAGCCACTTAACCAGGAAGGTCAGTGAAAGGGAACCACTTTGAATCAAAAGGTGAGGTCTGAGAGGTCATCTGCAGTGACCCAGATCCAAGAAATGAAGCAGAGAGGCTGTTCCAAGCCCACTGCACTATTCTTCTCCCTCCTGGGTTTCCCTTCTCAGTGAGTAGCACCACCATTCTCCCCAGTATTCAAGTTGGAGACCTGGCTGTCACTCTGGCCTCCGTCTTTCACTCCCAGCTGGAAGAGTGACTGGATTCTGTCTATGCCTCTTTAGTGCCTCCTTCATCACCCCCACCTCTTCACCCTCAGAACCTCACCACCTCAGTCCATTGGTCACCATCTGTCATCTGACCTATTACAATGGGGTGTGTCCCCACCTCTAGTCCCCTCTCCAGGCAGCTGCCCCCAGGAAGGTGAAAACACAAATCTGATCATCCATTTCCTGGCAGGGACAGTGCCTATGACTTGGCCTCCACCCAATCTTCCTATCTCATCTCTCTTGAGCCCCTAGCTCCTGGAGTCTGGCCTGGGAAACACCTTGCAATGTTCTGGATTAACCAGGCCGCCTCATGGCTCTGCACTTTAACCCGTGCTGCAGCTTTGGCCTTAGCCTCCTTTCTGCCTGTCCTTCTGATGAGCATCTAGCTTCTCAACCATGCAAGTCTACTCCTGTGTCTCCCCCTCGAGAAAACCCTTTGTTTTCACCTTTCCAGAATTGGTGGCTCCCTGCTGGAACTTGAACAGACTTCTTCAGCACACCTGTGTCCCCTACACCGGAAAGTCCTTCAAGGTCGGGAGATCTTCAACCCACAATGTCCAACATGGCCCCTGGGGCTGAGTGGCTGCTTATTAAATGCCTGTGATTTGCCAGAATGCTGTTTCATTCTTTATTGCTCACAAAGCATTATTGAAAACACTGTCTCACTTGAAAGGTCTTTCCTTGAGACTTGCATCCTGGCTCTCGGGAAAGTCTCCTGATATCTTGCACCTCAGTGTCCCAGTCAATCAGGGTATGATCACAGCTATTAGTGGACTGAGGTCCATGTTCTCACAGTCCTGCAGCTGCTTCTTGAATGTGGAGAGGAGCCACCATTTACATATGTTAGTGAGTTCAAGTGCTGTCAGGCAAAATGCAAAACTTTTCATCATCATTAGCCCCAACTTTGAAAGGCAAATACACATTTCAGTTTCCACTTTTCTGTGCACTCAGATTCTGGTATTGTTTGTGCAGAGTATGCCTCACTGTAGAAGCGTTTAAAATGAATCTGAATAGATAACAAGCATATAACTTAATACCTCAGATGGATAGTTGGATTTCTGACCCCTGTTTGAAGCTTTAAGGCAGGTCAAGTCTACTATGGCGTGAATATTATAACCATTGTGCCTAGGGTGCTGCATTTACCTTGGTGAGTCTCCTTCCTACTGAAGCCAACGAATAATTCAATTAAAACATTGATTAAGTACTTACTGTGTATTTTCCACAGCAACTTTCACAGTGCTTTGTACAAAGTTGTTATCTGAGTTACAGAAGGCTTGGCTTTCTCTGGAAGAGTTTGTGGATATCTCGTCTTTCTTATAGATTAGAACTAAAAGAGTAGCTTAAATGTGACCATTACTGAAAGAGAGGATTAGAAACTGGGAGCATAAACAGGCAAGATCATGCCCAGCTAAGAGATCAATCCACCCTTGCATTATAGGAGGAAAATTAGATTTTCCCTTAAGAACAAGTAGGAAATAATAATTAGCTGATATTTATTGAGCTCTTATCATATTAAACACTTTAAAGGATTGCAGAGTCAGATGAGTGGCGGTGATGGGATTTGAACCGAGAGTTTGGTGTCAGGTTCCTCTCGACTTACCCATTGTCTATACAACACCTGCCAGCTTCTGATAACTGCATCAGGTCCCACCTCTGCAGTGAACAATTGACAAATGTGCCCCAGCTCTGTTGTACTCAGTGCCCCTAGTCCCTGTTCTGTGAACATGGTAGGGAAAATTGATGGAAGAGTCTGGATCAGCTCTCTCTCCAAAGTTGGAAGTCTTGGACTACTTACACAGGATGGCTTTGGGTTTGGGAGAGAAATGGAGTAGACTTGTGTACCTGTGTGTGTGTGTGCGTGTGCATGTGCAGAGATGCAGGCAGGGGAGGCAAACAGGCAGGGAGACCCCTTGGAGTATCTGCACCCTCACTGCTCTTGGAGCATCTTCTCATTTTGAAAGCTGACCCACCATCTTGGCGAAAGTGCTGCTTCTGGTCTGGATCCCTTGATTCTACTGAGAGTGAAGTACAACCTCTGACTCTTTTGCCCTTGAACTAAAGACCTCATGGAAGCCAGGTGTCATGGCTCATGCTTGTAATCCCAGCACTTTGGGAAGCCAAGGTGGGTGGATCACTTGAGGTCAGGAGTTCAAGACCAGCCTGGCCAACATGGTGAAACCCTGTCTCTAGTAAAACTACAAAAATTAGCCGGGCATGGTGGCATGTGCCTGTAATCCCAGTTACTCTGGAGGCTGAGGCAGGAGAACCGCTTGAATCCAGGAGGCAGAGGTTGCAGTGAGCCAAGATCGCCACTGCACTGCAGCCTGGGCGACAGAGCAAGACTCAGTCAAAAAAAAAAAAAAAAAAAAAGAGACCTCATGGAAAGACATGCCAGCCAACATCTGGTGCAGGATGCAGAGCTCAGGCTGCAAATCTGCCACTGCATAGTCACTGTTGATCTCTATTTCCAGGCACCCAGAGGAGCCCAGGTTTTCAAGCCTCTCTTCACTGAACTTGCGTCACCTACAGAGGCAAAAATGAATTTTAGAAAGCTGTAGAAATTCAAAGCCAACCATAACAACCCATGTCCCTGAAGGTATTTGAATTTAGCTTCTGATGAAAATAAGGCCATTTCAATGACATAATACAGCCACATTTATATCATCCTGCCATCTCCATTTGGAGACAGCTCAGTGCTTGTCCCCAGCCAAAACTAACAGCCGGACTTCTTTTGCAATGTTTAGAAGGCACTCTTTTATTTAGTGCTGAGAAATCCTCTCTAAAGGAATGTTTCATAGAACTATGCTCAACATCCTGCTCTTTTGTAGGAAAATAAATCCAGGATGGTTGCAAGGATAATCAATTATCATAGAGTAAAAATGCATACTTTTAAACAAGGCTATTGTTTCAGCAGATGTTTAGCTTATATCATTATAAAGGCTTCAAATAAAACAATTTGGTAATGCTTTTTCTTTTAACCTCTCTTTCTGTCAATAAATAAATGCTGGATATCATAGTCCACATGACGAGTTTATTCTCCTCTATACCAAGCTGTTATTCACGTGACTTTTATTGAGCATCTACTGTATGTAGGCCTCTATTCTGGGTGCCATGGCAAATGTAAAGTTGAAAAAGATATTCTTTGCCTCTCAAGAGGAGACTGGGAAGATATCATCATATATGAAACATCTCAATAAACCAGGTGACAATCAGTACTAGCTGAAGGATCCCCTAGAAGTCAAGAGGAGGAACCTTAAAGGATGGGAATTCAAATGGTACCTACACTTATTTGCAAGGCTTTTCTGAGTAGATGTGAGATCAGAAGAGTCATACATGATTATGTCGTACAAGTGATTGGAGAATGGCCACATTCACTTTAACCATTCCTTGTCAATGAATGCTGAAGTCTGTTTCAGCCCCACTGCAAAACCTCAAATTGGGCCAGAGCAGATTACACTAAACATTGACTTTCTTTAACAGGGACAAGGAGAACTGTACTCCCACCCCCTGCACCTCTTCTACTGGGGAACAGAGAGGAGTTCATCAGAGATTTCAAGAAGCCTGGCATGTCCTTGCCCCCACCAGCAGTCTGATCTCCGAAAAGGTTGAGGGGTGCATAGCAGTCTTGGGAAGATGCTGGTTCCTGGTCCCATAAGCAGCTGATCTCTGAAGCCCATTTCCCATGTGGGGTCCTGCGTTTCACCAGACAAGAACTCTGGCTCCCCTGCTACCTCTTGGGCCATGTTTCTTTCTTAGCATAGCTTCCCAGAGATGTGCAGACGCCAGGGGAGTGGATCCAGCCAAAACATGTTCTTGGCAGAGATGCCAAGACAGAGCCCTGAAAAACAAAGGAAGTCTAGCAGATAACTGGCTCTTTCTGAAGGAATCTGGAGTTTTGACTGCCCACATTGAGCTGTTGGCACCAGCAGGAATGGAAACTGGGCCTTGCAAACAGAGTCCCAGCTTGTCTGTGCACCATGGTGGCCTGGACACAGTCAAATCACAGTCTCCCACACCCCCAGCCCAGCACACACGCAGGCTGAGTGAAGGCTGCATGCAGGACATTGCACGGCTCCTTTTTTGTGGTGTGGTCTTTACCAGAAGCCCAGCCAAACCACTGAGAAGGGGGCTTAGACACACACCGGGAGCTGTGGGCTCCAACTACCAGCGAGGTCTGCTCCAGGCCAGGGAGGGATGAGGGGATTTGTTGTGATTTCTTCACACACACACTCTTTATATTTATCCAAGCCACAGATAAGAAACAATCCTTCTAAACCCAGGGCAGTAATTTTTATTTTTTTTATTTTTTTTTGAGATGGAGTCTTGCTCTGTCGCCAGGCTGGAGTACAGTGGCGAAACCTTGCCTTACTGCAACCTCTGCCTCCCGGGGTTCAAGTGATTCTCCTGCCTCGGCCTCCTGAGTAGCTGGGATTACAGGCAACCGCCACCATGCCCAGCTAATTTTTGTATTTTTAGTAGAGATGGGGTTTCTCCAAGTTGGCCAGGATGGTCTCGATCTCTTGACCTCGTGATCTGCCCGCCTTGGCCTCCCAAAGTGCTGGGATTACAGGTGAGCCACTGCGCCCGGCCCAGGGTAGTATCTCTCTGATATCAGAATCATTTGGTTTGCTCATTAAAAAGGCAGATTTCTGGTCTCCTCTTTCGACCTGCCTGGTGAACGTGAATCGGAGGATAGAAACTGAGAATTTGCATGGTTTAAGAAATGCCTCAAGTGAGTCCTTTGTCCTAGATCAGTGAAATCGTATCTCAAGCTGCAAATAGAAAGAGCAAAGGACTGAGAAGTTTGAGTTTTGTATCCCAAGCAGGTGGTGATGGCATCATAGAAGATATAAATGGAATATAAGACATTCACTCACTTCCCCAAACATACTTAGATCCTGAGTCTTGGTTTCCGCATTTTAAAAGGATAGAGTTGGGTGACTGAATGAAGCTGGAACTAAAAGTGTGCCTGGTTCTGTCTGGGTTAAACATAGGACCCCACAAGGGAATGGACTCCAGGAACCAGGTTCATATTGTATCAGTAACAAGCTGATATTAGTAGCTGTAGGACATTGGGCAAGTTACTTAACACCCCTGTGTCTCAGTTTCTCCATCTAAAAATGGTTATAATATTATATACCTCATAGGTACTATAGGTGTATAATGCATTTACAAGTGCTGTAACAGTGTGTGGTAGAAATACTCAACAAATGTTACCTGTTACTATGCATTTTGCATTGCACTAATGAACTTTTGGAAGATCTTCCAGCTTAGTGAGAGCTTAATGGAGCTTGAACATAAATTTCACTTTGTGTGCTGGGATAGTAAGCCATGTTCTTTTAGAGTCAACACATTTTTACTGAGGCCCTACCTTGTGCAAAGGTGCTTTGCCTTCATGGAGCTATTCATCTTGTTGGGAGACACTTATTTTATTGTTGGCTTACTTGTCCAGAAACACACGAAGTATTATGAACAAGAGAAGCATCTGCCAGTACTTGGAATCCTTTCTGCTTTGCTTTCATGGCTATAATTTCATTTTGACCCCAAACAACAGCCCTGAGCAAAATGTGCAGTACTCTGAAGAGTGGTTTTCAATACTTAATATCTTAAGGAGTTTGTTGGTCCTTGGGAACTAACAAGGGTGGCAGATGAAATTGATTTAAGGGTCTCCCTCCTCCCCCATATACACACTTTTTCCAGCCAGAATTCCTCTCTTCTAACATGCTTATTGGATTTCCTTATAAGGCTATGGTTGAATCAGGGTCCTGCTGGGTGTAGAGAGTGGGGTGGAAGAAGAATTCCAAGGTGTGGCTTTGTCCTGGGCAAGTTAGGACTTCTGAGGGACCATGACACAGAACTGATACATTCAGGAAAGAGGGGCAGAGTTTAGTGTTTGCTTCCCTTTGGGTTATTCTCAGTGGATAGGAGCCAGTAAACCAAACTTGTCCAACCTGTGGCCCACGGGCTGCTGCATGCAGCCCAGGATAGCTTTGAATGTGGCCCAACACAATTTCATAAACTTTTCTAAAACATTACGAAATTTTTTTGCGATTTTTTTTTTCAGCTCATCAGCGATCCTTAGTGTTAATGTATTTTATGTGTGGCCCAGGACAATTCTTCTCCCAATGTGGCTCAGAAAACTCAAAAGATTGGACACGCCTGCAACAATTTAGACCCCACTAAAATCATTTCTGAGCACACCTTCACTTACAGTTACACACAAAAACCCTGCAAATATGATGTTGAAATAGGGGAATAACATCCCAAATTAAAAAAAAATTCATGACAAGGCTGAAAGACATATAATACATTTATAAATATACACCATTTTGGAATGTTTTTAAAAATTGAGCGTCTTATTCATAAAATAAGCATCTTTAGGATAATTAATGTTTGTCAGCATACTTGTTTCAGTGCACTGGAAATTAACTAACTGAATTTCCTTTAAAAACTAAATTTTTGTTACAAATAGAACTACAAGCTATTGAACTTACAATTTTGCAATTTTAAAGCAGCCGGAAAATAATTTTATAGTGATTCATTTTTGAACTTTGTCTCCAGAATATATTTTTCTAGAAAAATATATTTTGAAATTTGTGTCTAAGAATACATATTTCAAAATGTGTTTATGTCTCCTTATTGGTAGACATAAACACATTTTGTGTTTTTTGTGTTTTCTAGAGTCTCAAAATATATTTGTGTTGCTCTGGGCCATTTGGGGGAGAATATTCCCAAAGTAGTGCTTATTATAATCATAAGCCTTAATTATTATTATTAATATTATAATACTATATATCGTTTTCCTTTCTTAGTCTTTAGCAGAGTTCACTTTGAAAACGCCAGCTTCCCTTTGCTGTGAAAAGGGAAAATATAAGAAAATTCTTACAGACAATAAAAACCATAGAAAAGCCACCAAGTTTCTAAAATACTTGCTGGGCTTCCATGTTTCCCTGTAAAATCAGTGCCTCTGATCTTCTTCTGCTCCAGGCTTTAAGGAGTGGCACCATTTTCCCTGGTGCATTTCCTGGCATTTTTTTCTTCTTGCTGTTTGCCTTGTTTTATTTTATTAAAGTGACCTCATCATGTTGGTCCCAGCAGGTCAATCAATTGCCCCATTGATTTCAGGAATGGAAAATAATGGCCGTCTATGGGCTGGAGGTAGCATATGTAGTGGATGCTGTGGTCTCAGCAGAGATCTTTCAGGACGAGGTACTCATATACCAACTATGGGGAGAGTTGGCTGACTTCAGGTACAACCTGTGTACAGGGCCCCATGCTCAGAGGGCCTCGCACTTGATTTAATGCTCTGCTGCTGCCATCTTGAAATTTGTAATACTTTTTGAACATTGGCTTCAACATTTTCTTTTTGCACTGGGCCCTACAAATTATGTATTCAGTCCTGATGACCACACTCACGGGGAAACCTACCTAGAGCATCATGTGCAGTGGAAACCTGAGATGTTCCCTGAGCTCATCAGGAGTGACTGTTTTGATGTGTTGGCTCTGCCTACCATGGATGTGGGAAGAGGTGAGGGGCAATGGGGATGCTAAATGCTTCCCATCACTGGCTGACTGGGGCAAACACCAGCTTAGGAGAAAGGCTTAGCTGGGTGCTCCAATCCTCTGGGCCCACTCACGTCTTTGTTCTGGTCTAAGAGATGCTAGACTCTAGCCTTCCTAAGCTTCTGAAGCTTTCCATGATGCTCAGTCAGGGGCATCCACTCTTCTCCTTCCCTTTCCCCATCAGGCCCATTCAGAAGTGGGCCTGAACGGGGATGAGGCCCTCTAAGTCTACTGATATCACTTTTTCATTTTCACAACCCAACAATACTTTACCTGCTTAAACAATGAAGCACATGACATTTTGATGAAGTCTTCCTGGTGCAACTTTTTTTTTTATCTCTGGAGCATTTTGCTATGGGGAGAAAAATCAAGCAATAAAATCTTCAGTGAAAAAAAAAATTGAGTTGTATGCATAACGGAAACATCACCTCATCTCTTCTGTTCTCTTTTAATAGCACTTTTGCAAAACTACCCAGTAAACCTGTACGTTGTTCATGCCTGAGCCATGCTCAACCTCTATACCTTTCCCCAGCCCCTACTCTGCTTTTTGCCCCAAACCTGCCTCTTTCCACAACTACAATTTCTATTCCTAGAGTTGCATCAAAAATGAGTAAGGAAAAAAGAAAACTGCTTATTACTGCTAAGTGGAATGTTCATCTAAACAGAAAATGCACCCAATTTTAAATTAGTAAAAATAATTGCTAACATGCATATAACACTTGAAAGAATACCTGGCACAGATATTAAGCACTTTAGAACTCACTTACTCCTCACAGTGTGTTGCAGCACAAAGAAGTTAAATGAATTTCCTAATATTACTTTACAGTGAAAGTGGATGGGGCCAGGATTCAAAACCAGTTTGCCTGTATTCTTTCTTAACCACTATGCCATCTCCACATGTGTCCTCAAGTCAAATGGTGAGGACTTCATCAAATATGTTATTTTTTTACCTTAAATATAAAGTTTAAGAGACTAATGAGGCAATAGCCAAATAGACAACTTGGTCAAAGTTTGCACATTGACAAATGCAAATTCTAGTTCAGTGTGGAACAGTGGATGTGTGACAATTGGTAAATGAATTTTATTTGTTCAGTCTTGAAAAGACCAAGAATACAAGCAGAACATGTAAAGGGGAGAGCCATCATAAAAGTGCTTAAATGTATCAGAATGGAGAGAAGAATTTTGCGACTTTGCACCTGAAAAAGGAATACAAACACAGAACTACTTCCAAATATCTGAAATAAATCTCCTATAATTTTCTTATGAATTAATCATAAATAAAATATTATCTTTCAACCTTTTGTACATTTTGAATAACTGTTACCATAATTCATTTTCATCAAATATCCTTTGGCGTGAGAAAAGTGGATTTTCAGATATTTTATTAGTGTCAATTTTATCAAAGAAATTTTCTAATAATATAGATTTTGCCAGCTGGTACCAACAAGGAGGAATGAAGTGGTGGTGGGGTGGGGTAGGCTAGGTTCAGGGACAGGGAGTGGAAAGAGGGGCGCTAGAAAAGATAATAAAAATAGTACATACTAGGTAACAGGTTTCAACAAAAATGATAATTGAGGAGACACGCCAGAGTGGTGTGAGGGTCAAAACAGGGCAGTTGACATTACCTGATAATTTATTTTTTAAGCTCTGTGTTAAAACAGTTGTGTCAAAATGGCCTCTTGGTAATCCCCTGCATAACAACTCCGTGGGGTGAGATGTGTGAAATGCCTGGGATGGTGCCGGGCCCTCTGGAGGGGCCATACTCTACATGACCTTGCAAACGGCTTCTCTTTCACAGCTTTCCAGAAGAGCAAACCTAAGTCAGAGTAGAGAGGCTTGTTCCAACCAGCTCTAGGCTTTCGCCTTCACGCAGCAGGAAACCCGGGCTGCTCTCCAGCTTCTCCAAGACTTCACCCAGCTTTCAAACTCAAACTGCTGGACTGGAGAGAGAGAGAGAGAGAGAGAGAGAGAACATTTTCTCCAATTTCAAAATCTCTGTACAAAACTCATGTAATTGTTCAGTAGTCACCAAGGTGCGGGCTCCCATCATTCCTTTTGGAATTCATTCCCCATTTATATTCTAACTCTACATGAAGCTTTCTTTAACAATGGCTGCTGCATAGATAGTATGTTGACTTTAATAACTTAAAAATAGCTGCCACGGTGCATTTTTAGATATAGTTAATGGTACTTTCTGAGAATCTGTGGTTTTTGAAAGATAGTGATCTTCCCCCCAACCCCAGTCCACAGATATGTGAAGCTAAAAAATAAAAAGGGGGAGGGACTTGGAGACAGATATCCTGAGCGTATGCTATGTTTTTCTGACACCTCTGAGTTTTATAAACTTAGAGAACCATTCTTGGATCCTTAGTTTTTGTATCTATAAAATGGATGTCACACTATGCCTCATCTTTAAATGAAACTTGAGACAGCTGAATAATAGCAGATTACATTTAAAAAAATTTTTTGGTGAAGAATTTTTATTTTAAGAGGGCTTGGTATCTTCTTTGTTGTTTGTTTTTTATTTGTCATTTCCTGACATAGGGTATTGGTATCTAAAAGGATGGCTCATGAGGAAAAAATATAGACCAATGACTGGCACTGACTGCTAATATTTATTGCATATGTACAAATATTTTACATGTATCACTTCATTTTAGCCTCATAACAATCTTACAAGATATGTATTTTTATTATCTACCTGTATAGATAAAGAAAACAAGCATAGAGAGAGTTGAGCCACCCGCTTGCCTAAGGTCAGCCAGGAGAAATGGTAGAAGCTGGATCTGAGCCCTGGCCACACCCCTCCAGGGCCCGACCTCAAGACCTCATAACATCATCCTTTGAAGGCCTGAGGTGGGACCCTTCCCACCTCCACTCCATGGGCCAGCTACTAGAGCAGTAATTCTGCTCAGACATAAGGTCTCTTTTAAAATATTATTTACTTTTTATTCATTCTATAGGCCTCACTTTAGATTGGATTTATCTCAATAGAGAGGAATACAAATGTGGATAAAAATCATGTCTACATATTGAAAACTTCATTAGAAATAAACATTTTAATGTTCTGCCATGAGTTTCCTAACTTAGTCCTTTTGAGGCTGACAGTAAAAATTTGCCTTCAGAGGTAACAGTGGGTAGGCCACCGAATGCTCTCCCAATCAGAGAACTTATAGTTTATAACCAGCAATCTAGGGACATGAGCATTTTAAAATTCCAGTTTTTTTGAAGGTGTATCATGTTTTAAAAAAAAATTTTTCAGAAAAAGCAATGCATTAGAATCCATACATGTATTTGTAGAATGTATGGAGTGGCTATTCTTAATTGTGGCTGATCACAATAGCTGGCATATCATAGGGGATCAGTAAATACATTTCAAATGAACAGATGGACAAATGAACTTGGTAAAGCCAATGTCACTTCCAGTTCTTGCCAAAATAATATTATCTAATATTTATTGATAGCTGATTATATGCCAAGTATAGTCTAAATGTATAAAATGCCCTCACTCATTTAACTCTCAAACAATGCTAGGAGGTAAGGACTATTTTTAATCTTTATTTTTCACGAGAATCTTGAGGACCAGAAATAGTAACTTGCTCAAAGTAAGTTACGCACCCAAAATTCAGACTTGGGTCCTATGGCCTGAGTCTATGCTGGAAGCAAAAGGGACAAGCTTTGTCTTGAAGAAACAAAGCTTATCTAGGCCTGAATAAGCTACGCTCAAGCGTACTCAGAGAAGCGATTTGCAGATTTTCTGAAGGGGCCTCCTGGGGTTAAGTGATTAGGCTGACCAAGGAGGTTATGCAAGGGCATTATGTATCAGCAAAAGCCAGGTGGGCAATGAGTGAAAGTAAGCTGTGGGCCCACGCACTATAAGGAAAGGACTAAAAGAATCATCAGTTCCTGAGGCCAATGGAGATGGCACTCCATTGTAAGGATTCTGTTGGGGATCCAGTTAGAAATATTCTTTGATAAGTGAATGAGACTGAACATACGGGGATTATGGACCTCAATTTTCAACATCTAACTTCAGTGTGGTGTCCAATATCTTATCCCCTGGCAGAATGGGCAAAGGGTCAGAGAAGCCTAACCTCAAATACCTCCTTAAGCTACAAGGACCATGACATGGGGGAATAAAGTTCATCACTGTCTAGAAATAGATTCTTTTTTTTTTTTTCTTTTGTAAGACAAGGTTTCACTCTCATCACCCAGACTGGAGTGCGGTAGCTCTATCTCGGCTCACTGCAACCTCCATCTCCCAGGCTCAAGCGACTTTCCTGCTTTATCCTCCCAAGTAGCTGGGACTACAGGTATGTGCCACCACACCTGGCTAATTTTTGTACTTTCTTTTTTTTAAAAAAAAGATGGGGTTTTGCCATGTTGCCCAGGCTAGCCTTAAACTCCAGACTCAAGCAATCCACCCACCTCTGCCTCCTAAATTGCTGGGATTACAAGGCATCAGCCACTGTGCCCGCCAGAGTAGGGTCTCATCTTACGCTCTGGCCTACAAGACGAAATAGTAATTCCCAGCAAGAGATCATCTGGATAGATTAAAAAGGGATTCATAAAATCGTGCACCCTTTACAACCTCTCTTTGACCATCATAATGAGTAAAAGAGCTTGTGGGGGCAACTCAAAAGAGGGTTCTCCTAGGGCTCTTCAATAGAAGGGGATGGGGTAATCAAGACTTGGGAATCTATCCATATCAGGTTGATAAAAAAAAAATCAGGAGGCTGGGTGTGGTGGCTCACACCTGTAATCCCAGCACTTTGGGAGGCCGAGGTGGGAGAATCACTTGAGATCAGGAGCTCAAGACCGGCCTGGTCAACATGGTTAAACCCCATCTCTACTAAAAATACAAAAATTAGCTGAGTGTGGTGGCACATGCCTGTAGTCCCAGATACTCAGGAAGCTAACATAGGAGAACTGCTTGAATGTGGGAGGTGGAGATTGAAGTGAGCCGAGATTGTGCCACTGTACTCCAGCCTGCACGACAAAGCAAGAATCTGTCTCATAAAAAGAAAAAAAAAATCAGGAAGGAGTATACAGAAGTTCTGAGAGCTTGACATGGTCCCGTAACTCTGTTTCTTTTCTTGAGACTCACCCAGGGGTTCGATACCACCTTGTTCTTCACCAGAGTCAGGCCAGAACAATGCAAGACAATCCTTTCACAGGTGTGACCTGTGCACCACCCACTGCTGCTTCAGTATTGTTGTCATATCCTGATAAATTTTTACATAGATGTTGTATTATTACATATTATATGTGTATGTGTGTGATATTCCCCAAATTCAGTGGATACAAGAGACCAGCAGCTTTCAAAAATGCATTTAAAAGAGGTCTTTTTTTTAAACTGACAGAATTATGTCTGGAATCTCAGCACATAAAATAAACAGGAGCTCTCTGGTTGAAGTTGGCGTGGGATGGGGCTGGAGCCATTCTGCCAGGAGTGGTGGAGGGAAGGCTGGGGATCTTCCTACAAACCTAGCCACCCACAGAGAAGAACACCTTTAGGGCACTGCACTCAGGGTTTTGAGCGTGCACTACAGAGAGTGCACCACAAAGGTTTTCAAAGAGCTTTGAGTATCTACTATTTCTCACAGCACAACAAAAATTTTTATCCCTTGAGAAGAATTATTCTGTAAGTGACAGGGAAACTATAGAGTCACATTGAGGAGGACGCTTTGCTATACCTCATTTTCCTGCAGGCTCCTTAGCCCCTTGTAAAATCATGGGTGCTGAATGTGTGTATGTATGCGTGTGCGGGTGGGAGGTGCAACGCGGCAGCATTGCCTATCACCTCCCACCAAGAGCAGCCATGCCCCAGTTCCTTGCTGAGTCAAAAATATTCTCTTCCATACTTCTTTCAAAACGATTGGTGGCTACTTGCCTTAGATCTACTTAACTAAAGAGCTATTCAAGGACTTCTTGAAAAATCAGACAGTGATTTTATAATAAAAGGCTGACAGTGTCTCTGGGACTGAGAGACGGACCTGAGTACTAAGATTAGAAATGGAGGAGGCTGATGAAGTATATGTATTCGTTGATGCTACAGCAGCAGCACAGCGGATCATTCCCCAACTATCAGGAACCATGAAAGGTCTGAGAGAAGGAGGCTGGGAACTTTTTTGTCCTTGGTCGGGTCACAATGCTCCTGTAAATCTTTAACAAAACATAATTAGTTGTTTATATACTTCCTCTTTAATCCCAGAGTTCGATTTACAAAATATTTGATTGCTGTTTTTGTATATTATCTCAGTGCTCTAAAATTACCCTAGCAAACGTGCAGGAATGGGTGTAGGCCCCTTAAATAAAAATGGAATTAGTTATGTTGGGTTTTTTTTTTTTGCTGTTTCACTGCTACAATTCCCCACTGTCAAAGGCTCATTCCACAATTTTGTGGGATTAGGGACAATGGGATGTCATCTCTCAGCTGGCTACTTCTTGCCAAACAGGGTCAACGTGGGGCAACTGTGGAATGAAACTTTTTGACCTGGCAGTGAGCTGATGTTCAGGCCCTTGTTCCTTCCAGGTCTTTAGGAGGACCTATTTCTTAGTTGAAAAGGATGCAGGTCCATATCCATGGGAAAAATGATTCTGCTGGAAGCAAACTTATAAACAAAAGTTAGTATAATATCTAGCGTCTTAACATATTTGGCAATTGTTAAATCTCTTAGAGCATCGGTTGGTTCTCACACCAGGGCAGAAACCTGGAATGGCCTACCATATCAGCAAGAAAATCAATACATTTGCTCCCTACTGTCAATTGTATCCAGGGCTCCTGTGGGTATATGATAGATCAGCTCAACATACATATTTAATGGGTTACAGAAGTAGCTATAAATATTTATGAAGGTGGTCTTGACACATGTGTACTGAACAAACATGCATGTAACACACGTTTATCTTGGGGTGGAGACTTAACCTTTGCCGGGCATGGCCTTAGGTCCTGTTTATGATTTGGTATCTTATAGCCACAGGCTGTGCTGCCAGTCTCATGATCTCTATTTTAACATTAATGCTGTTGTTGTGTCTAAACTATAAAGGGAGGGGGGATAACAAGGCATTCCCAACCTCGTTTCTCGTGGCTCACTTTCAAGCAGTGGGCAGCTGAATATGGGCTCAGTTACACCAACATGTTCAGGTAGGAGGACTTCTTTTTTTAATACTTGAATTCTACATACTCTCACATAATGGTCATTATATTTTTAGTATCCAGTTATTGCTTTTTGCCATAATGTATTTTCTCAGATAAAAATTTAGTCACATCTTAAAATAAACTTGCATTTTACTAATCAAAACTGCATCTATAGGACTTGAAAAATAGTAATAAATAGATGTGAAAAACACATTCAATTTATAGCAATACTTAGCACACAAATAGATTCATGGATTACCCTCCTCCCCCCAAAAATCTGATGGTTGAACCCATCTAAATAAATCATATTACCTTTTTTAAAAAACGACTTTTGGTTAGTTTATATAAATTATTTTCCATGAATGTAGTTCTAGTAATAATGAATGAATGCACTGTTTATTGACTATTTGCAAATTGTTTTTGTTATCTCAGATTGAAATTTTGGAGGTATCAATTCCTTGAGATGGGAGGAGAACGGAAGGAAAACAAACAACTACCTTTTCCTTTCCTGTTGTTGCTGATGTGCACTTTCCCTGTCTTCCACGTCATGACTCAGGAAATGAGGGGGTGCATCTCAGAGGGCACCCTGCCTGTGTTCTCTGTCATTGCCTGTGAGCCACCGACTGATACCATCATTTTAATCACTCAAGAAGCCTTCCTTTCAGGAATGTATATTGCTTCTTGGCCCCTGCCTTCTCCCTGGAAATCCTGGGCAAAGAGCCAGGGAAAAAACGTGAGTGCTCAGGCCGAAATCAGTGGGCTGGAATTGTTTCTTCACTTTGGGTGACTCCACTGTTACTCAAGGAATGAACTGATTGGCACCAAGCAAGAAGAACAGCACATCTCTTTGGACTCATTCCCTTATTTATAAGCCATAACCTTAGGGACAATAAGCTAGAGACCCTGCCAGCATCCTTGAGCCAGGATCTCATCTGTTGTCACAGTAGCCATGTTTCCCTGGCATCCGAGAGCCCAAGGATGCAAATAAGGCCTGGGCCAAACTAAGCTCTGACAATTAATGTTATTCCAAAGAGGCAGCAGCGAGGGTAGGAAGTTCTGGTCCCCTCATCTTACTTCAAGTTTCACAGCCAAGAGTGATGATAGCTTTAGTCAGTAAGTACAGTCAAGGAGCCTATGAGACAGAACTTGTCACAAAGACAGCTGATGTTTCGCATGGACCTTAACAGAGTAACTGGTGTCTCTTCAGGAATGGGGCACAATCCAGAGGTTACTAACCACGGGTGAGTAACAGGTGATCCACAACAATCTCATCTGACTCATAGTAGAGATTGCTGGCATCTACCCAGCATTCATTCCCCCTCTTCCTAAGAGAAACTCAATTCGTTGTAATCAGCAACATATTCCCAACAGGAAAATCACATTTCAAGCCTTCCTTTAGATAGGTGACTACATTTTGGCCAGTGAGATAGGAGTGAAAGTTGTCAGATGGGCTCCTCCTGACAACTCCTTTAGAAGGGGCTGACCCAGCTGTCAGCCATTTGCCCTGGTGTGTCCTCCTCTCTACTGACTACAATATAGGTGTGATGGCTAGAGTAGCAGCTGCTATCTTGGGACAAGGGGAGACCTTGGGGTAAACAGAACCTAGGATAGTAAAGCAGAAAGATAGAAGAGCCTGGGCTGATGATGATGTGGCAGAACTGCCAAACAAGCTCTGGACTGCTAATCTCTGGACTTAACTTTCAGGAAACAAAATTAAACTCTATCTGGCTCAAGCCACTCTTACTTTATGGACCAAGAGCATTGGCAGCACTTGGGAGCTTGTTAGAAAGGCAGCTTCTCAGGCCCCTTCCCAGGCCAAATGAGTGACGATCGGCTTTGTAGCAAGATCCACAGGTGATTTGCATGCACAGTAAAGTTTGGGAAGCACTGCTCCAGATGTAGTTAGTTTCTCTGTTTATGAAATTATTAACTGATATATCCTGGGAAATAATGAATTCTATTTGCCGGTACTAAAACATGGTAAGAATGATATAACCATAGGATAAAACAACTAAAATGCCCTGAGTTATTTGGATACAAAGAAAGAAAGCATTCATGTCAATTAGGTAATTGATGTTCCAGCCACTATACCTGGCACCAGAGAAGTAAAGATATCCCTGCTCTAGACTCCATGGTCTAACAAGGGAGACATATAGATACTGTGTATTGTGTTGCATTGCATTATAAGAACCGTTTGGATGCAATAAGAGCTATGCCCAGGTGTTCCGGGAAAACAGATGAGGGGTCTAAGCCTTCCCTCCTGGGCTAGGGAGTAAGTTAGAGAAAACTTCTTGGAAGAGATGTCACCTGAGTAGTTAAGAATTATCTTGCTTCTTCCCCCAGTTTCAGGGATCAGAGGCCATCCTTTGTGGGCTTAAGTCAGCCTGCTGGCCTCCCCAGCTGCTCCTTAAATTCTAAGAGTTGGCATAAAAGACACAGGTTACAACACGAATGTCTTCATCCTACACGATCTTTACTTTCTCTGTTCACAATGTGGGCTCCTTGGCTCCATTTTACATATACAGGAAATTTGGACACCGAATAGAGAGTGAATTTCAAAGGATTCAGAGAAGGCAAACCCATATGAGTGTTTAGAGTTCATTGATCACTAGTATCTTCTTAATTTTGTGAACACCGGGTTCTGAATTCCTTCATTGACTAGCTATTTCTCTTCATGTCTTCTACAAACATTCTGAAGTTGGAAATCCTTTTTATTGGTGTTTAGAATAAGTCAATGTTTTTCCTCTCTTTATATTTCTACTTGATATTCCTCAGTTTTCTGTATTATTAAAAATGAAATCACATTTTTGGATACTTGTGGTTTGGCCGGCTGGTTGGGAAACTTTTCTGGCATTCATTATTGCTTTTTTCTTTCCATTTAAAGAACATTTACTGGATTTGGTACTTGGCGAAAGAAACTGACAAATTAAGAAATGAGAGAGAGAATAAATGCACTGTGCATGCTGAAACCCCAAGAAGACTTTTTTTCTCCTACTTTTTATGGACCTGAGGTGTTGGAAATGGAAACATTGTTTCAAACAAAATCCAGATTTTTATCTCTCTCCCCAAGAGATATGGCTTTAATCTTTTTTCTTTTCTTCTGCTGCTTTTCTGAAACACTCTGCTAGGGGCTGATTTCCTCTTCTTTGAAACAGACCAAAATATCCCTGTGGGTGAAAAACATGCCGGAAGTGAAACAGAAAGACTCAGCTTGCCCCGTGTTCGTGGTCTGTCAACTTCTCTAGCCAGTGCCTGGATCCACAGCTCACTGCTGCCGGTTGCCCTGCGTTAGCCGCATTGCGGGGGAGACAGGAGAGGCTTGAAGGCTTTTTATATTCTACTCTCTTCTGAAGAATTCACAAGTTAGCAAGCACTCAACCACTACTAACCAGAAGGTATTGCCAACCATAACAAACTACACCCATCAACAAGGCCTCCCTCATATTGCAATCCCAGCAGAAAATGATGCAGGAAAAGCACTCCCCAAATCTTGGTTGCCTGCCACCCAAGTTCTTATGCCAAGATATGTGTTTAGCCAGTTCTAAGATGCTGCCACCTTTTCATGTGTCCAACACTAGGCTTTCTACCATAGTTCCCTCCACCCAGAATGTGTTACTTGGCTCCTACAAATGCAAGAGGAAGTGCCCTTCCCTGAACAGAAATCAAAACACAGGGTGAAACCACGACTTGTTTTCAACAGGCCTCCTGTTGTGAGCCCTCCCAGCTGTGCTGCCTTTCTCCAAGAGAGCTGGGACTGGCGGCTCGAAGCGGTATAAATGGCCTGTGCCTCTTCCTGAGGCTGCCTGTAACAAGTGTCTCAAGAGCAATTCGTCATCGGCTGGAGATTACCAACTTGGCTCACTGAACCAGATCGTGCTTTGTCACATGTGAAATTCTGATGTTCTAATACATGGCTTGTTTGCAAACTACGCCTTAAATAAATATATTCAGGATATTTAACAATATAGTGTTCTGAATTAGACCATCATTTACATCTGTATTTATTCAATAATCATTTACTAAGTGCCAAATACATGCCGAGTACTATGCCGAGTGCAACAGTTAAAACGCAGGAAAAAGATCGTATTGCCCTTACTGGGCTATAAATTCAAATCTCTGTCTCATCTCATCAAGCAATCTTTCCGCCTTGGCCTCCCAAAGTGCTGGAATTATAGGCATGAACCACCACACCTGACCCAGGAGAGTTTTCTTTAACGAGTGATGCTTGATCTCAGTTTTGAAAAGTATAGAGGTGTTCACCTAGAGGAGAGGAAAGAACAGAGCATTCTGGAAAGAGGACTGTGGAGCAAAGGCAAAGAGATATTACATAGCCTGGCATGGTTTGGGAACTATAAGCAGTTGAAGTTGGTAGTGAATGGGGCATGAGAGGAAGGGGAGGTAGGCAGAGGCATGATCGTAGAGAACCCTGTATTCCAATCCAAGAATCAAAGTCATCATCCTGAAGGCTGTGGGGGCAATATTGAGGAGATTCCCAGAAAATGAGTGATATTTACTTGTCTTCATGACAGCAAATTGAACAGCAGGGGTTGAAAACAGGGGAAGGCTAAGTAGCAGATCATTGCAATAGACCAGAAAAATGAAGGCTTGAAACTTCAACGGGCAACAGGGATGAAGAGTTGAGAACAGATTTGAGAGAAGTGAAAGGAGTAGGATCTGCAGAACTTGGAGACTGACCGGATTCTGGAAGATTAAGGAGATGGAGATGTCAAGGGTGAATGGTTCCCAGTTTATTATTTAGGAACCCGAAGGAATGCTGGTGTGTGCGGAATTGGTGGGTTCTTGGTCTCACTGACTTCAAAAATGAAACCACGGACCCTCGCGAAGAGTATTACAGTTTTTTTAAAAAAAAAAAAAAAAAGACGGAGTCTCGCTCTTTAGACCAGGCCGGACTGCAGTGGCCCTATCTCGGCTCACTGCAAGCTCCGCCTCCTGGGTTCATGCCATTCTCCTGCCTCAGCCTCCCAAGTAGCTGAGATTACAGGCCCCCGCCACCGTGCCCAGCTAATTTTTTGTATTTTTAGTAGAGACAGGGTTTTACCGTGTTAGCCAGGATGGTCTCGATATCCTGACCTCGTGATCCACCCGCCTTGGCCTCCCAAAGTGCTGGGATTACATGTTACAGTTCTTAAAGGCGTCGTGTCCAGAGTTTGTTCCTTCTGATATTCGGATGTGTTCAGAGTTTCTTCCTTCTGGTGGATTCCTGGTCTCGCAAGCTCAGGAGTGAAGCTGCAGACCTTCCCGGTGAGTGTTACAGCTCTTAAGTCGGAGAGTCTGGAGTTGTTCATTCCTCCGGGTGGGTTCATGGTCTCGCTGGCTTCAGGAGTGAAGCTGCAGACCTTCCCTGTGAGTGTTACAGCTCATAAGGGGAATGTGGACCCAAAGAGTGAGCACCAGCAAAATTTATTGCAGAGCGAAAGAACAAAGCTTCCACAGTATGGAAGGTGACGGGTTGTCACTGCTGGCTCGGGCAGCCTGCGTTTGGTCTCTTATCTGGCCCCACCCACATCCTGCTGATTGGTCCACTTTACAGAGAGCTGATTGGTCTGTTTTACAGAGAGCCGATTGGTCCGTTTTGACAGGGTGCTGATTGGTTCATTTACAATCCCTGAGCCAGACACAAAAGTGAGTGCTGATTGGTGCATTTACAAACCTTGAGCTAGATAGAGTGCTGATTGGTGTATTCACAATCCCTTAGCTAGACATAAAGATTCTCCAAGTTCCCGCTAGACTCGGGAGCCCAGCTGGCTTCACCCAGCGGGTCATGCACCAGGCAGCAGATGGAGCTGCCTGCCAGTCCAGTGCCGTGGGCCCGCATTTCTCAGCCCTTGGGCGGCGGATGGGACCGGCCGCTGTGGAGCAGGGGGCGGTGCTCCTCGGGGAGGCTTGGGCCATGCAGGAGCCCACAGCGGGGGGTGGGGGAGGCTCAGGCATGGCAGGCTGCAGGTCCTGAGCCCTGCCCTGCTGGGAGGCAGCTAAGGCCCCGCGAGAAATCGAGCGCAGCACCCGTGGGCCAGCACTGCTGGGGGACCCGGCGCACCTTCCGCAGCTGCTCGCCGGGTGCTAAGCCCCTCAGTGCCCGGGACCAGCAGGCCGGCCGCCCGCTCAGAGTGTGGGGGGCCCGCCAAGCCCACGCCCACCCGGAACTCTGGCCCGCAAGGCTGCGCGCAACCCCGGTTCCCGCCCGTGCCTCTTCCTCCACACCTCCCTGCAGGCTGAGGGAGCCGGCTCCGGCCTCAGCAGTCCCAGGGAAGGTTTCCCACGGTGCAGCGGGGGGCTGAAGGGCTCCTCAAGCATGGCCAGAATGGGCGCCCAGGCCGAGGAGGCATCGAGAGCAAGCGAGGGCTGCCAGCACGCTGTCACCTCTCACTGGTGCCTCTCATTTGAAAGGGATGTAGGAAGAAGAGCTTAATGGGGTACTCTCAGAAAAAGAATGCCGGGTTCTCTCTTATTAATGGCTTCCATCTGTTGATGGCACTGCTCTATCAGCTGTGAGGAGTGTGGCAGGCAAAGTGCAGGGGAGCTTATCAGTCCCAGCTTCACATCGTAGGTGGCTAAAGAGTTTTCACTCAGATCAAACCCAGAACTGGAGCAGCCTGCTTTAACACCACAGAGAAAAATGTCCTTCCAAAGCTATGGCTCCACTGGCTCTGACCCCATCGGGGTCACACTTCATCACACTGAAGAACCCAGTGTGTGCCATTGATTCTAGGGGGAAGATGGTGCTGGGACTTGGCCTAACATCCCAATCAAAAGAAAGCCACTGAAGCATATTCTTTGACACAGGCTAATACGATTGGTGTGTCATGCAAAACGAAAAGTCCACAGTCTGTAGCACCGATAAAGACACTACTCTTTGGCTGCAAAGTATGCATACACTCACATAGCAAAAAAGTAGCCTGGACTAAAGCTCTTCTTACTGTTTGCTATTTTATAGGGGTGTGTGTGTGTGTGTGTGTGTGTGTGTATATATATACACACACACACATATATGTATATATAAATGGTTTATATGATATATAAATTGGTATATACATATATGAATATACAGAATATCATACAGTCATCCCAATATCCTTGGGGGATTGATTTCAGGACTCCTATGGATACCAAAATCTGAGGATGCTCAAGTCTCTCTGGTATAAAATGGTGTAGTATTTGCATATAATTTACACACATTCTCCTATATACTTTTATCGTCTCTAGATTACTTATAATACCTAATAAAATATAAATGATTTGTAGCTAGTTGTTATACTGTATTGTTTTTATTTGCATTATTTGTATTGTATTTTTAATTGTTTTGTATATTTTTCTGAATATTTTTGATCCATAGTTGGTTGAATCCACAGATGTGAAACTTGCAGATATGAAAGAGCTGGCTGTATATGTCTAAGTATATGTATATATCTAAGTGTATGTATACATAAAGTGGTTTTTGTAAGAGATGTGTATATATATATCGTAAATGTATGCTATATACTTATCTTTTCAGTTCACAACTTAATGGGAGCATATATTTTTGAAATTTTTATTATGGAGAATTTCAAATATGTATGAAAGTAGAAGGGATAATGTAATGTATCCGTCACCCAGTTCTAATCATTAGTAAGTCATAGTTAATCTTGTTTCCTCTGACAATGCCCCCACCAATATCTCCTCTTGCCTCCTGGATTATTTTAAAGCAAATATATTGGAAGTGTATGTATGTGTACCTGTATATTAGAAATACTTTTTAATTGGGAACAGTTTTAGATTTAAAGAATTATTTTAAAAATAGTACATAAAATTTCTCTCTACTGCACTCTATTTCCCCTATTAATAACATTTTACAATAGGATGGTACATTTGTAATAATTAGTGAACCAATATTGACACATTATTGTTAACAAAAGTCTATGCTTTCTTCAGATGTCCTCAGTTTTTCCCTAATGTCTTGTTTGCGTTGCATGAGCCTGTTGGAGGGATATTTTATTCTGCCTTTACAAGTCCTTGTGGTCTTGGGTTACATGCTCCACTTCATCTATTTGTGAGTTTTTCAGGTCTAGGAAGCCTGTATGATATTTCAAACCCTTTCCTCCCCTCGCCTTCCTATCTTTATCTCCCATGCTCCAACTTAGTTGGGAAAGGATACCACAGCACACATGTCCCCATTAGGAGCACTGATACCTCTATCACCCTTTGGAGCACTGTGGTCACTTGCTGGATTCCCTTTAAACTGCCATTTTGGAATTCATGCCAAGACACCACTGAATGTAATTTGGGACAGCCTATGAAGCAGAGAATTCAGAAAAAGCCCATGTACCTTTGAAAATACATTTGGGAGGACCACCACATTAACCAAATGAAATAGAACCAACAGTTCCCAGGCTGTTTGGGTTAATTTCTACTTTAGCTGTTCACAGTGTGGGGATTGGGGGGCAGTGATTTAGAGGCTCCACGGAGACCCTAGGAGGTGCTGCTTCTTGGGGTCCAGTCAGTTTGCCCTTCAACACCAAGCAGCCCCCTGGGAGGAAGCCCTGTGCTCTCTGCTGATGGCACAAGAAGTCAGTTCTCTCTGGAGGTGCTTTACTTAAACCAGTGCTGTTTATGGTGCCAGGTTTCTGATGCAATGCCTGCCTCCAGCCAGCCTGTCGAACAAATCGAAGTGTGATGGGTGGCTGGCTTGGGGCCAGAGTGGCGTCACTGCCCATTAATAGAAGTTGATGGAGCTCAGAAAAATGCTTTCAGTCTGGCAACGATCCGACTCCTTCTACACTTTGTCTACCTTGAGGAAAATATATGGAAAAATCAATTTAGGGATGCTTATTTTTACCAGTTTGTGTTAATTTAAGCACCAATTTGCCTAGTTACTGTTAGATTTTTAAAAAATGTTTTGTGACACATCTTGTTTTTTCCTGATTTATATAGTCTTTTATAGGTTCTGTTTCCTTCCAAAAAAAGATCTGAGGTGACTTATTACAAAGGACATTTATTATTAGCATGGAAGTTTTCTCTGCTTTTTCTTGATAATGTTCTGCTTATGTAACTACAGTTGATGAATTAGAGCTTATTTATCTAGGTATTAATATTTCACTTTATTCCATAAAGGAGGGGTCCCCAACCCCCAGGCCATGGACCATTGAGGATCCATGGCCTGCTAGGAACCCGGCTGCACAGCAGGAGGTGAGTGGTGGGTGAGTGAGCATTACTGGCTGAGCTCTGCCTCCTGTCTGGTCAGTGGCATTAGATTCTCATGGGACCGTGAACCCTATTGTGAACTGCACATGTGAGGGATCCGGGTTGCATGCTCCTTATAAGAATCTAATGCCTGATGATCTGTTACTATCTCTTATCACCCCCAGATGGGACCATCTAGTTATAGGAAAATAAGCTCAGGGCTCCCACTGATTCTACATTATGGTGAATAAGTAATAATGATAGAAATAAAGTGTACAGTAAGTGTAACATGCTTGAATCATCCAAAACCTCCCCCCACATTTGTAGCAAAATTGTCTTCCACAAAACCAGTCCCTGGTGCCAAAAAGGTTGCGGACTGCTGCCATAAATGGTATGCACAAAATATACAGATACTTATGCCATACAACAAGGTAAGACAAATTACAAATGTGTGAGAAAGGAAAAAGGAAACCCAAGTTAGTAACATAAAATATAGCTGTAAAATAGGACTTCACAGAAATTCATACCATGAAGTCCTATATACTTGCTCCAAATGGGTTGCACATCAGCAAATGGGGCTCAGAAAAGCCAGTAATAAAGGAAAAACACGATCATTTGGGCAAACTATAGTTCCAATCATCTAAAAAGAAGCCACACAACTCTTTCTGATACTCACATCAAGAAGAACTTAAAGAAGACACTATGTAATAAACATCTTTAACAATATTCTTATTGGAGACTGTTATGGGCTAACTTGTGTTCCCCCCATCCCACCCCTTGTCCTAAATTTATATGTTAAAGTCTCAACCCCCAGTGTCTCAAAATGTAATTATATTTAAAGATAAGGTCTTTAAAGAGGCAACTAAGTTAAGGTGAGATCATTAGGGTAGAACCTAATTCAACATGACTGGTGTCCGTAGGATATAGACAGGCACAGAGACAAAACCATGTGAAGACAAGAAGACACCAAGGAGAGAAGACTCAGAAGAAATCACCTCTGCTGATACCTTCTTTTTGGACTTCTCACCTCCAGAACTGTGAGGAAATAAATTCTGTTGTGTAAGCCACCTACTTTGTGGTACTTTGTGATGGTAGCCCTAGCAAACTAATACAGAGATACAGTAATATGTTTCCTAAGGGCTATCTCTAGTACCATCCCTCTTTTCAGGCTGAAGACAGCACCCTAATTTACCCAGATTCCTCCTTCCCTACTTCCCAAGCCTGCCCCCACATCCCACTGAAATTCACATGACCATTGTAGGAACTATGTGACCTTGCCATGCTGGCCACAGCTAATTGGCCTGGAGGCAAAGAACCTGACCCCAGCTGGCCCAATCAGTCTTTTCCTGGGATTTTTCCACCTGGAACCGAGAGTGCTTGACATTAGTCCTCTCTGGCAGCAGAAGTCATAGGATGTAAGCCTCATAAGCAGTCAGTGGCCATATATTATCCCAAGCAGGGAAGATGAATCTGTGAGAAGGATGAAGCCAGACAAAGACAGTCTTAGCTTCATTCCAATCTCTAGTTCATTCTTTAATTTAACATTATTTATTGAAGGCTTAGTATGTTCCAGGTACTGGTTCAGTCACTCCTGAAGTCCGTTGCATCCCTGCTTTCCTTGCAACATAGTTGTTCCTACCCTTTCATTGATTCCACCACCAATAAAGCCCGCTTTTTGCCTAAGTCAAATGGGGTTGGATTTCTGTTGCTTATAACCAAAGTATACACCACAATCCCCTACATCCTCCTTTCCCCTCTAGTTACTCTGGATTGCTGGCAGCTTCTTGAACAATTTCTGTTGTCACAGGGTAACAAGAGTCAGGTCAAGGGGTAACTATGCTTCCTTTTTTCAGTCTTCTCCATATAAAAATAAACAATGTTCAAATATTAATTATGCTGGTTTCTTTGTTCTGCTTGTAAAAGCTCATCTTTTACCCCCAGATACCTGAGCTGATCCAGACACTCCTCACTCTCCTACACTTGAGGGGATGGTCACAGAGGCTTTTTCTTACAACTATGTGATTATTTCAAAATGTAGGAAGTAGCTAACCACTTTTATAACCTCTCCTAGTGCAGAAATGACTGGTGGTGATGAAATTCAATCATGAACTCACATTGTATGTATTAATGACATTTCTTCCATGTAGTAAACTCCTCTCATTTCTTTAATTTTACTGTTAAGTATCAAGCTGGTACATTATTTGTCCACTTCATATGAAATTTATCTTTTAAGAAAGAGGCACAGAGATTTTTGTGTAGCTTACTTGTATTCTCATTTTGTGGATTTTATATTTTTCCCAGAACAGAGATCAAAAAACTATTAACTGACTTTCAGCCTTAACTAGGAAATGGGCACCCAATCAAAGATTTTTTTTTGAAACATTTCTTCATAGTAGGTACCCATTACATATTGTTGAATAGATGTGTTCTTATTCTGATAAATAACACTGAGTGGAAGACCTAGTACTGTTTTTATTCAGAAATGTCTGTATTATTTCTACTACTGGGTGGAAACACAGAGTTGTTAGCAACTTGAGTTTGCATACCAGAACCGCTATTTAGTAGGTGGTAGGCCTCTGCCAAGTAGGTCACTGGACTGCAGAGCCTCAGTTTTTCTCACCTATAAAATGGGAATTAAAATACCTATTTTGCAGAGTAGTTAGATGATTAAGTCAAATGATGTAGGTAAATGACTGTCATGAGTGCCTGCCATAGTGTGAGTGTTTCAGTTAGTTTTAGGTGTCAACTTGACAGAATTAAGGAATACCTAGAGAGCCAGTGAAGGATTACTTCTGGGAAGGTTCATGAGAATGCTTTCAGAGGAGACTGGTTTGTGTGTTTGTGGACTGAGTCGGGGATATCTGCCCTCAATGTGGGTGAGCACCATCCTATTGGCTGGGGACTTGATAGAACAAAAAAGGCAGGGAAAAGGTGATTGTTTTCTCTCTCTTTCCTGTAACTGGGCCACTCTTATTCTCCTGACCTTGGACATCAAAAACTCCAGCCTTTCTTGCTTTTAAACTCCAGAGCTTACACCAGAGGCCCCCACCTCCGGGTCTCAGGCCCTCAGGCCCTCAATCTTGGACTGATAATTATACCATCAGCTTTCTTAATTCTGTAAAAGCTTTCAGACTTTGGCTGAGCCATGCTACCAGCATCCCAGGGTTTCCAGCTTACAGACAGCATGTCATGAGACTTCTCAGCCTCTATAATCATATAAGCCAATTCTAATAAATCCCCTCTCATGTCTACCTATCTATCTATCTATCTATCTATCTATCTGTCTATATTTTATTGGTTCTGTCTCTCTGGAGACTGCTACTATAATGGACATTCAAGAAATTGTATTATTGTCCAATTCACTGTATAATTGCTTGCCTGTAATTTTCAATTGCCTTATATGTTACTGTCTATCCTTTCTTTTATAATTTTCTTTTTATCATTTGATACATATGATTGTGCTTTGGGTGACACAAGACCGCTACCCAGACATTTTTTTTTTTAACTTTAGCATGCCTTTCAGCCAAAGATCAGCAGGAACACATCTGTTGGGTTTATTACTATTGCAGGGAAGGAAACCACACACCATGGGGAACCCTCTTAGTAAGAAGGAGTTAGAGAGGACTTACCGGATTTAGGCTTGCATTAGGTGATTTAGGGAGCAGTAAAAGAAATAGGGCTTTTGTATGGGTTGGATGATCTCAGGAAGAAGGGGTAATTCTATGATTGGGTATCTTAATAAATCTTCTGTAAAAAGAGGGGAGGCTAAGATTGTAATTGGTAAAGAAACAGCAGTCACTCAGATTAGTAAGAACAGGGGGATGTTTGGTCCTTGTTGTGGTTTGGGCAATGTTCATATTTTTGTCTGTGTTCACACATGATACACAGTGGTCTTGTTTATATCTTGATCTATCACGGTCAACAGAGTGACCTTGAAGATCCTGATGTTCTGAGAAATTGTTTACATTCAACAGAAGAACACTATGACCCATCTCTAAGTGCCAGGCTAGTTCCTAACAACAACAAGACCTAGCTGTAAGTGTCAGGCCAGTTTCCAGAGGTCAGGCTGCTTTTCTCATTCTTATGTATTAGCATGCTCTGTAATAGAATTTAGGTGCAGACAACAGACACCACTCTAGCTGTCTCATGAGAACATGACTTAATATAGGGAATTAGGTGCTTACAAAATTGTTGGAAGGACTGGAATAACAGCTCTGGGCTTGGAATCCAGGAACAACTCCAAGAACTGCTGCATAGAGCTAGTCCTCCATGGGAGCTGCCAGCTATTCCTTCTCCACCTTTGTGATTGTGGTGACCGCTGCTGAAATTCTTGGCTCCAGGAACACATTAGCTAATTTGCTCTTCAGAGATCAGGAAACTGTTGCTGCAACTATTACTTTTATTTATTTATTTATTATTTTTAGATGGAGTCTTGCTCTGTTGCCCAGGGTGGAGTGCAATGGCACGATCTCAGCTCACTGCAACCTCTGCCTCCCGGGTTCAAGCGATTCTCCTGCCTCAGCCTCCTGAGTAGCTGGGATTACAGGCATGCATCACCACACCTGGCTAATTTTTGTATTTTTAGTAGAGACGGGGTTTCACCATTTTGGCCAGGCTGATCTTGAACTCCTGACCTCGTTCTTTGCCCACCTCAGCCTCCCAAAGTTCTGGGATTACAGGCATGAGCCACTGCACCCAGCCTACTTTTTAAAAAATGTTTTATTTATTATATTTGTATGTGTTATTTTATTTAGAGATGGCATCTTTCTGTGTCACCCAGGCTGGTGTGCAGTGGTGAAATCACAGCTCACTGCAGCCTCAAACTCTTGGGCTCAAGAGATTCTCCCACCTCAGTCTCCCAAGTAGCTAACTAGGACTGCAGGCTAATTTTAACTATTACCTTTAAAGCCGTACAACACCTGCTAGGTCCATAGTAACTCCTCTGAGTCCTGCCTCTTGGCTGTCGCCAGTAGTAACCAAAGCAGCACAACCTCTGCTACCTCTGCCACAGTATAACCCAACATTGCAATGACCACCTTTGCCAACAGCAGCGGCACAAGTTCCAGTAGCCTATTTGCTATATCACTTCCAGTTTCCAGATCTCACTTCTGCAGTCTGATTGCCTTAACCCAAATCATATCCAAAACCCTAGCTGCAAGGGAGTTTGCGAATCATATGGTTTAGGTTCTCCAGCCGCTGCAGTAGGAAGCCATACTATAAGGAGATTGGAACGGATGTTAATTTCCAAGCCAGCCTGTTCACCACCGGCCCTAACCAGAAGTAAAGAGGCCTGGATCTAAGCCTCATCCAGTCACTAATTTGCTATATAAAGTTAAAAAAATTCTCACCTTTCAGAGACTCAGTCTCCATGACCAAGTTACACTGGTTGATAACCAAGTTTCTTTCTGATTCTAGAATTTTATGGCTCTATTATGAATTTTGTTGAAGTTTTCTTAGGTGTATTAATTTTGAAAAGCATTTTCCATACTTTTTAACATAATAATGTTTTTCTCATGAATACCCAGAGTAAGACTAGGAAACCTCCAAGATACCCCCTAATGAGTTTTACCTCCCAGTATTGTCACCCTCTCATGTTGAATATGGCTGACCTGTATAACCAATAGGATATTGTGCAAATGACAGTATGTGGCACCTAATTACAAGGCTAGGTAATTAAAAAATTGCAGCTTCTATCTTTGCTCTCTCTTGGATCACTTACTCTGGGTGAATCCAGCTGTCATGTCATGAGGACACTCAAGCAGCACAATGAAAAGGTCCACGTGGTGGGGACTGAGGCCTCTTGCCAACAGTCAGCATCAACTTGCCAGCTATATGAATGAGTAAGCAAGCTGCCTTGGAAGTGAAGGCCTCAGTGCATGTCAATCCTTCTGGAGACTCCACCCCTGGCTGATATCTTGACTGCAGCCTCACGTGAAGCTTTGAGCCAGAACTACCCATCTGAATCACTCTCGAATTCCTGTCTCACAGAAACCATATGAGATCATAAATACTGAATGCTGCTTTAAGCCATTAAGTTCTGGGGTAAATTGTAATTATGCAGCAACAGAAAATTAATGCATTCCCTGATTAGTATACAAAATAGCATGAGAATTGCTGAATTTTATTTCCTAGTCTCCAGGATCAACTTTTATTTGCTTGTTCTTTTCTGACATGAAGCTGGTAGCCTTTGAGACTGTATCTCTAGACATCAGAAGTCATTAAGAAGTGTGTAAATCTGAATTAAGATTAAGTACTTATTTTCTGAGATTTAAAAAAAATGTGGTAATGGGCAGACAGAAAAATTCCTTATTGTTAACATTCTAAATAGTAACTATTTTCTCAGGAAAAATGCCAGGCATTTGAAACTTATCATAGGACTAATATAACCTTTAATAATAAAGCTAGCTGGGCATGGTGGATCACACCTGTAATCCCAGCACTTTGGTAGGCCGAGGCAGGAGGATTGTTTAAGGCCAGGACTTTGAGACCACTCTGGTTAACGATAGTATGACTGCATTTCTCATAATAATTAATAATAAAATAAATAAATAATAAAAATAAAGCTAACGAAAGCATAATCGTTGAAATGATTCCTTCATAGATATCCCAATCAACTCTGCAAAATGACTCTTTATCTTAATGAAGGAACTATGGTGTGTTCAGAGGTTAAAAAACATACCCATCTGTTAAGGAAAGATAAAAGTTGCTTGCTAATGAATTATTTTGGATTTTAATCTAAAAGGCAAAGAAATCAGTCTAATTTCTTGTAGTTTATGATGGTTTAAAGTTTCATCTAAGAAAGAAAGCTTAACAAAACTTGTTATATATTTCTTGACTAACTTTTTATTTATTTATTTTTTAAATTGAGATGGAGTCTCTCTCTGCCACCCAGGCTGGAGTGCTGTGGTGCAATCTCAGTTTACTGCAGCCTCTGCTTCCTGGGTTCAAGCTATTCTTGTGCCTCAGCCTCCTGGTGTAGCTGGGATTACAGGCACCTGCCACCACCCCTGGCTAATTTTTTTGTATTTTTAGTAGAGACAGGGTTTTACCATGTTGGCCAGACTGGTCTCGAACTCCTGACCTCAAGTAATCTGCCCACCTTGGCCTCCCAAAGTACTGGATTACAGGCGTGAGCTACTGCGTCCCGCCATATTTCTTGACTAACATTAATTTTTATTAATGCTCTTTTCTCGATCCTGCACCCATGTCTGGTAAGGACATAGTTACTTAGAGCAGCAAACTTCCACTTATGAAAAACGAGACTGAGTGAGTTATGGAGAAGATGTTAAATAGAAGTCTGAGTTGTAAGTACCACAGACTGTTTATGAATTGGCTTGAGAAAAAAAAAAAAGAATTTACTGGACAGCCACTTTAGTGTCCTGGAATTCAAGTCACAGCCAAGTTTGGATAGAGCTGAGGCCTCGGGCACCAATGGAGCTGAAGCAGGAAACTCTCAGCTCTCTCCCCTCGCCTCACCTCTGCCGCTCTGGATGCCAGCTTTGTCTTCCGAAGACTGGCTTTCTTTTTGCTGTAGAAAACATGGTTGTTGGCAGTTCCTGAGTTTCATACTTTTCAGCTTTAGTCACTGAAGACTTGTTCTCTGGTTTCAAATGCCAACTTTCAATGAACTCTACCAGTGGCAGGTGGCCATGTTGATCAACATGGCTGCTCCTGCAGTAGTTGGGGAGGGAGAGAGATTTCCCAGAAAAATAAGTGGGTTGGGAAGACAAAACCATACGTACCATATGTTAGGTTTCTAGGGCTGCTGTAACAAACTACCACAAACTGGCTGGCTTAGACATCAGACATTTATTATTTCACAGTTCTGGGGTTTAGAAGTCCAAGATCACAGTGTTGGCAGGGTTGGTTCCTTCTGAGGACTCAGAGAGAATCTGTTCCAGGCCTCTCTCCTAGCTTTTGGTGGTTTGTTGGCAATCTCTGGCTTTCCATAAGCATCAGCCTGATCTCTGCCTTCATCTTCACACAGCATCTGTTGCCCAGGCTGGAGTGCAGTGTCACAATCTTGGTTCACCGCAGCCTCGACCTCCTGGGCTCAAGCGATCTTCCCACCTTAGCCTCCCAAGTAGCTGCAAGTTTCCCTGTTTTATATAAAGCATCAGTCATATTAGATTAGGGCCCACCACATATTAGTATGTCCTCATCTTAACTGAGCTAATTATATCTTCAATGACACTGTTCCCAAGTAAGGTCTCATTCTGAGGTGCTGGGGGCTAGGATTTCAACATATAATCAAGCTTATCCAACCTGAGGCCTGCTGCAAGCAGCATGTGGCCCAGGACAGCTTTGAATGCAGCCCAACACAAATTAGTAAACTTTCTTAAAACATTATGAGATTTTTTTGTGTGATTTATTTTTTAACTCATTAGCTATCGTTAGTCTTAGTGTATTTTTTTTTTTTTTTTTGAGATGGAGTCTCGCTCTGTCACCAGGCTGGAGTGCAGTGGCGTGATCTTGGCTCACTGCAACCTCCGCCTCCTGGGTTCAAGCAATTCTCCTGCCTCAGCCTCCCGAGTAGCTGGGACTACAGGTGCGCACCACCACACCCAGCTAATTTTTGTATTTTTAGTGGGGTTTCACCATGTTGGCCAGGATGCTCTTGATCTCCTGACCTTGTGGTCTGCCTGCCTCAGCCTCCCAAAGTGCTGGGATTACAGGCAGCAGCCACTGCACCCGGCTAGTGTTAGTGTATTTTATGTATGGCCCATGACAATTCTTCTTCTTCCAATGTGGCCCGGGGAACCCAAAAGATTGGACACCCCTGGAAGGGTCTATTCAACCCATAGGATTTCATACAGGGCAGTGCCTCATACACAGGGTATCAGAGATCAAAGAATGGAGGCAAGAGGCGAGGGCAAAGAGTCATAAACTAGAATCATGAATTCCTTCAGATTTCATCTTGCAAGAGAGAAAAATAAGTAACAAAATCTGCATCCAGAGAAAGAAATGCGGAATTTTTTTGTGATGGTAGAGGTAAGATAACCATCAAATATGTAGAATATAATGTGAAATACCACTGTGACTGTAGTGGCAAATCAGACACGTCAACCTGCTGGGCCTGCTCCATTTTTCTTCCTCATGCTCACCTCCATTTAGCGGCGTCTATTTGCCAGGGGTGAAGGTGGGGTGGGTAGGGGGTGTTAATGGAAATCAGCAGAACAAAAATCGCAGCTTCTTGTGCTCCCCAGCAAACCTGAACAAGAGAGGGGAGCAGAGAGAATTTGGAGAGAGAAGGAAGTCAGGTGCAATGGTGAAATGCCCTGCTTCCACTCCTACCTCCATACGAGTGCTGAAGGGAGCTTACAGTTTGGCGTTCAAGAGTCCCAGCACTTTGGGAGGCCGAGGTGGGCAGATCACGAGGTCAGGAGATTGAGACCATCCTGGCTACCACGGTGAAACCCCGTCTTTACTAAAAATGCAAAAAATTAGCCAGGCGTGGTGGCACGTACCTGTAGTCCCAGCTACTCGGGAGGCTGAGGCAGGAGAATAGCTTGAACCCGGGAGGCAGAGGTTGCAGTGAGCCGAGATTGCACCACTGCACTCCAGCCTGGGCAACAGAGAGAGACTCCGTCTCAAAAAAAAAAAAAAAAAAAAAAAAAAAAAAAAAAAAAAAGAGTGAAGTGGACCTCTACCTCATTTTCTGCCAGGGCCCCTTGAGAGACAAAGCCCTACAGATGCCCCCTGTTGCCCGGAATATTTGGAGGGCATCGAGACAGCAACAAGTGGCTCCTGGGGCCCAAGATGACAGAGGAAACCAGCAAGATCCCTGGAACCTCCATCTCCTTGCACTGCCCATCCCACGAGGCCAGATGGAAGTCTCCACTGCAGCAGCACCAGTGGACAGATGCAAACCAGCCACACTGCCATAGTGGCTGCCTGTGAACCCAGGTCCATCCAAAGGCAGGGGAGGGGCAGAATCTTTCACTGATCGAGTGTTTAATCAGCAGAGACTGATAAAGTACTCAATTAAGCTAGATTTGGTACCTGAAATTAACATAAATTAACAGAATTAAGGTTTTCACTGTCAAAGTGGAAAATCAGAATCGGAGATCTGATTGCTTATAAAGTTCAATGACCAAGTTGAGTGTGTAAAAAATGAAAAACTATTCTGTCTGTTATGCTTTCATTTATTTAGCCATGGGATAGACTGAACACAAGCATCTCATTTGCACAGCAAATCAGAGGGTTGTGCTATTATTACCATTTTACAGATAAGAAGACTGAAGCCTAGGGAAGTTGAAAAACTTGGACTCAAAACCAAGTTTGAGTGAATTGTACGGCATGTGAATTTTATCTCAAAAAAGTGGCTACAAAACAAAACAAAATGAAACAGGTCTGCTTGGTCATAAAGCCCATATACCATACACCACAGAATATATCTGGTTTAGGTTGGGCTATTGCTGGCAGGAAGAATAGGTTAGTTCAGGTCATATTCTTCCTTTTTAAGAGAGTGTGATATATCCCAAAGCAGAGATTTATTAATTTTCTTTTAAAAACAGTTCTAAGGGCCTGACAAAACAAACTGATAAAAGTTCTGCGTTTGGAAAAAACAACAACAACAAAAAAAAAAGTTTTGCATTTTTGTGTTCATGGGGATGAGAGTTCCATAAAGAGTTACATTGTCTCCTCAAAACACTAAGGCCACACTGAAGTTGGCTTTGCTTAAGAAAGGGGAAAATTCACTTAGATTCATTCAATGTGGCTTTAGTGCTTTGGACATTAACTTAGATTCATCACTTTTCTTTCCCTTTTTTTTTTTTTTTTTTTTTTTTTGAGATGGAGTCTCACACTGTTGCCCGGGCTGGAGTGCAATGGCACAATCTTGGCTCACTGCAACCTCTGCCTCCCGGGTTCAAGCGATTCTCCTGCTTCAGCCTCCCGAGTAGCTGGGATTACAGGCACGCGCCACCATGCCCGGCTAATTTTTTGTATTTTTAGTAGAGACTGGGTTTCATTATGTTGGCCAGGCTGGTCTCAAGCTCCTGACCTCAAGCGATCTGCCTGTCTCGGCCTCCCAAAGTGCTGGGATTACAGGCGTGAACCACCGCGCCTGGCCAGATTCATCACTTTTCAAAACTATGTTTCGTGTGCTATTAATAAAAATCTTAATTTAATCCCTTATTTAAGGCACTGGTACCACTTTGAAGAGGGAATTGCCAAATACACTAGGAGGAATTCATACCGTTTTTATGTCCTTCTAAATGCAAAGTGGATCATAACATTATAAGATTTATGAAGAAATATTCATTCTGTTTTTTAAAGTTTCTTCTAAGTTCACAAGCACGATGACCTCTTGTTTCATAATTTATGGTAATGAATTCACGTTGTAGCTCATTTTGTAATACATTCTCTTAGAAAAATTACTTGACCTGGGGTGTTAAAATGGATATGTACTGAGATGACAAGTTTGAAAGCCTTTCAAGAGCTCTGTTCACAAGTTATCAGAGGAATGAAGGCGACATTTCAGAGTCCTTTAATTATGTCAGATGATGTGATAAGGAAAATAATATCCTAACTGACAAATCAAAATCATACGTTGGGATGAAGTCAGTTACATACACAATAGATTCCTTTCTCTTGAAAGCGATGGTCTGGACACATTTCAGTAACTTTCTTCTTTAGCCACAAACAGTGAACCACAGAGAAAGCATGAAGTCTGCATTTCTGCATGGGGCATTTTCAAAATGCTGACTTGCTGCCATGGAAGGTCGCCCAGCGTACTGAGCAAAGTGAAAAAAATGCAAGTTGCACAACAATGCGTGCAGTGTGACACCATTCACAGGGGAAAACAGATATGATAAGATGTATTATGACCTGATACAATACTATACTATATTATGTTATGTAGAAGGACAATTCTGAAAAGACCCAAAGGAAACAGTTAATAATTGTTGCTTTTGGGAAGAATAAATTGGGGATGATGGTGTCTTTTGCATATTATATTTCAAAAGGTTTTATGTTAGCAATATTAAAAATATTAAAATGAACGAGTAAAGAAAATAGAAAAGAAAAGAGAGTTGCCACATCGTAAAGAATAGCAGGTAAGGAGGCTCGGTTTGTCCAGCGGGAATGGACCCCAGCATCCCTCACTTGGTCATTCATCAGCGATTAGTTGACTCCTTTGTATGTGAACATCCTGATGTACTGTCTCATCTCCTTTGATACCATACACCCTGACAGGGTGTCCAATTGATTTCATGCAGGGCAGCAACTCATACACAGGTTGGACAAGCTTGATTAGCTCAGTTGGTGTGAGAGAACCAACAGCAAAAAATAAACCCTGGAGAAGTTCAGTTTTGACCTTCTTGCTCCATTGTCCTGCTAATGCGGAATATTGAAAACATCTATTCTGTGAGATTTGTAGAATACAGTTTGATTTATTTTACTTTACGATTCAAACTGTATGCTTTCACTTTTTAAAAGGACCACATATCCATGTGGAAAGAGAAACATCTATTTTCTAGACATTTTAAACCTTCTCTGAGCTGTCATTTTATTCTTCAGAGTCTACCTTCCTTCAGCTGGAGATCTGATGTGCTGGTAGAGAATCAATGGTGGTATATTTGAAAAATCAATGCTAATGGGTTCCAACATCAAATCAAAAGGTGGGTATTTCCAGTGAAAACTTTCAAATGTATTAAAAATAGCACTCGGTTTGTTATTTTTTAATAGAATGTAAGATTTTGAAGAATTTGGCAAAGTGTCAGAGATAGGCTACAAGCAAGTCTGTGTATAAGCAAATACCTGCCAGCCTTGTTATCTGAGCTGGGGGGCTTTGCTGTGCTTCTCTCTGATTTCTGAGATGTGACATGCCCACAGAACAAAACTCCTTTCTAGGATATAACAGAGAAAACTAGATTCCAGAGATGTGGCCTCGTTTTCATATTTCTGTCCCTTAAAAGTGCTATGTTCATTCTCACTGCGGGTTCTTCACATTACTTTTCCTTCTGCTTGGAATGGTTTTTCCTAAGATCTTCACATAGCTGCCTTTGTTCCATCATTTAGATCTATGATAGGTAGAATAACAACCCTCTTCTGCCCCCATGCCCTCCTACCCCCGAACCCTGATGATGTCCTAATCCTTGGAACTTTACTGACGTGATTAAGTTAAGGATGTAGAGATGGGAGGATTATCTAGGTAGGTCCAATGTATTCACAAGGGTCCTTTTAGGTGTAAGAAGACAGGAAAGTGAGTATCAGAAGCACAAAAGGGTCTGAGGATGCTAATCTGCTGGTTTTGCAGTTGGAGGAAGAGGACCACAGGAAGGACTGCTGACATCCTCTCAATGCAGGAAAAGGTAGGGAAATGGGTTCTTCCTAGACCCTCAGAGAGAATGCAGCCCTGCTGACAACCTGCTTTTAGCTTAATGAGACCTCTGTTGGACATCTGACTTTCAGAATTATGAGTTCATAAATTTGTAGGATTAAGTCATTAAATTTTGGTAATTTACCATGGCAGCAATAGGAAACTAATACAAGGTCATAACTCAATTGTCACCTCTTAGAACTTCTTCAAACCCCAACTAAAGAGTCTTCAATCACTCTTTACTGTGTCATTTTATACTCTTCATAGTATTTATCAATACCTGAAAAAATTTGAGATAATAAGTACAATTTTAAATAGTTTTCTTCCATTCGAATATGAACTCCTAGAAGCAGCAGGGACTGTCTTGCTCACCATGGTAGCCCCAGCACCTAGAATAATGTCTGGCACATAGTAGGTCCTCATGAAAACAGTACTGCTCCTTCCTTTACAGTCATTCTTCTTCCTCCTCCTCTTCTTTTCCAGAATATATCTGTGGGAAGAAAAAAAAATTTCATTTAAAATATTTGTTTTTTTTGGAAAATAAGCCATTTGGAGCAATTTTTAAATGGATGGGTGTAAGAGTCCTCTTGCACCTCTCCCCTCACCTGCTTGCTTTTTTTCCCAAGGTTGAGAGTGAGTCTGGCCAAGTAAGTTATTCCAGAATTCCATCAGATAGTTCAAGCCAAGAAAGGGGCTGAAATTTCAAGATTTGTATCTCTGATAATTCATTGAGGGATGAAAATTGGGCCTGAGCTTGACGTATTTCTAGATGTGACGTTACTGTTCATTGGTGGTTTAGTGGAAATCTTCCGCAGGCAAGTACTACAGAAGAGATTGGAGGATGGGTGGGTGGAGGCATTTGTGAAATGCCTGTGCTTGGCACACAAGAGTCTACCTTCCTTGGCCACTGTGGACTTGTCCAGCCTCATCCTTACTCTCTCCCCTTTATGCAGGTTATGTTCCAAGATCCCTGGAATTCTTGCTGATCCCTTGAAACACTATGCTTTCATTCCTTGTATCTTTCTCCTGCTGCTTCTGAGCCTGAAAGGTCTGTCTTCTCTTTGTCTCTGTGGTAAACTCCTGGTCTTCCTTGAGAGAACAGTTTTCTTCTTCTACTCCTGTCTGTGTCTCCCTGGGTAACTTGTATTTACTAAGAGTTCTAACAGATACTTCTTCATGGTCATCTGTCTGAAGACAGGGACACTGTCTCGTGCCCTCTTGAATCCCAAATGCAAAGCATAGGTATGGCACAGTCATCTTCTGGAGGTAGGAATCTCCATCCTGCATTAGACTGGACCAAGATCATGCACTATTCATTTCTGAATCTCAGAATCATGATGGCCTGGAGTGGCACTGAATATGTGTTTAATGGCTAGACTTAAATGGCACGGGTGACAGAGACTGCTTGCTATTCCCTAGTGATATTTTTAACTTATAAGATTTTTACCTTGACACTTAGCTAACTGGAACATTTCTCAGCTTTATAGCCAGCTATGGCCAAGTGATCATGTTACAGTCAATGAAATTTGAGTGGAAGTGTCATGTGGTAGATTCTAGAAACCTTTGTTAAGAGATGGATGCAATGTGCCCTTTCTTTGGATTCTGTCTCCTATCTTCCAGTTTGGAATATAAATGCCTTTAGTCGTGTGTCATCAGAATCCCAGTGCAGTACCCTGGGACTAGTAACAGTGAGAAAGTGTTACCACTCCAGGCCTGGGGCAAAAGAAAGGAGACGTTAATTGGTATCTGGAAGAAGAGTGTTCTTTGAGGGCCTCCCATCAGGAGCCATAACTTTCTATGGAAAGAACTAGCAGCCTGCAGGGACGTAGCTAAGAAAATAAATATCTGACCCCTCACCCTTCTGCATCCTCAAATCAATGCTCCCTATAAGCTGAACCAACCAGAAATCAGAAAATAAGGGAGCCCATTGATGTGAAGCTTGGAGGCCCATCTCCAAGGGAATAACAGGTGGAGTAGAGATATCTAGCACACCTGGGTAGACCTGCTTTCTCATTTTTAAGATAAGGGAATTAGATTAAATGATCTCTACTATTCTTTCTGGTTGTAATATTTCAGTGGATTTTCTCCATTCAAGCATTTTACAAGCCTTCCTGTTACCTACAGTCAGGCATTCCTGAGCATCAGGTCTTATAGACCAATGTTCCCAACTCAAAATTATATTAATTGATGAAAGGAAGACAACTAGAACAATGGGTCATATTAAAGAGCCCATAAACAGACCCACACATATATGAACAATTGATTTTATGATAAAAATAGCACTGTAGAGTAGTGGCAAAAGGATTATCTTTGTAATAAATCATGCTAGGTCAATTGTATTCTTACACAGAAAAAAATAAATATTAACCTGTACCTCATACATAATTATATTTGGACTATGAACCTAAATGTAAAATAAACAAAGCTCCTAAAGAAAACATAAGAAAGTATCTTCGTGACATTGCTATAAGGTAAAAGAATGAACAAAAGACTTGAAAGAGCATTTCATAAAAGAAGCATATCCAAATGGCCAATAAACATAAGATAAGGCATCTAACTTCACTGGTTATCACCAAGATGACTAACATTACAAAGATTGACAGTAACACATGTTGATGAAGATGTGGAGCAACTGGAACTCTCATACTCTGCCAGCGAGTATGAAAATTGGTATAGCCACTTTGGAAAACTGTTTTCTAGTATCTACTAAAGTTGAACATATGTAAAACCTATGGCCCAGAACAAATAGGTCTATCCACAAAAGATATGCATGTGTATATTCACTGAAAAACAAATACAAGAATATTCATTACAGCATTATATGTAAGGGAGAAAAACTGGAAAAATGAAAGTGGAAACCAAGAGTACAGTGGATAGAAGACTTGAGGTGTGTTTACATAATTAAATGCTAATATAGAGCAATAAAAATGAATGAATAATTGCTACATGCAACCATGAGGCTGAAACTCATGAAAAGTACATAGAAAAGCAAATACTGAATGATTACTTTTACCTAGATTAAAAACAGGCAAGCAATAATGGTGTCAGAAAGCAGGGTTATGTTTACCTTTTGGGAGGATATAGGGATTGGGGTCGGGGCAAGAGGACAGCTACTGGGGTGCTGGTAACTTTTTGTTTGTTTGATCATGGTCATGGTTCTATGAGTGCGTTTACAGCAAAAGCTCTTTGAGCTATACAGTGATTTCTGCCTTTTTTTTTTTTTTTGAGGTGGAGTTTTATACTTGTCACTCAGGCTGGAGTGCAATGGTGTGATCTTGGCTCACTGCAACCTCTGCCTCCCAGGTTCAAGCAATTCTCCGGCTTCAGCCTCCTGAGTAGCTGGGATCACAGGCACGGGCACCATGCCCAGCTAATTTTTGTATTTTTAATAGAGATAGGGTTTCACCATGTCGGTCAGGCTGGTCTTGAACTCCTGACCTCAGGTGATCCTCCCACCTCAGCCTCCCAAACTGCTGGGATTACAGGCATGAGCCACTGTGCCCAGCTGGCTTGTGCTTATTCTTATAAATAGAGACTTAGAAATTTATCGACTTCAGTAAGTAAACGTTATCATTGAATACATTTTTTTTTTATAAAAGCTGGAGCAAGAACCTGAACACTAGTCCTTCCATATTCAATAGTAATATAAGGATCAGGACAAGAGCATGTCTGTGTTGCCATTGAGGAAGTAACAACAGTGAACACTTCCAAAGAAGATTTCTTTGAACAGATGTTCAAAACCAAAAAGGTTTCCCAAGTCATTTGTGAAACCAAATTTTCCTGCAGTCTGGAGTCCCGGGTATTGTGTCAGGAATCATATGCAATGAGATCATTTTCTTTTGCCCACATTTCTGCCTGATAAAGAAAATAAATCTATTTGACAGAGCAAAGAATTGCCTCATATGAAAATACACTGAGAAAAAGGCAGCATTATTCTCAACTCCTAATGCCTAGGAGAAAAATGATATGAGGTTTAAAAGAGTTTTCTGCCCTGAGAAAGGTTCAATTTTTACAGATTCTCTCAGCAATTAGTGCATTTATGAAATAAATTCTGGGCCATCCACAAGCTAATTCCAACAAGTATTGTAAGTGGCTTTACTGAAAAGACATATCAAAATAATGACAAAAACAACAATGATAACCACAACACCCCAAACAAGAGCCATGTTGATGACAAGAGGGGTTAGAGGTAGTTTTAATATAAAATCTGTCTATGCTAAAGAAAGTTAAACTAACTGAGCACCACACTTAACTATTACCCTCCTGGTGGCCAAGGCAAAAAGAAACCTCATAAATTGTTTAGCTCATTAAAAAGAAAAAAAAAAAAGAAAGAAAAAGGAAGGAAGGAAGTGTGCTAGTGCAACATGAGAGACAAACATTCCTAGAATAGTAAGAGAAAGTAATCAGGAGGGTTTGTTTTACATATGGTTTTAAACATCATAATAGAATTTGTCATTATAGGAAGTTTTATAGTATATATGAAACATTCTCAATTATCCCTGGCAAAAGGCAAAGGCATAACAACATTAAGTCGTGGTTTCTTAAAGGTACAATGTAATCAATGAACTCCTGGCTTTGAAGCAGTTGTGTAGTGTCCTGGAGGATGTGAAGAATTTGTGTAGCCTGAGTTTCCTTGGTCACACTACTCTGGGCAAAGTTAGAGTAACCAGCAGGGTCTGTCTGGCCCTGCCCCTCATCAACACTGCAGAATCCCTCTAGCTGCTCCTGGGAACCCCCAGGGGATGGCACATGTGTGCTCACCATATGGCCCTTTCAGCTACCATATGACCCTGCACTCAGCTTCCCCCTGCTACAGCTCCCTGCAGTGATGTTTGTGTTGGGGCATGATGGACCCACCCCCAATGAGGACACTGACACCTCCAACCTGCTATGGCTATGCTTCAAAGCCACAAAATGTATCCCCTGCTGCTGGAGCTGTTGGCACTGACCCTTCTCTGTCTCTCTCACACCCACCAAATGTGATGCCTCCCTCTCCTTCTTCTGCCCGGATTGGGGCGAGGTGGCCACAGTGCAAATTCTGTTTTTTCTGGACTCCATACAACTCCAATCTCAACCCCAACCAGAAGGCACCATAACACTTTCTTGTGCTCTCCTCTGGACCATCCAAAAGCTGCCTTCTGGGCTGCCTGACAGTCATATTCTTAGTCTTACATGTTCCTACAGCGTCTCTTCTTTAGGAGCCAACTGTGGGGGGCTAGACCAGAAATGTTCTGATTTTGAGAAAAGCGTGAAGTTTATGAGTTTTACTTTCTGATATGGGTCTATTACCTTGAACCAAGCCAGTATGCCAGGCTTTATATCCCTAAAATACGCCTTTCCCAAAAGGAGGACCATCTTCCAGGAATGTCCAGGCATGTGTGAATCCAGGAGGAACATGGCGTGAACCTCAGCAGAGACTCCACCCATATTAGCATGTCCTTAATAGCTCCCCAATGTTTGTATTTACTGCCTAGATCTTGTCCAAAGCCAGGCTTTTCCAGAAAGTGCACATTCCTCTTCTGATCTTGCATCGTGCCAGAGAGGCAGCTCTGTTTAAATAGCAATAGTCATAGTTGCTTAATGCCTGTTTCACACCGTATACTGTGAGGCATTATTTCTGCTTTTCACAATCACTGCAAGGAAAGTGCTGCTATTCAAATTTTAAATACAAAGAGGTCAAGTAGAGAGGTTAAGTGATTTCCCCAAGGCCACAATGAGTGGTAAAGCTAAGACTCAAACCCAGATTGGTTGGAATCAAGCCTAGGCTTGTCTTGTGTAATACAGTTCAGTATTACCCAGGCCCTGGAACCGAAATCTGCGTATGAACAGCTCTCTTAGGACATATTCAAATATTTTCATCCTCTTTGCTGAGAATTTAAGAGATGAATGTGGACTCCCAAACACACACAGCCTCTTGAGTCCTGGCATAAAGTCTGTTCTCAGACTTCTTTAGATAGATTTCACACTGTCATCATTTTCTAACCTAGGGTAGCTTCCACCTCAAGTACAATAGGAATATATTCTAGTAGTTGATCAGTTCAAATTTCCTGCATTTCCACGGCTCATTCTTGGCTCAGAAAACCCTGAGCCTACTCAGGCTGAGGGGGACCCCCCTCTTGTGCTTCCAGGTGTCACATGATTGAAACCACTTTTGCAAAGATTATGACAGCAAGAGAGGTCTAGCATGGCTGACTCCATCTTGCTTCTAGTCTCACAGGCTGACTGTCCTTGCTCATTCCTGGGCATACGCCAAGCTAACTATGGAAGGAATTTAGTTTACAGTTTAACTTTAGAACAAGGATGATAATAGTCCCTCCCTAAAACTAACCTCCTTCTTGCTGAGGGACAGAAGCTGCCTTTGTAAAACTAATGAAAGGCCATGAGATTAGGATTATGGAAGGGGCCTGAATTCTGCTAAAATGTAGGCATAGTTTTTATAATCCCTATGCTGGAGAGCATGTGGCCAGAGGCCATAATATTTGTGACTTTCACAATTATTGCTACAGATAACATCACTATTGTATAACCTAATATTGGTCTTTTGAGACGTTTTTCAGACTTTTGCATTCTGGCAACTGACTGACCCCACCTGGACACGTAACTCATGTCTTAATCACACCTGTGGTCACAACCCAGAGGCAGATTCAGCACACGAGGACCATTTTTCACACCCTTATGATTTCATCCCCAACCAATCAGCAGCACCCATTCCCTACCCACCTGTCCACCAAATTATTCATAAAAACTCTAGCCTCTGAGTTCTCGGAGAGGCAATTTGAGTAATAATAAACTCCTGTCCTTCTGCTTGGTCAGTCTTGCATTAACTAAATTCTTTCTTTACTGCAAGACTGCTGTCTCAGTAAATTGGGTTTATCTGTGCAGCCAGCAAGAAGAACCCATCAGGCAATCACATTAATACCCCTGTGAAAGCCCTTTCCCTGAAATCAACATTTCTTGCTATCTTGCTTTTTCCTGTCCCACAGCTCTGTTTCCATTTAGGGATTCCTGTGCAGCTGACTCTCACATCTACCTCCAGGGTGGAGCCTGTGACCATCTTTTGGTCATGTAATTGATTAGCTCAGCTTAGCCACCAGCCCCACCCTGAACCACACTGAGTCTCAGGACATTTTCCAGGAGTGCTGGGGCAAAGACACATTCTTTCTCATGGGATCTGAAAAAGGAAGCATGTTTCTCTGAGAGTTGCTTATGGCCATTTTGGGACTCTGAGCAGGGTCAGCCTTAGAATGCAGCCAGTATCCCAGAAGGCAGGTAGAGAAATGGAAAAGAAACCCAATGGCTGAGCTGCTGGGAGTGAGCTTGTCTTAGGCAAACCTTCCTTGAGAGTTTTCAGTCATGTGAGCCAATCAATTTCCTTCCTGGTTTGAGCCTGATTGAGCCAGATTTTCTGTTGCTTGCAATACAAGCATCTTACATCTACATTTTGCAATAATGGTCAAATTTTTTGTTGTCTCTCTCCCTAGATTGTGAGCTCCTTGATCCCTAAGAGAAAATTGGTTGAAGGAATGAAAGGACAAAAAGATAAAAGGAAAAAGAAATCAGTTGCTCATGTGTGTTGAGGACTTGTTTAAGGCCATTACCATTTAACTAGCTATTCACTGCTCTTCCTGATTCATGGACATTCCAATTAAAGAGCTGGATCCTTTGAGAAATCTTCAATACCAATATCCATGGTCAGGAACAGTGCTCATTTAGCAGAAAGGAGGTCAACTCCACCAGAACTTATGAAATCTGCAGAGCAAGGAATAACTCAGAGAATCTTGCAGATGAACTTGCATTTCTTATCATGTGATAAACAAAGAAACTTTAATTTATCCATCGTAAATCAGGGTCTTGGAAATAAAGCATGGGGAAATGGATGTCTATAGGAGCCCTCTGCAGAAATGTTGCCCCTTGACTCCAAGCTCAGAGAGGCTTGTATTTGAAGATGTCAGCAGCCTCCCGCTCCACAAATGAATCATGAGAAGGAGGGAATGAAGGTGGTTGAAGTAGGTGTGGGCCTTTCATCCTCTACAGTATGCCTATCGTGAGTATCTGATGTTGTTATGTGCACTTATGTGTACTTGCACACATGCACCCATCTAAAACAACATTTTCTGTTGGGAGTTTCAAAAGAAAAAAGTGAAGCTGTTACTGAAGCCCCAGAAGAAAAGATTTGCATAAATGGGGATGGATTTCTTGCAATCTCCCCTGGTGCTGCTTGTCCCAGTCCTTGCCCCACCCACCTACTACACACACAGGAACAGCTCTTCTCTGCAAGAAATGCTAGACAGGAGGAAGTGCCCTGGCCTTGACCTCCTGCTTTCACAGCATCACACATCAGTGGTGGTGAGTGCCGTGGAGGAAGCATTGCATGCATAACTGAGTTAGCAAATAGGAAAGAGGGCTTTCAGAGAGTAGTGGGGAGAAGAGGAAGGGTGGCAGAAAGTATTGCTGCAAGAACTAAGCTCTAGGCCTGGCACTGCCACCATATCTGAGCAAGTCCTTATGCTTCTCTACACCTTGATTTCTTCAATGGCAAACTGGGGAGATTCTGGGTAACAAGATAAGGCATGATGTCTGCTACCACATGGAAATAAGAAGGAGCACAAAAGCCATTTTTCCAGCTCCTCCAGGGTTTGTCCCACCACCACCACCAGCTACCAGGGAGACTGTGCCCTGAATTCCTTCTTTTTTTCCCATAGATGTTCAACAGCCTCCTCCACACTCAGAGTGTCTCATTTCCAGAAGACTCATGACTCCTGCCATGCTGTCCCATCTATGAATAGAGAAAAGGAACATTTACTTGGTACTCCAAAACTGTGGGGATCACAACGCAAAGACCACCTGAAAGAGTGTCACAAAGAAAAATACACCTGTAAAAGGCTACTAACCAGCTATCATCCTATCAACAGCCGCACACTCATTCACTCATTTACTTGTTCAACAAATATTTATGTCGAAGTTAATCACTTACTCAACAAATAATTATACTGCCAGGATCTGGAGGTACAAGAGTAAATAAAGTATAGAAATTCCTTTTTTGCTGTTTAGTTTAGTAGGAGATACAAGTAATAAAGCAACTTTAAAAGCACTATAATTAGATTGCCTTGGATAGAAAGTTATAAAGTACTATTATAGTGCACATCATGGTGGGGGCAGTGGGTTGCTCCTAGTCTGTCCAAAGGAAGGTGGAAGGGTGAGCAGCAGAAGTGATCAGGGAAAGAAGAGGTGGGGTTGGGTCTACAGAGAGTGTTCCAGGCAAGGAACAGCCGGGTGAGGCCTGAAGGTGAGAGTGAGAGAGGACAGGTGGGTTGCAACAGAGATTGTTTGAGGACAAGTGTGTGGAAGCGGGGAAGCCTGAATAAAGTGGTGGTAATAGTGTACTTCGGTAGATTCTTGGGCAAGAGCATGACCTTACAAATATACTTTAGGAAAAAAAAAACAGTCTGTTTTCTATATTCAGCATGCATTGGAAGTGACAGAGACCAGAGGTAGGGAGAAGGGCAAGGGGATTTTAGTAGTAATGAGGACAAGGACCAGAGTGCTATCCCTGAAAACAGAGAATAAAGAACAGGTAGAGCAAAGACATGGAATCAACCCAAATGCCCATCAATGACAGACTGGATAAAGAAAATGTGGGACATATTCACCATGGAATACTATGCAGCCACAAAAAGGAATGAGATCACATCCATTGCAGGGACATGGATGGAGCTGCAAGCCATTATCCTCAGCAAACTAACACAGGAACAGAAAATCAAACACCGTATGTTCTCACTCGTAAGTGGGAGCTGAACAATGAGAACACCTGGACACAGGGAGGGGAACAACACACACTGGGGCCTGTTGGAGGGTGGGGTAGGGGGAGAGCATCAAGATAAATAGTTAATGCACACGGGACTTAATACCTAGGTGATGGGTTGATCGTGCAGCAAACCACCATGGCACACGTTTACCTATGTGACAAACCTGCACATCCTGCACATGTACCCCAGAACTTAAAATAAAAATAAAAATTAATTAAACAAAAAAGAACAGACAACCAATAGGCTGTCTTTCAGCTTAGCCTATGCTGTACTAGGAGAGCCTGGGAGAGAACTCTGTTTAGAAATAAACAAGCCCAGGGATTGCCATCTATTTGCCCTGTATTCACTTGGACTTATTTATCATAGTGCTTTTTCAAACTGTGTTCAAAACTCCCTGGGGTTTTCCAGAGGTGCTTTAGAGACCCAATTCAACCATGTTGGCCTATTTTGGACAAACAAAGGCTTGAAAATCACCAGCATACCTTTTCACAGTGTACATGCTCTGTCCGAGGTCCAGTGCTCTTGGTGGTTATTAAAAGTGGATTTGTGTGTGTGTATCAAGACTGCCACGCACTCTCAGAAGTTCACTCTGTGCCCCCCTTCAAGCCCCTCTTGAAGACAGGAATCTCTCTATTTCTGGTTGTTCTGCCCCTGCCCTCCCTACCTAAATCCAGACCCTACTCAAAAAGGAAAATGGTTTCTCAGCATTCCTCCCCATGTTCATTATCTGGCAGCTCTTCTCTGGAGGTTGGAAAGAATTAATCCATTATTGTTGTCAACACAATCATAATAAGGCATGAAAATGAAGTGATGAGATCTTTTTTTCAGTCAAACCTCTTGAAGAGAAACAGAAAACAAAAACAGCATTTTATCTTTGACTAGAATGATTATTTCTCAAAGGAAATAACTTCAGTCCCGTACTTTGTGGGAGGAAAGGCACAAGATGTGGAGGATGTCCAGGCACTGTGCCTGGCTCACAGACATTGTTCATAAATGTTTGGTTCATAGTTTCTTTCATTCATTCTATAAACATAAACTCTGATCTCTAGGAGGAGGATTTTATTTGCCTCTTGAACTATCTCTTGACAAAGCCAAGTCACCACACAAATGATGCAGGCAACTGCCAGCTGGTTTGCAAATTTCCTGAGTTGCCCAAGTACAGCACAGTGAGCATGAAAATCAAAGGCTCTCAAACCTGGAAGGAACCTTTAAAAATGACCCGAGGTCAATTGCCCAGGAAAATCCCTGCCAAGTGCTGCAAGTTGAGGTTGGAAGTGTCCAGTCTCTCTGATGCAGCCAAGTCTGTCTTTGGACAACTCTGTTAGAAGGCTCTTCCTGATATTGAATTGAAATCTATCACTTCATAGCTTTTCTTTATTCCTCCAATAAATCCTGTATGAGAGACCAGGAGGCAGAACAGAATCATTCAAATCCTCCTTCTTGGCAATCTGTTGAATATTGGAAGACAGGGGCCAAGTTCTCTGAGTCTTCTTTTCTCCAAGGCCTCTGTCTCCTAATCTTTCAAACATTTCCATGGGATAAGATTTTCAAATTATCTTGGTCCTTTTCCCATTAAGAAGCTTTACTTTTCTACTCTTAAAATAGGCTGCCTAGAATAGAAATAATTCCATGTGACTTAACTAGCGCAGAAAGGAACAGACTCTGCTAAATCTGATTTCAGAGACTGCCACTCACTAGCAGCGTGGCTTTGGCAAGTTACTTCCCTTTCTAGGAAACATGGTTTAATATGTAGCCTCAAGTAAAGTGCCTACTACAGTGCCTGGCATAAAGGGGTGTCAATACCTGATATCTACCTATCAATTGCTATTATTCTTCTGTCAATGCAGTTTCAGGTGGCACTAGACCTTAAGGTGATAACATCACACTATTGACTCCTAGGTTTTACCCACAAGTAAATTCAGAGTATTAAGTGGTTTTAATCCATGGCTCCCCCATCCTTTACTCACATTGTGTGTGTGTGTGTGTGTGTGTGTGTGTGTGTGTGTGCCTAAGCATCAAAATTTCCATTTATCTTATAAAATTGTATTTGTTCAATTCAGGTCATTGTTTAATGTGAGCAAATTTAATGAACAAGACTCTATCTTTTTATCTAAGTCTAAAACTAACAAAAATGCCCCCAAGTTCATGGTACAGAACCAAGCCTTGTTACCACTAGAAAACTTTCTTCAGGTTGATCCCTATCTATTAGCCACTATCTTTGAATAAATTAATTCAACCTGTAAATAATTCACTTAATTTCATTTTTATCTTGTGAATAATTTTTCCTCTAAAATAAAAGAATATCATAGCTTTGTCAAATGATTTGGGCAAGTCCAGAAAGACCAGAACTGCTGGGTTTTCTTTCTCTACCAATCTAGTAAACTATCACAGTAGGAAACACATTCTTTGTGAACTCCTATAGCTTTCTCATGATCACAGTTTTCCTGCCTGGATGTTTATAACTTACCTTAATGCCACACTTGGGAACCTCAGTGAGAAACTTTTCTATTTCCTAAAATAATTTTACTCATGAATTAAGGTAATGCTAGCAGTTGAAGCAGATATATCCCCACGTTTTTGTGTCTTAACCCAATAGAAGTTGTTTGTTTCTCATTCATGTCAAGTCTGTAAGGGCTGTTCCTGATCTGCGGGCCATCTTCTCCCCAAGCAGTAAATTCAAGGCTCCTTCCATTTTGCAGTTCTGGAATCTTCCTAATAAACCCAATACAAAGGATAATGCAGGATTAAATGGAAAATATTTCAGTAAAGAGAAGGAAGAGAATTTCAGACTGACAGAGAAATAAAGGAAAGACAAAGGCAGGGATGCAAAGAAGTATAGAGTACATGGCATTTAAACCAGGTGTGTAGGGAAGGCTTCTAGATAGGATCTGTGCCTTCAAGTGAGAGATGCAGATGATTTGTGTGTAAGGCAAGGAGGTAGCTGAGGAATATATACCCTGAACTCACTCTCCCTTTCCAGGGCTCCATATTGTCAAAACTGAACTAGTAGCCAGAGGGAAGGGAGTTTGCTGATGCGATACAGATTAGCTGTCGGGACAGAAAATGGGGAGAAGGGTACATAATGGGTCTGAAAGGCAAACAAAAGATAGCAGCATTTTAGAGGTGAAAACAGTACACTCTGACCTGTGCTTTACAGAGACTAATATGGTAGCAGTGGGAATGAGGATGGGAGGGGGCAGATATTGGAGGCAGGAAGACCTTCAGGGAGGGAGGGCCGGGACAGAGGGGTAATCATAGGACTAGAGGAAAGAGTTGAAAACTGGAATCAGTGAACGGTTAGATATGAGACGCATGAGGAGAGTTGAAGGGGACTCTCAGATCATGGTTTTGAAAGGCAAATGACAAGTTCATCTGGGGACATGTTGAGTATAATTTGTTTTGGGACATCCATATGGAGATATTCTGAGTCAACTCAGCCCCGGGGGAACTGATTTTGTCATCTGGCTCTGCTCCTTTCTGGAAAGCTCTCAAAAATACATGGATAGTTAGACCTGGTTCAAAGCAAAATCTTAGATGCCTATCTTAATCATCTTTCTCTTAAAAAAATCTGGGGATAAAAAGCATTTTATATGAATTCTATATCTTTAAAATTTTTTTATTTGATGCTATATTGCATTTGTTTACAGAAGATGCATGTTATGGATGAGTATAGGGTAACATGGGATACCTGAAATTTAAATTGAACGTAAAAGTGCATGTTGGATTATCTCCCAAAGGAAAGAAACTAAATTAGAGTTTGTATGTAAACTTTAGCCCTTGTCTCAAATGCATATTTTAAATCTCAAATCATCTCTCTTTAATTCCTTGTTTAAAAACATTAAAGTCAATAAAACAGTTCATGAAGCTCAGTTTCTTTCTTGTCAAATATTTGTCAAAATTAAGACTACTTTGGTATAACAAACTAAATAATCAAACTGATTCTTGACTGAATATTGAAAATATAATTCTAAATTGAATACAAGTAAACAAGCCTGAAATTTACTATGGGTGGCAGTAATCCATGTGTAGCCCCACATTTCCATTCATTTAGAAAATATCTTTGTGCTCAACTATCTATAATAATTATCTTTATTACTGTAATAAAGATAACCATCTAATTATCTAATTACCTTTCTAAGGGGATTTGGTTAATTTCAGGCTAAAACAGTTTAAATAAAATTATGGCGGCTTTAAAATATTTCCATATTTACACATTGAGGTACAAATAGTTACTCTTGCATTAATAGACAGTATAGTATCAATGAATAAAGATCAGGAAAGCACTTCGAAAACAAGGCAAGGTTTTGCAGACAAGATTTAGGATAGACAGGCAGAAATAGTTAACCATGCATATGATGTCTCACAAGCCTAGCTGGTGTCATAAACATTTACTTTGATAACATTTGCAGTAGGTGAGTCACATTTTTTAAATGATTGACTTTTCAGGGTCCCCTATAAATAGGAAAGTGTCCGATTCTTCTAAAAAGAATTTTCTCTGAAAATAAACTATGAAATAGTTTTTGGCTTTAGTTATTGCTGCCTTGATGATCAGTTACTCTAAATAAAATAGGATGGATTATCCTGCAGTAACAAACTAAATTCTCGGTAGCTTAAAACAGCAAAGTTCATTTCTCACTCAGGCCACATACCCACCGCGCTTCAGCAGGAGCCTCTGTTCCACGTAGGCACTCAGGGAGGTAGGCTGATGGGCCTCCACCAAATGAAACATTGCTGATCACAACGACAAGGGGAAAGGACCATGGCAAACTATCACTGGCAAACCCTTAAAGGCTTCCACCTGGAAGAGATACATATGACTTCCATTTAAATGTCATTGGTTAAAGTAAATCATATGGCTATGTGTCTAACATCAGGAAGGCTGGGAAGAATAATCCTACTAATGCCTAGAAGGTTATATTCCTGAAAATTTTCTCGTCAGGCAAATTTTTGGACCGCTCAATCTGTGTCAACATGACCAAAAGTACATTGATTCTAGCACTGTTTTCGTCTTCTAAATCCAGGAACTCCCAAATGCCAAGTTCAGTTCCCTCTAATTGCTTGATCTGGCAACTCACTTTTGAACCCCCAAACAAACTTTCAACAAAGGTTGGTGTGGCAGGCACTGGTACTTTTCACCAGTACAGTTGTTGTTATTCAGCACGTGACTGTATTTCTAATTCTTTTTTTTTTTTTTTTTTTTGAGATGGAGTCTTGCTCTGTTGCCAGGCTGGAGTGCAGTGGAGCGATCTCGGCTCACTGCAACCTCTACCTTCCGGGCTCAAGCAATTCTCCTGCCTTAGCCTCCTGGGTAACGGGGATTACAGGTGCCCACCACCACGCCCTGCTAATTTTGTGTATTTTTAGTAGAGAAGGGTCTGACCATGTTGGTCCTGTATTTCGAAGACAAAGACAGTGCTAGAATCAAAGTACATTCGCTCTTCTTGACACAGATTGAGCTGTCCTAAAATTTGCCTGACAAGAAAATTTTCAGGAATATAATCCTGATGGACGATGAGTGCGTGAATATCAGACAAGTCAGAATGAGGGAACATTTCTCTTCGGAAGGGTGATCTGCCTTCTGATCTCTCCTCACCAAAAAGGCTGCTCATTCTTGAACAGATCCAGCATTTTTGCTTTGGGAACGCCTCATATATTTGTAGCTTAGGGAAATACTTCCTGCCAAATGCCTTTAATTAAAAAGAAAAAAAAATCCTCCTTTCTTGGTATCATCTGTATTCAGTTGAGAGGAATAGTTTGGGAGAACATTAATCTAAACCATTCTAATTTTCTTATTTTCCAACTCATTACTTTTTATTTTGGATCAACTGACTTTTACCCTTCCATTTTCGCATTTTTTTCCCTTAAGTGTCTCACAATGTTGATTCTTTGGATTTTTGAAGAATGTAATAATTTGGCATTAAACACAGTGTCCCACATTGGATCCAACCACACACTGATTTCCCTGTCACTCTTATTTTTTATTTGTTAAGTGTTTTCTGAAGCTAGGTGGGATGTTTATTTTAAAAAGGCAATCTCCAGTATGGAGTAGCTTCTTCTGAATATTGAACAATCAAGAAATTTCTTTAAGCCATCCTATAATTAGAAAGCATCAGAGGTTGGAATGAATTTAAACTGAAGTTTTCATTGAGGACAGACAAGATGAAAACTCAAATTGACAAAGAGAAAAAGCTGGCTTTAGAGAAAAAGTTGGCCCCAAATCTTTATGGAGTGGCTCCATCCATCAATGGGCTCTGGAATTGCTGTGATTGCTGGATGTGTAGAGATTTTCCGGAGGACAGAAGTGAGAAAAGAAGGAACTAGCTAAGTCCTACTCACAGAGCTCCTCATTCTCCATTCCTAAAGAAAAATTATTTCAAAAGTTAGCATACCTTTTACCCAGTCAGCATGAGTACAAATAAAGGCCCATAGGCAAACTACCCATAGCTTGAGTTTTGTAAAGCAAATTAAAGGCTCATTTTTTAAAAAATTAATAAACTATTTTTGGAGCAGCGTTAGGTTCACAGTAAAATTGAGTGTAAAGTGCAGAGAGTTTGTACATCCCTGTCCCCACACATGCACAACCTCTCCCAATGTCAACATCACTCACCACAGTGGTACATTTTTTACACTGAAGAACCTACATTAATACATCATTACCACCCAAAGTCCGTAGTTTACATCAGGGTTCACTCTTGATGTTTTTGCATTCTATGGGTTTGGACAGGTATAAAATGATATGTATCCACCATTGTAGTATCCTATAGAATAATTTCACTGCCCAAAAAAACCTCTGTACTCTGCCTATTCATCCTTCCTTCCACCTAAAACACCTTGCAACCTCTGATCTTTCATCATCTCCATAGTAGGAATCATGCAGCATGAGCATTTTTAAATTGATTTCTTTCATTTAGAAATATGCATTTAAATTTCCTCTGTGTTTTTATGGCTTGATAGCTCATTTCTTCTTAGTGTTAAATTATATTATGTTATCTGGATGTATGTTAGTTTATTTATCCATTCATCTACTGAAGGGCATCTTGGTTGTTTCCAAGTTTTGGCAATTATAAAAAGTTACAATAGATATCCATGGTAGATTTTTGAGTGGACATAAATTTTCAACTCCTTTGGGTAAATATCAAGGAGCACAATTTATCAATCAAATGTAAGAATATGTTTAATTTTATAAGAAACTGCCAAGCTGTCTTCCAAATTGGCTATTCTATTTTGCATTCCCACCCACGTGAAGGAGAGTTCCTGTTGCTCCTCATTCTTTTCAGCATTTGGTATTGTCAGTGTTTTAGATTCGGGTCAATCTAATAGGTATGTAGTAATATCTCACTGTTGTTGTAATTTGCAATTCCCTAATGACATATGATGTTGAACATCTTTTCATGTGCTAACTTGCCATCTGTATATCTTCTTTGGAGAGGTGTCCATTCAGCTCTTTAGTCCATTTTTTAATTGGGTTGGCTGTTTTCTTATGCTTGAGTTTTAAGTGTTCCTTGTATATTTGGAATCATAATCCTTTATCAGATGTGTCTTTTGAAAATATTTTATCCCAGTTTGTGGCTTGACTTCTCATTCTCTTGACATTGTCTTTCACAGTGCAAAAATTTTTAACTTTAATAAAGTCCAGCTTATCAATTATTTATTTCATGGAATCATGCCTGTTATATCTAAAAAGGTATTGCCATACCAAGGTCATCTAGTTTATTCCCTACTTTTTATCTTTTAGGAGTTTTATATATAATTTTGTGTTTTATGTTTAGGTTTATGATTAATTTTGAGTTACTTTTTTGTAAAGGGTGTAAGGTTATGCCTAAATTCTTTTTTATTTTTGTTTTTCTGCACGTGAATGTTCAGTTGTTTTGCCACCGTTCTTGAAAAGACCATCTTTTCTTCATTGCTTTGTCTTTGTTCTTTTGTCACAGATCAGTTGGCTATATTTGTATTTATATTACTGAGCTCTCTATTCTGTTCCATTGACTATTTGTCTGTTCTTTTGCCAATACCACACTGTTTTAATTACTGTAGCTTTATTGTAAGCCTTGAAGTCATGCAGGGTCAGCCCTCCAACTTTGTTCTTCTCTTTCAGTTCTGAGTTGGCTATTTGAGTATTTTGCCTCTCTATATAAACTTTAGAATCAATTTTTTAGTATCCACAGAATAACTTGGTGGGATTTTGATTGAATTTGCTTTGAATCTACAGATCAAGTAAGGAAGAAATGACATCTTGGCAATATTGAATCTTTCTATCCATGAATATGGAACCTCTCTCTATCAGTTCTTTTAAAATTTCTTTCACCACAGTTTTGTAGTTTTCCACATATAGGTCTTATACATATTTTGTTAGATTTCTACCTAAGTATTTAATTTTGGGAGGTGTTCATATAAAAAGTAATGTGTTTTAAATTTCAAATTCCATTTGCTCATTGCTGGTATATAGAAAAACAATGGGCCTTGTATATTCCTCTTTCATCTAGCGTGATAATCACTTGTGATAATCACTTAGTTGTTTCAGGATTTTTTTTGTCAACTCTTTTGGATTTTCTAAATAGATGATCATGTCATCTGTGAAAAAAGAGTTTTATTTCTTCTATCCTAATCTGCATACCTTTTATGTCCATTTCTTGTTGTACTATATTAGTTAAGACTTTCAGTACAAATGTTGAAAAGTGGCGGCAAAAGGAGACATTCTGATCTTGCTCCTGATTTAGTGAGAATGCTTCTACTTTCTCCACTAAGTATGATGTTACCTGTAGGCTTTAAAAAAATAAATAAATAAAAATAAAAATAAAACAGGGTCTCACTCTGTCACCCAGGTTGGAATGCAGTGGCATGATCACAGCTCGCTGCAGCCTCAACCTCCTGGGCTCAATAAATCCTCCCCTCTCAGCCTCCTGAGTAGCTGGGACTACAGGTGCACACTACCATGCTCAGCTAATTTTTTTATTTTTTTGTAGAGACAGGGTTCACTATGTTGCTCAGGTGGTCTTGAACTCCTAAGCTCAACCAACCCTCTTGCCTTGGCCTCCCAAAGTTTTGAGATTACAGGACTGAGCTACCATGCCTGGCCACTGTAGGCTTCCTGTAAATATTATTAATCAATGGAGAAAGCTTTCCTCTACCTAGTTTGCTGAAGGTTTATTATTATTATTATTATTATTATTATACTTCAAGTTGTAGGATACATGTGCACAACGTGCAGGTTTGTTACATATGTATACATGTGCCATGTTGGTGTGCTGCACCCATTAACTCGTCATTTAGCATTAGGTATATCTCCTAATGCTATCCCTCCCCTCTCCCCCCACCCAACAACAGTCCCCAGTGTGTGATGTTCCCCTTCCTGTATCCATGTGTTCTCATTGTTCAATTCCCACCTATGAGTGAGAACACGCGGTGTTTGGTTTTTTGGTCCTTGCAATAGTTTGCTGAGAATGATGGTTTCCAGCTTCATCCATGTCCCTACAAAGGACATGAACTCATCATTTTTTATGGCTGCATAGTATTCCATGGTGTATATGTGCCACATTTTCTTCATCCAGTCTATCATTGTTAGACATTTGGGTTGGTTCCAAGTCCTTGCTATTGTGAATAATACCGCAATAAACATACGGGTGCATGTGTCTTTATAGCAGCATGATTTACAATCCTTTGGGTATATACCCAGTAATGGGATGGCTGGGTCAAATGGTATTTCTAGTTCTAGATCCCTGAGGAATTGCCACACCAACTTCCACAATGGTTGAACTAGTTTACAGTCTCACCAACAGTGTAAAAGTGTTCCTATTTCTCCACATCCTCTCCAGCACCTGTTGTTTCCTGACGTTTTAATGATCACCATTCTAACTGGTGTGAGATGGTATCTCATTGTGGTTTTGATTTGCATTTCTCTGATAGCCAGTGATGATGAGCATTTTTTCATGAGTTTTCTGGCTGCACAAATGTCTCCTTTTGAGAAGTGTGTGTTCATATCCTTCACCCACTTTTTGATGGGGTTGTTTGTTTTCTTCTTGTAAATTTGTTTGAGTTCATTGTAGATTCTGGATATTAGCCCTTTGTCAGATGAGTAGATTGCAAAAATTTTCTCCCATTCTGTAGGTTGCCTTTTCACTCTGATGGTGGTTTCTTTTGCTGTGCAGAAGCTCTTTAGTTTAATTAGATCCCATTTGTCAATTTTGGCTTTTGTTGCCATTGCTTTTGGTGTTTTAGACATGAAGTCCTTGCCCATGCCTATGTCCTGAATGGTATTGCCTAGGTTTTCTTCTAGGGTTTTTATGGTTTTAGGTCTAACATGTAAGTCTTTAATCCATCTTGAATTAATTTTTGTATAAGGTGTAAGGAAGGGATCCAGTTTCAGCTTTCTACATATGGCTAGCCAGTTTTCCCAGCACCATTTATTAAATAGGGAATCCTTTCCCCGTTGCTTGTTTTTCTCAGGTTTGTCAAAGATCAGATAGTTGTACATATGCGGCATTATTTCTGAGGGCTCTGTTCTGTTCCATTGGTCTATATCTCTGTTTTGGTACCAGTACTGTGCTGTTTTGGTTACTGTGGCCTTGTAGTATAGTTTGAAGTCAGGTAGCGTGATGTCTCCAGCTTTGTTCTTTTGGCTTAGGATTGATTTGGCAATGCGGGCTGTTTTTTGGTTCCATATGAACTTTAAAGTAGTTTTTTCCAATTCTGTGAAGAAAGTCATTGGTAGCTTGATGGGGATGGCATTGAATCTATAAATTACCTTGGGCAGTATGGCCATTTTCATGATATTGATTCTTCCTACCCACGAGCATGGAATGTTCTTCCATTTCTTTGTATCCTCTTTTATTTCATTGAGCAGTGGCTGAAGGTTTTTGTTATGAATGGGTGTTGCGTTGTTACAAATGCTTTTGCTGAATTTATTGATATCATAAAGTAATTTTTATGCTTTATCTTGTTGCTATGATGGATTATATTGATTTTCTAATGTTGAGCCAGTCTTTCATACCTTGAATAAATCCCACTTGGTTATGGTGTATAATTCTTTTTAAACATTGTGGGAACTGATATGATAATATTTTGTTGAGAAGTTTGCATCTGTATTTATGAGAGTTATTTGCCTGTAGTTTTCTTTTCTTGTAATGTCTTTGTTTGGTTTTAGGGTAATGGGTAATTAGGGTAATGCTGGCCTCATAGCATGCCAAGTGTTCCCTATATTTTTATCTTCTGAAAGAAATTGTAGAAAATTGGTATAATTGTTTCCTTAAATATTTGGTAGAATTCACCAGTGAACCCATCTTGGCCTAGTGCTTTCTCTTTCAAAAGCTTATTAATTGTTGGTTCCTTTTTTTTAATGGACGTAGGCCTATTTAGATTTCTATTTCTTCTTGTATGAGTTTTGGCAGATTGTATCTCTCAAGAAATTGATCCATCTTATCTAGGTTATCAAATTTGTGGACATAACGTTGTTCATAATATTCATTTATTATCCACTTAATATCCGTAGGATCTGCAGTAATGCTCTCTCTGTCAATTATGATATTAGTAATTTGTGTCTTCTCTCTTTTTTTCCTAGCCTGGATAGAGGCTTATTGATTTTTATCGATCTTTTCAAAGAACCACATTTTAGTTTTGTTAATTTTCTCCATTGACTGCCTATTTTCAATTTCATTGATTTCTGCTCTAATTTTTATTATTTCTTTCCTTCTGCTGAGTTTATATTTAATTTACTCTTCTTTTTCTAGTTTCCTAAAACGGAAGCTTAGATTACTGATTTTAAATCTTTTTTTCTAATATATTCATTCAACCTTGTAAATTTCCCTCTTAAGTATTGCTTTTGCTGCATCTTACTAATTTTGAAAAGTTGTATTTTTATTTTCATTTGGTTCAAATTATTTTTAACTTTCTCGTTTCTACTTTGACCCACATGTTATTTAGAAATGTGTCGTTGGTCAGGCACAGTGGCTCATGCCTATAATCCCAGCACTTTGGGAGGCTGATGTGGGTAGATCACTTGAGGTCACAAGTTTTCCAGCTATCTTTCTGTTATTAATTTCTAGTTTAATTTCAATGTGGTCTTAGAGTAGCCACTGTGTGATTTCTATTATTTTAAATTTGTTAAGATGTGTTTTGTGGCCCAGAATGTAGAGTCTGTTTTGGTGAATGTTTCATGTGAGCTTGAGAAGAATATGTAATCTGCTGTTATTGGATGAAGGAGTTTATAGATGTCAGTAATATCCAGTTGATTGGCAGTGCTGTTGAGTTCAACTATGTCCTTGCTGATTTTTTGCCTGCTGGATCTGTCCATTTCTAATAAAAGAGTGTTAAAATCTCCAATTATGGTAGTGGATAATCTATTTCTCCCTGCAGTTCTATCAGTTTTTGTCTCATATTTTGATGCTCTGTTGTTAGAAGCTTACACAGTACAGATTGTTATGTTTTCTTGGAGTACTGATCCTTTACTATTGTATAATGTGCCTCTTAAACCCTAATAACTCTCCTTCCATTGGAGTCTGTTCTATATGATACTAACATAGCCGCTCTCATTTTTTTATGATCGGTGTTAGCATGGTATATCTTTTTCCATCCTTTCACTTTTAATCTATACCTGTCATGGTTTTTATAGTTAAAGTGGATTTCTTATAGACAACATATAGTTGAATCTTAATTTTTTTATTCTTGTGTTTTCACCCACTCTGACAGCCTCTGTCTTTTAATTGGTGTATTTAGACCATTGACATTTAAAATGATTATTGATATAGTTAGATTAATATCTACCATATTTGTTACTATTTTCTATTTGTTGCCCTTGTTCTTTGTTCATATTCTTGTCTTCCACTCTTTTTCTGCCTTTTGTGGCCTTAACTGAGCATTTTATATTATTCCATTTTCTCTCCTTTCTTAGTATATCAATTATATTTAACATTTTTTAGTGGTTGCTCTAGAGTTTGAAGTTTACAACTAATTTAAGTCCACTTTTAAATAACACTATACCAATTCACAGGTAGTACTAATATCTTATAAGAAAATACTCCTAATTCATTGCTCCCATCCCTTGTATCATTGCTGTAATTCATTTCACTTGTGGATATATGCATACCTATTGAATACATTATTGCTATTATTTTGAGCAAATTGTTATCTGTTAGATCAATTAAGAATAAGAAAAACAAAAGTTTTCATTTTGCCTTTACTTATTCATTTTTTGATGCTCTTTCTTTCTTTGGAAACCTGAGTTTCTGACATTTATTATTTTCATTTTTTCTCAAGAGCTTCTCTTAACTTTTCTTGCAAAACATATCTGCTAGCAACAAATTCCCTCTGGTGTTTTTTTTTTTTTTTTTTTCTGAGAGAGGTTTTATTTCTCCCTTACTTTTGAAGGATAATTTTACAGGATACAGAAATCTAAGCTGGTCATTTTTCCCAGCACTTTAAATATTTTATTCTACTCTCCTCTTGCTTGCATGGTTTCTGAGGAGAAGTCATATGTAATTCTTATCTTTGCTACTCCATAGGTAAGATGTATTTTCCCGCTGGCTTCTTTCAAGACTTTTTTCTTTATCTTTGATTTTCTGAAGTTGAATATGATATGCCTAGATGTAGTTGGGTTGTTTGTTTGTTTGTTTGTATGTTTTATTTTTCATGCCTCATGTTTTCTGAGCTTTCTGGATCTGTGGTTTGGTGTTTGACTAATTTGGGTGAATCTCTCAGTCACCATTGCTTCAAATATTTTTTCTGTTCCCCTTTCTCATTCTTCTCCATCTGGTATTTCTTTAATTTGTTTTAGTTATTTATATACACATAAATAACTCCTTTTGTAGTTGTCCCCACAGTTCTTGGATATTTTGTTAGGTCCCCCCCACCTTTCTTTTAATCTCTGCTTTTCAGTTTTAGAAATTTCTATTGTCATATCCTCAAGCTCAGAGATTTTTTTCCTTAGCTGTGTTCAGTCCACTAATGAGTCCATCAAAGGCATTCTTCATTCCTTGTACAATGTTTTTTCTCTAGAACTTCTTTTTGTTTTTTCTTAGAATTTCCATCCCTTTGCATACATCATCCACTTGTCCTTGCATGTTGTCTAGTTTTTCCATGAAAGCTCTTAGCATATTAATCATAGGTTTAAAACATTTTGAATCTGATAATTTCAACATTCTTGCCATATCTGACTCTCATTCCATTGCTTATTTAGTCTTTTCAAGCTGTGTATTTTGGCTTTTAGAATGCCTTGTAATTTTTTCTTGAAAAAGGGACACAATGTGCTGGGTAAAGGAAACTATGGTAGGTAGGTCTTTAGTAATGTAGTGGTAAGGTGTGAGGGGAGGGGAAGTATTTTACAGTGCTATGATTAGGTCTCAGTCTTTTGGTGAGTCTGTGACCCTGGACTGTGAACTTCGCCAGTGCTTCTTAGTTTTTCTCTCTTTTTTTTTTCCACTCTTCTAGTGGGGAAGAGTGGGTTAGAGTTGAGTGATTATTTTCCCCCATATGAAAGGCTAGAAAGAACTGAAGTTGGGTATTTTTCTTCCACACGGAAGGCTAGAGTGAGCTGGAGTTGGGTAATTACCTCACCACATGTGAAAGGCTAGAAAGAACTGTAGTTGTATGTTTCCCTTTCCCCAGGTGGAAGGCTAGAGCTGGCTAGAGTTGACTTATTTTCCTTCTTCCAGTAGGTTTAGGCTCTCACAAAACCACAGCAAGTGAGGCTCTAGTACAATAGCTTCTCCCGGGCACAGGCCTTGTTAAGAAGAACAAAATGCTCTGGTATATGTTAAAATGGTTCCCTTTCCCCTTCCCTGACCAGAAGCCCAAGAGGATTTTTCTCTAATATTTACAGTGATAACTTGGTAGAGTTCCTGGAGGTAAAACTCATGAAAGTGTGCCACCTCCCTCACGACTGGGTCCTCCTGGAGTTTTAATCTTCAGACTTGTTCACATCTAGTCTACAGCAATTTATCAATTACAGTTCAGGTTTCTCTACCCAGAACTGATTCCTATGGAGGTTTCTACTTCTGGATTTCTGCCACAATAAGTTGTGATTCTCTGTAGATGTTTGTCTGTCTCTTTAATTTTGGGGACAGTGGTTTTCCTTGTGACCTCACCTCTTTGGCTGCTAATTTTTCAGCTAGTTCAGCTTTTTGCTTATTGTTAGGATGGAGTGATGAATTCTAAGTTCCTTATGTGCTGGACTGAAAACCTGAAGCCCCACTCACTGGTTTTTAAACTTTAAAATATTGAATGAACATCCCACATTATAAAATGAGTCAGAATTCAACTATAGTGGTGTTAAAAAGAAACACACACACACACACACACACACACACACACACACAATTGTTTTGTGATCTCTAAATCAAGCTTTCTCTAGGCTGAGGTGGATGTTTTCTCTCTTCCATGTTGTGATGCTCTCTGTTATGGGTCTTTACATGGGAAAGGCAAGAGTTAGAGTCTTGGGATAGATTTAAGAGTTGGTGAGGCTCCTTCTTCCCCTCAAACTTCCCACCTTCCACAGCCTGGAATCACTCAGCTGGGAATGGACTTTGGCTCCTTCTCCTTTAGGAGTTCCTGATGAGGCTTCTAGAACCAGTGACTACCATCTGAACCACTGAACCCAGGGCAGGAGGAGCTTGCTCTTCCATCTGTCTTCTGGTCCTTTAGGGCTCCCTGCAGAGAGGCTCTGGGGCAATTGCTCACAACTGGCTGGTGATATGAATGTGGGTAGATTCAGTAGGGGCATGAGGATGGACTCCCTGTTCCTAAATATTTTCCCAAGTTTTTCTGAAATCCATCAGTAGTTACTGCCTTCTCCTTATCTGTTGTTATTGTGGGTGATGGTGATTTTTAAAGAATGCCTTTTAAATAAGATAAAGCCTTTCTTTTCCCATTATTTTTAAAAATTCTTTTTCAAAGCTGACCCTTAGAGAGCCCACATTCTCAAATTCTGTCTTCACTGCTCTCTCATTTCCCTTCATCCCTGTTCCTCTGTTTGAATACACACAACACACACACACACATCCCAAGAGGGGACTCCACTAAAAATAACTCACCCATTTCCCTAGGAGGGAACTAGGCACCTGCAGGTCAACAAGGCCTGAGAAGCCAGAGTTCTTCAGAGTGTGGGCTCCACCTTAATGTGAATCTGCCTCTTTAATTAATATTTCCATGAACTTGGCTGCTAATGTATCCTCTTTTTCTTCAGTTTCTTCATCTGTAAAATGGGGGTGATGATCATTGTACCTACATGTAAAGTACATTACAAAAGGATGCCACTCCTTTATTCTTTGCTAATAATAGCCACATTTATTGAGGCCTTCTAGGCCAGATGCTGTTCCAAGTGCAAGTTTTGGTAGGCAGAATAGGAGATTGGTGGTGGGGGTGGGAGTACTATGAGCGTGACGTGGGAGAAAGAGAAAGAGCATCAAAAAAGGAACTAAGAGTTGCAGAATAGCAAAACTGAAGTTCAGTTCAAAACAAATTTCATCTCTTCTTTTTCCAGTTTTCCTAGACTTAGTCCTGATCAGTTACTCCAGAAAACCTACAGGAATCTGGCTGAGGGAGACAGTGCGGACTAATATTTCATTTCTCCCCACTCCTCCCTCTGAGGAATCCAGGACTTCATTGTGGACCCCTGTATTAGTCCATTTTCACACTGCTACAGAGAGCTACCTGAGACTGGGTAAGTTACAAATGAAAGAGGTTTAATTGATTCATAGTTCTGCATGGCTGGGGAGGCCTCAGGAAACTTAAAATGGTGACGGGAAGCAAGGCACGTCTTACATGGTGGCCATAGAGAGAAAGAGCAAGGTGGGAAGTGCCACACTTTAAAACCATCAGATCTTGTGAGAACTCACTCACTATCATGAGAACAGCATGGGGGAAACTGCCCGCATGATCCAATCACCTCCCACCAGGCCCCTCCCTAACAGGAGATGAGATTTGGGTGGAGGCACAGAACCAAACTATATCAACCTTTTCCTACCTCCCTACTCCAAGCACCATCTCCCTTGGAGGGGCTCTGTAAACTGGCCCTTACTTGAATGAAAGAAGCCGGCTCAGATTCAAAGTTTTGAGTGTTTTTTTGCCATGTCTCAGCTGAGTCACCCAGGTGAGCCCAGGCATTCTGGCCTAGGATGTGGAGGATGGTGTTTTAACTGCAGCTTGAGGTTTTACAAGTCCAGAAAATCCCAGAGGACAAGACTACAATAGCAGCTGAGGGCAGGCTACATGAATAGCAACCCTACTTGATATGTGTTCAGGGCTTCCCAACCAACTGGTGAGAAACACAGGGACACATATTGCCTGCTTTACAGAGAAGTTCAGTGATCTTCTCAAGGTCAAACACTTGGGAGAAACCGGTGGGACTTTCTGATGCACATTTCCGTGTTTTCTGTTGCTTTTATAATGAGTTGTTGACTACTTCCTGCTATTTAAACTGCTATACTTCGTTTTTCAGCCCGGATCAGATTACAATTGTATATAAAAAAAGAAGAATATGATCTCAAAGTAGAGAGGGATTTTTTCCATAAGTCACAAAAGCAGCACCTGCAAAGCAAAAGATTACTTATAGTGTTTTTGTTGTTGTAAGTTTTAAAATTTAATGTAATCTGAGTGAAAAACCAGCCACTGACTGGGGGAAGATAACTGATCTTCATGTAATCATCAAAGGAAAAGTATCCAACACATAAAAACAATTTCTACAAATCAGTAGGATAAAAAGTCAAAATATTCAATAGAAAAATGGGCAATGGATATAAACCAGCAACACACACACACACACACACACACGTGCACACAGAAACCAGAATGTGAAATCAACTAAGAGTTGGAAAATGCAAATTAAAACAGCCATGAGCTCCCATTTCCCCACGATATTTCCAATACTAGGGGATGTTAGACTTTTTCACTTTTGTCAATCTAATGAGTGTGAAATGATAACTCTTACACAATGTGGGAGGTGATCCAAATTGGTGCAATCAATTTGGAGAAGAATTTGACAACACAGAAAGATAAAGATGTGCCTACTCTTAGACCCAGAAATTTCATTCTATTTATCTACCCCTCAAAGACTCCCATACACATATAAAGACACATTTATGAGAAAGTTCATTTGTGGTATATTCTTAATTGTAAAAAATTGAAAATAAATGTACATCAACAGAAAAATAAATAAATAAATGGCAGCATAGTCACAATGGACACATCTACAGTAGTTACAATTGATAAAGAGATGCATGTGTCTACAGATATAAATCTCAAAACATAAGGTTGAATGAGAAAAGCAAGCTCCTCTGTGCCCCTTTCAGCTCTAACTCTCTGTGGATCTTATCCTTGTAGGTGGGGAGGAAAACTAATGATTCTGTGCATCCCTCAATCAGTGAGGGTCCTCCCTGACAGATAGAACTAAGCAAAGGCCCCCAAGCATCCCATGCCCAGTGCTGATGGTTGTGCTCCTCAGCTGCGGTACTAGAAGCTGCTCCCCCGGAAGCCCAGAGCAGATTCCAGGGCCCTTCCCCTTGCTCTTCTTTCCACGTATCAATGTGAGGCAAAGGTATCAGTTCCCCTGGGGCAGGAAGAAGCCCCCAGCAGGCAAGGAGCTGGCACTGTGCTCAAGGTCTGAGCTCAGAAAACAGACAGGACCTGGGCCCTGCGCTAGGTGGAGAGTCTGAGGCTGGGTGGTTGTGCTGGGAGCCAGAGCACTTTGGGAGAAGCTGCCAAAATTGCTCAGACAAGCACTTGGGGGAATTTCAGTTGTCCCCAAAGTACCTTTTAATTTGAAAACAATCAGGAGGGAGGTCAGAGGATTTTTCATCATTTGGCAGCGAGTGGTCTTGGAGAGCCTGGGCTGTGTTGCTTCAATTAGGTGTGAGAAGTGGGGGCTGGGGCCTGCCAGCTGGGCAGGAGCCAAGCAGCTCATCAGTCCTGGTCTAATCAACATCAGGGGCTCCAGCGCCAAGCACACAAAGACCAATGGTACCATTCATCACACGGAACTCTCCAAACACTGAAGGATGCTGGGGGTTCTCTAGCAAATCTATGCACTGAGGGCCCAAGATGATACCACTCAGAGGTTTCAGAAAGTAGAGATGCTGGTGACATAGTTACAGTAAATGCAGGTGGTTGAATGGCGCTGGGCAACTTCTGTCTTCATTCCAGGCAGAAGGAGGAGGGGTAAGGAGAGCTTTAGACAGAAACTCAAGACAGATACAGAACTAGCTGGCTGCTTCCTGGAGGGGGCTCTGAGGTGTGGGCTCTGGGTCAGGCCAGGATCTCAGCTGGGTGATCACGGCCAACTGTTTGACCTCTCAGCCCGTGTCCCTGGTTGTAAAAATGGGGTCGTGATAGTGCCAAATTCGTAGAGTGGTGGTGAAAAGAAAGAAGACAATCAATTCAAACACTGGGTATGGTGCCTGAAGCATAGAAAGTGTTCAGAAAGACAGAGAGGATTACATAAATAATAAACTAACAAACTGCTTTCCCAAGGTCTAGGAGGTGTGATTTAAAGACTGTCAATTGCATGACACTTAGCATTAAGCCAGAGAAAGGCTTTTGTGAAAATGTCAGATGTTATTAGCAGCCTGTTTTATAAATGAGGAAATTGAGGCCTCACAAAGCAGTGGCTTGTATGAGTTCTGGCAACTGGTTTGTTAAGAGGTCGGGATAAAAATCCAGGAATTTTGACTCTAAATCCTGTCTTGTCATCATAGCACACAGCAAGCCATTTTAAAAATTATGTCAATTATATCTTCTAAAGCAAAAGTATGCAAGGTATAAATGTCAGAAGAATAGAAAAAAAAATCTCTAAATGTCCATGTTCCCTAATGTGGAATTTCCCTTAATGGTGAGATGCTCCAGGTTGTATCAGCATGGCCTGCGCTGCACTGTGGACCTGCCTGTCAGGAAGAAATCCTCTTCTTCTCCCAGAAATCCTGCACCTGTAGCAACAGGTGCCATTTGCAGAGGGTGCCACTGCCTTCACAATCCCTTTCTAGGCACTATTTCCTTTATTTTTGCCCTGATATGGCAACCCAAAAGTCATGCATTTTTATTATTTGTTTTTCTTAAAAATCACTTCCATGGAAATACAGAAGTGTTTTTTTGTTTGGGTTTGTTTGTTTTAACATAGAGTCCTGAAGGGAAACACTCAGAAAGTTGCAGTGCCTAGAAAGGTACTTCAGACACAGGCCGTTAACAAAATTCACACTAAGAAGGGTTGACCCATCAAGGCTGAGGACCACTGTAGTGTTTTTATACCTGATAAGGCATGACTTGCCTTCAACGAATGCTGCATTTTTCCTCATTGCTGTATCAGCGTACTCATTTTCCTGTATTCATTTATTTACATACCCACCCTCACTTGAGAGCAGGGTCAATGACCTTCTACTCTGTGCCAGGCAGGGCCCAGCACTGATGAGACTGCAAATCTAAATGCATTGGAAGAGAAAGAGTGTTCCCATGTATTCTGGATCCTACTGTTTGGGACGTCATGCAGATTTTACCAAATAATATCTTACTTTCCATCATCTTTATTACTCAAAAGTTGTGTACTGAGTCCCTGGCCCTTGGAGATCTGGATCAAATTAACTCAATCCTGCTCTCCCAAATCCACCACTGGCAGGAGCCCATGAGTCCCACGAGTCCTCACTTTCTCATGAGGTCCTCCTCCTAAGCTTGTCTCAACTATGTGCTATACCATGAGGACCATACCACAGAACACCTGCCCCCTTTCTGAGTTCCACGGAAAAGAAAATATGAACAGAGGAGTCTTTATGGGTGATTCTGGAGCAGAAATGGAGTCTCATGACACAGCAAGGCCAGGAACTTCATGTGGAAGAGCAGCCTTACCATGCCTCTCGCACAGCCTCAGCCGCCCCCATGACTGCATGCTTCACCTGCCAGTACCCGCACCTGGTCCTCTCCTCTGTCCACTTGGCTCCATGCTCTGTCTTCCTCCTCCTTGCATTTCTTCTCTTCTTGTCTATCTTCTCCCTTTATCCTCAGAGCAAAATGTGAATTTCTCTCATATCCAGTGCAAGCCAGTTTCACATTATACTTTGAAGTTTTGTGGCCAAGAAACACTCAAGCCCTCGGGGTCCCAAAACATTTCTAAGCAACAGCCATTAAGATAATAAAACTTCGTTTCATCTCATTATGTAAGGATCCCATAAAGTTTATAAATATTGCCAGATAGAAAGTCTTCTCAACTCTGCTTTCTATCAAGGAAAGTGAATGTTTTTGTATTCTGGGACAAAATCAAAACAGAAGCTAATTTTCAACTCATCAGCCTGGTTCTTATGCATCATGTGAGTATCAGTGCCAACCCTGCCCAAGCTATAAACTCCTGAATCAGAATGTCCCTCAGACATTCTTCCAGGGCTGCAGAACTTCCTTTTTACCTTCACTCTCTCCTCTCGTTTTTCCTTCTCTCATGAAAGAAAAATCAATCACTGATGAAATAAGCAAATGGGCAAAGTGGCATGCCCCTCCAACTCTGTGAGTCCCCTCACCCTCAAGCCCCTCCTTTTCTTGCCCTCCAGGCAGAAGTGTGGAGCTGCTGCTGCCAGCAGGCCTAGGCCAGAGGAGCACAAAAGGGCAGGGTTCTCAGCTTTAGAGCTGGGAAAGGACGGCCCAATAAGCGTTGGTGTGGGGAGAGGAAGAAGTATCTACTAACTACAAGACCCACTGACAACTGCTTGGCTCACAGCCTCTGAGGCCTGAATTTGAGGAAACAATTTTGCTTCGGATCTGCCAAGAAAGTGCATTAAGCACTTAGATCATTTACAATCCTAGTAGACTTTCCCCCTCGCATTAATTTCAGGGAATCCATATGCATATGTCTTTCTTTGACTGGCAGCCTGGGCAAGTCTCTTTCTCCAGGGCTCTGGGTTCCAAGTAACCAATTTATAGGGAAACTTTACAGAATCCTATTTAGTTTTAATGCTGGGATGCTTGGATGACACCACTGGTTGTCTTCTTTCAAAGGCTTTAACTTCCTTGTTCCCTCTTTTCCTTTAACCCCGTGGCTCCCCAAGCCAATAAAAACATCTAAAGGTAAATAAATCCATCAAGGTAGCTCATAACTGAAAACACTTATGTTATACTGGAACCAGTAAAATAGGCCATGTTCGGTTAAACTTCCCCAACTGCTCTTCTACCTCCACTCCCAAAACCAAAAAATAGCATGCTCTGTTTTTAAGAGTGTCTATTTTTCTTGTTAAAAATAGATGTTTCTACATTTAGTATTTGTTAAAATAAAAAAATCAAAAAGCTTACTTGCAAACCAGCAAAGAACCTAATGCGAAGAAATTGCATTTAGATTGATCTGGAGGGGACAAATACAAATGGGCTCTGCATTAAAATGGTTCCCACAGCTGAGGTTTCTGCTTGATTACGTTAAACTCAAAATGATACCAATGTGAGTGTCCTCAAATATAGGCTAATTTAATCAGAGTCTATTTTCAGTGGTTTGGGGAATGGGGCATTGCTGTGGTGAAGGAATAAAACTTTGTCTCTACCGACACTCATAGTAAGTGACCCTTAGTCACTTAGTGATTTTAACTAAAGCAACTTGGTCATACAGTGGCCTTCTCTAGGGGCACCGCATCTGAAACTCTCCATGGGATAGCCAGCAGCTTGTCCCCCACGTCCCTATTTTAGTGCTATTCCTACAATTTCCACCTTGTTGTAGATACTGCTGGCACTACAGTGGCCCACTATCATTAAGATAAATGGCCTGGGCTCTTAAAGTTAAAATGCAAATACTTTGAATCAATTGAGTGTTTTCAGCTGTGAAGAGGGATGGGCACTAGCTTCCCCCTCCTAAGAATCTAGACTTTGTTGGTTTCTCTGAAGTCATTGTCAAATATGGGAAGAGCTGGGATGAGTTTGGTAGGGCATATATCAAATATCAGGAGTCCTGCCACTCCTTGCAGCGTGATTTCTAGGAAATGTCCTGAAAGCTTGTCCAGATTGTCAGAAAGAACAAAGACTTCCTGTCCCTTAGATGAGGTTCTTAAAATTAGAGAATGTCTGAAGAAGAAATATCTGGACCCCAGTAAGGTACAGAAGCTCAACTCAGTGAAGATCCGAGTGTCACAGGCTGGGTCTCCTGAATAACAGACTTGAACACAGGAGGTTTACGCAGGAGTGCTTTGCAGATTGAACATGTGTAAGAGAAGAGAAGAAAGTAGGACTGGGCACAGTTGAACTGTGATGATGGATATCTCAATGGAAGACACAGTCAACCCTGCAGGGAGTTCTGAAGGTGAAATCACCTTCAGTGGTGCCCCCCATGGAGAAGAGGAGAGAAAGGGGATATTATGTCCCCATGTTGATTAGTCCCTGGATATGAGCCACCCAGGAAGGAAGTGAGTCCTTAAGCTAGGTGGCTCAGGGTCATCTCATCAGTTTGGAAGTGCCTCAAATCCTAAAGGGTGATCTAGGCTGACCATAACCACATCCATCATAATCCACACATTGCACTACTTGGACCCAGTGCTTCAAACAGGTTCTGGGAGCAATGCCTCCAGGATTTTAGTGGGCCTCTCTTCCAGAGGGAAATTTAGGAGAATAAGGTTAGTGGGATGAACTACAGCTGCCGATGATCTCAAGGCCAAAACAAACACTCATCAGGTCCCTCCTTTTCTCTCCATTCTGGATTTCTCTAACATTTCTGTGGACTCACTGGCTTATGTGGTCCTGTGAGTCAGACTTGGAAGGGTCTGAGCCCCTGATCACCATGCCTTTCACAGGCCAGGTTGCTGCATTTGACCATTCACTGTCACAATTAAGGAAAGGAATACCAGGAGGCACCCAGGGGAATCAACTGGTTGCTAACTATATTCCTCTGTGCCCTTATTGCCTAACATCAGGAGTCAATTACTTCTGCCAAGATGGTGATTCTTCTCCATACCTACCTGTCCCTTGCCATGAGGAGCTAAAGTGCCCAAGCAACAACCACAGCTTATCATCCAATAAGACTCAACAGAAGTGTCGGGCGACTCACAGGGAGTTTGAGGATGGGATAACTTATGCAGCTGTGGTGACCAGGAATTGGCCAGGACTTCATAACCAGTATTGATCAGTTGTTGGATACTGGTCACCCCAGGAAATGTATGTGACTTTGGCCATGGAGCTCTCCATGGCAATCACTGGCCTCACTTTTTCTGTTGAAATGTATTTGGAAGTGTTTAAAGGCATTTTGTTTGTTTGTTTTTACAAAAGTTGGGTGGTGCTGTTGGACTTTTTGTAGTTTCTTATTCCTTGGAAACATGTTTATTTCTTTAAACATAATAAACATTTTGTAGTCTGTATCTTATAATTTTAACATTTTAGGTCTTTATGGTCTGGTTCTATTGTCTATTTTTTTCTGCTAGTTCTCATTTATGTTGTCATGTTTATGCAACAAGTCATATTTGACTGTAGACTGGTTGTTGTATTTGAAAAATAATTTGAGAGTGATTAAACTCTGAGATGACAGAATTTTTCTCTGGAGACCATTCTTATTTGCTCCCGGAGCTTTACCAGTAAGGGATCTGCTTAGTCTAAGTTCAAGGCTTGAGGCTCCTTGGACCATCCAGTTGATGCAAACCTGGGCTGCAAATCCAAGCAAAAGTTGTTTTCCTTTAGGCTTTCTATTTCCCTGAGGGCATAAACCTTGGATCTCAGTTTAATATCTATGGAGAGAATGGGCTCCCCACTATGGGTGGGCCTAGGTTTTCACTTTTTTCCTACTTGCTTTGTGAGGCCACCGAGACAGCACCTCAGTTTTGCATGTTTCTTCAGGTTTGGAAAATGCTATTGAGGTCAAAGCAGCTTTGTGTGCTCAACTTACTTTCCCGGGATTTTGTCTTCTGTACTGTTGTAGATTAAATCTTCACTATCTTATTAACTCTTGGATTTTTTAAGAGAAATAATGTAAGAAAATTATTTCACCCAGCTTTTTAATAACTGTCCTTATTGGGAAGGAAGAAACCTCTAGTGTTTCTTGCTTGTAGTCAAACCCTGTGGTATTTTCTATGAGAATTCAAGGTGGGTGGGGGAGGCATTTTATTAAATACCTTAAATTTGCAAGCTTCTTTTGCTCATTGAAGTTGAGGTCAAGTAAGTCATATATTAGCTGTGCATTTTTCTAAGAATTTAGAATAAATAAAATTTAAAACCCACACTAAGCATGGATCTGATTTTCTACTTAGAATGTAACAACATAAACATAAGATTTTAATCAAATTATCAAAATTTCTCTAAATCCAATAGGATATGATACCTAAACTTTTAAAATAAAGCTGTAGAAATATCTATATCGTCAACGGTATTTTTAAGTTCTTCATGGCTTACCAGTTTTGATACCTTATTTGAGGAAAAGAAAGTCCGCTATTTTTTCAATATAGTAGAGACATCATTTGCAGTGACAGGAAGAAAATTCAGGCCCTCCTTGTAATTAGAGAGCCGGCACATAGTAATTACATGAGAAAATCCTCTCAGACATAACAATGTAATTGTAACCATCCAGTGTAGGATAATTTTCCTTACCTAAAAAGTGCCAAACACAATTAATGTTGACTAACTTCCAAAAGAATAATGAACTTTCATCTCTCAGATTCAAAATTACTCCAGCCTAGAGAGACGAGTTCTTTATTTCGGGAACTAGTCACCCGCAAATGGACCCTCATGACATAAATGAAACCCAAAACTCTTTTAAGTGCCAGATTTATTTCCGTGAGATCAATTTAAACCAAAAAGATTTCATTCTCTCAGAAAAATTATTCCTGCTTCCTTGCAATGCTGTGGTTTATAATAGAGTTATTATTAGCTTTGACCACAATTATGCCACTCTGACAGCTCCCACCTGCCTGGACCAAGAGTGACTTCTTATCCCTGGAATGCTGGTTACTCTTGTTCTTCATGCTACTGGGCTGGCACTCAGCATTGCACAATGATGCTTAGCCTTTTATGGGCATAGCTATTTCCTCAAGGAGACTGAACTCTTGGAGGACAAGGACCCTGCCTTGGTATGTCTTATTATAGATCCCGGAAGTGCCCAGTACTGGCCCCTTTTATAGAAGATGCTCAGTATTTGTTTGTGATGGTAATGATGATTCATGTTTGACTTGGGTGACAAATTAATTTTATTCATTCTGTTTCCTCAACCCCTAGCACATTGCCTGGCCCAGAGTAAGTACTCAAGAAAAGCCTACTGAATGAATGAACAAATGAATTAATGAATCATTCGAATTTTAAAAACTAGTTAGAAACACACACATACAGAATGGAGAACATTGTGAGCAGATTATTTCTTAGCCTTTGTTTTTAAAAATACAAAAATAATCTCACTTTCTTTTCTTTTCTTTTAGTTGACCACAAGAAGATAGGCTGTGACTTAATTGTTTTAGCCAAGTGCTGTTAAATCTCACGCTCCTTTTTCTTGACTCAGGAATACAGAATATAAATATAGAGTGCCCTCCTATCTCCCCAGTGTCATTGCCTTGCTCTGTGAACAAACCCAGAGGTCCAACGTTTGTGGAAGGCCGTCTTCTACTCACTTCAGAAGACGAATATGACAATGTGACCCATTCCCTGAGATGGTGAGTGCATAGGACATTGGAAAGCTGTCTTTGACCATAACAAGAGGAAGATGTCAAAATGATGTAAAGAAACAGGTTTGAACTTCAGCTAAAAGTTAAATGACCAGCACTGAATTCACATTGAATCCCTCCTTTGCTAAAGTATTACTTACCTGATTAGACATATTATCCACTAAGAGTCCTTCCAGCTCAAAGATTCAATGCAGTATAGTAGGAAATAATAGATTTTAAAATTTGAAGACCTGAGTGTCAAATTCTAGTTTCACCTTTTACAAGTTGTGTGACTTTGAGTAAGTCACATAATCTGTCTGACCCTTCAATTACTCCTGTGTGGACTGGGATGTACCATTCCTGCACGATTTCTCACAGGATAACCCGAGTCTCATTGAGGACATGCATATGAAAATGCCAACCACTAGTCAGATGTTAGACATTAATTGATAGTTAAGGAAACAGGGGCCCTGAGAAGATAAATATCTTCCCAAGAGACTCTAGAGATCCTCTGGCTGAGCACTTCCTGAAGCATTTCCTTGCCAACAGTGTTAGTTCCACAGAACACTCATTTCACAAGTGGCAATAGCCATGACATAACATAATCATTTTAAACAAGTATGGGAAATTCTGTGCTGAACAAAAATAAGCACATTCGTTAACTGCAGGACTTATCAGAGCCATTAACATGGTCATGTCCTTTGTGACTCTCTAAGCATTTCCTCCTCTTAATAGACAAGCTGTCACAAGATTAGGATTCCATGGAGCACAACATGGGAAATGCTGACCTAGTTTATTGCCTAGGTCTGATTTCACAGTCCTCTAATTCAGTGCTACTGCAAGTACCCAAATACCAGGTTGGTAAATATTTGTTCCTCATCTGTGATGAGAAAAAAAGCTTATGAAATTGTAAATCAACAAGTCATCAAAAAGTCTTGCTACCGAGAAAAAAAAAAAAGAAAAAAAGCCTGTCAGTGGAACGTAGTGAACTTATTCTGGTGCAAGCTCCACCAGTGTGCATACCAGCAGTGGTCCCCAGACTATGCTTTGAGTAACATTTCTCTAATTAATTGGATAAAGATGCAGCTTTAGTGAAAAAGCAGAATCTAAAGAAAAGAAACCTTTTTCATACCTTGTGCTTGGCAGCACATGTGAAGTCTGGAAGTTGTCTGATTCAGAAAGCTCCAGGCTCCCAGCAGTCAAAGGGTTGGCCATCAGGCAGATTGGATTGCTGGTTGGCAGCGTCCACCCGAGCCTTCCTAACTTCAGTTGCTAGTGCACTAACTGGACACAACCCTTAGTCATCACACTGGAGAGATGATCATCCCAACAGGATACAAAGCCAAGCCCTGCAAGGCTCCTTTCCAGACAAAAGCTGATCTAACTGAGCTGTACAAAGGGCAGGCAAATTAACTTCCTGTTAGCTCTGTAAAAATACTGGGGAAACTCTCCCTAAACAATAATCCCCAAGTGAGGGTTTCCATGAGAAAAAAGTGATGCAGTCAAATGAGGGAAACTGAAGAGTTTCAAAAAGGGCTAATTTGCAAAGATGTACTGGGTTAAAAGGAATAGTGATTGTTAAGCATGGAGTGCTATTACCACCCTTAGAGGGAAGGTCATTGGACCTGGAAGCTATGAAAGAGAGCTGCCTGCTTGACGGGCGCTTGGCCTTAGATCGTGGAACATGGACTCTGAGACTCACAGCCCTGCAGGGAGGGCAGGCAATGCCCCAACCTCACTTTTCCCTCTCCATGCAGTCTTTGCCCGTGCATCTCATTGGCTCTCTAACCAGAAGCCAGGGGACAAAGGAGCTTGTCGCTATGGTCCGTAAATGCCTATCGGCACAGCAGGGTGGACAGAGGATCTGGAAAGGTAAATGAAAATCATTCATCACAGCTCACCCCGTGTGCTCCTCTGTGGCTCTCGGCTTTGTGAGCAGCACATGAAGGGTGCTGGCCAGTGTGGAGAAGTGGAGAGCAGATCTGGAAGGACAACTGAAATCCATCTAGCACAGTGTCATTCTCTTCTGAGCTCAGAAAACAAATTGAGTTACAGTCGTGAAGGCTTTTGGTTTCTGTTGGCCTCTCTTGTCAAGACTTTTGCCAATCCAGTCATTTTTCTCCCTTTCAATGCTTTCATGGTGCCAGGGTATCAACATGCCTTTGTGCTGATCACAGTTTTTTCAGAATCCAATTCTCAAGACAAAATTAGGGTGGGTATGTTTACACACTAAAAACTCTGCTAATAAACACTAATATTTCAAGTATCCATCTTACTTATTTAATTTTTCTCTCATTTTTAGAGATAGGGTTGATTTGATGTTATTTTCATGTACTCAGACTCCTGATTAAACACATTTTCATGGTATAAATCTATTACTCTCTACCTAGCTACTTCTTAAAGCCTTTTTGCCTTTAGGGTTCTGATGACGTTATTACTGTTACAGACACATGGATATTAAGTGTTTACATTAAGCATCTGTCTGTAGGAGTGAGGCTGTGGATTCAGGCTGTGCAAGCTGTGAAATGCCTGGATGTGAGTGGAGGAAATGGCTAAGTAATTGCACTTTGTGCATACCCATTACAGCACTTAGAGTGGGCATAATGCTTGGTTGGGTGTCTGACCAGAAGCCCAGGAGAGAAGAAACTCCTTGGAAATAAATACTCTGTATTATCTTTCTCTGTATTACTTCCATTCTCTCCAATGATTACCAAATAGATTTATATTGACTAACTAACACAGTGACAGAAAGCCTACATCCAAATGAATAGTTCTGTTTTAACAGGATCACTTTTGGAGGCAATGTAATGGTTTCAACAATTGCTGGAAGATCTTTGTCTGCATCAACTTCTACTGGGCAGTCTCAGCCTTGGTAGTAGGAAATATTTGTTTTGTGAGCAGACTTTTTTTTTTTTTTTTTTTGAGACAGGGTCTCTCTATGTTCTGCAGGCTGGAGTACAGTGGCTATTCATAGGCACTATCACAGCACACTGCAGCCTCAAACTCCTGGGCTTGAGCAATCCTCCCAACTCAGCTCCTGACTACAGGCACTTGAGACTACAGGCGCATGCCACCCGGCTTATTTTTACATTTATTTTGTTATTTTACTTTATGGCTACCAAGTCTGGCAGTTATGCAACTGACAATAGTTTGAGTTAAAAAAAAAATTGGAATGATAGCACGGTTGGATCGGTGTTGCTGTGTGGCTGGGATACCATTTCAGGCTCAGTTGCACAAGTCAGACTCTATTCTAGCTAGTTCGAGCAAGAAATTATTTATTACAGGGTGTAAAATGGAGGCTTGAGAATAAATTTCAGGTTGTACTTCCAATAGTGACTCCCAAAACTCTACCCCAAGACTAGGCCTCCAAGAAGTTGTCTACCTTTCTTAAGATCGGGAAAATGCTGGCTCCCAAACCATATCATCATTGTCATCACTGCAGCCATTGAGGAGCCTCCCTGGTCAGGAGATGTCCCTACTGCTGCCAAGTGCCAGGAGTATGCCACATTTGGTATAATCAACATCAGTAAAACAGATGCTCCATGACTTGCCTTTCAACATCAAAAAAACTTTTTTGCCTATTTACAGGCAAAAAAGCCAAATACTTCATGTTTAATTACAGGTTCACAATCCCTTGTTTGATACCCTTGGGGGCCACATGTGTTTTGGAATTCAGAGCCGCAAAATTTTCTAGAGGAAAATGAGTACTCACCCAAAGTGGGAGAAGAAAAGGAAGACTATGAATGAATTCACAGCAAGGTCAAGTTTTGATGTCAAATGAATTTGTGCAAATTTATAAAAGTAAATCAGTGCTTAGAGTTTTGGGATTTTTGAAGTGTGGAGAAGGGATTTGGGACTTGCAGTTCACCGGGGGCTCTAAGTGAATTGCCTATTAGGGAGGTGATATAACAAAATTAAATATCCCCATGTAGACTCCATCCCCTTGTGGAGTTCACACTCATTCTATTCCCAATATTTCCTAAAGTGTCACCTCCTGTTTTCTCCTCTTCCAGTTTTACAACTTGAGGGAAAAAAGTGTGACTCTGAGATGTACCAGCTGTTAGGCCAGAGACAACCCTCAGATCACCTGGGACTTGCTCCTTGTTGCCTCCTCTTTGATCTTTGCATCAGAGGGCCCTGCCAGTCTCTGTCCTCACAGTACCCAGTCTCTTGGTAAGTGCTACTCTTCACACCTTCACACCAGCTCTAAGAAATAGATAGAAAGCTGACAATATTCGGCAGCTGTTCTCCTCCATGAACAATTGAGATAACTTAAAAATGTTCTGCAGCAATGTAGATCTTCTACTTTTTGCCCCATCCTTACTAAAAATGAAACACTTCTTGACTCCAAAAGATTGGTAAGTATTTGCTGAACAGAAGAGTAGTAGATTCATTTCCCTAAAACTCTGCTGTGGTCATGTCATATTTCTGCTCTACTTTCCAAAGTTCTTGCAGACTTTCAAACTTGCAAAACTTTCACAAGCCCTCCATGCACACTGAACAAAATCTTTCAGGACCTTTATGCTCTTCCTTCTGGCCTCTTCTCTAGTGTCCTGGAGATGTGCAATGTGGTTGCCCTGACTCTGCTAATCCTCTGTCCTTTCTTCCCTCTTTCCCTCGTTTCCTTTCTTCCACAGCTATTTAGTAAGCATCTTGTATGTGTCAGGCAGTGGATGTACAGTGGTAAATAGAACAGATACAGTCCCTGCTTTCATGGAGCTTTCGTTGATCCCCTACCCATCTCCTCTCACCACTTCAATATGTCTGTCCAACTTACAGTGCTTGCATTTTTTTTTGCCTGGGGTTTTTCTCTGGGCCACAGAGCTTACTTTGTCACACATATGGCAGGCTGCTTAAAGTGTTAGAGAATTAACACCCCCCTCAGCATCCTTCAGTCAGTAGCTGGAATACATAATTACCCCAGGCCCCTCACCCACTTGGGGAGGTATAGCCAGGAGGAGCAGGTTGTGTGCACTGAATCCCTGAATTCCGCAGCTGGACTGAGCTCTAGCTATAGTGGCAACTCTCTTAATAAAGAACCCTTTATCAGTTCTCTTTCCTTCTCTGTCTCTTTTCCCCATTCCTTTACTAAAGTTTCCTGGAATCAACTGCAAAATAAATTACTTGCACTTGAGTTTTATCTGGTCTGGCTTGGGGGGAGCCCAAAATTATTTTTCCGATAGCTTTACACTGTGTTATGTTTACATAAGAGGCAGCACAGGATGGTAGGAACACACAGATTTTGCATAGGTAGACCAGGGTTTGAATCTTGGTCCTGCCACAGACTAATATGTGATTCTGGGTAGATTTACAGAAGGGGAAGCTTGGTCTTTAGCACCGTATGAGGCTGATATTGATAATGACACATAGTTGGCATTCCAACTGAATTTTGTCTTTCCAAATATCTGTGTCTTGACTCAAGCTATTCTTATTGGCTGAAATCTCCCACCATTTTTGCCTATGGGAAATTTGCATTTGCCTCTAAGAGTCTGCCTCAGCCATGATGTCTTCTGTAATTAATGCAGCAAGGAGTGAGATCTTTTGTTCCTCAACTCTTATAGTATTGGTTATTAGGAGCATTTTCATAGCGCTGATCAAAAGCTAATCTGCTTTATAATGGTTTGTCTCCATCTTCCCTCCCCTGCTAATTGTAAAATTGACAGGGAACAGGAGCCGCATCTGGGTCTAGGACACAGCATTTTGTTTGCTGAGAGTCTGGTAGAACTTCCCACAGCCCACGGGTTGATGGAACTGTGATAACCAGCTCACAAGCTGGGGGAAAAACCAAGATCCCATGGCACCAAGTATTACACCCATGTAATTTTGTTACATTACTAATTATAAAGACACTGACATTTAAGAGTTAATAAAAAATGAACTGACCTTTTCTCTCCCAGGACCTTGGGACCCAAGGCAATGGGGAGTCAATCTCAGGGCAATTTCTGCCAATGAATTGTTCCCTGTAGTCAGACAAAGCCTTTCTTGTGTTCTTCCCCTCATTTCTCCTCGTGGGACCCTCCTGGAAGGTGACTGTCTTGAATGCTTTATTCATGGCCATGGTACCTTTTTGAGGAGGTTTCGTAGAGGAACAAGAGCTACTCTGGGTGCTGCTGCTGCTGCCCTGAGGCTGTTGGAGAAGCTTCCATAGGACCCACATGGCTCCCAGCAGCTGACAATTCATTTTAAGCCACCTGCCCTCCTGTCATCGTGGCAGAAAGGGGACAAAACACAACGTAAAATCACACAGTGTCTTCTTTTTATTTTTGTGTTACTAAAGTTAGTATTTATTTTATGAAAGTTGTAGCTGCACATAGTATTAGTTATATAGTCCACAGACTAATTACCAAAACCAAGAGCAATCCTCTATGCCCAGACCATTACAGCTCCCAGAGGCAACCACACGCAGCAATTTTAACTCTTATTTTTGATACTTACCTTCATATTTCTGAGTAACATGCTTATATTGCTAGTTCATTCTCCATAATGGCTAAAACTAAATAATCAAGATTTAACTTTTTTTATGGCATCAACCCCCTCCTACAAGCCCACTTCTCATCCCCTTATTGTCTCGATACAGTATATTTATATGATAATGTAGAATGTATCAATAATCAGTGTTTACATAATTAGGACTATGTAAACACTGCTCACCATGGAACCATGTTTTTATATATATATATACTCTTGCTTTTTCTGTCTTGTACATTTTTTGTTTTCCTAGAAGTTAGTGATTAGTTGTCTTATTTTATAATTTGCTTAGTTTTCAATGCAGTTATCATTAATTAGAACAGATATGTAAATAGATATCATCAAAAAGTGCTTCTGGAGCTCTTCACAAACCTCAGCTCTAAATACTCTCATAATGTTTAAATGTTCTCTTTATATTTTCAAATATATCAAATATTCTATCAATTTCAATTTCTCGAAACCATCTTTTCCAGATGGAATTGTTCTGATTTTTCTATTCCAGACTGATTGCTTTCTACCCTAGTACACAATTGTTATCTTGAGACTCTCTCTTCATCATAATTCCATGTGTCCCTTTTACTTCTCTCTTTTTAAGACTTTGCATATTTGAAAGTATTCGTATGCTGCTCTCATATTAAATTGACAGTTTGGCTGGGTAAGAGAGCTCTCACAATTTTAAAGGCAGATTCTCTATTGTCCTTTAACTTCCACTGAGGATGTTTAGAGATCCAAAGCAATTCTAATTGTTGGGCCTTATACAGGAAGTCTTACGTCTCTCTGGAAACTGACAAGATGTTGTTTTTTCCCAGTGCTCTGAAATTTAATGATGACATGCCTTGGTGTGGGTCTACTTTTATCCAATGGGCTTTGCATTACTGGGACTCAACTTCAAAACTCATGTTTCAAATTTACTTAAGTTATTCTCTTTGTTAATTTCTTTCCCTCAATTTTGTACTCATTCTGGAACTCCTATTATTTAGATATTAGATCTCCTGGATGGATCTTCTAATTTTCTTTTCTTTCTTTCCTGTTTTCCTCAATTTTATTTTCCAACTTTTCTAATGCATTTTACATTCCTGCCATCGCAATTTTAACTCCTCAAATTTCTTTCTTAGTCCATGATTATTCTATTTCTGTGGCATCCCATTCTCCTTTCATGGATATAATAATTTTACAAAATCTCTCTAAGGATCAAGTTAATTTTTTAAAAAATTTTATATCCCTTTACAGTTTCCGTTTTCTCTAAGCTGCTTTTGTCTTTTCCTGTATGTTTTTTTGTTTTTTTGTTTTTTTTGGTCAAGAATTATGACGAGTGTAAGACTTTTAGCCCACTTGCAGTCTAACAAGTTAGCCTACTACAGTTGCTTGGATGCTTTAAGAAGGCATGAGACTTCTGGGTCAGAGACACTATGTTATTCACAGCAATAGCCACAGCCAGAGTTTCAGCATTTGTATCAGTTTCCCGAGCATCGGTTCCCACAGGGCAACACAAAGAAGCCTGGGTAATGCCTTCATGCACAGTAGGTGATTATAGGAGAGGAACCCCAAGCTTAGGGGACCCCAGTCTTTTATAATGGACAGTGAGCTTATCTGACTTTTGCTCCAGAGTGAGACAGTATACTGAGCAGGAAATGAATTTGCCCTTTGCTGTGATAGGTCATACTGTCTCTTTCAAGGCTGTTTGCTGTACAAAGACCCTTGAAAAGATAGCCTAGAAAAGCATTCTGTGCCTCTGCTTGAAAGATTTGCAGAAATATGAAAGACTAAAGGGAATTATCTCGCAACATTTGTTTGTTTTTATATTTCAAATTAAACACTTTCCTCGAATGTTTGGTAATCCTTGGTTATCTACTTACACTTAAGAACTGTCTTGGCCGGGCACGGTGGCTCACGCCTGTAATCCCAGCACTTTGGGAGGCCGAGGCGGGCGGATCACGAGGTCAGGAGATTGCAACCATCCTGGCTAACACGGTGAAACCCCGTCTCTACTAAAAATACAAAAAAATTAGCCGGGCATGGTGGCGGGCGCCTGTAGTCCCAGCTACTTGGGAGGCTGAGGCAGGAGAATGGCGTGAACCTGGGAGGTGGAGCTTGCAGTGAGCCGAGATCGCGCCACTGCACTCCAGCCTGGGCTACAGAGCAAGACTCCTTCTCAAAAAAAAAAAAAAAAAACTGTCTTAAAGCTACAAACTTGGCCACTTATGCTCTGTAAGCTGCACTGTTTAACACAGTAGCCATCAGCCGCTTGTGGCTATTGAGCACTTGAAATGTGACTAGTTCAAATTGAGATGAGCTGCCAGTGTAAAGCACTCAATACTTTCAAATACTTAGTATGAAACAATATAAAATATCTCTAATAATTCATATATATATCATGCATTAGAATTATTTATTTATTTATTTATTTATTATTTATTTATTCAATTATTTTTGAGATGGAGTCTCACTCTGTCACCCAGGCTGGAGTGCAGTGGCACAACCTCGGCTCACTGCAACCTCCACCTCCCGGGTTCAAGTGATTCTCCTGCCTCTCAGCCTCCTGAGTAGCTGGGACTACAGGTGCATGCCACCATGCCCAGCTAATTTTTTGTATTTTTAGTAGAGACGGGTTTTCACCGTGTCAGGCAGGATGGTCTTGATCTCCTGACCTCGTGATATGCCCGCCTCAGCCTCCCAAAGAGCTGGGATTATTTTTAGACACATAGGATTAAATAAAATATATTATTAAAGTATGTTTAATACTTTTTTAAAATGTGGCTAATATAAAATTCTGAGGTTTGTGAAGGGCTTCTTCAGTACTTTCTGGTGATGTCTTTTCACCAGAAAATTCACATAATTTTTTAATCAAATGAAGTAAGTTTTCAGAGATATTTATGTCCTTTTCCACAATTACCCAGAAAATCCTTTGGCTATCATAGCATCTTTCTCTTTGATCACCCCTAGGAAATGTTTTTTGCTTTTAAGAACTCATGCGAATGTATTTAGCTCACCTACATAATCTAAGTTAATCTCTCACCTCTGCATGTAACCTTAAACACACAAAGTCTGCATGTAACCTTAAACACACAAAGTTCTTTTTCCAGGTAAGGTGACATAGTCATAGCTCTGAAGATGAGGACATGGGCAGCTTTAAGGGCCATTATTCTTCCTATCACACTATTATTGTGTCCATTTGATATGATTTGGCTGTGTTCCCACCCAAATCTCATCTTGAATTGTAACTCCCGCAGTTCCCACATGTTGTGGGAGGAACCCAGTAGGAGGTGATTGAATTATGGAGGCAGGTCTTTCCCGTGCTGTTCTCATGATAGTGAATGAGTCTCATGAGATCTGATGGTTTTAAAAATGGGAGCTTTCCTACACAAGATGTCTCTCTTTGCCTGCTGCCATCCATGAAAGACAAGACTTGCTCTTCCTTACCTTCCACCATGATTGTGAGCTCTCCCCAGCCACATAGAACTATAAGGCCAATAAACCTCTTTCTTTTGTACATTGCCTAGTCTTGGGTATGTCTTTGTCAGCAGCATGAGAACAGACTAATACAGTAAATTGGTACCAGTAGAGTGGGGCACTGCTGAAAAGATACCCCAAAATGTGGAAGCAACTTTGGAACTGGGTAACAGGCAGAGGTTGGAACAGTTTGGAGGGCTCAAAAGAAGACAGGAAAATGTGGGAAAGTTTGGAACTTCCTAGAGACTTGTTGATTGGCTTTGACCAAAATGCTGATAGCGATGTGGCCACAGGGTCCAGGCTGAGGTGATCTCTGATGGAAATGAGGCACTTGTTGGGAACTAGAGCAATGTTTTAGCAAAGAGACTGGCAGCATTTTGCCCCTGCCCTAGAGATTTGTGGAACTTTGAACTAGAGAAAGATGATTTAGAGTATCTGGCAGAAGAAATTTCTAAGCAGCAAAGCAATTCAAGAGGTGACTTGAGTGCTATTAAAGGCATTCAGTTTTATAAGGGAAGCAGAGCATAAAAGTTTGGAAAATATGCAGGCTGACAATATGATAGAAAAGAAATCCCATTTTCTGAGGAGAAATTCAAGCTGGCTGCAAAAGTTTTCATAAGTAACAAGGAGTCGAATGTTAAGTTGCAAGACAATGGGGAAAATGTATCCAGGGCATGTCAGAGGTCTTCATAGCAGCCCATTCCATCACAGACCCAGAGGCCTACGAGGAAAAGGTGGTTTCAGGGAATGGGCCCAGGGTCCCCGTGCTGTGTGCAGCCTAGGGACTTGGTGCTCTGCATCCCAGCTGCTCCAGCTGTGGCTGAAAGGGGCCAACATAGAACTCAGACTGTGGCTTCAGAGGGTGCAAACCTCAAGGTTTGGCAGCTTCCATGTGGTGTTGAGCCTGCCAGTGCACAGAAGTTAAGAATTGGGGTTTGGGAACCTCTGCCTAGATTTCAGAGGATATATGGAAATGCCTGGATGTCCAGGCAGAAGTTTGCTACAGGGGTAGGGCTCTCATGGAGAACCTCTGCTAGCATAGTATGGAAGGGAAATGTGGGGTCAGAGCCCCCACACAGAGTCCCTACTGGGGCACTGCCTAGTGAAGCTGTGAGAAGAGGGCCATTTTCCTTCAGACCCCAGAATGGTAGATCCACTGACAGCTTGCACCGTGCACCAGGAAAAGCCATAGACACTCAACACCAGCCCATGAAAGCAGCCTGGAGGGAGGTTGCATCCTACAAAGCCACAGGGGCAGAGCTGCCCAAGACCATGGGAACCCACCACTTGCATGAGCATGACCTGGATGTGAGTCATGGAGTCAAAGGAGATCATTTTGGAGCTTTAAGATTTGACTGCCCTGTTGGATTTTGGACTTGAATGGGGCCTGAAGCCCCTTTGTTTTGGCCAATTTATCCCATTTGGAATGGCTGTATTTGCCCAATGCCTGCATCCCCATTGTACCTAGGAAGTAACTACGTTGCTTTTGATTTTACTGGCTCCTATGTGGAAAGGACTTGCCTGTCTCAGATGAGACATTGAACTGTGGACTATTGAGTTAATGCTGAAATGAGTTAAGACTTTGGGGCACAGTTAGGAAGGCATGATTGGTTTTGAAATGTGAGGACATGAGATTTGGGAGGGTCAAAGGGCAGAATGATATGGTTTGCCTGTGTCCCCACCCAAATCTCATCTTGAATTGTAACTCCCACAGTTCCCACATGCCATGGGAGGAACCCAGTGGGAGGTGATTGAATTATGGGGGCAGATCTTTCCTGCACTGTTCTCATGCTAGTGAGTGAATGTTACGAGATCTGATGGTTTGCACAAGCTCTTCCTTTGCCTTCTGCCATTCATATAAGATGTGGTTTGCTCCTTCTTGCCTTCTGCTATGATTGTGAGGCCTCCCTAGCTATGTGGAACTGTGAGTCCAATTAAACCTCTTTCTTTTCTAAATTGCCCAGTCTCAGGTATGTCTTTATCGGCAGCATGAAAATGAACTGATACACCATTTTACAAATGATAAAACTGAGAAGTGCCATGTTCAAGGTCATACACCTAAGGGTTAGAGTTGCATTTTCAACCCAGGCTGTTTAGAACCAGATCCTGTGCTACATTAGGGCTGGGATGACTAAGAGCCAAGAACAAAATAAGGCAAAAGTCACCCCTTGGCAGAGGCCTCACGTATGTAAACTGCATTCCTGCTGAAGGCTTATCTCGACTATTTTTAAAGGCTTAGATAATGAAAAAGGAAGAAACATCCTTCTTTTGTTGTTGTGAAGTGGCTTAAATCATGTAGAAGCCCATTCATGTTGACAAGTATATAGGCTCTAGGAAAACCGATCAACTGTGGATTTGTTTGAAATTGACAAAAATTCCTGCCCCCAGCAAACTGGGGACAGAGGGCTATGTCCTTTATATCTTTCCTGACTCATCAATTTGATGAGGCCTTTGTTTTACAGCTGGGAAAAATATAAGGAAGAGCATTGTGGATGTGATTTTTTTCAAACCAGGATTCAACTAAAATTTATTTTATTAGTTCTCCTTCAATCTATAACCTTCATTATTATTATTGTTGTTGTTACTCTCCTGGCCAGCACATTCTTGTCACTAACAGTGCCTTGCTGTAATGATTCTCACTGGGGGTAGTCAGGGTTCTGAGGGGGTGGTGGCAGGAGAGCACTTGAACAAGAGCAATGACGACTGGGTCTACATGGGAGGCAGTCTGGACTTGGGGCACCCCAACAGAGGCACTACCAATCTAGGCTGTTCTCAGATGCTGGAAGAGGATTTAGACAAATATGAGGAAGACACTCCAAGATGAGATCCCTGATGAGGTACGGGGTCTGGGACAGGGGCCCTGCTTGCCCAGGTCAAGGGAAGTATAGGAGGTAGGGCAGGGATATGGAGAATAATCTCACAGTGGTGGGAAGGGTGAGTCGAATGTGTCTAGATAGCACATCTAAGGGGCTGCTCTCTCAAATGCCACCGGAACTCTAGGCATGCTCCTCCCATTCCCATTTTCACATCCTTCATTTATTCAGCAAGTATTTATTGAGCACTGAATGTGCACCAACCACTGTTCTAGGTATACTTCTAGCCAAAAATGCCTGCCCTCATAGAACTCACATTCTATTGGGGGAAACAGACAACAACATATGTAAGTAAAAAATATGTGTTATATAGTGAAAAGTGGTAAGGAGGAACAATGGCGTGTAGTGGAAGTGAAGGATAGGAAATACCAGGTGAAAGTGAGATGTTATAATTGTTGATAATGTGTTAGTTACCTCTTGCTGAATAACAAACTACCCCAAATATGAGCGGCTTAAAACAAGAAACATTTATGATCACAGTTTCCATGACTCAGAAATCCAGGCACAGTTTAGGTGTGCCCAGGGTCCTCTGGCTCAGGAAGTCACAGGCTGGGCCAGGGTCTCAGGTCTCACAAGGTTGTAATCAAGGTGCTGGCCAGGCTTGCAGTCATCTCAGGGTTTGAACAGGGGAGGATCCACCTCCAAGATCACTCACATGGTTGTTGGCAAGGAATCAATTTCTGGAAGTTTGTTGGACCGAGGTTCTCAGCTCTTTATCAGCTGGTTGGCAGAGCCCTCCCTCCTATCCTGGCCACATCAGCTTCTCTAGGGCAGTTCACAACATGGCAGCTGGCTTCACCAAAGAGAGCAAGTGAGAGAGGAAGGGAAGGCAAGCTGGAAATAAGCCAGACTCTTTGTTACCTAATCTTGGAAGTGACATGCCATCCCTCTTGCTATTTTCTTTTCCTTAGGAGTTGGTCACTAGGTCCCTCCCACACTCAAGGACAAGACTATAGAAGGACACAAAGACCAGGGGATGAGGATCTTTCAGGGCTATCTGAGAAACTCCTATTATAGAAGAAGCAGATTGGAGACCTTGCCAAGAAAGTGGTAGTTGAGTAAAGAAATGTAGGAAGGCAGGAAAAGAGCAATATCTGGAAGAAGAGCATTCCAAGCTCAGGGAACAGAACAGGCAGAGTTTTCCAGGCAGGAGCAAGGCATGTATAGTCTCTCTGTAAAAAGTAATCTACTGATGGTCTCCAGCAATTTGCCTGACTTTAACATATTTTGATCTGATATGCACTAATCAATAAGATCTCTTCATCCCATAAATATACACCATCTTCCATACATTAGGCTCTGTGCAAGGCTAAGAGTGTCAGCAACCCTGAGCTCAACTAATCAAAGGGAAGCTTTTCAGGCCTGTGCACTGGCCCTGCAGCTTTGATGAGTAGAGGATGGTCTGTAATATTTATTATCCTACAGCATTTCTCTTTAGACACAGAAATTGTCTAAGGAGTGACATCAGCAAGATGGTGGACTAGGAGGCTCTGACCCTCCTCCCCCACCAAATAAACAACAATTTGGCAATTATCCAGGGACTGAAAGAGCACTGGGAGAGCTCCGGAGTGAGGTTAAGAAGCTACAGCCACCCAGTGGAGCACAAAAACTGAGGACAGCCATATAGAAAAGTATAGAAAGCATTTTACCTGAGTAACTCCGCTCCCCTAGGGCCAGCTTATACACTGAAAATTATAATACATTGATGAAGAAATTAAAGAAGACACAGATAAATAGAAAGAAATCTTGTTTTCATGGATCAAAAGAATATTGTTAAAATATCCATACTACCCAAAGTGATCTACAGATTCAATGACATTTCTATTAAAATTCCAAAGGCATTCTTTATAGAAATAGAAAAAATATTCTAAAATTTATATGAAATCACAAAAACCTCTGAATAGTCCAAGCAATGTTGAGTAAGAAGAGCCAAGTTGGAAGCAACAGCTGTCTAGATTTCAAAATATATTACAAAGCTATAACAATCAAAACAGCATGACACTGGCATAAAACAGACATATAAGCCAATAGAACAGAATAGAGAGCCCAGAAATAAATACACTCATTAACTGATCTTTCACAAAGGTGCCAAGAAAACACAACGGGGAAAAGATTGTCTCTTCAACAAATGGTATTGGGAAAACTGGATATCCACATGCAGAAGAATGAAATTGGACCCTTATCTCACACTATATACAAAAATCAACTCAAAATAAAGACTTAAAAGTAAGATCTAAAATCAGAAAGACTACTAGAATAAAACATAGGGAAAAAGCTTTTTGATCTTTGTTTGGGCAATGATTTTTCTTGGATATAACCCCAAAAAGCACAGGCAACAAAAGCAAAAATAGAAAAATGGGATTCTATCAAACTAAAAAGCCTCTGTACAGCAAAGGAAACAATCAACAAAGTGAAAGGTAACCTACGAAGTGGGAGAAAATATTTGCAAACCACGTATCAGATGAGGGTTTAACATCCAAAATATATAAGGAATTCATAACAACTTAATGGCAAAATCAAACAACCCAATAAAAAATGGGCAAAGGACATAGACATTTATCAGAGAAGATATACAAACGGCTGATAGGTGTATAAAAAGGTGCTCAACATCACTAATAATCAGGAAAATGCAAATTAAAATCACAATATAATATTACCTCTCACCTGTTAGAACGGCTATTATCAAAAAGACAAAAGATAGCATGTGTTGGTGAGGATGTGGTGAAAAGGAAACCCTTGTACACTCTTGGTGGAAATGTAAATTGGTATAGCTATTACGGAAAACAGTATGGAGGTTCCCCAAAAAGTTAAAAATAAAACTACCATATGACTTAGCAGTCTCATTTCTGGGTATATATGCAAAGGAAATGAAATCAGTACCCTGAAGAGATATGAATACTCCAATGTGCAATGAAGCATTATTCACAATACCCAAGATATAGAAACAACCTAAATGTCTACAATAGATAAGTGATTTTTAAAAATGTGGTATATATGTATACATATACAAAACAGAATATCATTCAGCCTAAAAAAAGAAGGAGATCCTGCCGTTTGCAACAACATGGATGAATCTGAAGGATATGATACTAAGTAAAATAAGCCAAACACAGAAGGACAAATATTTCAGGATCTCACTTATATGTAGAATCTAAAATAGTCAAACTCATAGAAGTGGAGAGTAGAATGACGGTTACCAGGGGCTGGCGGGGAGGAAGAAATGTGGAGACATTGATCAAAGGGTATAAAGTTTCAGTTTTGCAAGATGAGTAAGTTCTGGACATCTAACATACGTCAATGTGACTATGGGTAAATTGTGTGAGGTGAAGATACGTTAGTTAGCTTGACTGTGGCTGTCATTTTACAATACATGTGTAAATCAAAACACCAAGTTGTATACCTTAAATGTGTACAAGTTTTAATTATACCTCAATAAATTCTGGCTATCATTCCACAATACATACATATATCAAAACACCAAATTGTACACCTTAAATGTGTTCAATTTTTTTATTGTACCTCAAAAAAGCTAAAAAAAGTCATGAATAAAAAGACTAGAAATTGCCTGGAAACAAAAATGCTTTCAATCTATCAGGGATTCTTAACTTGGGGTCTGTGGCTAGATCTCAGGTTCCAGGAAACTGGATGAGAAAAAAATTTATGTCTCTATTTTTACTAAGCTATAATGAAAATTTAGCCTGTCCCTCTGTCATGAATGTAGGTGTGATAGTTGGCTTCCCATGTGGCTCCAGGGACCCCCCTCCTGATGTTCACACACCCGTGCAGTCCCTCCCTTGGAGCCCCACATTGGTCCTGTGACATACGGCACAGGAGGAGTGATGGCTGTTACTTCCGAGATTAGGTTATGAAAGGGTGCAGCTTCTGACTGGGACTCTTGTTCTTTTTCTCCATCACTCACTCTAAGGGAAGCCAGCTGCCATGTCTTGACATGTGACAAGGAACTAAGGCATCCAGCCAAGAGCCAGTGAGAATGTGAGACCAGCCAACAGCCACATGAGTGAGCTTGGAAGTTGGAAGTCAATCTTCCCGCCTTCAGATGGCTGGAGTCCTGGCCAACAACTTGACTTCAACCTCATGGGAGACTCAGAGGAAAAACGCCCAGCTAAGCCCCTCCTAGATTCCCAACCCTTAGAAACTGAGTGTGATATTTGTTATTTTTGAGTTGCTAAGTTGTGTTATGCAGCAATAAATAACACCATAGGCAGCAAACACTGTAGTATTAGCAGTACCTGTGATTCTATCACTTTATCACTAAAATATTTTGTTTATTGATTTTAATATGACTGGTGTCCTTTATGTCCTTTATAATTCTATGTATGTATTTAAATTTTTGCATTTAAAAACATTCTTCTGAGAGGGGATCCATAGGCTTTACCAGACAGCCAAAGGGCACAAAAAAAGGTTAAGAACCCTGAATTTGCAAGTCATAGTTTCTTCCTGGTGATGTGCAGGGGGACAAAAAACACCTCCCAAAGGTGTAATTAAATTCTGCACAGACCACAGCGGCAGGATCTTCCAGGGGTTGGGGCCAGCTGTCCGCTGTGGGGACAGGGATGAGCTTGGTGGGCTGGGCAGGGCTGTCCTCCTCCACAGGAGGGAGGAGCAGCTTCTGCATCCAGCCTGGACTCCTCCAGCACCAGCAGTGCCTCCTGCCCACACTTTGCACCAAACATAGCTCTCCCTTCCCTTTTCATCCAGTGTCAGAATTGCTCTTTTAATTGGCTGACAACCCTGAAGCCGGGAGAATGCAGAGGAATGCAGTCAATGTGCTGACAGCCCGTGTGAGAGTCAGCACAGAGCACCCGCTGGGCTGAGCAGCAGGAGGTGGGCTCCTTCCCAGGGTAGTCCAGAGAAGGAGCTGAATGTGAAACTCCTGTTTGGCATTTCCTGGCCCAGGACAATGGAGATCATCACACCTCCCCTTGATCCTCAGGAATCTGGATGCTCACTGTCTAGAGGGGACTGGACCCCAGAGGCATCTCCCCAGCCCTTCATGGAAAAGTGACCGGCACCAGTACCTCCATTTCCAAGATAAGAGTTTGTGTCCCTGGTCCTAGAGGTTCCAGGCGGAGCTAGGAAAAAGTTAGAGAATGTTGGCCACCTCCAGTGTCAGTCTCAGCTTACAGATGTGGACACTGAGAGCAAGAAAAGTGAAGTGTCTTCTCAGGGTCACAAAATTCATTTGGCAAGAGTCAAATCAAAACCCTGGTGTCCTGACACACTGTGCCTGTCTTATTGACTGTTATATTTCTAAGCCCTGGCAGAGGGCCCAGCACATAGAATGTTGTTGAAGGCATGAGTAAGCACACCCAATCTGAGTGTTCTTTCTGTCCCATCAAACCTTTCTACACTTTCACACAAGGACATGGAAAAAACAGTGGGCCTGGGTGAATCTCTTCATTTTAATTTTCCTCTTTGTCAAAACGAATGGTAAGTTGTCTCCCCATCTCTACTTCCTCCTTTTTCCACTTCAAAATCTAAAAAATCACCCATATTTTGGCAAGCTGTTAGATTACAAGAGTGAATTTTGTTGTAAATTTGGTAATCCTAGGATCATTACTAGTTTAGCTGTAAAATGAAGAGGTACTCTAAGACTATTATAACAAGACAGGAAAGATAGTGCTGGGGACTCTCTGTGACCCATGATGAGACGGGAAGGATGAAGGAGGGACCCCCCACCTCCTCTGAGGCCAGAGCTGAGTCACAGGTATCTGAAGAATTTGTATCTCCCCTGCCTAGAGCAGCGCCATTCATGCATTACATATAGTAGGTGCTCAATAAAGATTAGTTGACTGCTGATTGACTGACAGAGTAGTGAAAGCACCCTGCGAGCTGACCCTAATGGTGGTCACCACAGCCTCCCATGTCTTCTCCCTGCAGATGAGATAGGCCACCAAGACGTGAAGTCCTAAGGGATCCAAGCCAGAGCCAGATCTCCAATGTGCCCTTCCAGGCTCTAGTAATGAGGATATGAGAAGCCCAGGGTGGCAGAATCCAGGTAGACCTCTGTATTGCACATGTGTGCATATACATGCCTTGCCAATGTGTACCTCTGTAATCAGCTAATAGGAACTGGTAGACATCTATAGAGGACAGCCAGCCAGAACAAAGCCGTGGCATCATGATCCCAAAGCTGAAGGAGTTTATCTTCACCATCTCCATTACTGGTCGTAAGTCTTAAGGAGCCACATGGCCACATTGTGGCTTTCAAAAGCAGTCCCTGGCCTTCAGTTTTTCAATGAAGTATACCTCATAACACACAGACACACACACACACACAAAACATATATATATAACACTTATGTATGAAAAGTATACTCTTTTATCTAGAAATATTCCCAGAAAAATCAAGGAAGAAAAACATCAAACATAAAAAAGTATATTCTATTTTAGTGTGTTTCCTTTTTTCCAGTCTCCTGAAAATCCTTGGATGCAGGCTAAGTTGATGAGTTCATGAGTTGGATACAGTATGTGTTTTGAATTTTTATAAAATCCTTGGAAGATTATACCGGATAAGGCAGTTTTTTTCTTCCTGTGACATATTTGAAATAGAAGGAAAAACAGGAGGCATATGCCCCTGAATAGTTTAAGGTAATGTGGTTTTAGCCATTCAGAGCAATAAATATTTATTGACATCCTACTATATATAAGACATTGAGCAAGTGCCTTACAGAGTCAGAAATGAACATGATACATCCCCGTAGATAAGGATTTGTGCCTCTGGGTACCTATAATCTACTATATACACAACAAATGAAGTGTATACACAAATGATAGAAAATGCATGCAGAAAGTGCTAGATGCAGTAAAAGACTCCAAATAACATATTCTGGAATGACAAAGAGCAATTTTAGGAGAATGAAGGGATTAAAGGGTGAATGAGAGGTGAGACTGAGGAGACATAAGTACAGGAATTTAGAGTTAAGAAGGTGAGGACAATATTGAAGTGAATGGCAGGGCCAAAGAAAAAATTCTCTCCAAAGGGGAAGTATGGAACCCATTTCTACCATCCAATCATGTGCTCTCTCTCTCTCTTTCTCCCTCTAGGTTGCAGAATCAAATGTACAAAGCTAAAGGTTAGCATGCCAAAGACCATTTTTTTATTCTCAGAGACCTGAGAAAGGAAGGTTAAAGGGTCCTATGACCAAATTATTTTTCACCTTAAAATCTCTGTCTTTACTTTCCCTAAGTGGTTTTCCATGTCCCTGTCTCCTTAGCAATAATGACCAACGTCAAGATGAAATAAGATGAGAGAAAGTATCTGAGTGCTGTGTTTTGTCTTTCAACCAGGCACCTAAATATATCCACAAATCAATTCTACTCAAAAGGGCGGCTGCCTGGAAGGCACTGGCGTAGGCCTTGATCTCTCAACCCCCTTCTTTCAAATGGCTCTCTGACCTTTTAGAGTTTGCATTTTTTTCTTGGCCAATTTTCTTCAGTAATATTCTTCCTGTTTTCTTTCTAGCCATGATGTTTTATCTAGCCTACCTCTAAATATTATTTCCTCTCTAGCCACACATTAGCTTATTTTAACTACTTATTCTTTCCTGACTATCACCTTTCTACAAACTTCCCACGTCTCTTTGGCACTTTTCCAGCCATTTTCCATCTTACCTCGTATTTTGTGCAGAGTTCATACAAATGTATATATATTATACATATAACTCATTCCCATGGGCAAGCTTCACAGGAAGCATCTTACAAGGCACCATTCATCACATCCCACACTATACCCTGGCCCCAAAAGCTTGTTTAAAGCTCTTCCTCTGATAGCAGATTCTATGTAAGGCAGGCAGAGCAGCATGCTGAGAAGGGACTCTAACTCCCCCTTTCCCTCTCATTTGTCAAGTGAGATCATGTATATGAAAAGGCTTTGAAATTCATTTTATATTATATTATATTATATTTATTTTGAGACAGGGTCTCACTCTGTTGCCCAGGAGCACAGTGGCATGATCATGGCCCAGTGCAGCCTCAAGCTCCCAGGCTCAAGCAATTCTCCTGCCTCAGCCACTCAAGCAGCTGGGATTACAGGCACATTCCACCATGCTCAGCTATTTTTTTTGTCTTTTGTTTGTGTTTGTTTTTGTTTTTGTAGAGACGGGGTTTCGCCGTGTCTCCCAGGCTGGTCTAGAACCCCTGGGCTCAGGCGATCCCCTTGCTTCAGCCTCCCAAAGTGCTTAAATTACAGGCATGAGTCACTGTGCCCAGCGCAGTTTTGAAAATTTTAAAGCATGTCCCTGCTGTTATTACAGTTTGTTTTCTTGCACATTAAACAAGAATTTATTGAGAAACGTCTGTGTGTCAGGCATTAGAGGTAAAATGTGAACAAGATAGTGTGGTCTAAGATGCAAAAGGAAAGGAAGGAAGGAAGGAAGGAAGGAAGGAAGGAAGGGAGGGAAAAAAAATTGCACAGTTCCTGGCTTCATAATTCTTACAGTCTACAGCAGAACATGGGTGTTAATCAAATGTTATATGATTAGGTATAAAATGACCACTGGGCTCATTTTATACCTAGTGCTATGAAGAAAAGTTTTATCATACCATGTAGTAAGGAGTAGGCACTTGATCCAGTCTTAGGAGGAGTCAGGGGTCACCCTGATGTATCTGAGAACTGGAGGATGATTGGGAGCAAATTCTGCCCAGGCAGACTGTGAAAAAGCACCCCAGGCCCAGTGCATGGCCTTTGCAAAGGTCCAAAGGTGGGAAGGAGCAGGGCTAGTTTCTCCAGGACCTGGAAGAAGGCCAATGTGATAGGATGAAGCCAATATGAGTGAGGGATGTGGTCCATGATGGGCTGGAGAAAAGATAGTTGGGCTTTCTAGACAAAGTCAAATTTCATGGGGAATACTAAGGGGTTTTAGCTATAATTCAGGTAACTATGGGAAGACAGCAACTTTGAATACAGTGGCAACAGATTGTGTTGGAGGGAAGAGCAAGGAATAGTCGACCTAAAGAGTCCATGGGAGAAGTATAGGTGAGAAGGATGATCATGATTTAAGCTTATGTGGTGACACCAAAGTTGGAAAAAGTTAAGAGTGTCAAGCAATACTTAAGAGGTAAAATTCTCATAATTTGGTAACAGAATAGAAGTAGAAGATGAGGAAGAAAGCTCCGCAGAAAATTGCTACTGGCTTTTCCACTTGAGAGATTAGATGTACATGGAGGCATTCACTTGGCTCTTTGCCCGTGGAGTAGCAAGTGCAGCCATTCTGAAAGAGTGTCCCTCCAGCACAGGGGTGTTGCTGAGCAATGCCATATCACAGGGGCTGAGACATTCATGGATGGTATCTCCAAAAGACACTACTGGATAGGGTCCCTGAACTTCAGAGAAGAGGAAGGCTCCATTCAACTACAGATCAGCAGCCTGTCATTCAAGAGCCCTCCTGAAACACAAGGTTGTGACTGATGGTCTGGTCCAGTCACTCCACAGGCACCATGCAGTGTCCACTCACTACAGTCCTTTCCTCAGTCCACCAGCCCTGGACCCACTAGAGCCACAGAAGGATCCCAAGACCGGCTCTCACGCTGAGCACCCAACAAACTTCCTGCCCCTTCTCATTCCTCAGAATGCTGATACCTCTTTCGCTATGCCCTAAAGCACAAATGCCTCATTCTAAATGCTTTCCAGGACAAGAGACCTGGATTGCCTTTCTGCTGAAGAAAACACAAAATGGCCTGTTTACAGGTTGTTGCTGTGGGTGCAATGGATCTGAGTACAAACCTGGAAGCTTCTTTTCTTTCTGGCCTTCTAAACTCTAAAATGTTAACCCCTACCTTCTTTTTGGACAATAAAATATGATTTCCTTCAAGAGAGCTCTCACCTACAAAAACAATAGATCTGTTTATAACCCCACCTTTGTGGCAAGAGATGGAAGAAGAATGTCTCGAGTCACTGTCTAAATGCTACTGAAAGATCTTCCATGCCTCACTTCCACAGTTCGAAACAAAAGCCATCAGTTTTTAATCTTCAACAAGCCATTCCACTACAGTCAGTGAAGCTTACATTTGTGGAACATTACAGATGTCCTACAAAATCCTGTCTCCCCCTTGACCAGCTTAACTCCCCCAACTTCCCTTGTAGTTATGTGTGTCCATAAAACCCTCTCACTGTTGGCTGACTGTAAGGTGGATGCTCAAGGTGACTTTGAGATCCACATGTTGAATATGACAGAGCAACCCTCAGCCTGGGTCCCTGAATGAAGGAGAGGATAGCTGCTCCTCCTACCAGAAGACCCTCCATGACTCTTTCATGAGAAAGAATAGCTCTTTTCTTTAAGCCACTAAACTTCTGAAGTCTGATAGCTACTAGCAGCACCTTTTTAGTCATGTATGATGCTCATTGGACATTTCTAGACCATAATCTTGATAGATTTGGTAGATGGCTCTCCTATCATCCTCTTGTGCTTGCTTTAACTATAATACTTAGACAAGTAAACGGATCATTTTAATGACCTGAGATGGCTCTCCTATTAAACCATGAGCTTCTTGAAGGCAAAGACTACACTACGCCTCATCCTTCATTCAGTCTACAGTTCCTAGCCTAGTGCTTGGCATACATGAAGCTTTCAACAGATAAATTTTTATTATCTCATATTGCTTAGGAAATATTGTGTGATGGGCTTGCAAAATTTACTCACATAACAATTCAGATGTGCAGAGAAGATATACCTCTGGGCCTAATCTTTCTCATGATGCTTCCCTTGCTTGTTTGTTGGGATATACCAAAGAGGATGACTCAATGCCGAATCCAGGTAAACCTTTCTCTACTGCTACAATGTAAATAACCTCTGAGTAATACCTGTACTGTTGGAATAATTGCTGTTATTAATATTAACTTTTCTTTCTCCTACGTAGTGTCTAGGATATGAAAGGAAAAACACTGGAGTAAAAGAGTCTCAAGCCCACCTGATGTCCTCCCAATCCTAGGTGGCCTTGCCTGTAGGGAGTCTGCTTTGCAGTGGGCAGCTGCTGAATTCTTTCTCAGTTGAGTCAGGATCCTGTGGCTACTTTCTGTTAACTTTGCAGGGCAGACTTCTCTGAGTCTTTGTTATGTCCTTCCAGAGCCCCAGACCAAATTGTTCTTCCCCAGCCTTTATTATGTGATTATCTCACTCCAACCATGATGGCCCTAAGGATGACCCCCTGGCTCTCTCTTGGTGTTTATGCCATACAGAAATCAGGAGAGACTCAGGAGTGTAATCCAGATCCTCTGTCTAGCCTGCTGCTCTCTTAGCTGAGCTGTGCCTTGTTGGCATGATGTCCATTGCACAGATGCCTCTTGCAGATTTCTAGCAGGAAGTAAAATTAAAGCTCATCAAAGGGAATTCAGGACTCACATGTCTGACAGCCTTCTTTACCTACCTCTGTCTCCCTTCTTTTCATTGTCTCCTGGAGATAAAAGGGATAGACTTTTCCTGCTTCCTGCACATGAAATCCTCCTTCTATTCAGGGAACACACCTCATGGCCTGGCCATCATGGCAGAACATTTACCTGATCCAAAAGCTTATTCCTTGTTATAGAGAAATGTGGTCCAGGTGTGATTCTTGGTATGTTAAATGAGAGATAAAGAATTTCGGAAATCCTTTCTTTGTCATGAATCTCTTTCAAATATTTTTAGAAAACTCTTGTTTTCAATGTCAGATGCTAACAAATCTGAAAATGTTGATGAAACTCAAGGGAACAAATCTCGTAAGAGCTATGGTTGCTGCTGGGCATGGTGGCTCACACCTGTAATCCAGCACTTTGAGAGACCAAGGCAGGCAGACTGCTTGAGCTCAAGAGTTTGAGACCAGCCTAGGCAACATGGTGAAACCCCGTCTCTACCAAAAATACAAAAAAAGTAGCTGGGCATGATGGTGCACATCTGTGGTCCCAGCTACTCGGGAGGCTGAGGTGGGAGGATCCTTTGAGCCTGGGAGGCGGAGGCTGCAGTGAGGTGAGATCATGCCACTGCATTCCAGCCTGGGTGAAAGAGTGAAACTCCGTTTCAAAAAAAGATATAATTGCAAGTCGTGTAAATGCTTTCTGCAATCCTTTTATAATAAGCCCTCCCAAATAATCAAATAAGTCTCCGGGATACAGATATACCTTCAGTTGACTAGAAAGTCACACACTAGAAAATAATATTCCAACTCCATTTGGGACTTAGAACATCCTAAACCACTGGCTTGTAAAAACAGAATGAATAGCGTATGAGAGGACCATAATCTCATCTACTATTGAGGTTTTTATCAGCTCAGATATTGGAGTAAGTTACTGTTGCTTAATTGCTCACTCTTTCTCTTAAACTATACAGAATACAATTCCGTTTACAAAGAAACCCTATCAGCTCTGACTTCTTCCCAAGTTTGGACAGAGGATATCTTGGAAATGAATGTAGAACAAGACAAACAAGAAGTAGCTAGTTAGTTGCAGTGATTTCCCAAATTATCTAGGAGTTCATTAAACTAAAGATGCCTGAATAATCACAAGACTTGTTTATCTCTTCTTTCAAAAAGGTTAAGTCAAACATTCAGGTCAGATAATCTAAAGTAGGCATCTTATAGAAAGATAGGAAGACTAAAGCCTTACAAAGATATTAGTGTCTATTAATCATTCCGATATTACAACAAAATAGCTTTTTTTTAAAGAAATTGTTGTGAAATCTTCACAGTAACCCAAGGAAATACTCACCATTATTATTATTATTTTTATAGATGAAGAAACTGAGGATTGGAGAGATTAAGTGGCTTAATAAGGCACAGTTAGGAAGCAAGTAGTAAATAGAGTCAGGACTTGAGCCCAAGTCTTCTAACTCTCAGGTCTCTTTTCATTTCACTAAACAGACCATCAGTCTTTGTGTCGAAATCTTATTCCTCCTGATTTCTATCAACTGCTTCTTTTTTTTTCTTTTTAATACCATTGTTGGCATGTTACTTGACCAGATCCCAAACAAACAGATGATGATGCTCTACAGACTTCCATTACCTAGGAATTGGCTTATAAGCAATTTAATTCATGCTAGAAAATAATCCCACTCCTACTCTATTGCTTTACGCCATCTGCTTTGCAATGATCAGAGTTTCAGCCTAATGGGAAAAAAAATTGAATTAGAGTTTTTGTTTGTTTGTTTGTTTGTTTTAATGCTAATTTGGTAGCATTGCTGGAAGGCATTTGCCACAGACTTCAACTAGGTCATCTGCCTTCGTTGTGTGCAGAGCAGACACCTGCCAAGGTCTGCCTTTCCAAGATCTTTGTCTGTGAGAGAACAGGGTGTGGGCAGCAGGAAGAGCTTGTCTTCCCACTGAGCTCCATAGGCTTGCCACACCAGAAACAATACTGGAGCAAGCCAATATTGCAAAAAATGCATTTATACATTAACCAATTTGTCTGGGTTCTGTTTCTTTTTCTACATTACAGTTTGTAACAGTTATTACAAATTTAAATTGTCCAAAACCACAGACCAATTTTTTTAAGAAGGATAAGGAGGGAAGGAGGAAGAAGGAAGAGGAAGAGATGCATTTCTCTCTTTAAGCACTCTAAAACCCTTTATGAAATGAAAGACTCTTCAAACACTGAGCCTGGCCTCCCCTGATCCCTTTTTTGCTGAGCCAAGGCAAGCCATGTCCTGTGTCTTTTTCCTTTTACACTAGTTTACCTCAACAAAACATTCATTAGTCTCTCCTGGTGTGCTCACTCTAAGCAATAATTCATCACTTTATTAATTTAAAACATAACTACTAGCTTATGTCTTCATGCTGTGAAACTTAATTATAGAATTGATTTTTTTTTAAAAGCCACTTAAATGTAACTGGCTACATGTGAAAGTGCATTAGTAAATTTGAGCATTTAACTGACCAGAATCATGTCTGCCATGCTCTTGCATTAGGTCTGAGCTTCTCCTTCTTGCTGAAATTTCTTAGCATTGCTCCATAGGCACTTTCCTATTAGTATCACTTCTTAGGAGCCTTTAGCAAAAGATTTAAGCATTTCAGAAAAGCTTATTTATTAATTTACACATTAGCAGAGATTAACTTCAGCAATCCCTATTCCCATTTGCTATAGAAGCCTGGCACTAAATTCCCGAGCCAAGCTGAGTATACGATAATGAATAAAAAGGTATTTGAAAAGAAGATGTAAATCAGTTTAGTCAGAATACAATTTTCAAGCCAGCATGTGAGTTGGTCTCAAACGTATCTCCAACTTCCATTTGTTAATCACTGGTTTATGTGTTCACTATAAGGACAACTGGGTCGTTTTCATGATAGAAATCAACTTTCTAAAGAGATAAGACCCCTGAACTCATTGACTTTGAAGAGGGAAGGTGGTCAGGACCATGGATCCTTAGTGTACATTCCCCATATGGTTCTAGGGGTTCTGAGGAGAGAGCAAGAAGGTTGCTTGGGGAACTGGCAAGGGCACTGCCAAGAGTAGAAGATCTGGTTCCATTCTTTCTAAACTTAGCCCTATTTTCTGTCTCCAGTCTTTGGTCTCATTATTAGTTTTCTCTGTAACCAAAAGGCAAAATGTCTGCAACTCCCGTACTTCAGTCACATCTATATGACTAATGAGAACATTACCATCATGATGAAGAAACTCTACTTTTCTTCTGGAAAGTGTTTTTTTTTGTTTGTGTTTGTTTGTTTTGTTCTTTTTGTTTTCTTTTTTTGAGACAGAGTATCGCTCTGTCACCCAGACTGAAGTGCAATGGTGAGATGGTGCAATCTTGGCTCACTGTAACCTCCGCCTCCCAGGCTCAAGTAACTCTACTGCCTCAGCCTCCCAAGTAGCTGGGATTACAGGTCCCCCCCCCCACCCCACCCCCACAAAACCTAGCTATTTTTTTTTTGTATTTTTAGTAGAGATAGGGTTTTCCGTGTTGGCCAGGCTGGTCTTGAACTCTTGACCTCAGGTGATCCACCCGCCTTGGCCTCCCAAAGTGTTGGGATTACAGGCGTGAGCCACCACAGCCAGGCTGGAAAGTGTTTTTAAAAAAATAGTTATAGAACCTACCTCTTACTGAGTGAAAATGAAGAATCTTTCCAGCACCTTGGCACCTTTTCACTTAAAGAAGCTTCAGGATTTAAAACTCAGATGAGCACAACAGATATCCCCCACTGCTGCTGACAGCAGCATCTTTTGGCCAGACCAGCACTTCCTGGGCTCATGGCTTTCATCAGCATCACAGATTTCAACGGGAGCCGGCAGGCAATGGCTATTTGAGGACCTAAATAAATCTAAAGAACACTCAGTCACAATTTGGAATTTGTGAAGCACATTGGTATTATTCTTGCTTTCAAAGCAGATTATAGAATCAAAGATTAAGAAAATAGTTTTTCTAACTTCTGGCCATAAGAGAACCTCAAAAATTAAACTCCATATGAAGAATCAGGTGTAGACCACATGTTCTCACTCATAGGTGGGAACTGAACGATGAGAACACCTGGACACAGGGCGGGGAACATCATGCACTGGGGCCTGTCGTAGGGTGGGGGGAGGGAGGGAATAGCCCTAAAAGAAATACCTAATGTAAATGACGAGTTAATGGGTGCAGCACACCAACATGGCATGTTTATACGTATATAAAACCTGCATGTTGTGCACATGTACCCTGGAACTTAAAGTATAATTAAAAAAAAATTCTTTTTAAAAAAAGATTACCCTGAGATGGCCAGGCGCGGTGGCTGATGCCTGTAATCCCAGCATTTTGAGAGGCCAAGGCGGGCGGATCACGAGGTCAGGAGATCGAGACCATCCTGGCTGACACAGTGAAACCCCACCTCTACTAAACAAAAAAAAAAAAAAAAAAAAAAAAGAATGCAGGTGTAGAGAAGTGGAAATCTTATCTTTCAGAATGAAACTTTCAGAAGAAAAATATACATGTGAGAGGAAAGAAATTATATGTTGTTTACAGTGCTTAGGCCTAATATGGTGGATTACATTTTTATAGATGCTATTGTAGTTTTCTCACCATTATATTTGATGGTAGAAGAATTAATATCTCAGGGATTTTGAAAATCTATTATTTGGAGCAACATGAGACTCAAAAGCTTGGTCATATGAAATAGGGAGAAAAATTTAAAAATACTTATCATCTTTGGAACCAAGAATTTATATCAATATATGTCTCCTTTTTTTGTAACTCTTAAATTGACACTTCCAGAAATTCATCTAGAAGCTTATTCAGATCTCATATACCTAAAAATGGAAGTTATAGATAAGAAGCACCATCTGCCTCATGGAGTACCTTAATGATTGGAAACTGAATCATCCCTAAATTATGATCAGAATTTAGTGCAGAAATAGAATTAATAACTCAGCAGCCTAATATGTAGGCAATTATTTATTCTATCTCACTTCCTCATCTGTAATATGGGGAAAATACATACCTTATTTATCTTATAGGATTGATGTAAGCCTTGAATGGCGTATTATATTTGCAAAGCCTTGCCTGAATAAGTAAATGTTATCACAGTACTAATATTACAAACATTTATTGAGCTTTATGTGTCTAGCACTCTTCTATATTCAAGAAATACCAAGTTAAAGAAGACATGAATCCTTGCCTACAAGGAGATCACCAGCAGCTGGAGCTTGCTTTTTAATCCAATTTAGCAATCTACCTTTTAATTGGAATGTTTAGACCATTTATAATTAATGTGATTACTAATACAATTGAATTGAAGTCTACCATCTTGCTATTTGTTTTCTTTTAGACCCATTGATTTTTTTTGTCTCTTTTCCTTCTTTTCTACCTTCTCTTCAACTGAATATTTTTAATAATTTTATTTTTTCTTATTTGTTGGTTTATCAAATGAAATTCTTTGCTGTGTTCCTTTACAGCTTTTATTATACATTTTTATTATGTATTTTAACTTTGTGTAATATTATACTCATTCACATATATAAGAGCCTAACAAAATTATACTTCCATTTTTCCCCTCCAAGCTTTGTGCCAGGGCAGTCATACATTTTTCTTATATGTATGTTATAAACTTCAAAATGTGTTGTCATTATTTAAAGCAAAAATGAAACTTCACAATACATTTTTTTTTGCTTTAAAAAGTGGATTACCTCTTAAAGACATTTAAATAATAAGAAAAAGTTTTTATATTTACTCATGTAGTGATCATTTCTGGTGATCTTCCTTCCTTTATGTAAATCTAGGTTTCCATATGGTATCATAAAAACTTTCTTTCAAATTTCTTATAGTGTAGGTCTGCCAGTATGTATTCTTTCAGCTTTGTATGTCTGGAAAAGCCTTTATTTTGCCTTCATTTTTGAAAGTTATTTTCACTGAATAAAAATATTATAGGTTGATAGTATTTGTTTTTCTTTCAGCACTTTAAACATGTTGTTCCTCTGTCTTCTAGCTTGCATTGTTTCCAAAGATAAATCTGAGGTCACCTTTATCTTTGTGCTGTATGTAACATGTCTTTTTCTCTGGTTGCTTTTATGATTTTATCTCTATCAGTGGATTTAAGCAATTTAATTATACTGTGCCTAACTAAGTTTAGTTTTCATCACATATTTCACGTGTATGAGGTTTGTTGAGATTTCTGAATATGTGGGTTTAGCTTTCATCAAATTTGGAAAAATATTGACCATTATTTCTTTAAATGGTTATTTAGCCTCCCTGCCACCACTTCTTTAGGGACTTGAATTACACATGTATTTGGTTGCTTAAATTTGCGCCAGAGTTCAATTATTGTTTTGGGGTTTTTTTTAAGTTATTTGTTCCCCATCTTTCATTTTGGATAGTTCGTTTTGTCTTGAAGTCTATTAATCCCCTCTGATGTCTTCTACAATGTCAAATCTGCTAGTAATCCTATTCAGGTTATTTTTAATTTCAGACATTATAGTTTTCATCTCTGAATTTTTAATTTGGGTCTATTGTATATCTTCCATGTCTCCATTTAACATGTTAAATCTGTCTTCTAGCTTCTGGAAAATATGGAATATATTAATAATAACTGTTTTAATGTTTTTGTCTACTGATTCTACCAGTTGTGGCATTTCTGGGTGTGTTTTGATTACTTCCTTTTCTCCACATTATGGGTCTTATTTTCCTAGTTTTTTTTCCCAGTAATTTTTGATAGAGTGACAGACATTGTGAATTTGGCTATGTTGGGTGCTGGATATTTTTAATTTGTGTAATTATTCTTGAGTTTTCTTTTGGATGCAGTTAAGTTATTTTATGTTTCAGGCCTTGCTTTTGACTATCATTAGGCTCAACCAGAGCTGCATCTAACTTAGGGTCAATTTTTCCCCATTACTGATGCAACATCCTTTATAATACTCTAATTCTGTCCAAATTGTTAGATCTTTCCCACTCAGGCTGTTGGGAATTGGCACTTTTCTCAGGCTTTGTGAAGTCTAAGGACTGCTGTCTTTAGTCCTTTCAGATGGGTCTTTCCCTGGCCTTGGGTAGTTTCCTCACACACATGCATTCAATTGAATACTCTAGGAGGACTCTTTTCACATCGCTGGAGTTGGGTCTCTGGGGAGCTCTCTTCTTTCCAGTATTCTGCCTTGTAAATTCTAGCCACTTTGGCTTCCTGGATTCTGAGCTATGTCTCCTAAACTCAGTGAGACAACTGGGCTCTTCCTGGGTTCTCTCTCCCTGCGCTGCAACCTGGAAACTTCTCACATGCAATAGAGAAAGTTTCTTGGGCAATTATCTGGTTCATCTGATTTGTTTCCCATCTTTCAGTGATCATTGTCCTTCATTGCTTGATGTCTAATATCTTGAGTGCCATTGTTTTCTATATTTTTGTTCAGAGTTTAAGCTGTCTTGAGTAGGACAGTAAATCTAGCTCCTTTTATTCTGGTTTGCTCAGAAACATAAGTCTTTTTAGGACACATTATAATTACTTCAATAGAAGCAATCATGATGGCAAGCCTTGTCATGGAATTAGAAGACAGAAAACTTGACTTCATTATACTAAGCAAAGAATACAGACTACCCAAGGCAAAGGAAGCTAACTCTTCTCCTCCTCTAAGCTTGTCTTAACTGAGCAGTTGAGTGCCATCAGCCAGCTTAAATGAACAGCTGGAATTATAATATCCTAAGAGCTCTGAATTAGATTTGTGTGTAGTGTTGTTGAGGAGTTTCATTGTAGTCCTAGAAGGATACCCATGGGCATCTGATGCCCCTTCGTGCCTGCTATGGTCTGAATATTTGTGTTCCCTCAAAATTCATATGTTGAAATCTAATTTCCAGTGTGATAATATTAAGAGGTGGGATCTTTTGGAGATAATTAGGTAATAAGGTTGGAGCCTTCATACATGGGATTAGTGCCCTCTATAAAAGAGGCCTGAGAGAGCCTGTTTGCCTCTTCTACCATGTGAGGACACAACAAGAAGGGACCATCTATGAGCCAGAGAGTGAGCCCTTACCAAACATTGAATCTGCTAGTGCCTTGATTATAGACTTCCCATCCTCTAGAACTGTAATTAATAAACTTACATTGTTTATAAGCTACCCAGTCTGTGGTATTTTGTTACAGGAGCCCAAATGGACTACGACAGTGCCCAAGAAAGACATAAGGGGAAGAGTACCAGCTGAGAATACATACCAAAGATGCTGTCTCCAGCACTGCATGGGACAAGGATGAAGCCTCATCAGCCAGCTGAACTGGAACAAGTATATTCTAAAACTCCATCCTATTTTAATTTTTCTATTTTTAATGCAGAGTTAATCCATATCAGCTTTCTTAACCATAAAGCCATTCCAAGCGCTAACTTTTGTTTAATTAGCACTTTGCAAATTAAAACTTCAGTGTGAAAAGTATTTTAAGCATATTGGATGGAACAAAGTATAGTTTGAGAATGTTATCCATCATATAGGAATGGATCAGACAGAACACTGTGAAATCAACAATGTGCTTTTATTAATATTCCTCAATCCCAGTCATTATCCAATAAACCTCATTTCTTCCTTCTTTTATATGCTTTGACACTTGGGATCATCACTAAAGCCCCTTTCAAGCTTCAACATTCCATTTTTTCCCAGACGTTTGCTAGTCTAGTCAATTTATTAAGAACTGAAATATAAAGAGGTAAAATGTAAAATAATCTGAGTAGTAGAAAGAACACTGAATTTAAGAATCAGAAAATCTCTTTCAGTCAAGAATGTGTACATCTGACTTTGTAAACTTGGGGCATAAATCATTTTAACCTCTCTAGGTTCTATTACTATCACTATTTTGGGGTGTGAATAAATTATAAGTCTAGACTCACCTATGATGTCAGAATGAATTAAGCAGATATGGAAGCACTTTTGAAACATAAATTGCGATTGCAACTGTCCAAGGCCACAAAAGAAATTACTAAAATAACTCAAAGGAAGTGTTATATATCAAGGATTCAAAACACAAGAAACATCCCTAAAATATAACATTCTAACTGATTTTCTTAAAGATTGATCTTTTTTAAAAGTCACATAAGGGTAATGATTGAGGAATGATCTGCCACATCTTGCAGCCTGTGATGTATTGTTCAGTGATATCATTGTGGCCAACGAGGCACCAAAGAGCAGGCGATCACAGTGACATCATGGCAGGATCACTGACAATGCTCGTGATGTGACGATTCTTTATCATTTATATGTTGGGCTGGTTATAAAGTATTTAATTGGTATTGTTCACATTTATATCATGTGATGAGACATTCTTGTCACCATTATTCAGTTTCTGAATATTCTTGGTGAATGATCTTCAGGGAGCCCTGGCTTCTGACCGAGGGTTTCTATCCTTTGTCAAGCCACCCTATTCCCTCACTTTTCAATCACTTTACCTATGACTAATAGAAAGTTCAAAGCAAAAACCTATTGATTAATTTTCAACTAGCAACAGATAATGAAACACATTTTGCATGTACATTTTTGGATTCCCATTCTCCTGACCAAAGTAAATTGGCTGGAAATAAAAGACATGTAAAAAATCTCATGCAGTTGTACTAATTGATCTGAGAGGAAAAATGTAAAATATGTAGATACCTTGATTGTCTCCTCTTCATCCCATTGACTAGGGAGGGATTCCACACTACGGTTATGGGGATGGCCCAAGATATGACATCTAATACTGGACAGATGAGATTGACAGTAGTGTACAGTCCAGGGGAGGAGAGGAAGATACTGCACCATGCAGGGCTGAATGGGGATGTGCTCAGGAACAGAGTGAATAAGCAGACCCTGTGGAAAGCAGGCTTTATAGTAGCAAGAGCATGGAGTGACTCCTTGTTTCTCAGATGGATGTGATCGGCTTGTTTGAATAATTCAGTGGGCTGGCAGGGAACTGAAGTCTACTACTCAGGGATAAGCAGGCACTGTGCCTTGTCCTTGTAATAAGGAGGGTTGTTTGGCTAGGACACCTTATCAGTAGGAGCGAAGTGTGTAGGATGATGCAGTTAGGACATCAGAGGCCCTCCCAGTTTAGATGTCAAAGTAGCACATCATTGTTATTTTAAGCCTTACACTACAACAGACATCATATAAAGACACTTACCAATTTGGACCAGGAGGCACAGCTCCCATAACTTCTATCGTCCATCACTTTTTACCCCTGCTCGTAAGTCAAACAATAAAGGAAAGTCCTCTCAAAGTCTTAGACAGAATTAGGAGTGCTAAGAGCATTGTTGAGGCCATTCCTAGCCTTCCTTCTTGTTCAGAAACTACAGATCGAAAGTCAAGGGGCCCTCCTTGGCAGCCTGCAGCTGGTGGCTGCCCTGTCTCCAGCAAAGGTTTTTCTGACTGTTCAGGCACACAACTGTGACTCCCCACGAGCAGACCCACTTACGTTTACCAAGACAAGATAACAGAGTCAATTAGCCTTGTCAGTCACTGTGACTATAACTTAGAAGAATAGAAGCCCACTGATCACACTTAATGAAAATACAAGGTGACAAGAAAGTCATCTGCAGCTGTTTATGGACAAGAATTTGGGGAAAATGTATTAAGAACAGTTATAATTAGAGATACACACAAAAACAGATATGCTATATGCTATATTATAATAAAATTGACATTATAATATTTACTATATTTACATACTGAATACATTTAAAACAATAAAATTAAGTGAAAACATTTTTGTTGTGCTTTTCTGTTCAGTGATACTGTCTGGTTTTTTTATTAAAGTTTTAAATGTTAAATGATGACATTTCAAATACACAGCCAAGTACCAAAATTATTAATAGACACTCATGTACCAACCTACCATATTAACAGACATTAACATTTTGCTTTACTTGCCTTAGAATCAATTTTCTCTGTTTTAAAAAGCAGAAAGCATTAAGCACAGATAAAGCACCCCCATCTCATCCTCTACCTTTCTCTCCAGAGGTAACCATCACCCTGAAGTTAGTATGCTTCTTTTCATGTATGTACATTTAAACTTATGTTAATATTATATAGACATGTCCATAAATTATATATACTGTTATTTTGTGTGCTTTAAATATTTATACAAATACTAGAAACCATATGGTACATTTCCTTTTGTAACTTGCTTTTCTTGCCAACATGTTTTGACATTTATCTGTGTTAATATATTTAGATCAAGTTTGTTCATTTTAACTTTCTGTAGTATTTTATTACATGAATAAATGAGTTTATTTACTCATTTGCTTACCGAGAACAGTGGTGTTTGTTTTTTCTTTGTTTTTGAAGCAACAAGAAATATAATAGAAACAATCTATACTGCAAGGAAGATTTTGTCCAAGTCTCCATGGGCACATATGTAATAGCCACTGTAGGCATTAGCCCTATATTTGATAGATGGAAAAACATTTATTTTTGATGGCTCAGCTTAGATAAATATGATATATTCACCGTTGTTGTTGTTGTTGTTTTAACAAATCTTCTTTTCATGATTCTTCTAATAACATTAAAAAGTTAATTTTTCTTTCTTATGGAAGCATGAAATATAAGTTCCCTGATAAACACTATTACCCAAAATTCTTCAAACGAATTTGTGTCATATGTTTTAATATATAAATATTTACACCACTGACATTTAAAATAAAATGTGGGTAGATACAGGGCATTTAACATTAATATACTTCACACATTTACCTGTGTAACAAACCTGTACGTCCTGCACTTGTATCCCAGAACTTAAGATTAAATTAAATTAAAACATTAATATACCCAATGATTGCTGATGGCTAGCTTACTTCCAGAATAACTGCAGGTTCTCTATTCCTCCACCTGGGCCTTGCACAGTTGTTTCCACGAGTTCCTTGGGTGCCTGAGATGCTCCAGTGAGCTGCTGCACAGTCCTCTCATGATGTCTGTGTCTGGCCTCCTCCTCAGTGTCTGCTTTCCCTAAGCCTGTGAGGATTCATCTCATCCTTGTCTCAGAGCACCCTGGCCTCTGCAGCTGTAGATGCCCTGGTCTAGAGTCCTGCTTCCTGGATCTACTGTCCTCTCAACTGACGCTGGACAGGAGCCAGCCCCTGAGCCCTCACTGTGACTAAGCTGTGCTGAGTTCCAGGAAGAAGTGGAGGAAACATTTCTCTTCCCAATTCAGTGTCACTTGGGCCTGAATGTGGCACTAGTTATGCCTAAACCCCATGAAATATAACAAAGCCTCTTAAAACCAGGCTGCTGGGCTTACGGGTCTAGCCCCTCTCTCCATGGGGCTAGGTTGGGGAGCAGCCAGTGGTGACCATTGTCCTTATTCTCTTCACTGTCCTTTCTCTACCAATCTACTCCACAGGCATCCCTGCATACAACTCCCTCCTGGCAGCCCCATTCTCTACACAAATACTCATGCAAATACACTTCCGAGAGCCAGCCCCACATAACCTGATAGGTCAGTTCTAGATTTCTCTTTGGGTACAGCCAAGATCCCTGCCCACAGATACAACACACAACACACACACAGTCGACTTACCCCACACCACACCAAACATACTATCAGTATCTTCAGTCTTCAACAGCTCTCTCTCTCCTGGCTCCTTCCCACGGCTCCTTCCTGTGTTTCCACGTGTTCAAGTCTCTTTCATCCTGAACTAAACAAACAACTTAGACCTTCCATAGACCTGCCTCCTCTCTACTTCCCCAACTCTCTTTCATTCTTCAAGGACATATATTTTTCTTTTAACCTAATTTGAAAATTTTACTGATGTTAACTGTAGACACATCAGTATTATTTAATGTTTACAGTGAACATATATTCTATTTATAACTAAAAAAAAATCATAGACTCCATGATGGGTTGAATTATGTCTCTCAAAAAAGAAAAGTTCAGGTCCTAACCCCCAGGACTGCACAGTGTGATCCCATCTGGAGATAGGATAATCAGATTAAAAAGAGGTCATCGTGATGGGCTCTAATCCAATAGGACTGTTGTCTTTATAAAAAGGGGAAATGTGGACACAGACGTACGCACAGGGAGAACACCGTGTGAAGATGAAGGCAGAGATTGGGATGATGCTTCCATAAGCCAAGCTACACCCCAAATCATCAGCAAACCACTAGAAGTGAGGGGGGAAGCTTAGAACAAATTTCTCTCTCAAAAATCTGAGATCAAGTCTGACTTGACCTCACACTTCTAGCCTCAAAACTGTGAGACAGCAAGTTTCTGTTATATAAGCCATTCAGTATTTGGTACTTCATTTTGGCAGCCCAGGACACTGATATTGTCTCTGAATCTCCATTCCCAAATTTCAGTGGTGTCCTCCACCCATCTCTCTCCACTGCCTCATCTCCCATGCATGCATCCACTCATCGATACCAGACCTCTGTGGTCATCATTCTGCTGTCATTTTCTCATCTAAGCCACCAATGACCTTGTTGCTAATACTGATGGAACATTCTTCAGCTCTTTCCCAACCCCTCTGCAACATTTTACCTTGTTTCTCTGTCCCTTCTTTCTCTTGTCTTCCATGGCACTGCACTGCCGAATCTTTCTCCTGCTTCTTTGGTTTGCCTTAGTGCCCTTTGGATTTCCCTCCAATTGCCACTTCCTTAAGTGGAAACGTTCCTCGGGGTTCTAGCTCAAGTCCTCTTATCTTGACAGGTTAGCCTATTCTTGAGGATTCTTATCCATTCCTGTTGGCTTTAAGCATCATCTGTCATCAGAATCTCTCATTTAGATTTTTCTCCCGGATTTCAGGCTCCTTCGTGATCAGAGCTCATTTGTTTGATGGAAAAAGAAACCCACTCAAACTAGTATGCGTGAAAGGGGGTTTCTTGGGTGGAATCAGGGTTACTTGACTGCTGTAAATAGCGAGAATTACACACCTCACAAAGGAGGGACAGAAGACTGGAGAACAAAGCCCAACTTTCTCCACATCCCTCCCCCGTGCCACCTACTCCCCATCTTTCAGCAGATTCCAGGGGAGAAACACCCAGGGACTTCCCCTGGGTTCCCTAAGCTTGCCCTCGAAGGAAGTACAAGCTCAGTTACCTGTCTGTAGTCTGGTCTCTGCTTTCCTCCCAACCCTCATCTCTCTGCTCACTCAGTCACTTTCTAGGTGCCAACCACACCAGCTTTCTTCAAATCCCTGGGGGCCTCCAGCGTGCTGGCCTCCAGGCCCTGGGTATGACTCCTTTCATCTTCCTAGAACAAGCCACCTCCCTTTCCACTTGGCTAACTCCAACTCCTCCAGTACATCATAGCGTACATCCACTTCCTTTTGAAAGTGTTCCTGCTCACCTATACTCCGCCGCCACCACAATTCTGAGTTTATTATTCTGGATTTGGGGCTCCCAGCACCCAATGTTTCCCACATCATGCACCCACACTGTGTGGCATTTCCATCTATTCTTCCACGCCCCCCACTGAGCTGAAAAGCTGGAAGCATCTGTGGGACACAGCTGAGCTTGGTAAGGTGTGTTTGTTAAAAATCACAGGAACCTTTGAGCTAGCACAGGCCAGTGTCAACCTCAGTACTACTGACATTTTGGGCGGAATCGTTCTTTTGGGGGAGAGCTGTCTCGTGTGCAGCACAGGATGCCACACAGCACTGTTGGCCTCTACCCACCAGATGCCAGTTACACTCTCCCCTCCCTCAGTCAAGACAAAAAAAAGTCTCCAGATGTTGCCAAGTGTTGCCAAAGTGTTGCCAAAATTGCTCTTGGTTGAGAACCACTGGTTTAGGCTAACAGGGGTGTTTGTCACAGGGATACTGGTGAGAACAAGGGGCTGATGTCGTTAGGGATTCCAGCAAGTGGACTTCCTGTGTTCCCCAGAATCTTGACTTAGGGGCTGAAACAGCTCTGCAAATGGTGTCTGCCTGGAGTGTGGTCTGTGGACTATGAAGAGCAAGGTGCAACCAGCAGGAGCTGATGCCCACGCATCAGGCAGGTCGTGGAGGCCACGCAGGAGAGTTGGGCTTTCTCCTCCTCACATGTTGGATGCAGACAGGAAGCAACATGGTGATATTTGCAATGTAGACAGATGGAGGCAGCAATGTGAGCAGATGTGCAAAGGGTGGAGGTTTAAGACAAGAAGTCTGGACTCTCCATTAGAGGGCTGCAAGATAGGCTGTCACAATGGTGTGAATGAAAAATGTGAGAGCTTCAACTGAGGCAGCAGTTATGCCACCTTCTCCCTCTTAGTATTTGTGGTAATGCTCGGAGAAGTACACTTTTTAACCTTTTTATTTGGTAATTTGTTTCTTCTTGGTAGGAACAAAGACCTGGATACAAGCAAGGAAAATAGGGTACTTAACTAATTTCCTAGGCTACCTTAAAAACTAAGAGAAATGGAAAATTTGATGGAGAAAAGAAACATTGTAATTTGTTTGTCATAAATTACATTGTAATTTAAATGTGAGACATTAGAACAATTTAGTTTTTATTCCTGCCTATATTATTACATACCATTCTTCCTTGTTTTGAAACTCTTAACTAGGTGAGGCAGAGCTAGAAATTGTCTCCTTATATACTTTTCCTGAACAAAGGAATTCCAAATTTTTGCTGGCCTCATAGCTTTTGGAGTAAGGTTTTACAGGTATGATAAGGAGACTAAGTTCTGGCCTGATATAGCAGAAGTGAGGAATGTGATTCTTAGAAGTTTTCCTAAAGGGAGGAAGTGAATTCTTTGTTCTGTTTTGCACTGGCTTGAAGGCAGACATGGTGGCTGGCGCTTCAGTAACTATATTGGGCCATGAGCTGAAAGCACGTGTTGAGGATGTGGCACCGCAAAATAAAGAAGCCCCGCTTCCTGATCCTGCAGAACAAGGGCCAGCAAACTTTTTCTCTAAAGGGCCGAATCTTCAGTTTCGTAGACCCTACAGGTCTCTGTCACCACTAGTCAATTCTGCCATTTGAGAGTGAAAATATCCATGGAAAATATAGAATAAATGAGTTTCTAATGTTCCAATTTGTTTTTCGATAAAACTTTATTTATGGACATTGAAATTTGAATCCCTTATAATTTTCTTTTTTTAAAATTCTATGCAAGGAAACAGTAGAATCTCTCATCATTTTCAGCCATTTAAAAAAGGAATAATAATTCCTAGCTCCAAAGCTATACAAAGACCCTGGGGCCAGATTTGGCATGGGGCATGTTTTGTCCACCCCTGAAATAAATCACCATACAGCCCCAAATTGTTGATCTTTAGGCTTTACCTACAGGAAAGAGACACTTTGGTGTTGCTTCTGCTAGATGGAGTTTGCTCTGATTCAGCAAAACGAATTCCTGACTTATGATTACTAGATGCAGCAGCCCCTGGGGGTGCTCCACCCACACGCAACCCATATCAATTCTTTTCCAGCTCCGTGCACCCTTCCGGGTTTCTGTGGCTTGCTTCCAAGGCTCAAACTTGCAACTCTCTTTTAAGATAACCTTAGGTCCACTGGCACCTGTGGCTGGAAAGTTGGAAGTGCCTGAGAATTTACATGCCCTCTGGGCAGCCCTTCCCTAGAGAACTTCAAAGCCTCGCTGACTTTTGCATCTGGACGAACTCAGACAGAATTTTTACCCTGGAGTTCCCCTGTAGAATCAGGCACAGGCCTCCCTCCTCAGGACTTTGCCTGACATCACACCTTTGTTTGGTTTGCTCCCGGCTCCTGTCCTGTTTTTCCTGCTCTTTCCTGGACTTCCTATGGGAGCACTTCCTTCACAATTCACGTGCACATAGCCCTTGTCAAGGTCTACTTCTGGAAGCTTCAATCTAAGCCATAGTAATCATCCTTGCTCAAGGAGATTTTTCTCCAGACTCCAATAAAACAGAAGAAACAGCAGTCTCCTCTTTACAGAAATAAAAAGGAGTGTTCTAGCTAAAGCCCTTTTTACAGAGCAGCATAATGGGTAAGAGCAGGGGCTCCAGAGTCAGCCTGCTTATAAACAGTCTTTTGGAGCCTCAAGATTCCTCATCTGTAAATTGGAGCTAATGACAATGACAGCACAGGGGTTGTGTTGAGGCTATGTTGAATATCATGGCACTTACACATCCCATCCAGCACACAAGAAACACTCCATAAAAGTTAGTTACTATGAGCATCATTAATATGTTGTCTGAGGCATTTTGACACAACCACTGCTACTTGTAAATTCCAACACAGAATTTTCTTGGTACATAATAGAAAAACAAGTGCTATCTGCTGCTCTGTGAGAAGCTGATGATGAATTACCAAATAAGATTTTCTACTTTGTAGGTATATTTGAATATCAGTATGTCCAATTAATTCAGTATAAATATAAAGGACACATCCTGCTTGAAAATGTCAGCAATAAGTTAGGCAAATGGCTGCATTCTGAAACCAGGCATACCTGGACCATACTCCCAAATATGCTGCTCCTGTAGAGACTTCAGTATTGATTTACCCAATCAGATTGCCAATACTTACCTCCTAAGGTTATTGTGAAGATTAGACAAAACTCTGCATAAAAAACACTTAGCTACTCTTTATTAGGAATTTACTATGTTCCCGGCACTGTGCTATTGTTATCCATGCCCAATTCCCCGGAAGAGAAGTGGAAAGATTCCATACATCACTGGGATACCTTTACCCTGATGACAAAGGCAGCAATGGCACCGACTCCCAGAAGATAATCTTTTAGAAAATAATCACCTGGTTTTTTCCTCGGCCATTAGCCTTCTTGGGTCAGTTTGCTAGAAACCAACCCCCCAACAACAAAGAAACTCCAAGGAAAATGAGCCTCTTCATTGCTGCTGAAAGCAGGGGGAACTGCGTCCTCTTACAGGCTCTTTACTATGGTTGATACAAGTGAGTCTCCATTTTTTAGCTTCAGTACCATCCAGTCAATGCTTTGTAGGAAGAGCTGCATGTCGGAGTGTTAACCCGCCAGTGTTTGTGCATCTCTCTGGGAGCCCTCCTGGCAGAGCCCTCCTCTGCACCAGCACAGAGGTCTGATGTGGGACGGTCAGGCTATCAGAGCTCAAAGAGAAAACAAATCTCTTCTGTATAGGCCAGGAAGGCCTCACCAAGGAGCCTTTTTGCTCTGCTTGGGAGGGAATGGAAAGAAAAAAAGGGAAAACCACACCCTTCGAAGGCCTCAGTAAATATTTGAAGCGTGCCTAGGTTTGGCCAAATGAGAACTCCCCTTATTTAAGTATTTATGAAATGATCAAATAGCAGGATTGTATTTCCATGAGCTAGAGAGTTCTTATTTAGTGACACAGATTTTTTTTTTGTTCAAACTTTTTTCTTTTTTTGCCACATTCAGCAATTGCTATCAGATGCTGAATGTCTGTGGTCACATACTCAGCTTCCTGTTTATAAATGCGCTCTGTTTTCAGTGAGTCAGCAGTTTCTTGTTCTACAGAGAGGTAAAACTGGTGGTGTCAGGGCCGTGGGGGGTTGAATGAGCTTTGTGAATGGCCCAGTGTGTGCTGGGCCTCAGGATTTGTGTGAACAGGTACTCACACTGTCTGTGGCTGTCCATAAGCTGAAATAATTCAGCCCAGTGAGTTTGGTGGTTTCTCATCTGATTCTGTCCAAGCGAAACAAAGCCAGACACTAAAGTGGTAAGGACAGACATTAACCAGTAATAACTATTGCAATAGGGAAGAGTCCAATGTAAACTGAACTCAGCTTCAATTTGTGCAGAGGTGACTGGACTTTTTTTTTTTTTTTTTTTTTGGAGACGGAGTTTTGCTCTTGTCACCCAGGCTGGAGTGCAATGGCACAATCTCGGCTAACTGCAACCTCCACCTCCCAGGCTCAAGTGATTCTCCTGCCTCAGCCTCCTGAGTAGCTGGGATTACAGGTACCTGCCATCACACCCGGCTAATTTTTTGTATTTTTAGTAGAGATGGGTTTTGCCATGTTGGCCAGGCTGGTCTCGAACTCCTGACTTCAGGTGATCCATCCGCCTGGGCCTCCCAAAGTGCTGAGATTACAGGTGTGAGCCACCATGCCTGGCCAGACTAGGCATTTTTAGGGAAGAATGAGGGAATAGGAAGGAGGGCAAACAGAACCAGTAGGGTCAGGGAAGTGAAAAATTACGAAGGGCTGTTCAGTATAAATGCAATCAGACCAGCTGTGCCTGCTAGCTGGCAGTTAGGAAAGTTAGGATTCTATCCTCTCTGAGACTGGGAGACAGAGGTCCTTACCCTTCCTGATGATTACATTCAAAGGAATAGCTTTCAGGGCCTTGAGAAACACACTCCTGGGTTGTAGGAGATACATATACATCTCAAAGGTTACAGAGAACTCAAAATTGCCCTTCTTAGTAAGTGCTCTACGAAAGAGTGGTCAGGCTAGTTCCAGGTGTGGGCTAGAGCAAGCAGTAAATCCCCCTGGGCAGCCTTGAGTTTTCTCAGGCAGGCATCCTTAAGGGGGTAGGAGCATCCTGGGGATGTGGCCTTGAGGTATTGGAAACCTTATTAGCGATTGTGCAAGTGTTTTAGAGCAAGGCTGAGGCCTGGCTGAGAAGAGGGCTCAGAAGAGCCTGACTAGAGTTTGCTCAAGGTCAGAGTCTTTGTCACTGTGAGGCAGCCCAGGGTCTGTCTTTGGCACTTCACTCACTTGCTTTGGTGCTACTGCTTCCTGACCTCGCCTACCAGTCCCGTTGTCAGCTGCAGTGGCCTCCAGCTGCCAGGTGGGCTGGAACTTCAAACGACTGATGTCCTTGAAGAGCCTGGGAGTTCTGGACTTTCCTGCCTCCCCTCCCTTGGCCCCAGCACACACTGCTCCATCTGCCCCTCCTTCCACACCCTCTTGTAAGCCAGCTCCACATCGCCTTTGGAATTCGGTTTTTCCTTCATCTCTTCGTGTGAAAGCCTCCCCTGAGCTCCAGTACCTGGGTTTGGCATTCCCACAACACCAAGCTCTTCTCTCCTGGAGCATTTATTGCACTGTATTTCAGAGAATAGTTAAGCACTGGTTTCCCCCACTAAACTGTAAGCCATAGGAGAGCAGGGACTAGGTGCAATTCAATCAGCAGGTGCTTACTAAGTGCTTGCTGAGGAGTGGATGGGTGGTACCTGTCCTTTGATGCCTCCTCTCAGGACCCTGTTCTTAATGATTGGGAACACAGGCTCTGGGTTTGAATCCCAGCTTTTCCAATTACTCGCTGTGTGACCTTGAGCAAGGTGCTTCACCCCTCTTTGCCTAAGTCATCTCGACTGTCAGGAGGGTAGATGATGATCTCCATCTCACCGGCTGTGAGGGTTAAAGGTGTTGTATGTGTACCTGCTTGGAAGAGAGCCAGGCACAAGGAATCTTCAGTATTATTACCATTGTGTGTTCCAAGGAGGCCATCGGCTACTCTGCCAATGATTCATTGAGTGAATAAACGCCCAACAGGGCATTGGCCTTTACTGCTTCTGTTTTCTAACCGAGAAGAATGACTTTGAGAAACTCAATACCTTACTCCCCACCGAAGCCTGGCTGGCTGGTGTTCTGATGTGGGGCAGGTGCCACGTGGAGCCATGGAAGCTGAAGGGCAGAGCTGTACCTGGCCAGGACACTGCCTCCGCCTCAGCAGCTTCCCTCTCTACTCTCCCATCTCTGTTTCCCCCAGAATTGCCTGCGCTCAGGTGCAGCTTTCCTCCCCTGCCCGTTCCAACCTGGACCCTCCCCACAAACTCTCTCACACTCTCTCTCTGTCTCTCTATCACTTACACCCTCGCACGCACATCCTTGCAGGCACACTCACACTCTCACATGCACACTTTCACGTGTATATTCTTACACTCACACACATTCTCATACACACTCATGCACACTCACACACACACTCATTCTCACACTGTCTCACACTGTCTTCATCATTCACACGTACACAGTCACAAACACTCACACACTCTCACGTGCACATTTACGCTCCCATATACTCTTACACCCACACACGCACACACTTTCTCATGCACACTCACATATACACACATTCATACTCTCAACTTTCTCCTTGTCTCTCCCATGTACACACACACACTTTCTGATGCACTCACACTCCCACATGAACATTCACACTCTAACTCATATATTCTTACAAGCATACACACACACACTTTCTCATGCACACACACCGTCATATGCACACTCACACATGTTCATACACTGCCTTATGCTTTCTATTTGTCTCTCCCATGTACACACACACACACTTTCTGATGCACTCACTCTCATATGCACACTCATGCACACTTACGCCCACACTTACACACACTCTCACACTGTCATCCACAAAACAACAGGAGCTAAGATCACCAGTGGCCTCTGTGCCATGGAGGCCCAGGACATTTTCAGTCTGCAGTTCCCCAACCCCTCCCAGCAGCATCAGAGTTGCTGGGTCCCCTTCCCTGTCAGGACACTCTCCCTCCTTGGATTCCAGGGCCCAGCGTTCTCCTGGTTTTCCTCCCACCGGTTCTCTGTCTCCTTTGCAGGTCTGCCCTTCCTTACTCGGCCAGTAAGTTCACAGACTCTTCCTCCTCTCTCTTCCTGCCCTCTGCCAGGACATCTGGCATGTGGCTCCAAATACCAGGTACAGGCAAACAGATCATGAGCAACCTCCTTCCTTATACCTGCTCTTCCTTTTACCTGGAATGTATCCTACTTCTAGGTCTCTGTTCAAACGTCACCTTGTCAGAGAGAACATCCCTGGCCACCAGAACTAGAATAGCCCCTTACTCCTTCTCACCATCTATCCCATTAACCCTGGTTTAGTTTTCTTTCTTCCCTGTTACTGCCTGAAATACTCTATATTTGTTTATTATCTGTTCATCCCTACTAGAGGGTAAGCTCTGGGAGAATTTGCAGCAGATACTAGTCTAGGTGCCAGAGACATAGCAGCAAACAAAAATGTTAAGGTCTTAATGAATACTTGAAAAAGTGTGTGAATGAAATGAAATTTTAGCTACAGCATTCCTCCAAGCTCCAGAGCAATAGAGTCAATCACTGACTTGACAGCTTCTCCTGGATGTCTCAGCAGTATCTCAAACTAAGTCTCTCTAGACCAACAGAACTTTCTATGACAATGGAAATAGCCTATATCTGCACTATCCAATGGGGTAGCCACTAGTCACATGTGACTGGAGCACTTGAGATGTGTCAAGTGTGACTGATGAGCTGAATTTTGAATTCCATTTATTTTTAATTAAACCTAAAATGTAAAAAGCCATATGTAGCCAGGGGCTGCCATGTGGGGCTGTGTAGTTCTTATCCGAACTGATGATCCTCTGCCCACACCTGGTCCGGTGGTCTCGACCTTAACAAATGGCACCACTATCCACCCAGATGAGAAAGCCGACAGTGAGGAGTCATTCTCGACCAGCTGCCTTTCCTGTGAGTCAATCCATCACCAAGTCCTATTGATTTTGCCATATATATATATTTCCATTAATTCCACTGCTGACACCACCCCAGAGGAAAATACATCATCTCTCATCTTGATTAAAGCCTCTTAACTGAATTGTTTACTCCACTTTCCCTTTCTCCGATTCAGTCTCCATATTCCTCCAAAGGGAGCCACAATGCATGGGGTGCACCCTGACCTTGCATCACCCATTCATGCAATCGAATATCCTTCAGTGGATGGCTTCTTTGGATGGCCTGCATGTTCCTGCAGGGGGCTGAGTCCTGCTCATCTTCACTGCAGGCTCTCTGCCACTCTCTCTGGGCTCCAGCCACAGAGGCGTTGTTTCAGTCCCGCATTTGGGTCATGCTCCCTCCCACCACAGTGTTAGTCTCCTCTGATCACAGGCAAGGTCACATCCCTATTACATGTTTTCACACCACATACCTGTCCTTGGCACTTGTATAGTTATGTAGCAATTAACTAACGTTTTCCTTTCCTACTGGACGGTAAGCTTCCTGGAGCAGGAACCTTATGTGTTTTCGTGGCCACTTAGCAATATCTGTCTAATAGTAGAAGCTCCATGAATATTGTTGAGTAAATGTATAGCCAGATAGTCTTTTGAGATAATAACTATGTTTTTCTTTCTTTCTTTTTTCCTGTTGCCCGATTGAGTCAATGATAGTGGATACAGCTTAGAACAAAAGAGTCAACTGGGGAGACCGGCTTGGGAAACATGGCAAAACCCCATCTCTACTAAAAATATAAAAATTAGCAGGGCACGATGGCACACACCTGTAATTCCAGCTACTTGGAAGGCTGAGGCATGAGAAGCTCTTGAACCCAGGAGGCGGTGGTTGCAGTGAGCCGAGATCATGCCACTGCACTCCAGCCTAGGTGACAGAGGCAGACGCTGTCTCAAAAAAAAAAAAAAAAAAAAAAGAGTCAATTAGCTACCTCAATGAATGTTTTAAACCCATAGCAAACACGTGTTAAAAGGATGCTTGAGAAAACAAACATTTTTTAAATCTCAGCTTTGAATTAGCGAAGTCTATGTTCTGGTTATTGTAGCCATGTGATAAATCATCCGCAAACCTAATGACATAAAGCCATGGCTATTTTTATCATGCTCACAGATCCTGTTATAGGTGAAATTGTGACCTCTCCATCAAAATTCATATGCTAAAGTCCTAACACTCGGGGTACCTTAGAATGTGCCCATAATTAGAGGTAAAGTCTTTACAGTGGTAATTATGTTAAAATGAGGTCACCAGGGTGGGCCTTAATCCAATAAGACTGCTCTTCTTTTTTTTTGGACATAGACATACAGAGGGAAGGCTCAGGGGAAAGACAGCCCTCTACAAGCCAAGGAGAGAGGGATCTGAAGAAACTAAACCTGACAGCACCTTGATATTGGATTTCTAGCCTCCAGAACTGTGAGAAAATAAATTTCTGTTGCTTAAGCCACCCAGTTTGTGGTATTTTGTTATGGAAGCTCTAGCATACTGATGCAGATCTCATCAGTCAGAAATTAGGAAAGGACTCCACGGTGACAGTTGATCTCTGCTCTGTGATACCTGGAGCCCCAACTGGGAAAACTCATAGGAAGGGGGTGACCCTATGACTGGAGGGCTGCAGTCACAGGCAAGCTTGTTTATTCACATTTGTGGCACCTGACTTGGTGGTATGTGTTGAATTTGTGTCCCCCAACTCACCCTTATTCATATGTTGAAGTCCAAGATCCCATTATCCCAGAATATGACGTTAATGTAAATAGGATTGTTGCAGATTTAATTAGTTAAGTTAGGATTAAGGTCACACTAAAGTAGGATGGCCTCTAATACACCATGACCGCTCTCCTTATGAAAAGGGGAAAGTTGGACACAGGCCCACACACACAGGGAGAACTTCACGTAAAGATGAAAGCAGAGACCAGGTGCAGTGGCTCACGCCTGTAATCCCAACACTATCGGAGGCCAAGGCGGGCACATCACCTGAGGTCAGGAGTTCGAGACCAGCCTGGTCCAACATGGTGAAACCCTGTCTCCACTAAAAATACAAAATTAGCAGGACTTGGTGATAAGCGCCTGTAGTCCCAGCTACTCGGAAGGCTGAGGCAGGAGAATCATTTGAATCTGGAAGGCGGAGGTTGCAGTGAGCTGAGATCATGCCACTGCACTCCAGCCTTGGTGAAAGAGTGAGACTATGTCTCAAAAAAAAAAAAAAAAAAAAAAAAAAACAGAGACTGGGTGATGCAGTAGAAGCCAATGAACACCAAAGATTGCCAGCAAACCACCAAGAGCTGAGAGAGGCATGAAATAGATTTTTCCTTGCAGTCTTTAGAAAAAACCAACTCTGCCAACATCTTGATCTGAGACTTCCAGCCTCCAGAACTGTGAGACAACACATTTCTGTTTGTCTCAGTGTTGTACAAGCCACTCAGTTTGCAGTACTTCGTTACAGCAGCCCTGGAGAGAGAACACAATCAGGAAGACTTCGGACCAGCACACCTATCCATGGACTTTCTGCGTATCTTCCCATGGACATTTCTGGCTTCAGGGCAGTCGGACTTCCATGACAGCTCAGGATTCCAACCACGTGTGTGTTCCAGTGAACAAGGCAGAATTTGCATCACAATTTATGACTCAGTTTTGGAATTTATTCACTGTCACTTCTACCATACTTTATTATCAAAGCACCTCACTAATTCATCCAGATTCGAAGGGAGGAGGGTTAGTCTCCATCTCTTCACGAGGGAGTGGGAAGATCCCATTGTAGACGACCATGTGAGATGAGAGATATTGTTGTGGCCACTTTGGAAAATGCAATCTGTCACTACCCAGAACTTGAAGAAGAGAGCATAAAGCATTCAACAATAGATAGAAAGAGACTAGATGAAGAGCTAGACCTATGCCTTTCTTGGGTGGAGACAGATAGAGAGTTGAGTTCTCACATCCTGAGAAAGGTGCGAGAACTCTACTCACTGCTGAGTTAAAGCCCTGGCAGTGACAGTGAAGGAACGAGACCCAGGACATATCTAGGAGGATGCCAGGGATGGGGACCTGAGACTTGCTGCCCAGATACAGTTCAGGAGATGCTAGTCCCACAGAGAAGCTCCTTACCACCACAGTGCCAGTGTGGTAGAATGAGAAAGGCTGAACGAGATATCTAGGAAGACATGCCTGAGGGCAGCCACAGAAAACCCCTACCACTCTAGCACTGGTTGGAGACAGCACACAAGAGTTCTCCTGGGAAGTGTCCCCTGGGGACAGGGTGTGTGGATGTAGCCCTGAGAGAACCAAGGACATTGGCAATGGGGGCCAGCTCCTTGATAATTCTGCATTTTTAGTGCCTTTAACTGTGGTTTTTCAGTGACACTATTCTGAGGTTTGCTTTGTTATTTTTAAATTAACATTTGATTGATTAAAATTACAAATTTTAAAACCTACTTCTACCTTTTGCTTTTAAGTGAAGCTTGTGAATAAAGTTTGCTAGTCTTGCAAACATTTATATTTGAACAATTACTTTTTAGGGGATTTTTGCTTAATATGTGATCCATTTACAAAGTTAAATACATTTAAATATTGCAAATGACATTTATACTTTTAATATATTTATTTCCACTTAAAGGCTTTCCGCTTCATGTCCACTTCAAATTTCTAACTTCCAGAGTTAGAAATTTATTAGATTTAGAAGGACTACTTAAACTTAAATATGGTGAACCTAAGTTATCTTAATTGTTCCAGTGCTATATAAAACAGTAAGATTTTTACTTAAAAATAACAAGGTAAAATCAATTACTCAATTTTTAAAAATTGGACTTATACGAGTGGCCATTTAGTCTTTTTTTTCTTTTTTCTTTTTTCTTTTTTTTTTTGAGATGGAGTCTCACTCTGTCACCCAGGCTGGAGTGCAGTGGGGTGATCTCGGCTCACTGCAACCTCCGCCTCCTGGGTTCAAGCAATTCTCCTGCCTCAGCCTCCCGAGTAGCTGGGACTACAGGCATGCACCACCACACCCAGCTAATTTTTGTAAATTTAGTAGAGACGGGGTTTCACCATGTTGGTCTCGATCTCTTGACCTCGTGATCTGCCTGCCTCGGCCTCCCAAAATGCTGGAATTACAGGCGTGAGCCACCGCTCCCAGCCCTGAGTGGCCATTTATTCTAAGTCCAGTTCTCTTAAACATTATAAACACATGAAATATAAAATATTTTATATACCCTAATATAAAATTCATATAAAATGTTAATATTGTTGCTTGAAGTCCTCAAATATTTTTATATGTAATTCCAAATCTTTCCAGTTCCACCAAGGAAACCACTCTATAACCCCACACAATATTTACAGCTAACCTTTTCAGCTTTCTTCTTCTTGCATTAGATCAAACAAGGGTCTGGGAGGCTTGGCAAGGACCAGAAGACCGTGGTGGTTGTATGCAGTGGACAACAGAGCTTTAAGGAGATGACCTCTGCCCTCTAAGTTCAAGTTATAAATGTCCTAATTCTATTGTCTGCTCAAAGAGATTGAGACTTGTATCGGGATTAGTGTTGATTAAAGTCTCTTGAAAAAGATATTGATGTATTTTAAGAAGTAAAGAAATGCAAAATCGAAAGAGAAACTTGCATTCTTTCAGATCTGTCAGTCCTTTGGCCCTAAGAATAGTAACACGCTCTGTGGTGGAACTGTGCACAGCCCTCATGGCTTCTCCAATCAGTGAGTCATTCAGCTGACACACACTGAGATGAATTTTACCTCCATGTATGCTGGCCTCTACTGACGACCACCATGGACCAAACAGCTCTGCCCAGGACCCTGCTATACTGTCCAGGAGCCTTTGTGGAATCACTAAGAGATGCCTCTTCCTCCAAGTTGAAACCACCCCACACAGGGCTCCAACTTGGAGAGGTGAGCAGAAGGGAAGAACTGCAGCTTTTGTTTGCTTCCAGATCCAGGCACTTTTTTTTAAGAGATGGGCTCTGGCTCTGTTGCCCAGGCTGGTCTTGAACTCCTGGACTCAAGAAATCCTCCCACTTCAGTTTCCCAAAGAATTGAGATTACAGGGGTGAGCCATTGTGCCTGGCCTCCAGGCACCTTTTGAGAGGCAAACAGCACAACTGCCCATGGCAGCTCTGCCCTACCTCTTTGATTCCAGAACTGAGGATAAGACCCCCAGTCTCTCAGCAACCCCTGCATAGAAGGGAAGGAGAAAAGAGAGAGGGACAATCCTGAATTAACTGTTTACTCAAAAGAGACTGAGAAAATTCAGAACTGCCAAACTACTCTGATTGGACAAGAATAAGATTCTCTAGAGAGCACAAATCGGGGCTCAAAAGCAAGGTTTTCTATAAAGTACATCTTGCATATAGATCACAGTCCTTAGCCTGTCTGGATCTCAGTTTCCACATCTGTGAAATGGGATGTTCTCTAGACCAATGCTTCTCAAATGTTATTATGCATAGAAATCAGCTAGGAATCTTGTTAAAATGCAGCTTCTCTTCAGTGGGGATAATGCAATGAATGTCTGGGATTCTGTATTTCCAGCAAACTCTCAATTATTTCAACCCCCTGGACCACACTTAATAAGTGGAGACAATTCTAAGATCTGCCACACTATGTTTACAAATTATCTGTTGTGAATAAACACCTAATTGTCTTATGCTGAGGACCTGACCTACAAAGCTAGAAATCACTTTTTAGATGAGCTCTATGTCTAAGAGCCATAAAGCTGCAATGGTTCTCTATTTTTGAAAAAGAATGGCCCTTCTCTCCCCTCTCCAGTTGCCTCCTATCCTCTCTAACCGCAATGCCATCCTTTTTTTTTCTTTTATTCATTTCACGATATCTGCAGCAAAGAGAAAAAAACAAAAGACAGTGCCACCAGAACCAAAGCTGAATGCTTGAGAGAACCTTCAGAAATATGCTTAGGGGAGGATAAAAATATATCTTTTGATAAACTTTAAATGGGTGATTGTGGAGGGTGGGCACGGGGACTGATGAACATTTTAGAGAAAACTGAGTAGATGGTGAAATATCTTAATGAAACGTGAGCATTAAACACTGAGACCACATATCCTGTTGACCAGTTCAGAAAATATGTTTTGAGACGAAACATTTGAAATAGCGATTGTCTCAGAAAATCCATAGCGAAAGGTCTCTGCGATGTTGATTTTATAGCAATTGTCACTCTTCTTCCCAGCAGGGGTGTGGGGGAAATACATAGACTGCATACATGCACACATACACGTATACTCACACATGTACATATGTATTATACACACATACACCATATGCTACACACACACATACACACACACATTCTCTTTTTTAATTGGCAAGGAACTAAAAACAAAATAACCAAGGAATGTCTTTTAATAGAAGCCTCACTTCCTTCCGCACAAACTTGTTAAGACTCTGTTAGTTACCTCCTCTCCTGCCCACCCCAAGAGACCCCGTGTGCTGTGATAGGCCTCACTTTGGTTGCTGTTCCCCAACAGACTTAGAGTCCTGAACCTGGGTCAGGCTCCAGTGCACAGAAGCCCACACAGAAGCCTGGCAGCTTCCCCTCAAACTAGAGCATCATGAAAAGGCAAGCAGTGGGGCTCCACCTTCCTTTCTCCAAAGGTTTCAGTGGGACATTGAGCCAGGCTTGCTCTTAGGGCTCCTGGGCCAGGGGTACTCCCAACCCCCAATTAGAGCAGCCTCTGTTCAGTGCCAGGACAGATAGCAGTGTCAGTCACCCACTCTTCTGCTCTTCCCAGTAGGAAACCTCATGTCGAGAGTACAAACAGATCCTCCGAGTTTTGTCACCTGCTCAATAATAAAAATGGGCCTAACTGACAAGGTTAAATGACCCTGGGCCCATGGTGCAGGGGCAGCAGCCCCTAGTCTTTGGATGTGCTTCTTTAATGATTGTCTTTAATTCTCCTAAGGAAAAGAGGATGGTTCTCCTCCCAGTTTCTGATTTTCTCTTCAGGTTTTTGATTTGGTATAACCTTAATAATTTTCCTGTGGCATCAGTGAGGGAAAATATCCATCTTGGATTCTGAAACACCCACTTCTAAATCAAAGAAACCTGTTTTAGAGTTTGTTTGTATTTAGAAAGCTAGTCCTTCCTCCCTCCTTCCCTTCCTTTTTTTCCTCTTCTCTCTCCCTCCCTCACTCCACACACATCTACCACAGGACAAAGATGAGTACTAGGCCTTATGAGACACCCAAGACACATTTCCTTTACTGGATTGTAAACTACTTGAAGGCACAGTTAAGACACAAATACAAATGTTTCCAATCTAAACAGCCTAAGAGAGTTGTTAATGAGATTTCAGAAAAAGGAGTGATAACAGCTAGTTGGAGATAATTCAGATTAGAGAGAATCCGAGAAGACTGAAAACTGATGAATGGGGCCTTACGTGCACAGGAAGTCATCTGGCATTCCTAGAAGAAAGGCCCAAGTAAAGCCAGTCGCCAGAAAATCAGGGGCTGCCTAGGGAATGGCGCATAGTTCACTCAAGCTGGAGTGTATGTATGTGAAGGATATAAAGATGGGGAAGTATATGGTGGCCAGAAGGTCTGGGTGCCAAACTAGGACATTTGATGTCATGGGTCTCCACTGCAGTGACATTACCCATCTGGCCTTGGGAGGACTCATTTGGCACTGTTTTGTAGAATGGACTTGGTGGGAACTGAGGGAAGAAACATCAGTTAGAAAGCTAAGTGGGGCATGATGGGGGCTGGAGTTGAGAAGATGACATTGGGAATGGACAGGAGGTAAAGGATGGACTAGGTAGATGGAACCTGGGGACTGGTTGGATGGGGGTATGTGAATAGGCGCAGGGAGTAAACACTGACTGCAAGGTGGCAAGCCTGGGCAGGGCTGGTCCTGCACCATCAACCAGGTTGTGCACTTCCCAGCTCTGGGGATATCATGCACACAGCTACAGTACAAATGGCACCCACCCCCAGCCATCGGGCAGCCAGAGTTTGTGAACCTGGCTGACTGCGAGGAAGGCAGCACCAGAAATGGAGATCAGAGCAGACAGGAAGAGGAATAAACCCTGGAGGAAGTACATGTGGGCAGAAGCACTTATTAAGAGAAACAGAAAAAGATAATGAGTTTAATTCTGGATGTATTAGAGAACGTTTCCACATTAATGGTTATGAGAAGAAAAGAGTCTATATTAAAAGCTAGAAGAAGGGACTCCTTGACAAGAAGGATGCTCCTGTCTAGCTCAGCCTCCCAGACCCTCCTCTCTCCTGCCCGTGCTCCCCATGTCTCTGGTCACAGTATTGAATTAGAAGCACAGCTGACAAGTGTGCAAGGTTCAGAAACCCCAGAGTTACACTGGGTAAGAAAAACAGGTCAGGGAATGCACTCAGAGCCTAGGCAGAGGGGAGGCAGGGCCCATGGCAGTATTCAGGCAGTACACAGAGAAACATACCTGTGCACACCTGGGGAGAGAGAAGCTCCTGGAGTTTAGAGACCATCTTGCCATCATCCCATGGAAAAATGTCAGGTTCTCTTAGGATCCCAATCCCTCATCTCCTCAGTAATGATGTGTGCAATTGTTGCTGGTGGGTATGGGATGGGTGAGGTGGAGTAGTGAGTAGGAGGTTGATTTCAAATGGAAACTCTGAGCTGTTTTCATCCTGGGAATCAGACATGCCTCAGCATATTCAGAAGACTCAGGCTTGCAGAGACTATCTGGCATACTTTCTTCTCTCTTCCTTTGCATGAGGACAAGGACACTTGGGTATGATTCATGTTATTTGATTTAAGGTAAATATGTTGGGGCCAGTGTAGGGAAAGAATATTTTGAGCACAGGAGAGTTGCTGTAAGAAGTCATCCCAACAAGACTAATGTCCTGTGAATCAAAACTGTGTCCCACGGAAGACAGCCCTGGGGCTAAGATGCCTGTGGATTGTGGCAGCATTGAGCAGTCCTGGGTAACACTGCAGTCATGCCCCAGGTAGCACAAATTCTGGCATTTATTAAATGTTCAATATGGAATAGGCTTGCACAGATCCTGGTACAAGGAAAGTATCCATTTAAATATTTTCTTTTATTATCATTGCTTCTTTCCCAATAGTTGGGCACTGTTATTATTCTCATTTCACAGATGGCAGAGAGGGGTTAGGCCACCCACCCTCCCACAGAGATACCAGCTGGCGTGTGACAGAGCTGGATGCTGATCCCTGCGCTCTCATCCACCACGCAGTGTTCCATGGAACTGAGAGCAGCCTGAACAATGAACTTTGTTCATCAGCAGCATCAATTGCTGGTGATATTATCATGAGGAACTCATTTGGTAGAGGTAGAAGTTTTCTAATCAGAGGCATCAATGCCTAGAGCAGAAGCAGAGCAAAGATGGCATAAGGTAGGTGAAAGGTGCTCAGGTTCTCCTTGGGGTCTTCCAGAACTGGTTAGAGAGGAAACCAGTGGAACTTGAGCATCATACATTAATTATGATAAGATTGAGCTGAGAGTACAAAAAAACTCCAAAATAGCAGTGGCTTAAACAAGTCCAGGTAAGTGTTCCAAAATCGATAGGGCAGAGTCCTGAACCTCAGAGACCCAAGCTTCTTCTACCTTGTTGCTCCATCATCCTTGGCATAGCTTCTGTGCCTGGCACAAGATGGATACTTAAGCCTCCACTGTACGTCAACATTCCAGCCAGCAAGAAGATGACAAAGAAAAGAGAATAGCATGCTCCCTCTTGTGATGACGCTTCTCAGAAGTTGCACACAGCACTTCTGCTTACATCGTATGGACTGGAATTTAGTTACACATCCAATCTAGCTTCAAGTAAGGCTGTGAAATGTAATCTTTATTTTAGGTGACCAGGAGTCCAGCTAAAAATCCAGGAGCAATAGAAAAGAATATAAATGAATAATTAGAAAAGTAGCCATCCTGCCATACAACCTAACCGGGATTTTCCCCTCCCTAAGTTCCAGGCTCATGACTGTCTGTCCTGGGGTCAGCTCTAAGAAAGTGACTTTGGGATACTTTGTCAGATGCAAAAGCTCAGGAGCTGGAGACCAACAAATGAATGGGTCCTGAAAGGGTAACCAAGAAGACCTTATGTTGGCCTCAAGGAATTTACTTGTATTGCTTATTTCTTTTATTTTCAATCCTTCCTTTGAAAAAAGTTTAAAATTGATTTTAGAACTACACAAAATGAAATGACAGTCTACATTTTACAGTAAATTAAATAAAAGCTAATATCATATACTTTATCTTATTTTGTTTTATATCTTTTTATTTTTTCTAAGAAACTGAGAAATGGGTTGTGTGATTTTGCAGAACTTATTTGTTAAAGAACTGAATCATAATTGCTAAACTAAGAAATTCTTGCAAAACTACAGGTAAAGGAAGGTGAGGGCACGTGTACACAAATGCTCGAAAAATGGTTATAGAAATATTTCTATCGGGAAGGTAAAATTGTGAGAGGGAAATTGGCAGAGCATGGTGGTGTGCGCCTATAGTCTCAGCTACTCGCGAGGCTGAGGCACAAGAATTGCTTGAATCTGGGAGGCAGAGGTTGCAGTGAGCCCAGTGAGCCAAGATCATGCCACTGCACTCCAGCCTGGGTGACAAAGTGTGACTCTGTCTCAACAACAACAACAACAAAAAAAAAAAAAAAAAAAAATTTGTGTGTGTGGGGAATTTGAAGATTTTTAGATATTTGGGTAAACTTTTAAATAAACATTTGTTTGCCACGATCCCTTTCAGTCCCAAGTGGTAGTCCTTCATATCTAGCTCCAGGCTCCCATTGTCCTGAAATATTTTGTCATTTACTATCTTTTTTCCCAAAGGAACACACCCTGGATTTGCCACTATTTTCCAGATGCCCAAACTTGAAGCCACCTTCAATCACCAAATGGTAATAACCACTCGCCAAATTAACTGCATCAACCACCGTGCAGGAGCCCTATAGTGGAGAAGCAGGGGAATAAGTGCCTTGACTCCACCCTCCTTCCTCCTTTCCTCTTTTCTCAGGCTCTGCATCTGCTGAGCACAGAGGAAGACAGACAGAAAGGGAGCCTCTTGATATAGCCCATGCAGGTGACCTTCCTGGACACAGAGCAGGGAAAAGGGAGAAGCAGGGGAAGTGTACATGATGGGACACACTAAGAGGTCACCAACACATCTGTTTCTGTGAAATGTCTCACAGACAACACAGCCTCTTCTTCCCCCTCCTCATGCACATAATATTCATTGGAAGTCTAATTGTATCCTTTTAATTATCTCTGGGCAGTATAATATAATGGATCATAATAGCTAACATTCATTGAATATTTAACATGGGCCATGCACTTGAGAAAACACGTTCACAGATTAACTTATTTAATCTTCATAACAACTCTGTGATGCAGATAAAGTATTAATTTCCAAGGGCTTGTTTTTAATAAAGTAAGAATAAGGAGAGGCCAGAAGGATAAATAATTTGTCCACAGTTGCTTCTGAGATAAGTTATATTTAAAAAAAAAAATCAGGACAGCATCTTAGCAGGTAGTAAGTGCTAGAACAATTTTAGCCATGATTATTAATGTATATCTACACAGTTACTAATCCTAGTCATAACAATTCTTTGAGGGAAATATTGTCATCATCACTTTGCATATGAAGAAAACAATGCTCTGAGAAGGCAGGTCACCTGCTGGCCAGCGCAGTTCCTTGGACAGTGGCGGGCCTCTTGGTGCCACATCACAGCTTCTGTTCATTCACATTCTGTTCATATCACATTCTGTTTAGCATGAATGTGATGTGAACATCATATCTACCATCTACCTGGTGAAACTGATGATCACCTTTCCAGGCCTGTCATTTTCCCAGTTAGATATTGACAGGCCAACATCTCAATTACATTGCATTTAGTCTGCCTGGAGTTTTTCCTAAGCTCTAAATGATTGTCAGAGAAAGGAAAGCTTGGGTTTAGCCACCGTTGGCATCTCTTTAATTTTGATCCTAATAGGTACTCAAATCTGCAACACTTGCAAGATTTTTTTAAAATTTGTCTTAACTTTATTCTTTATTTTATTGTGAAAGAGTAAGTACGCTAGCCTAGCTCCAATCACAGCAGAGTTGAAATAACCCTCGCCTTGGAGCGTTTTCCATGACCAGCCCTCCACCACCTAGCTTTTATTTCCTGTGGTGAAATGAGATGATTCACAATGCTCACACAGGCTGTGCCATTCTGCCCCTGTGAAACTTTTTTCTTCTGCTGTGATCTGGAACCTCTTGATTTAAAATGCATAGAATCCCTGCTGGCAGAGCAGGTTAAACCCAGCCTAGACATTTTAAGATTTAAGCCTCAGCTATCTGGAAGAAAACTAATGGTGAGTCTGGACTCATACCAGAACAATTTTAGGAGTTCTATACTGGTACTGAAGCAATCTTGCTGGACTGCTTGGAAATGAATCTGTTATGTTCTGAATTCTGTTATCTTGGACAAGAGATTTATCTTCTCTGGGTCTCAATTTCATTCATCATTCACTCACTCACTTGTTCAAGAAAACTTCTTCGACACCTACTCAGGCAATAAAAGTCCAAAGTAGAATTAGACTCAAATGGCATCATTGAGCATAGCTCTAGAATAAGGATGTTGAAATAGATGATGACAGAAGTTGCTTCCAAATCTAACTGTTGACAAGTAGAAGATTCCATATGTGGAATAGGTTAGTAGGGTTCTTTCTCTGTCTATCATACAAGCTCCCCTGGGATGTGGTCTTGCTCCATCCTGGAACTGGGAATGGTAGGAAATGGCAGTGATTCATACGTGCATGCTAAACAACCATCTCTATTGCAAAAGCCCCTGTCCCAGGCAGAGCAAAGGTCAACACAGCTGACCTGAAGCAGTTTGAATAAATAGGCAAGATCTCAGTCATTGTTCTAGGGATGGCTCAGCCCTCTAGATTGAGAGATCATCAGTTTTCATTAAAGTGTTAACATATTTTTGAAGGGATGCAGTTTGCCGGTGGACATCTGAAACTGGGTGCAGAGTTAAAGAGTGCCACATGCCACTGCATCTGCTTCAAATTATGTTCTCCAGAAGACAAAAATACAGCTCCATGAGTCTAAAAATACATCTTAGCTGTTAGCCAAAAATGCATTTATTCTTGGATTCATAAAAATGCAGGCCATGTGAAATATGTGGGGGGCATGCACTCTCATAGAAAAAAAATTGACCAAAGAGAAGAAAAAGTTAATATAAACCTTAAGTATCCTTTATTGAAAGAAAGGGGAGAAGGTGGAAATGATGAGGCTTTGGAGTGTGACTGGGAAGCGGAACTAGGAAAGCTGTGTCTTCAGGGGGAAGAAGGCTGCTAGGACCAGGCTGCCTTCTGCCCCCATCCCATCCACAGGAAGGCCCTGAGCAACTGTGGATTGGGACTTCACTTCTGCCCACTTGGGGGAATTAGTAAAGCCAGTGGCAAGGACCCATCGCAACCCCAAATCTTGGCATCATGGTCTGTGCAGAGCTTCTCCAAGAGTCTGTGATTAGGAACCAGTTTGTTTGTTTTTTTCTTCCAATTCATGTGGACCAAGATTTTTATAAAATATAATAAGAATGAATTACTTTAAAAAAAGAAATAAAAATGACATATAAAAGAAGCCCCATTTTAAAATTAATAGATTAACAGATATAAAATTATCTTTCAAAATCAGAATGAACATGGTAAAAAAGGAAAGAATTACCATGAGACATTTCTCAACATGTAGTCTCAATATCTGCATTTATTTCAACATGGATCAGGAACAGTCTGCGCAGCCCACATTCAATAGCACTGGTGTGGCAGAGTGTGGATCTGAGAGGTTTTCAGCCCAACTCCACACTTGCTAATGGTGTGCCATTGGCCACATAAGCCTTTCTAAGCCTCTGATGGAAGAATAGCGGTAAAGGTCAGCTATTATTTCCATTACCATCTATATTAGTTTCCTATTGCTGCTGAAACGAATTACTACAAATTTAAAGGCTTAACACAAATGTATTCTCTTATAGTTCTAGATGTCAGAAGTCTTAAATTGGTTTCCCTCAGCTAAAATCAAGGTGTCTCTAAGGCTGTGTTCTTCCTGGAGGCACTAGTGGAGAATCCATTTCCTTGTTTTTTCCACCTTTTAGAAACTACCCTCATTCCTTGGCTTGTAGCTCCTTCCTCCATCTCCAAAGTTGGTGGCATAGCATCTTCAAATCTCTCTTTGGCTCTCACCTCCTCTTCTTCCCTCTTCCACTTCAATGGACCTTTGTTGTTATAAAGTCCACCAGTATATAATCTAGGAGAATTCCCTTATATTAAGGTCAGCAGATTAGCGACCTTAATCTGCAACATTAATTCTCCCTTGCTGTGTAATATAACATATTCCTATTGAGCATATTCAAATTCACGGGGATTCAGATGTAAACATCTTCAGGGAGGGGGTCATTATTCTATTTACCTCATATCTGATGTCATTTACTCAGCCACATTTATTGAACACTCACTCCACACAGATAGAGTTCTAGGCTTAAGGAATATAACCGGATAAAGGCTGAGATAGGCCCTGAGTTACAGAATATGTTACTGAAGAAGACCAACATTACACAAATTATTAAGTACTAAAAAGGAGAAGTATAGAGTATTATAAATGCATTCATTAGAAATCTTGATGTCAGCTGAGGGGGAAAGTGTTTAATAAATATCTATAGATACAGGGCACTACTCTGCATGTACATTAACAAAATAACATAATTTAATGAAAAGTATTATAACAATTGTTTCAGACCACTTATATCAGAAAAACTTGGGAATTTTATTAAGACTATCAAGATTTCAGAATATGAAGCCCAGAAATTTACATTTTATGGAAACACATTTATATTTGATACATCTACTACCTCACTGCCCTCCCTCTTCCCCTCCCCACACCATTCGCGCAATGAGTCCTTTCCACAGTACAGTCTGAGAATCAGGATTTTAGTGTAGTTTCCCAAGCTTGCCTAATCAAGAGAACCACTGAGGCTTGCAGACCAGGTGCCCTCTACCAGGCCTACTGAATTAGATTATTTAGGAGGGGCATCTGGGACTCTGTATTTAAAGGCATTTACATAAGTCTTACGATCTGACAAGTTTGGGAAACACAAGTGTAGTAAAAACCAAAAAATAAATAAATAGCCAGTGGCCAGGGAATCAAGAAGTTTAGCTTCTAATCCCAGGTCTTCTACTTTATCACCTCTCAGAACTTAAGGATCTACATTTGTAATATTCAAGCAGTCATTCTTGAATGGGGAGATTTTGGCTCCCAGGGCCAAAATTGGGCCTTGTCAGAAGACGTTTTTGATTGTCATGACCATGGGCGAGGAAGGGAGGTGATACTGGCATCTAATGGGTAAAGCCCAGGAATGCTGCTAAACATCCTACCATGCACAGGGCAGCTCCCCACAACAAAGGATTATCCCAACCAACATGTCAACAGTGCAGAGGCTGAGAAACACCACATAGAAGTGATTTGTTAGGAAGTGTTCCCAGGTAGAATCCACAAGGGAGAAGGAAAAGGAAGGATAGGAGGCCAATCAAGGGTGAGGTGTCACGCTAAGTCCCATAGGGAGTCTCTGGAAACAGTGCAGTTCTCACTGAAGTTGTCCTGATGAGCGGCAACAGAGCTGGGGGTATTTATACCCTTGTGTAGGTCAGTCACTGATTGAGGACTGCTCCCTGTTTCAGTTCTCTAAGTGCAGGCAAAGCAGGCTCTGGAGCCTTTTTGGGGACCACCCCAGTCAAAGCCCCAGGTACAGGCTATTGTGAGTAAAAGAACACAGGGGGCCTGTAAGGGAGATTCCTAACCTAAGGCAGAGCATTGACAGGCTCAGCTACACAGGAGCAGTAGTTTTCCACTGCTGCTTTTTCACTGCACATCTTTAGTAGATAGAATGCTTTTCCTGGAAGTTCAATATACAGCACTGCTAAAAAGACATGCTGGTTAAAGAAGAGGAGAGTGAAGCCTGTCTCCTTCTCCTAAGTTCCTCTTCCCCAGTTCCTCCTCCCTTGACTTAAGAGACTCTCCTCCACAGACTTAGAGCTTCTTGGAAGACACGTATTGGGCCACCGCATTAGCCTACTGGGGCTGCCATACCAAGTACCACAACCTAGGTGACTTTCACAACAGAAATTTATTCGTTCACAGTTCTGGAGGCTAGAAGTCTAAAATCAACAGGGCCATGCTGTCTCTTTGAAGACTTAAGGGGAAGATTCTTCCCTGTCTCTTCCAGCTTCTGGTGTTGCTGGGAATTCTTGGCATTTCTTGGCTTGTTCATGGCCATCTGCTCCCTGTGTGCTCACATTGTCTTCCCTCTGTGCATCTGTGCCCACATTTCCTTTTCTTATAAGGACTCCAGTCATACTGGATCAGGGCCCACTCTGATGACCTCATTTTGACCCAATTACCTCTTTAAAAGCCCTATTTCCAAATACAGTAACATTCTGAGGTATTGGGGATCAGGACTTCAACATATGAATCTGGGGAGGAGACACAATTTAGCCCATTACAGACACAGTTTCAAACATCCTTTGCCTCATTAAGCTTTAGTGTCCAATGGTTTTATATTAAGAGCTTAATCATCCTTCAATTGTATATTCTTAAGTATTTGTGTGTTAGATTAGGTGGCTTGAACACTATCCTCCAGAAGTTATCACCTTTAGTGGACCCCAAGAGCACCCCAAATAGCTACTTCATGCACATCCAATGCAACAGTCAAGGAGGAGAAGCCTGAGGGTCATTGATGCAGACTGAGCGGAGCGAAGCCTTCTTCATGCACACTAATTATGCCATATGCAAGAAGACAGAGTCTCCCATGTGATCTGTAAACCATCCAGGGAGGTGCCCAGGGTAGAGATGCTATTCCCATCAGAAAGCTGGGAAAACCAAGGCTCAGAGCATGATTTGCCCAAGGCCACATGGGCTCCAGCCTTCACTACTCATTAGCCAAGCATTGCGATTTTTCTGCAGAACCAGCTTACCTGGTCTCTTCCGGTTAGTCAGGAAAGGCCTTATAAAGAGTGGAATCTGTGACCAAGGAGTGAGGAAAGATGATATAATACTTTGACTACATCATATCTCCCTTTGGAGAAAAAGTAGTTATATCTTTATAATTTGGTCAAAGAAATTTAGTTTAAATTGAAAGCACAAGAACTTTTTTAGTGGGCTTACTTGTGTGCTAACCACTTTTCTACGGGGTTTACATATGTTAATCAATTTAATCCTCATAAGAGCCAACAGAATTGATACCATTATTATCCACATTTTATGGAAGAGGAAATGAAGACACAGGGAGGGGCTGGTTTACTAGAAGAGAATTCATTTCTGTAGACACTTCTAGTAATGCCAGCTAATAATAGAAAGAGCAATAAAAATATCTGCCAATTATTGCATGCTTTGCATACAGTTTTCCCATTCAGTCCCCATAAAAACCCCTAAGAGGTAGTATTTCTGTCTCCATTTCATAGATGAATAAACAAAGGCCCCGAGTTCAAGTAATATGGCCATGATCCCACAGCAAATACATGGTAGAGCTCAGATGGCTCCATACAGATTTTTGGTCCACTTTTGGACCCTTCTGTATAGCAGGTCTGACGAAAGTCACTTTTGCACATAAGTTAAGCCTCTGGGAAAAGGATGTTAGCTTCCAGCCCCACATATCCCTGGGACAAGAAGTAATGCATTCCTTTTACAGAATTGGAAAACTCCAAGGGATGGACATTGTGGCTAGGCATTCACACACTTTCTAGGTAAATGTGTATCATCATCATTTTTCTAGACTTTTAAAAATTACATAATTTAGTGTCATTCTATTCAGGTAGCAACAACCTGAAATATTAAGTTAGCATCTACATAAATAAAATCACATGTTATAATTAACTGAAACATAAACACAACCCATTACTTGGTACATTTCAATATATTTTAGTATATTTAAGATAGAAATAATAAATTCCATTTGCCATAGTTTCAATACATAAAGTAATAATAAATAAAACAATTTCTAACATAGAGTAGGCATTCAAAGGCTATTCCAATTAATCAAAGAGCAGAAGGAGGCATTTTTTTCTTCATTGAAAGCTCCTCCATCTGTAACGTTAGGGCTAGAATTTGGGCATTTCCTTAAAGTACTTTATTTGCTAGTCAACAAAAATGCACTGAGTAATAGTACTAGACAAGGGATAGGTGGGAGTAGGAACAGAGAGATCTTTGTCTTATTCAATACTTTTGTTGATGACTTGCATAATCATTTTTAGCTTGAAATAGGCTGTTTTCTCAAGGTGGGTTAAAGTGCTCTGATTTGTAATAAGGTTTTAAGATTGCATGATAGACATTGTCATGTATCACTTAGTCTTCAGGAATACAGGACTTACTCTCCCAGCCACTGGGAGCGCTGCAGGCAATGCCCCAGGGTCAGCCTCCTGCAATAAGTTACACTGCTGTAACTGATTACAGCAGCCTTGTCCAAGGTTACACCTCCTTCATCAGATAGTCCATAATCAGTGACTGATCAGCTTAAAGTTATAAAGGCCAGCCCCTTTCCCTCAATTCAGAACAACTCTGAAAAGTCATTCCAGTTTTAGAATTAGCTAAGTCCTCCATTCAGAGTATATCACAGCTAACTTCTTCCTCTACCCAATCTTATTTCCATTCTTTTCACAAATGTTGATCTCAAGGTGCATTCCCTAAGACATTTTCTGCACAGCAATTTCCATTCCAGAGTATGCTTCCTAGGGAGCCCAAATTGTGACAGTTGGTACCAGGAGTGGTTTGAGAAAGCAAACACTGAGATGGGATTTTGGAACCAAATCATCTAACAAACACACCTGGCAAAGAGGACCTCATTGCTAGCGGTAGGTCAGCAACAGAAAGCCCTGGCACTAGGTAGCAATGCAATTGTTCAAATTTTCAACCAATGATTGATACAGTGGTGGAAGGGAATTCATTAGGTGGTGCAACATATCAGGTGTTTGAGAAGTATGAGGGAAACTATAAGGACAATGGAGCTGACTCTCAGTAAGTTCAACTGATGATCTGGAAAAAGATAAGAAGCTCAGAGTGATTAACTGGCAATTATAAGCTAGGAGTGAAGGCCAGAGAGACTTTTCTTGGTAGCATACACAGAGGTATCATCTCCTACAACGGGAGGGCTGAGGAAGCTGAGAAGTAGACCCAAGAATTATTTGACATAGTATTTGAGTTCAAGGGAAGGTTAAACTCCCAACTATGGCAGTGGACTATTCCAAGGTTCTGGCCCTGGTTGGGAAAGAATGGGACTTGGACACATGAGACAGGGAAACCTAGATTGATTCCCCCCAAAATATTTACTTCCCAGATTTCTCTTAACCTTCTGAGCCTGCAAAAGTGGCCCATCCCTCCCTACTAAGGGATAACATGCCAACCTTACTTGAAGAAGATGCAGAGGTCCTTCTCCCATAAGACAACATACACCCTCCTTGCCTCAGAATCTGTGCTACTCTCCTCCTTGCTACTACACCAATAAATAGGGTTAAGTTATAATATAATTGGGCTTTCCAGCTTTACATAGCATAGCTACTCTACCATGCTGCTTTCTCTAGATGTTTTAATTTCCCTTCCACTGTGTGCTATGACAATTTCTGGTCTTTGCACCTCATTTGGCTAGACTATTTCCTCTACCATCCTAGCTTACACGATCTCCTGGGGCCCTCTCCAGGCTACTTAGTCCTGTATTATCGAAGAGACTTCCCAAATCAGTACAGTCTCCCCCAGTCACCTTTATATTCATCCTGGAAGAGGTGGTGGTCATCATATCTCCATTTAATACACTGATCTGCACCTTGCAGAAACCAGACAGACACAGGAGAATATCGATAGTGGATTGTTGTAAACTCAGCCAAGGGGTAGCCCCACTTGCAGCTGCTGTGACAGTGAGAGCAGATTAACATGGCCTCAGTCTCATGTTGTGGGGCCATGAAGCTGGCAGATGCATTCTTTTCTATTTCTACCAGGAAAGAAGATTAGATGTTTTACATTCATTTGAAATGTGCAATGGTATCTGTTCATTGTTTTGCCCAAGGTCTATATGAACTCTTCTATTCTCTGTTAAAATATAGTCTGAAGAGACCTGGACATCCCACAGAAGCTCACATTGTTCTACTCTTTTGATGACATCATGTTAATCAGATCAGATGAACACAAAGTTGCTAGTTGATTGGAGGCCTTTAAGACACATGCACCACAGAAAATGTGAGCTAAACACTTCGAAGACTCAAGAAGTGTCACATCACCAGTAAAAATTTTAGGTGCCCATTAGTCTGAGGCAAGCTGGGACATCCCCTCCCAAGTAAATGAAAAATTATTGCTTCCTGCACCTCCAACCATGAAGAAGGAAGTACAGCACCTAATAGGCCACTTCAGATTCTGGAGGCAGAATATTCCCCACCTGGGAATACTGCTTGAACCTATACAGTGGGTGACAAACAAAGACTTCAAGGTAAAAATAAGCTCAGAGTAGGAGAGCGCTCTGTAGAAGTTCCAGAATGAAGTGTTTGAACCATATATCCAGCCCACCAAGTCATGCAATTGCGGAAGTCCAGCAGTAATCCATCATAAAATGGAAGTGTTATTATACAACAAAGATTGAGCACAGGTAGCAAGCTGTCTCGGTAGGTAGTCCAGACTCCTATTTCACCCATTACTCTTGCACCAGGACCTGTACCTCAGCTCCCACCTGTGGCCGTATGTGGGATTCTTTATGACCGGATAATGGAGGAAGAAAAAACACTGGGCTTAGTTCACGCAGGGGTGGCCTTGAAAGAAATTGGTGAAAGGAAATCATCCCAATGAGCAATACAACTTGTCGTCCATTTTATGTAGAAGGAGAAATAGCTTGAGGTTAGATTATGCATGGATCCCTAAAGAATGGTGAATGAGTTGGCCAGCGGGCAGGGCCCTAGGAAGAAAATCATTGGAAGACAGGAACTAGGAGATCTGAAGCAGTTGCCAGCAGATTGTGGTAGGCAGGATGATGACCCCCTTAAATGCCTATCCCCTATCCCTGGAACATGTGCATATGTCAAAAGAGACTTTGCTGATATGATTAAGGTTATGGACCTTCAGTTGGGTTTCTTAAGTGAGCCCAGTCTAATCACATCTGTCCTTAAAAGTGCAGAACCTTTCCAGGCTTCAGTGATAGAGATGCAACAATACAAGGAGGGTCAGGGAGATGGCAGCAGGAGAAGGATTTGGTGCCTGTTGCTAGTTCTAAGGTGTGGGGAGCTATGTGCAAGAACCAAGAGAAGCCTCTTGGACTTAAGGTCTGCCCCAGGTGACAAATTAGCAAGGACTTGGAGACATCAGTCCTATGACAACATGGAACTGAATTCTGCTGACGCATAGATGAGCAGGGAAAGGGATTCTCCCCTAGAGCCTCCAGAATGGAATGCAGCCTGGTGACACTGATTTTAGTCCAGTGAGACCTGAACTGAACTTCTATCCATAGAACTATAACATGATATATTTGTGGTGTTCTAAGCCATACATTTGTGAAAATTTGTGATGGCAGCAATAAAAATAAATACACAAATAGACATGGGTCTGTGTTTGCCTTAGCTGATTTTGAGAAATTTGTGAATGGGATCATTCTTTTGCCTCTACCTCACATAATAGTCCACTCAGTTAAACTCAACTCTCCTCTACTGAGCACTTACTTGGCTTTATTCAGGGCCTCTCATAAGGTAAGATTTGGTTCCTGCCCTGGAGAAACTGACAACTTAGCAGAAGAGTTGGGTATATAGTAAGGACAACCGCAGTATGTAGCACCTGCTATCACAAAGGAGAGATTGAGATAAGAGGAAGGAAGACAGAAAAGGAGAAAGGAAAGAAGGGAGGTAGAGAGGAAAGATAAGCCAGATATAATGATACAATGATAAAAATGATAAAGAAGAAAAATGTCATTTTTAAACAAATGTTTAACGTTGAAAAGACAGTAGAGAAAGACTGTCCTGATAACTATTGTTGGAGAGTACAGTTTAGCCCATTTAAAAGAATTCACCAATATGGAATACATGTACAATAAAATATTATTTAGCCTTAAAAAGGAAATTCTGAAAGATGCTACAAGAAGAACGAACGTTGAAGACACTATGCTAAGTGAAATAAGCTGGTCACAAAAAGACAAATACTGTACAATTCCACTTATATGAGGTGCCTAGAGGAATCAAATTCATAGAAACAGAAAGTAGAAAGGAGCTGGGGGATGGGAGGGGGAATGAGCAGTTATCACCTAATGGGTAAGGAGCTTCAGTTTTAGAAGATGAAAGAGTTCTGGAGGTGGATGGTAGTGATGGTTATACAACAATGTGAATGTATTTACTGCCAATGAAATATATATATAAAGTTGGTTAAAATGGTCAATTTTACTTAATGTAAATGTTACCACAATAAAAAATATCGTCTTTAAAAACGTTTTTAAAAACTTGCCAAGATTCACTTAATTGAACACTCTCACTACAAGTTCAGAAAGCAGAATTCAATCCTGCTAACTTATGAAATGGGCTGTGTCTATTAGCTTTTCATGTGGATTTAGATGAGGAATTTAACTTAAGAGAGGCACAGAGTAAAATGCATTCTCCTTCATTGGTAACCTCTGTGTTTGAACGGAAATGGAGGCAGAAAATGCATTCAATTCTTTGGCCGCCATGCAACCATAAAGCTGAGGGCCAGCAAGCTTAACCTTTTTTTTCTTCCCCAAAGCTTGCCTTTCTCAGAGACACCACATTCCAATGTCTACTTTTTAATTTCTTCTCTGTAGATGAGTCCCTATGCAGGCAGTGTTATTATTTCATATCTCAGCTCCCAATCCTGAAGCTCGGTCTCTGGTTTCTCTGGTAGCTGTCATTTAAATTGACTGCAAAGTAAACTTTTTTCCTGTGAGAAAGAGCATATTTTAAATCCTGCTTAATTTACAGCTTCCCCTTCTGTGTTTTGAACTTTCAAATATGGGTCTATATAAAGGAATTTTTATCAGATGTCTATGCAAATCATTAAATAGAATAAACTTTGAGAATATACTTTGGTTGACCATCTTCTAAAAATAAACAAATTAAACATTATCCTCTGGAAACTTCCTTTTGCTAGTGAGGAATTCAGGTTCAGTCTGGTGTTATGCAAATTCATCATGATGTTCAGCAGACAAATGAAGATGCTTACTGGATTGCTCAGAATGGCAGCAGGTAGAGGAAAACCTAGCTAGGAAACAAGTCTTGAAAATGACCTGCCACACCACCTCCATGGATGGTCTTTTCTTAAAGACCACCATAAAACCTCTTTCTGAAAGCAGCTTTAGAGTTCAGAGCCTCCTAAGCTTAGTATCTGAAATTCAATCTATGCCTAAAACTTTTTTTTGGTAATACTTCTGAATTTCATTTTTTAATTCTTGCTAAATTGAAAATCATGCCTAAACAATGAATCTGAGAAAATGCACTTATATTTCCAGAACAATAATAAACGGTGGATGTAGCAAATGGAATTAGATAGTAAAATCAGCATCCTTTTTCATTTACTGTTGATAATAATGACTCTGGCTCCAATTTTTATAAAATCTAAGATTTTCTCTTAGCAACACTCATGGGAAATTAACATATCCTGGGACGACTTGTAGTAGATTGTGGTGTCTGTCCATGTTGTCTACCTAGCAACGTTTCACATCTCTCTTCTTCAGTAACACACTTGTTCCCTTGCTCCATGGGGATATTATTTGTCTACTGCTGCATAAGAAGTTACTAAAAATTTTGTAAACTAAAACATAAATGATTTATTATTGCTCCTGGGTACTGTGAGTCAGGAATTCAAACAGGGCAGAGCAGGGTGGCTTGTCTCGATTACACAATACCTGGTGCCACAGCTGGAAGACTTTGAAGGTAGAGGGATGGGGGCTGAAATCATGTGAAAGCCCATTCAACCCACCCACCTGCTGGCTGTTGACTGGGGCACCCACACGTTGCCTCTCCAGGTGGCCTGGGCTTCCTCAGAACATGGAGGCTGGGATCTAAGATGACTATCTCAAGAGAAAGAGTGTGTGTGCCAGACATAAACTGTCTCCTTTTTGTGCCCTTCAAGAGCTTCAAGAACTACATACCATTTCCCTAGTATGGCTGGATGGGGCCATCACAGCCCCCACCCAGATTCAAGGGGAAGGAACAGAGGTCACTTCCGCTCTTAGTGGGAGATGTGTCAGTCACACAGCAGGAAGAACCTATGCAATGGAGTAAATATGTTGGTGTGGCCATCTTTGGAAAACACCATCTGCCAAAGTTGGGTGTGTGACCCAAGCAAAACTGATCTGAATATTTCCCTTAGAATGGTCAATAGACCCTGAGAGAAAGAAGTTCTCTATTTTCTTAGAGTTTCAAGGTGAAGGGTGTAAATGGGGGTGGCAGAAAGCAACTTCTCTACATATGGAAAGAGTCTAAATGCAGAACTGAGACCGAGTAAAAATAAGATGTGAAAAGAAATAGAGAAAGAGTTCTGCTGGTATTGCTGCTGTCCCTCCCGCATCCAGCACAGTGATTGGCATGCAGTAAGTTGTCAATAATAGCTACTGAATGAGTAGAACAAAGTCCTAACAACTGGAACACAATCAAATGTGGATAATACTATTTAGAATAAGAACTCGAAATAGCGATGGTCCTTATTAACCTGTGTTCCTTACGTTGTGCACGCTGTGTTTGTCTACATGTATCTGTGCTCCTCGGGTCTAATGTTACCCATCTACCTGATTCTTTCTTTTTTTCCGGTTTTGTTTTTTTTTTTTGGGTTTTTTTTTTTTTTTTTTGAGATGGAGTCTTGCTCTCTCGCCCAGGCTGTAGTGCAGTGGCACGATCTCGGCTCACTGCAGACTGTGCCTCCCAGGTTCAAGCAATTCTCCTGCCTCAGCGTCCCAAGTAGTTGGTATTGTAGGCGTACTAATTTTTGTATTTTTAGTAGAGATGGGTTTTCACCCTCTTGGCCAGGCTGGTCTCGAACTCCTGACCTCAAGTGATCCACCTGTCTCGGCATCCCAAAGTGCTGGGATTACAGATGTGAGCTACCATGTCCAGCCCCATCTACCTGATTTCTAGGGATGACTCCTTGTTCTCTCCTACCCAGTTGGGTATTATTCCTGTAGCTAGAGCACAGTTAATTTTATTTATTATTGTTACAGGCCAAGGTCATTTTCCTAGAAATAACTGCCTTACTCCATTTTTCTATGAATGAGGTATTTATTCATAGATACTGCAACTCTTCCTTGTTTTATATCCCCCAGGCTGTTTAAATTGGCTCTCGTCTTACCTTTGTGCCTCATATTTACACTTAAAAAATTTTTTTTTCAGTGATTTTAGAGTTTTACTCTTAGAAGTGGTTCGTGTACATACCCTAGCTGCGAAAACTGGCAAATACATGAACTACCTACATGAGAATCACTGCAGAACTTTTGAAACTACACAAAGCTAATGCCCTGTAGCCCCTTCCCACAGGATTAGAATACTTGGGTTTGAAGCATGGAATTTGTATTTCTAGAAAGCTCCACAGATGATGTCAACACACACCTAAGAGCCACTGGGATTTACAGAGTATTTGGGATTAGAAGTAACCAGGTAGGCTCACGTTCTCCTGGCCCTCAAACCTCTAACACCGTTCTTGATGTCAAACCCTTAGGAGCGCAGTTTACAAGGATGTAGAAGAGTTCTCTTATCCCTTCCCAAACTTAGCTTTCAAGGAAAGGTGCAGATTCCACCATACATGCTCACCAAGGAAAAATGGCCTCCTTCTCTCCCCCAGGTCTGAGCTGGGGTCCTTAAGAGATGGTGCCCTAGGAAGTCTGTGTATTGCCTAATCAGTGGGGACAATGAGACCTGGGGTGAATCTGATGAACTTTCACCTTTCCTGTTCCCTCTACAGGAGGAGCCATTAGATTAGATTCCTAATGTACCACATTCCACCAAGGAGGGTGAGAAGGCACGTCTGAAGCCTGAAACAGATGTGTATTAGAAACAGCCTTATAGCCAACTTTCCAAGGATATTTCTTAGGAAACTGGAAGAAAAGCCTTCAGCTGGCCAGCTCTGCTCTGACCAGGCTGGGATGGAAGGAGCTTGGAAACTCCAGAACATAAATTGGAAGAGTATTTCACTTAAACGTCATGCTTCATTTTAATTTTGTCTGGCTGAAAAAGGGCCAACTGGGAAATAGTTTTTTATTTCCCTCTGAGTATAGCCAATGAAAGCATGGATTTAGAATAATTGTAAGGGGCAGTGGGCGTGTCTTCAGTTCTGCAAGAACAGTTTGCACAGCGGCAAAAGGGAGTTTTCTGTGTGCTTTCTTCCAATGCGGGTGAGGGCTTGACGTCAGCGGTGGCTCAGAGCATAAAGATCAGGTCCCACACCCTCTCCCAGCACTCACAGAGCCGCCCTGCCACCCCACCCTGGCTGCTTCTTCCCAACATGGCCCCTTTGGGGAGGTGCCAGTGTTCTGCCTGTGAAAGAGAAAGCTGTGCAAAGGAAGGGTGGAGTGCAGCATGTGGGCCGGGATGACAGACACAGGCCATCATGTTGCAGGGCGGACTTGGAGGAGATGGAACAGACTTTGTGGTGGCTGTAACTTTGGCATAAAACCTTTGTTTCCATCTTTGCTCTGAGCTGATTTAGAAAGTTTCTCTTTCTTAAATAGGAATGTATTTTAGATGTGTAAAATCTGCTTACCATATTCTCTTTTCCTAGTTGCTCCCAACCAATTTTGAAAACCTATTTTGTTCGAATTGTGCCCATTTCTAGTCCAGTTTTCGAAAAATCCATGTCTTGAGAAGCAAAGATTATTAGGCCAGAAACATTTTCTTTCAGGTGGAGATTTTCACAGCGAGTAGATTGTGAGTCTGCCAGGATAATGTAATTCTAATTTGGCCATGGGCACCGTGACAAGGAGACCATTCCCACAGAATCGTGTTAGCACTGTGAGCATACCTTGAGCTTCCAGTTCATCACTTTTCTGTTATGGTTCTGCTGCTAATATGAGTTGCTGGTATCTAATCTTGGCAAGTCATTCAACCTGTTAGGCACTCAATTTTTTCATTTGTAAGAGGAAGGTGATCATTTCTATTCCATCATCAAGTTGTTATAAATATAATATTGTGAATGTGGAGGTGCTTTGAAAAAGAAATGCTAGACATGAACTTTAAAATGTTCAGGGATAGAGGAATGGAGATTATGAGAAAAATTCCAAGGGAAGCAATGAATTCAAAAGCACCATCTGCCAGCTACATGCTCACTACAGGGAATTTCAGACTCCCCAGCCCTGCAGAGAAATGGAAGATCCAATTAGACATGTCACAGAGCAGCAATGGAAAGATGTTTGGGTGGACAGTGCTTTTTTATGACTTTTATTTAATGGTGCTCACAGACCAAGGACTATAACCCTCTGTCCCTGCCTCTGGTTCTCCCCAACTTCAATTCACTCTATTCCCTGCTGTTAGACCAGAAACAACTCTGACCATAGAAATCAAGAATGCTAGAACTGGCGGGGAACTGTGAAATCATTTTATAGATAAGCTGGTTGATTTGTGTGTGTTGCCAGCTCTCTCACTCCAGACATCAGTGACCACCCCAGATAATTATTACCCTCTATGATCCATACGTAATTTTATCCCATTTCCTTTTACCACTCCCATGCTCCAGTCAAACTGGAATATAGCCTGTTACTTGGAAATTGTATGCTTTTTCAGGACCAAGAAAGATGGGAGGGGCAACTTAAGTAAAGGGAAGAGCATGGTTAAGAGCACAGAAGAGGATGATATAAATATATTCAAGTGAGGTCAGGGATGTGGACCGGAGGAGCTGAGCACTGAAAGATGCTGTCTTAGTCCATTTCACTGCCATAGCAGAATACCACAGACTCAAACAACAGAAGGTGGCTTAAACAACAGAAATTTATTTTCTCACAGTTCTGGAGGCTGGAAGTCTGAGATCAGGATACCAGCATGGTCGGTGTATTAGTCCATTCTCATTCTGCTAAGAAAGACATACCCGAGACTGGGTAAATTATGAAGGAAAGAGGTTTAATTGACTCACAGCTCCACATGGCTGGGGAAGCCTCACAGTCATGGCAAGGGATGAAGGAAGAGCAAAGGGGCATCTTACATGGTGGCAGGCAAGAGCACTTGTGCAGGGGAACTCCCCTATATAAAACCATCAGATCTTGTGAGATTTATTCCCTATCACAAGAATAGTATGGGAGAAACTGCCCCCGTGATTCAATTATCTCCACCTGGCCCTGCCCTTGACACATGGGGATTTTTACAACTCAGGGTGAGATTTGGGTGGGGATACAGCCAAACCATATCAGTCGGGTTCTGGTGAAGCCCTCTTCTTGGCTTGCAGATAGTTGCCTTCTTGCTGTGTCCTTATATACCGGAGACAGAGAGAGAGAGAGAGAGAAGGAAGAGGATGTCTTCTAAGGACACTAATCCCATCCTGAGGGCCCATCCTTATGACCTCATCTAACCCTAATTATCTTCCAAAGGCCCCGTCTTCAAATACCAACACTTTGAGGGTAGGAATTCAATATATGAATTTGGGGAGGGGAGACAGAAACATTCAGTCTGTAACAGATGGGTAAGCTTTTGATTGGCCGAGAGGAAAGATCAGGGCAATTATAGTTGCACAGTCACACAGAATTTTAGAAGAGGGAGAGAGGTCAGAGATTATCAAGTCCCGGGATTTTTAAATGATCTTCTAAACATTGCTAGGGAGCCCCCCTCCCAACCAGGGAAGAGGAATGGAGAGTTGAGGAAAAGGAAATTCCCAGTCCATGAGAATCTGGATTCTGTATTTGTTATCAATAAAATTTTTTTTAATCTGCTTTACTTATAAGATTTTACCCGAAGAAGTGGTTTTGAGCTGAAGACAAACAAGCAAACAAAGGTTATAAGAAAACAAATATCTAAACTGGGAGTGGCCTTTGAAAATGACTGGAGACATTTTAGTGAAATTGGAAAATTTCACCTGCATCTCAATTCTCCTTGCCCAGTAGCTCTTCTTTGACGCTCCTCTTTCATAAATTTTCTCTTTTATTTCTGATTAATGCTCAGATATAGTGTTAAAAAGGTTGAAAATGTAGGTGTGGAAACAAAGTTATGAGATTAAAAAGTGAGACACCAAGAAAGACAAAGAAACTTCCAGACAAGATAACAAAGATAAAATAGGGCTCTTTTCATAGTAGGAAGAATAATTCAGAAAAGGTTTTCAGAATATAGACAAAGGGGAAGAAATTCCAGAAGGTATTATTGGAATTCAGGATAGGATGAAGGAATAAAAACTGTATCTGATCAAACAATTCGAAGAAAGTAAAGTTCCTCTGCACCATTAAAAAAATAAAAATAAAAATTGGTTGACTTAGTTTTTAAAAAATATTTTAAGTCAATTCAGGCAAATAAGCTAATACAAGAATGTTTATAGGCACTATCTTAGCGAGGTTGTTTTCAAGTAAAATAGATATAAGGAAAACAGGGAATGGGAAAAAGAAGGGACTAACTCAATTTTTATCATCACATTAAAAATTATTTTTATACTGTGATATTCCCAGTGGAGAGAGGAAAAGAGTTCAAGTAAAATAACATGACACTTCTTCTCCCACCCCCCATCCTCCAGGGAGTAAATGCTTCTCTTCTTGCCATCGTGTTCCAAATGAGGGTGTCCACAGGGCAATTTTTCTAAAATGGGTCAGCATTATGCATACCTGACCTGAATTAATAGCATCCCTGTAGGAGTTCTGTTTGATGTTTAACCCTAGGTTCCTCTTAAAGAGGGAATGTGGTAGTACAAAACAATCTAGGGAAAAATCCTCACTCACCAGAGGCCCTACCCTTTCCAAAGAGTATTTCCAGATAACTCCTGAACAGAAGGAGGGGTCACTGCAAAGTATTTGAGTTGAAATCTTCACAAACGGCAATCCATACTCAAGTAGAAAGTTGCCTCTAGTCACCAGCTTTGCATACTTGTGCATATATATAATCACCCCAAGGCAACACTTAAGGCTGAAAGGCTGAAAGCCTTCTTAGTGATAAAGCTTTACCTATAATGGCCTCACAAATATTTTTCTGAGTACCAAGAGCAGTTTTTCAGAGAAGGGAGCCCAAAATATAGAGAACAGAGATGGAGGTGAGGTAGCCAGCCTCCCAGAGAGTCCCTCAATGATTTGTCCCTACTGGTATTCACATCCTTGTGTAGGCACCTTCTACACTGAATTAGGATTTGTCTTTGTGACTAATAGAATAGGTCAGAAGTGATAGCTTGTGACTTCTGAGACAAGGCCACAATAGACAATGTGGTTTCACTCTCTTTAAGATCACTGACCCTGGGAGAAGGCAACTGCCATGTCATGAGGATACACAAGCAGCACTCTGGAGAGATTTACGTGGTGAGAAACTGAAGCCTCCAGCTAAAAGCCACATGGATGAGCTTAGAAGAAGATTCCTCCAATCGCAGTCAAGTCTTTAGATGACTACAATCCTGGACAACATCTTGATTGTAATCTCATCAAGGACTGTGAGCCTGAACATCTAGCTAAGATGCTCCTCAATTCTTGACTCTCCCAAACTGGGATAATAAATGTTGGTTGTTTTAAGTCACTAAGATTTAGTGTGATTTGTTATACAGAAAATGAACTAATACAGAGGGGCTTCCTGGCCAGGCAGGGAGACGTCTCATTCTGTGTTAGGGATGTGATCAGGGGTAATACTAAAATATCTTTTAAAAAGAAAAATGATTTGAAAAGTTATCTATAAGCCAACATAACGCTTATTCTAAAATCTGACAAAAATAGCACACAGACAAGTACAGACAAATGTAACTTTAAGAATATACAGGCAAATATCATAAATATATAAGAAAATGCAGTAATATATGAAAACTTATAATCAATTGGGGTTTGCTTTAGGAATACAAAGATATTTTAATGTGGTCATTTATTCATCCAGCATATTTTTTGAAAAATTGATTAATAGAATGTATTACATCATTATTACTAAAAAAAAGCTATATGATTGTCTGGATAGATGTCAAAAAGTAGTCAATGAATATCCAACATCCATTCTAATAAAACGCATACACCCTATAAATACGTATTAAAATTTAAAAACAAATCAAGAAGGAAATTTACTTATTTTGAGAAAAAAATTGTCAAATGAATAACACACATACTTAAATGGGGATAGCGCTAGTGTTTTTACATTATACTAAAAAAAGACAAATATAATAAATTCTATACTGTTATGTTTATATTATATACATCATGATATATACACTACCTAACATTTTCCTGAAGGTCCTAACAAATTCAATAAGACAGGTGTAAATACTGTTAAAGGAAGAGACAGATGACTGTTATTTGCAATATGATCATATCTCAAAAACAACTAGGACTAACAACAGGGAGTTTAGGAAGACGTTCATATAAAAGAAAAATGATTATTAAACATTTGTTTATATACCAGCATACCCGGCAATAGTTTAGAGATAGCTAGATACTTTATAAAGTTCCAGCAATAGTTTCTATGCTATTATAAATGGGGTCTTTTTAAAATTATATTTTTCTAAGACTTTCATGAAAAAACACTTTATTAAAAAACATAAAGAACTTAAATAAATGGATTTACACATTACATTTCAATTTAGATTCAATCTTATATAAATTCTACTTTCTCCCAAATTAATTTATAAACTTAACACAATCCTACTAAAAGTCCTGTGATGGTCAATGTTATATGTCAACTTGATTGGGCTAAGAGATGCCCAGATAGCTAGTAAAACATTATTTCTGGGTGTGTCTGTGAGGGTGTCTTGGGAAGAGATAAGCATTTCAATCAGTGGACTGAGTAAAGAAGATGACCCTCACCGATGTGGGCAGGCATCATCCAATCCTTTGCAGACCTCAATAGAACAAAAAGGCAGAGAAAGGGCACATTTGCTCTCTCTGTTTGAACCAGGGCATCCATTTTCTTCTGTCCTTGGACATTGGTGCTCCTGGTTCTCAGGCCTTTGAACTCTGACTGAATTACATTACTGGCTTTCTTGGTTATCTAGCTAGCAGATGGCAAATCATGGGACTTCTTAGCCTCTATAATCAAGTGAGTCAATTCCCATAGTAAATTTTCCCTTCTCTCTCTCTCTCTCATTCTCTCTGTCTCTTTCTCTCCAGTATCCTATTGGTTAAGTTTCTCTGGAGAACCCTGATTTATACAAACCCTAATTGCTTTTATTCTTTTTTTACTATTCTTTCTTTCTTTTCTTTTCTTTTCTTTTTTTTTTTTTTTTTTTGGTGGGAGGGAACCTACATTGATTCTAACTTTTCTTTGGAAAGATAAATGCATGAAAAGATTAATGAGAGTGGAGACTTGCCCTACTGGATATCCAAACGTACTTTAAAGCTACTGTAGATAATTGAAACATTTTAATTTGACATAAGTATAGAAAAAAAGTCAGTGAAACATAATATAGGATCTAGATTAAAATACACATATGTGTAATTCATTTTCAATATGTGTAATTCATTTTAAATATAAAACATAAAGATGGAATTTTAAAATAACCGGAATATTTCAATATATAGCAATATGAAATGTTTCATAGTTCAGTATGTAGCATAGCAACAATTGGCTGTCAAATTGTTAAGAATAAGTTAAATTCATTTGGGTGGAATTTATTTTTGTGTAGGATGAAAGATATAATATTCATAGGTTATTTTTCTTTTTACATTTACAAATATTAGGATAAAATGTAGACTAGTTTTTTATGCCTAAGGTGGAGAAGGCTTTTCTAAGCCAGCCACAAAACTGAAGCAGTAAAGGAAAACACTAACTTTATGACTTTCGTTTTTACAGAAGCATATGGTACTTTAAATCAAATCTTTCAGTATGAGTGACTAATAAAAAAGTGTTGTAAATAGTTTCAGCATATATTATAAATGTGCTATATAAAGAGTGATGTATAAAGAGTTTTTAATGTATCAGAAAACATAAAAGAAAATTTGAGAAAAATTAAGCAATTGGCAAATTACATACAAATGAGCATTACTATCTGAAAAGTTGTTGCTTGAATTCAATTTCAGTCAAAGAAATACAAATTTTAAAGAAATCAGAGATGACCCAAACAAACAGAAAAACATTCCATGCTCAGGGATAAGAAGGACCAATATTAAAATGACCATACTGCCCAGAGTAATTTATAGATTCAATTCTATTCCTATTAAACTACCACTGACATTCTTCACAGAACTAGAAAAACACTATTTTAAAATTCATATGGAACCAAAAAAGAGCCCAAATAACTAAGGCAATCCTAAGCAAAAAGAACAAAGCTGGAGGCATCATGCTACCCAACTTCTAACTATACTACAGGGCTACAGTAACCAAAACAGCATGGTACTGGTACAAAAACAGACACATAGACCAATGCAATAGAATAGAAAACCCAGAAATAAGGCTGCACACCTACAGCTATCTGATCTTCAACAATCCTGACAAAAGCAAGCAATGGGGAAAGGATTCCCTATTTAATAAATGAGATAACTGACTAGCCACATGCAGAAGATTGGCACTGGACTCCTTCCTTACACAATATACAAAAATTAACTCAAGATGGATTAAAAACTTAAATGTGAAACCCAAAACTATAAAAATTCTGGAAGACTATCTAGGCAATACCATTCTGGACATAGGAATGGGCAAAGATTTCACGACAAAGACACCAAAAGTAATTGCAACAAAAGCAAAAAATGACAAAAGGGATCTAATTAAAGAGTTTCTGCACAGCAAAAGAAACTATCATCAGAGAAAATGGAAAACCCACAGAATGGGAGAAAACTTTTGCAAACTATGCATCTGACAGAAGTCTAATATCCAGCATCTATAAGGAACTTAAACAAATTTACAAGAGAAAAACAAATAACCTCATTAAAAAGTGGGCAAAGGACAAGAACAGACACTTTTCAAAAGAAGACAGACATGTGAGCAACAAGCATATCAAAAAAGCTCAATATCACTGATCGTTAGAGAAATACAAATCAAAACCACAATGAGATGCCATCTCACACCAGTCAGAATGGCTATTACTAAAAAGTCAAAAATCAAAGCTGACAAAAACAAGCAATGGGAAAAAGACTTCTTATTCAATAAATGGTGCTAGGATAACTGGTGAACCATATGCAGAAGATTGAAGCTCGACCCCTTCCTTATACCGTATACAAAAATCAACTCAAGATGGATTACCAACATGAATGTAAAACCCAAAACTATAAAAAACCTGGAAGACAACCTAGGCAATACCATTCTGGACATAGGAACAGGCAAAGATTTTATGATGGAGACACCAAAAGCAATCACAACAAAAGTAAAAATTGACAAATGGGATCTAATTAAAGAGCTTCGGCACAGCAAAAGAAATTATCAATGGAGTAAACAGACAACCTAGAGAATGGGAGGGAAATGTTTGCAAACTATGCATCTGACAGAGGTCTAATACCCAGCACCCATAAGAAACTTAAACAAATTTACAAAAGAAAAACCAACAACCTCATTAAAAAGTGGGCAAAGGGCATGAACAGACACTTTTCAAAAGAAGACACTTTCGAAAGAAGACATACATGTGGCCAAAAAACATATAAAAAAAAGCTCAATATCACTGATTATTAAAGAAATGCAAATCAAAACCATGATGAGGTACCATCATGACTATGGGGCACCAAACAGAATGACTATTACTAAAAAGTAAAAAAATAACAGATGCTGGCAAGGTTGTGGAGAAAAGAGAATACTTTTACACTATTGGTGGGAATGTAAATTAGTTCAACCATTGTGGAAAGCAGTATGGCATTTCCTCAAAGAGCTAAAAGCAGAACTACCATTCAACCCAGCAATCCCATTACTGGGTATATACCCACAGGAATATAAAGCATTCTACCATAAAGACACATGCACAAAAATGCTCACTGCAGCACTGTTCACACTAGTAAAGACATGGAATCAATCTAAATGCCCATCAATGACAGACTGGATAAAGGAAATGTGGTGCATATACACTATGAAATATTATGTAGCCATAAAAAAGAATGAAGTCATGTCTTTTGCAGGGACATGGATGTAGCTGGAGGCTATCAATGCAGCAAACTAATGCAGGAACAGAAAACCAAATACCACATGTATTCACTTACAAGTGGGAACTAAATGATAAGAACTTGTGAATGCAAAGAGGGAAAAAACAAACACTGGGTTCTACTTGAGGGGGGAGAGTGGGAGGAGGGAAAGGAGCAGAAAAGGTAACTATTGGGTACCGAGCTTATATGTGGGTGACGTAACAATATGTACAACAAACTCCCATGACATGTGTTTGTAACAAACCTTCACATATACCCCTAAACCTAAATAAAAATTTTTTAAATAATAATAATTAAGTTTAAAAAAGTCAAAAACTAACAGATGCTGATGAGGTTGTGGAGAAAAAGGAATGCTTATACACTGCTGGTGGAAGTGTAAATTAGTTCAATGACTGTGGAAGACAGTATGGCGATTCCTCCAAAGACCTATAAACAGAAATACCATTTGACCCAGCAATCCCATTACTGGGTTTTTACCCCCAAAAATATAAATCATTCTGTTATAAAGTCACATGCATGCATATGTTCATTGCAGCACTATTCACAATAGCAACGACATGGAATCAACCTAAATGCCCATTAACGATAGACTGGATAAAGAAAATGTCATACATATATACCATGGAATACTATGCAGCCATAAAAAATAATGAGATCATGTCCTTTGCAGGAACATGGATGGAGCTGGAGGCTATTATCCTTAGCAAACTAATGCAGGAATTGAAAACCAAATACTGCATGTTCTCACTTATAAGTGGAAGCTAAATGATGAGAACTCATGGACACATAGAGGGGAACAACACACACTGGGGCCTATCAGAAGGTGGAGGCGTGGAAGGAGGAAGAGAATCAATAAAAATATTATAACTATTGGGTACTAGGCTTAACACCTGGGTGACAAATTATTCTGTACAACAAACCTCTATGACACAAATTGACCTATATAACAAACATGCACATATACCCCTGAGTTTTTTTTAAAAAAAAGCTAAATTTTAAAAAAATACAAATTTTGAAGAGCAAAATTTATTTTAACCTACGAAAGTAATAGGAATGGTATTACTCAGTAATAAGGGTGTGGCAAAACAAACACTCTCCTACTAGTTGGTAGGAATATAAATTCTTACAACATTTCTGGAAGGTAATCTGCTCACAAGTTGAAAATGTAACTTTACATATGCTTCAAGCTAATATTTCTAATTCTAGTTATTAAGCCTAAAGAAATTATAAGACAGATATACAAAGATATACTGGAAGGCAGCTATGCTTACCACTATACCACCAACACACCTAGCAAAAAATATACTGTATAATGATGCTTATTGTAGCATTTATCATAATAAAAAATGAACAAAATACACTATCAATGAAGAACTAAGAAATAAGTCATGGGCCATCGTCAGAGTTAAACCTTGTGTAGGTTTTTTTAAAGATAAAGCAGATCCTATTGACATGGAAAATGTCCAAATACATTAAAATACAATAAAAATGGAAGTTACAGACCAATATATACATATATACACTATATATACACATACATATATATACCTATATATACACATACATATATACCATATATACATACATATATATATACCATATATACATATATATACCATATATATACATACATATATACACCATATATATACACATATACACATATATATAGTATGATCCCACTCACATTTTAAAAAATATATGGATATAGGTAAGCATTAAGATATAGAAAAACATATGTCAAACTGTTAATTCATCTGTTAGAGAGACTTAGGATTAGAAAATACCTTATTCTTTCTATGCTTTAATTTTGTAACTAAGATACATTAGATTTTTTAAAAAGAGAAATGTCAAGAAAACCAAGTATTTGTCACAATATTGCCTTGGTTTTACACATAAATCGCTGGGCTTTACTGTATTTGCTAATCTCATCCTGCATTTTGATACTTGCAGAACGCAGCAAAGACTGTCATTACTAGTGAAAATGGAAAAGGTCAGCCCCTTTATCAGAATTTCTCCCATTATCTACATCATCAGCTACCACCGACTGCCCCCTCCAGCTGTATCACAGCCTGTCTTCTGCCACGTCTGCATGAAATGAAACCACTAAGCACAACCGTAAACAGCCAGCCTTATCTCAAGCCATGTTAAGTGTGGCTGTGAGAGTTGGGCCTTGAACCTGCTGACACCGGGATGTGTGTCACTGAATGTCCACCAGGGAGTCTCTCTGAAACAGGACATCAGCAGCGGAAGAGGCAAGGCACAGACAACCCAGCCCTCCATCAGTGGGCCATGCTGCTGTAGGCATGCCAGGCTCAGTGCCAGGAAATGCAAGGACAAAGCCAGCTGGCTAGAATTCAGCACTGGGGAGAGCAATCCACATATTAATTTGAGGTCCCAGAGCCAAAAGTCACCCAGTGACAGCCACAAAATCAACAGCCCAGTAGAGAGGATGCCCTGCCTTTCCTCTGTCTTTTTTCAGGCTTCTGTCTAGAGCCACAGCTGTACCCATCAGGGGAAAGTGGTATAAGTTCTCAGTTCAGAACCAGGCCCATGGTCCTCCAGGCCTATGGCAGGTGGGAACATGAAGTGGGGCCTGGAGCAGAGGTTTCATAGAGAAGTGGCATTGGGTCAGTTCCTCTTATCAGTTCCTAGCACTCTTGCAAGGAGGGGTCATGCAGCTGGGCTCAGGCTGAAAAGGCATGTGGCCACAACCCATCCCTGGAAGTCGAGAGAGAACTGAGATAGAACACGTGAGTGCTGCCTGACCCAGCCTTCTCTGTGTCCGTGGGAACGTGACTTCCTGAAGAAGAGTAGGGAGGTACACTTAACCAGCAACTACCATTCTCATCTCAACCTTGAAACTCTTGTCTTCTCTCAGCCCTTCTGCTTTTTAGTTGAGAAAGGAGTGTCCAAGAACTGAGTGTCACATTTCTGTTGTTTTTTTCCAGATGCCAAGCTGCCATTGCCAAACTTTGTTCGTTATGTCCTGTTCAGGCATGTTGGCCCAGAAGTAGATGCCCATTGGCCTGGGGTAGCGAATCCTAGTTGCTATAAAGGTCAAACCCCTGAAGTCCCAATGGTTTAAAACAGCAATGGTTTATTTTTTGTTCACCTAAAGTCTCATATGAGTTGGGATGCCTTTCTCTGTCTTGTAGCTCTACCATAAGTTCCACCTGGTCCCTAAGGTCTCTGTTTCAGGGCACATAAAGAGTACAGAAGGAACACCAATCTGAACTCACTGGCCTGAAGAACACATGCACTCCACTCCTGCTCATAGTGCAAAGGCAGGATACTCACATGATTCCAACTTAAATGCAAAGGAAGCCAGGAAGTGTTAGAGGAGCACATGGAATAATCACTGTGATACACTCATAATATTGCAACTGTTTCAAGAAATTTTTCAAATAGAAGAGCAGAGTAATACAAAGAGCCCTTGAGTGATAGTCCAGGCTCAGGGGTCCAGAGCCACTTCTGTCACTGACTAGCTGGGGAAACTCTCTGCTCCTTCATACTTCCATGTCCTCATCTGTAGAAGACAAGGGGTTGCATGACCCACAATGTTATTTCTGGGCCCAAAAGACACAATTCTATGAGCTTGTGGCTTGTGAAGGCAGAATACAGATGATATCTCACTATTAACCAAGGACTCCACAACCTATTGGAGAAAGCAGTGGTGGCTTCTGCCCTTCTTCTGGTGCCCACCCCTTGCAGTATCACTAAGGGGCTATCAATTCTCAGGAGTCCAAGCTTCACTGAGCTTGCACTCTTAGAAGATAATCAGAAAACCATAGGGAACCTCAATTCTGCTAAGTAACAGCAGCAACAAATCACTCCTCGTATGGAAACAAATGTGGGTGCAGAGGGAACCTCCTAATATTTCACCATTACACACATGCATACATCCCTTCTCAATGAAGAAACACAGAGCATCTGATATTGGCAAGACATTCTCTCTTCAAAGAGAATTTTGATTTTAGGCACTAACATGGGGTCGTACTACCAGACTTTTTTTTTCTTTTATTATTGTTATACTTTAAGTTTTAGGGTACATGTGCACAACGTGCAGGTTTGTTACATATGTATACATGTGCCATGTTGGTGTGCTGCACCCATTAACTCGTCATTTAGCATTAGGTATATCTCCTACTGCTATCCCTCCCCCCTCCCCCCACCCCACAACAGTCCCCGGTGTGTGATGTTCCCCTTCCTGTGTTCATGTGTTCTCATTGTTCAATTCCCACCTATGAGTGAGAACATGTGGTGTTTGGTTCTTTGTCCTTGCAATAATTTGCTGAGAATGATGGTTTCCAGTTTCATCCATGTCCCTACAAAGGACATGAACTCATCATTTTTTATGGCTGCATAGTATTCCATGGTGTATATGTGCCACATTTTCTTCATCCAGTTTATCATTGTTGGACATTTGGCTTGGTTCCAAGTCTTTTCTATTGTGAATAGTGCCGCAATATACATACGTGTGCATGTGTCTTTATAGCAGCATGATTTATAATCCTTTGGGTATATGCCCAGTAATGGCATGCCTGGGTCAAATGGTATTTCTAGTTCTAGATCCCTGAGGAATCGCCACACTGACTTCCACAATGGTTGAACTAGTTTACAGTCCCACCAACAGTGTGAAAATGTTCCTATTTCTCCACATCCTCTCCAGCACCTGTTGTTTCCCGACTTTTCAATGATCGCCATTCTAACTGGTGTGAGATGGTATCTCATTGTGGTTTTGATTTGCATTTCTCTGATGGCCAGTGAGGATGAGCATTTTTTCATGTGTTTTTTGGCTGCATAAATGTCATCTTTTGAGAAGTGTTTGTTCGTATCCTTCACCCAGTTTTTGACGGGGTTGTTTGTTTTTTTCTTGTAAATTTGTTTGAGTTCATTGTAGTTTCTGAATATTAGCCCTTTGTCAGATGAGTAGATTGCAAAAATTTTCTCCCATTCTGTAGGTTGCCTGTTCACTCTGATGGTAGTTTCTTTTGCTGTGCAGAAGCTCTTTAGTTTAATTAGATCCCATTTGTCAATTTTGGCTTTTGTTGCCATTGCTTTTGGTGTTTTAGACATGAAGTCCTTGCCCATGCCTATGTCCTGAATGGTATTGCCTAGGTTTTCTTCTAGGGTTTTTATGGTTTTAGGTCTAACATGTAAGTCTTTAATCCATCTTGAATTAATTTTTGTATAAGGTGTAAGGAAGGGATCCAGTTTCAGCTCTCTACATATGGCTAGCCAGTTTTCCCAGCACCATTTATTAAATAGGGAATCATCTCCCCATTTCTTGTTTTTGTCAGGTTTGTCAAAGATCAGATAGTTGTAGATATGCGGCATTATTTCTGAGGGCTCTGTTCTGTTCCATTGGTCTATATCTCTGTTTTGGTACCAGCACCATGCTGTGTTGGTTACTGTAGCCTTGTAGTATAGTTTGAAGTCAGGTAGCATGATGCCTCCAGCTTTGTTCTTTTGGCTTAGGATTGACTTGGCAATGCGGGCTCTTTTTTGGTTCCATATGAAGTTTAAAGTAGTTTTTTCCAATTCTGTGAAGAAAGTCATTGGTAGCTTGATGGGGATGGCATTGAATCTATAAATTACCTTGGGCAGTATGGCCATTTTCACAATATTGATTCTTCCTACCCATGAGCATGGAATGTTCTTCCATTTGTTTGTATCCTCTTTTATTTCCTTGAGCAGTGGTTTGTAGTTATCCCTGAAGAGGTCCTTCACGTCCCTTGTGAGTTGGATTCCTAGGTATTTTATTCTCTTTGAAGCAATTGTGAATGGTAGTTCACTCATGATTTGGCTCGCTGTTTGTCTGTTATTGGTATGTAAGAATGCTTGTGATTTTTGCACATTGATTTTGTATCCTGAGACTTTGCTGAAGTTGCCTATCAGCTTAAGGAGATTTTGTGCTGAGACGATGGGGTTTTCTAGATATACAATCATGTGATCTGCAAACAGGGACAATTTGACTTCCTCTTTTCCTAATTGAGTACCTTTATTTCCTTCTCCTGCCTGATTGCCCTGGCCAGAACTTCCAACACTGCGTTTAATAGGAGTGGTGAGAGAGGGCAGCCCTGTCTTGTGCCCGTTTTCAAAGGGAATGCTTCCAGTTTTTGCCCATTCAGTAAGATATTGGCTGTGGGTTTGTCATAGATAGCTCTCATTATTTTGAGATACATACCATCAATACCTAATTTATTGAGAGTTTTTAGCATGAAGCGTTGTTGAATTTTGTCAAAGGCCTTTTCTGCATCTTTTGAGATAATCGTGTGGTTTTTGTCTTTGGTTCTGTTTACATGCTGGATTACATTTATTGATTTACATATGTTGAACCAGCCTTGCATCCCAGGGATGAAGCCCACTTGATCATGGTGGATAAGCTTTTTGATGTGCTGCTGGATTTGGTTTGCCAGTATTTTATTGAGGATTTTTGCATCGATGTTCGTCAAGGATATTGGTCTAAAATTCTCTTTTTTGGTTGTGTCTCTGTCAGGCTTTCGTATCAGGATGATGCTGGCCTCATAAAATGAGTTATGGAGGATTCCCTCTTTTTCTATTGATTGGAATAGTTTCAGAAAGAATGGTACCAGCTCCTCTTTGTTCCTCTGGTAGAATTCGGCTGTGAATCCATCTGGTCCTGTACTTTTTTTGGTTGGTAAGCTATTGATTATTGCCTCAATTTCAGAGCCTGTTATTGGTCTATTCAGAGATTCAACTTCTTCCTGGTTTAGTCTTGGTAGGATGTATGTGTCAAGGAATTTATCCATTTCTTCTAGATTTTCTAGTTTATTTGCATAGAGGTGTTTATAGTATTCTCTGATGGTAGCTTGTATTTCTGTGGGATCGGTGGTGATATCCCTTTTAACATTTTGTATTGCGTCTATTTGATTCTTCTCTCTTCTCTTCTTTATTAGTCTTGCTAGCAGTCTATCAATTTTGTTGATCTTTTCAAAAAACCAGCTCCTGGATTCATTAATTTTTTGAAGGGCTTTTTGTGTCTCTATTTCCTTCAGTTCTGCTCTGATCTTAGTTATTTCTTGCCTTCTGTTAGCTTTTGAATGTGTTTGCTCTTGCTTTTCTAGTTCTTTTAATTGTGATGTTAGGGTGTCAATTTTAGTCTTTCCTATAAAACAGACTTTAAACCAGCAAAGGTCAAAAGAGACAATGAAGGCCATTACATAATGGTAAAGGGATCAATTCAACAAGACGAGCTGTCCTAAATATATATGCACCCAATACAGGAGCACCCAGATTCATAAAGCAAGTCCTTTGAGACCTACAAAGAGACTTAGACTCCCACACAATAATAATGGGAGACTTTAACAACCCACTGTCAACATTTGACAAATCAACGAGACAGAAAGTTAACAAGGATACCCAGGAATTGAACTCAGCTCTGCACCAAGCAGACCTAATGGACATCTACGGAACTCTCCACCCCAAATCAACAGAATATGCATTATTTTCAGCACCACACCAGACCTACTCCAAAATTGACCACATAGTTGGAAGTAAAGAACTCCTCAGCAAATGTAAAAGAACAGAAATTATAACAAACTGTCTCTCAGACCACAGTGCAATCAAACTAGAACTCAGGATTAAGAAACTCACTCAAAACCGCTCAACTACATGGAAACTGAACAACCTGCTCCTGAATGACTACTGGGTAAATAATGAAATGAAGGCAGGAATAAAGATGTTCTTTGAAGCCAATGAGAACAAAGACACAACATACCAGAATCTCTGGGACACATTCAAAGCAGTTATTAGAGGGAAATTTATAGCACTAAATGCCCACAAGAGAAAGCAGGAAAGATCTAAAATTGTACTACCAGACTTTTGAGGTCCCTCCCAACTTTAACAATAATACCTCTCTTGAGAGTCAGTAGAAGGCATTGAAAAGCCTGGCCTATGGAGCCAGTGGCCCCAGCTTGAACTGCAGCTCCAGCACTGTCAAGGCTTGGGCTCCTGGGGAAGCAGACTCTGAATTGATATTTAGAGAGTAGGAGTATTATTAGGGAGTGCTCCTTGGATCAACTGCTATGGAAAGAAAAGGAGAGAAGCAGAATTGGGCAGAGAGAGAAGTTGAGCCACAATGCAGTCCCAGCAAAGGCCTGAGCCAACACTTGAGGGACTTGGAAGCTGAGGTGGACCATCAGAATTATCTTGATATGGAATAAGGGGGATGAGCCTTTGTACCCCTGTGTCAATCAGTCACTGATGTGGGCTGCCCTGGGAAATGAGCTTGGTCCTCAGCCTGGAGGCTGTCTTCAGCCAAGTCCAATCCCAAAGAGAGCTGGCTGCGTTCTGTCTGTCAGCCACACTCCCACCAGCTGGAGGTATGAATCCTTCATTCCAGAAACAGACGGATCTGAGAAGCACTTCATGACATCCCTATAAGCTTACTAGTTATATGTCCTTGAACAAGTTACTTGGCCTCTTTCTCTAAATTTTAGTAATGAGAAAAATGAGGTACTATATAGCAGTCTGTACTTTACAGAGTGTTTGTGACAATTAAATGAGTTAAAACATGTAAAATATTGAGTGCTTATTAAATGCTTGGCACTGTCCTTAGTGTTAGCTTGTTTTGTTTCTTGAGACAAGGTCTCACTCTGTCACCCAGGCTGGAGTACAGTGGCAAGATCAGGGCTCACTGCAGCCTCCACTTCCTGGGCTCAAGCGATCCTCCAGCCTCCCCAGTAGTTGGAACTACCGATGTGTGCCACCATGCCCAACTAACTTTTGTATTTCTTGAAGAGACAGGGTTTCGCCACATTGCCCAAGCTGGTCTCGAACTCCTGGATTTGAGCGATCCATCTGCTTCAACCTCCCAAAGTGCTGGGATTACAGGTGTGAGCCACTGCGTCTGGCCCCCTAAGTGTTAGTTATTAGTTGCCTCTCATAAGTTCCACAACAACAGGAATGTTTACATTTGGAGATTAATTAGGACTACAGAGTCTTATGGGAGACCAGAAAAGGGGGAGTTGCCTCTCATATTCTTATCCAGGGTCCAGCCTGTTGTTGACTCCTCAGAGGCCCAGATTCTCTGCTAAAATATTTACCCAAAGGGCTTGGCATCAGTTCAAATTCATGCCTAATGTTACAACTATAAAAAGCTCTAGGAAGAAACAGTTGTCATTTTACCTCCAATGTCCTTTTTAATGTTCCTGAATGTGTTCATCTCTGATATCTCTCCTATGAAATGAGGAATATGTTCTATCGCTTATAAGGAAAGGCATGTAAGAGCCCTGTCTTCTCAAATTGGCCCCCAAATCCTCTATTCTTCAAGGCACTGGAGAATGCGTGCCAGATCTACTGGGAGACTCTCCAGCCACTCTGCCTGCAGGGTTGGAAGTACTTTGCTTATGGAGGGACATATTCCAAGTGTAGACCTACCTGGCAAAGACCCAGTGGGCATCTGCACTTGGTATGGGTCATTTTCCTAGGAAGAAAATTATGACTCATACAGAAAGTCTAAGGCTAGAGAGTATGAGGCCTGTAGGAAACAAAAGGCAAAGGCTATGTTGGGAGGAGCATTCTAATCTGCCTTGCTGAAGTGAGACTGATGACTAGAAAGTCAATGGCAGGGTTCCTTCTGAAAGCTCAGAGCACATCCCCTGTGTCTTCCCCATAGCTCTGTGAAATAGTCTCCCCTGTCTCCTCCTCTTTAGAGCAGGTGGGGTAAACACCTGTCTCTAACTCACTTGTTCCTAGAAGGCTAGTGTTCCAGTCCTGCTCTGGACTCGTCTTATCGCTGCCTGGATCTGACGCTATGTTGTCACTCTAAAAAGTCACCCAGATTTTCTACTTCATAACCTATTTTGCCATCCAGGCAGCTCTGATGGAAATGTATTCTACATGGAAACCTCAAATTATATATTTTTTTCTTCTAACTTATAAACCTTATTTTTTCCCTGCTCTGGCCCAACCACCATCTCCCCTCCCCTTGCCCAAACCATTTCTCCCTCACCCTCTCCTTGATTGGCTGGCAATATTGGTTCCAGTAGAAGCAGAATATGTTTTAGCAGAAGCAGAACAGTTGTTTTCAATTACATTCCAAAGCATAGGAGAGGATTTCTGAAAGCAGCTTCCTAGATTGCAATTGACTGTGGCAATAACAGTCTCAGAGAATAAAACTCTTTCCAGGAAGAAAGCAAACCTCACTTACTCAGAAAGCAACATGAGGCTTATTTTTCCATTGCACACATGCACAAAAATTATTGGGGGCTTTCCTGTGCTCATTAGGAGGAACTGCTCAGCAAAGCCCTCTATCTAGAAGTAGGGCCACCGGGAGTCAGGATGGAGGGGTCCCAAGATAGACTTCTGGCTTCCAGAGCTGGGAGGAAACCCAAGAAAAGCAGGAGAGAAGGCCCAGGACTTTCTGTATGGTACAGTGTGTGGAATGTAGACCAAAATGAGCCCCTCTCAGTTTGCAAAACTCTAAGCTTTTCCTTTCATCTGTAACAAAAAGAACCTTAGCCTAGAGAGGAGAAAATGAGAAGGCAACAGTGTGGTGAGGTAGAAGTAGCATGATGATTCAAGTCAGGAAAGCGGGCTTCTAGGGTTACTTGGCCACACATCAGCTGTCTGTCCTGTACTGGATGCCTTCCATGTGCACCTCCAAATCCACTGTCTACCCTGCTGTCTACCCTGGGAAGCTGCTGTCTGTGGGCTGAATCAAGAGCAAGCTGGCCCTATGGCTTCTGGTTGGGTTCAGTCAATAAAGGCCATGGGCAGGAGATCAGAAAAAGGCCTGAGGGTGACATGGGAGTACCTGTGCCCCAGCTCCCTCCCTCCCGTGCTCTAGCAAGGCTGGCTACCTCTATCTGCTGAAGGTCACAGCTCCCAGCAGCCATACTCTCCACGATCCAGGAACCAATCCTTCCTTTTATCCTTTCTGAATGAGCGGTAGTAACAACTTCCTACTGTTGCTAGCCCTGGTGTTCAATGTTCAAGATTGTGGTTTTGCTGGAAATCCAAATAGAGTGTGCGGTTTAGATAGTACTGTTATACCAATAGTAGATTCTTAGTTCTGATAACTGTACCATGGTTCCACAAGATGTTAACATCAAAGGAAGCTGGGTGTGGGTACCTGGGGATTCTCCGTACTATCTTTGCAACTTTTTTTGTAAATCCAAAATTATCTGATGACTATGGTCTTGGTGGCTACAGATCCAGTAACTACTGTCAAATTCATACCGCAGAACTGGTCTGACAAAGACTGTGGCCACCACTGGGCACAAATATTGCAAGCTTCACCAACAACAACTCTGGGCACTATTCTCTGTCATTGTTGCCTCTGGAAATTGGATGTAGCTTCTGCTACTGCCTGTCACCAGAATATAGATTGTGGACAGCCCCTGCTTCTTTCTACTGCTGGTTTCTGATTTAGGCAACATGTTTGCACATGAGATGCAAGGAGGCTGGAATGGGAGTACCTGGCATTTCACTTTCTATTCCTGGATGCTGGCTCCCCCTCATAAAGAAGACATTTCTTAGACATAGGGCGGTGGTTCTGATGCTCAGTGGCCAAAAAGGGCAAACATTCATTATGGTGGCTGAGATCACATCTAACTGAAGTGGTCAGACAAGGACCTCTGGAGGAAGTAAAATGTAGATAGGGTATTATTTTAGAGAAATCAAATTTTGAAATGAAAATCAACAGCATCTGGCACTCAGCCCTGTAGGAGAGGTAAGATTTTACTAAATAGAAATGAATCATTCTCTTGTAAACATCATGCTGAACAAGCAGGACAGAGGGTAAGCAGGAAACAATTTTTGCCTCCCAATGCCCCTTTCAGTCAGCTCTGCAGGACCAAGCCTACTGTTTCAGACAGGGACAGAGGAAGTCCTCAAGAATTTTCTGATCCAGTACCCACAGTTCTAGGGTCACTTCAAGTCATAAATTACAACTTCAGATTAGCATTAAAATGTCCAGCCTCATGTAATAGTCAAAATTTCAAATTTGCTTTTAGCTTGAGGCTTTTCCCCCTCTTATAATTTGGGTCTGTCAAGGGAGGAAAGACTCTCTCTTCCCTCCTATTTGACCTTCCTCCTTTGGCTTATGACAGTTTCAACCACTTCAGGGTTCAAGCTCAGTAAGGATGAGTAGGTTAGGGGAGCAGAAGATTCTACTCAACTGGTGCTTCCATAAGGTTAGAATTTTGGATCTCTGTTTTTGCAGATGTTGAAAGCTGACTTTCTTGTGAGCTCTAACATAGTTCCTCTGAGATTCTGGAGATCTTTCATCCAAAATTTCCTTGGCAGGACAAATGCAACTGTTCTCTGGCTGGTTGCTTTCTTTGTACTCATCCCCTAGAAATCCAGCAGTCACCTGGCTTCTCTCTGGACCACTCTCTTCAATGGGATCTAAGATGACTCTATGCCAGCTTATACTCTGGCTTCTGGATTTCTGGTTTAAATAAAACATCCACATATTCTCTCATTGGCCTGACAGACCCCAGAAGATCTGGCCTCCTACCATGAACACTTCTTCATTGTGCCACTATCAAGCAACTAGTCAGTCTATCTCTTGCCCTTAGATTATTCTGTGTTCCTCAGATGCAGGCGACACACACTAAGGTCTCCATGTAGGCCCCTTGAAACCTCTTTTCCTAAGCTTAAGTTAAAGTCCAAGCCCTCCCATCTCTTCCTTGAGGGCAGAGGTGGGGTAACACACAGGCAAAAGAGCAGTTTTCTCTAAACTTTTCTTCACCAGCTTCTAATTCCTGAGTCTTCTCCATTCAAAATGTGAATGAGGGGTTTAAGGGTCATCTAGCCTGTTTTCTATCATTCCTTTTAGAAATATTACATTGTACTGAAGACCCTTGCTTTGAATTGTGATATCTATTGTCTTACTATTTCAGCAGACTCTTCCATGTTAACATCCTGCAATGCTTGCATGTTCTATCCTCAAAGCAAACAAAGCTTGCATGATCCCTCCTGGCTTTCCCAACTTGCTAGAACAAACCTAAACTTCGACTCTCATCTGGGATGGGCTGAGACAGGGGCAGCAGCTGACACAGCCAAATAGTGTAGAACAGCATATGGGCAACACCTCCATCATAGTTCTGGTAGATACTTCTGCCCCAGAGACCTACTCAAATGCCAGCTACCATTCTAAATGTGATCTGTGCACTAAACCAAGACAAAATATCTCAGCTCCCTCTTTATAGACTCAAACACTTTAAATGCCCCAATCCATTCTACTTCTGTTTCACAACAACCTTCCTAGATTAAAAATCTTTGATGTCTATTCAACACACATTCTTTGGCTTGAGTTCATGTCCCTAAAGTCAGAGGTTTATAGCAAGAGTGATAAAATAGTGGGGGGAAAATCCACACAAAAAAATACTAGCAAACCAAAATCCAGCAGTATATACAAAGGATTATACACCATGACCAAGTGAGATTGGTGGGTTTAATATCTAAAAATCAATGAATGTAATACACTATGTCAACAAAATAAAGGACAAAAAAACACATGATCATCTCAATGGATGCAGAAAAAGCATTTGACAAAACCCAACACCCCTTATGATTAAAAGAAAACATTCAACAAACTAGGAATGGAAGAGAACTTCTTCAATCTGATAAAAGACACCTATAAAAAAATCCACAGCTAGGAATATACTTAATGGAGAGAGAAAGAAAAGTTTCTCCTAAGATGAAGAAGAAGACACAAAAGCCCACTCTCACCACTTCTATTCAACACCGTACTGCGGGTTCTAGCAAGGGTAATTAGGCAAGAAGATAAATAAAAGGCACTCAGACTAGAAAGGAAGAAATAAAAGTATCTTTATTTGCAGAGGACATGACCTTGTATGTACAAAATTCTGAATAATCCACTAAGAAACAATTAAAACTAATAAAATATTTAAACTAAGTGGCAGGTTACAAGATTGTTATACAGGTTGGATATCCCTTATCCAAAATGCTTGGGATCAGAATTGTTTGGGATTGGAAATTTGTTTGAACTTTGGAATATTTGCATAGACATGCCAGTTGAGCATCCGTAATCCCAAAATTCACAGTACTACAATGGGCATTTCCTTTGAGCATGACCTTTGAGCATCAGGTTGGCACTCAAAAAGTTTTGAATTTTGGAGCATTTTGGATTAGGGATGCTCAATATTACAAAAATCAGCTGTATTTCTGCACAGATATAAACAACCCAAAAGTAAATTAAGAAAACATTTCATTTGTAATAAGAAGAATAAAATACTTAGGGATAAATTTAACCAAGGAAGTGCAGGTCTTATACATTGAAAATGACAAAAACATTATTGAAAGAAATTAAAGACCTAAATAAGTGGAAAGACATATTATGTTCATGGATGAAAAGACTTAATATTGTTAAAATTCAATAGTCTCCAAATTTATCTACAGTGTCAATGCAATCCCAAACAAAATCTCAGTTACCTTCTTTGCAGAAATTGACAAGCTGATTCTTAAGTTCATATGGAAATTAAAGGAATCCAGAATAGCCCAAATAATCTTGAAAATGAACAGAACAAAGTTGGATAACTCATACTTCTTGATTTCAAAACTTATAGTAATCAAGACAGGTTGCTACTGGCATAAAGATAGACATATAGATCAATGGAATAGAATTGGGAGTACACAAATAATCCCTCATATTTATGATCAATTCCTTTTTGAAAGGTCACAAAGACAATTAAATGGAAAAAAATAGTTTTTCTGACAAGTGATGCTGAGGCAACTAGATATCTACATGCAATACAATGAAATTGTATCACTACCTCACACTATATACACTATATAAAAAATTAACTCAAAATGGGTCAAGCATCTCATTGTAAGAGCTAAAATTACAAAACTCTCAGAAGAAAGCATAAACATAAATCTTCATGACTTTGGAATAGGAAATGGCTTCTTAGATATAATATCAAAAGTACAAGAAACAAAAAAATAGGTAAATTGGACATTACCAAATTTTAAAACTTCTGTGCTTCAAAGAACACCAACAAGAAAGTAAGAAGACAACCCACAGAATGGAAGAAAATTTTTGTATATTATATATATATATATATATATATATATATATATATATATATATATGATAAAGGTTAGTATCCAAAATACATAATAACAAAAAGACAAATAATAACAAAAAGACAAATAATAACAAAAAGACAAATAATCCAATTTTTTAAATGGCCAAATGGTCTGAATAGGCAGTTCTCTAAAGAAGACATACAAATAGCCAGTAAGAACATGAGAAGATGTTAAACATTGTTAGCTAGTAGGGAAATGCAAAGCCACAATAAGATACCACTTCACACCCACTAGGATGGCTAAAATAAAAAAGTGGTATAGTGAGGATGTAAAGAAATTGGAGCCCTCATACACTGCTTGTGGGAATGGAAAATATGGTAGTCACTTTGGAAAACAGTCTGGCAGTTGCTCAGATGATTAAACATATACAATACCATATGAACCAATCAATTTCATTTCTTCAACTTCATGTTTTCATACGTATATGAAAATACATATCCACACAAAAACATGCACATGAATATTTCACACAGAATTATTCATAATAACCAAAAAATGGAAACAACCCTAATGTTCATTAACTGATGAATGAATAAATAAATAAAATGTGGTATACCCATGCAACAAAATGCTATTCGGCCATAAAAAGGAACTGCTACATGCCACAACATAGATGAACCTTGAAAACATTATGCTATCTGAAAAAGGTGATCACAAAGACTACATATTGTATGATTCTATACACAGTCATGAGTCATTTAAGGATAGTGCTACATTCTGAGAAATGCATTGTTAGGCCATTTCAGTGTTGTACAAACATCACAGAGTGCACCTACACAAACCTAAGTTGTATAGCCTACTACATGTCCAGGTTATATTGTATAGCCTATTGCTCCTGGGCTACAACCCTGTCCAGAATATTACTGTACTGACTGCTGTAGGCAGTTGTAACACAATGGTAGGTATTTGTGCAATAAAAATTTTTCAGCTTCATTATAATCTCATGGGACCACCACCATATATGTGGTCTGTTATTGACTGAAATGTTGTTAGGCAGCACATGACCGTATATGAAACACCCAGAATAGGCAAATCTATAGAAACAGAAAGTAGATTAGTAGCTGCTTAGAGCTAGAGGAACTGGGAGTAAATGGTAAGTGACTGCTATGGGTACAAGAATTCTTGGGGGTAATAAAAATGTTCTAAAATTGATTGTGGTAATGATTGCATAACTCTGAAAATACTGAAAACTATTGAATTGTATACTTTAATTGAGTAGATTTTATGGTATATAAATATCTCAATAAAGCTATTATTTTAAAGAAGAGAGCTGATGTAGTCTTTGAAGAGGCAGGAACCATGTTGAAATGAAAAGCATGAAAAGAAGCCTTTCTAAAATATTACAAAATACAATAAATCTTGGTCTTGCTAAAAGTTGGGGTAAAAAGGTTATTGTTTCTGGGACCCAACATGATCAGCAGAGAAAGTGCACTGAAGAGTAAGGAGATGTTCGGCTAGAAGATGGTTCAGTGAATGCCTGTCCCCTCAACATGATTCCAAAAGAGAGCCTTGGGCCAGAGTCTCCTCATGGGCACAAGGGTCCCTGGCTGCCAACTGTGGGCAGAAAGCAGTGTCTCCACAGACCTGAGCTGCCGCAGGCAAGGGGCCTAGCAGAAAGTAGGTCCTGGAGACAAGTGACCCAGGCGTAACTGTGTGCCTAAGGGTCATGGAAGAGTCAATAGGCAATGGATCCCCAGCCCCAGAGTCTGTAATCGTAGGGGTCACAATCAGGGAGAATGTAAACTATTGTCTTCGCATGGGTTTCCTCAAAAGCAAAGACTCATCTGTGAGTGGGAGCAGGAGTGAGGAACAGGGATGATAAACAGGGAAGGAAAAGAGTCCACACACCAATGTATTGTGCTCAATCTTCAGGATGTTCTGAGAAGTCTCAGAGAATGAATTTCAGAACCGTTCACTTGGGAGATGAAACGAGGAAGCATTTATCCATAGGCTTCAGTTTTCCACTGGACCAGAGCCATACTTCTGGGTGGTGCAAGCACAAGTTCCCACCGTCATGCAGTGGAAAGAGAGGAGCCTTCAGGTGGGTAGTGCAGGGCACAGTGCACACTCATGGCTGCAAACATGCTTGGAACTTGTAGCCACAGCTAAGGCTGGAGCCAGATGCAAAGTTGAGAGAATTCTAAACTGTGCTGAAGAGGTGTCTGATGCAGCTATCAATTAAATTCTATGAGGACTCAGAAACATCTGCATAATTTGTGGGGCCCAGTGGAAAATGAAAATGTGGGGCCTCTTGTTAAGAAATTATTCTAATTTCAAGATGTGACACAGAGCATTCAACCAAACCCAAAGCCCTCTGAGAATGGGCCCTGTATGGCTGCACAGGTTGCATATCCATGGAACTGCTATTCTCTAGACCCTTAAGTAGCAAATTTGCCCCTCACTCTCACTCCCATTCCTCCCTTACCGCATATGTACACATGTACCAGGGACACCTGGCCACACCTTCTAAAGAGCACCAACATTGAGGAGCCTGAATTCCCCTCTGCCCTGGCTTCTGCCTCTGCTCTAATCAAAGCACCCATAAGCATGGCCTCCAGCGGTGAACTCCTGACCCTGATGATGTGTCCTGAGGTTTTCCCAGGCCAAAGTCAAATCTGGACAAAGAGAATTTTTCATAAAAATCTGTTCTTCCCACCATGAAGTTCTTTGTTCTAAGATTCTGCCCTTACTTTAAAAAATGGAATTACGGTGATAGTTGGATACTTTAAATTTTGCTAGGGATATTAATTTTTTTAAGTGACAGTCCTTTGTTAATTCTGGAATTAAAAAATAAATTACCAATTGATGAAAGCCTGAGACCAACCGGGTTGGGAGGAGGGAAGAGCAGGTAAGGGTTTCCCATCCAGGACGGGGTTGTGCAGATGTGATCCCTGCTTGAACAGGAAGCGAATAGGGCAGGGTATTTTATCAGTGGTTCAGCCCCCTCTGCAAGGTAAAGAACTCTCAATCTCTCTCAGCTTGAGTCTGCCCCTTGTAAATGTTCCTGGTGTGCTCTTTCCTTCATCCATTTTCTTACCAAGTCCCCATCCAAGGACCAAGGAAACGGCCCTGCATGGCAGGTAGAGTTTGAGCATTTGGGAAGTTCCCTTCCTAAACACACCTCTTCTATCCTAAATCGTTCACCTGAAATTCTACTACCAGTAATATACCACTTTGGGTAGAATATGAGCCTCTGGTTTATTCAGAGACTTCATAGATTAGTTCTTTTATAGTGCATTAAAACCCTAGGTAAGAAAATTCTGCCTGATGCATTGAAAATACTGTATGATTATTATTATTCTATTAATATCAGGCGATTATATCACTAAATCCTAACAAAACCCAGAGAGGTAGGTACTAATATCACTATCCCCATATTTTTGACTGATGAAACTAAGTTCAGAGAAATTGAATAAGTCACACTTCTAGGAAATAGAGGGCTATGATCCAAAACAGACCCAGAGTCGATTATTTACCCATTCTGCCATGTCACCAGACCTGGGGCACACCAAGGGACAGGGAGTGCAAAGCTGGGCGGAGAAACATGGAGGGTGGGGGACACACTAGAGTGGGCCATTGTGTTCCAACTCTTGCTGCCCCTCTGGATGGGCAGCACTCACTTATGAGCACTCGAAGTGAAAACACAAAGCCCTGTCCTAAGCTCTGCGTGTCTTTGTCCTATTTCTCCCATATCCTCATCTGTCCTGGCACTTCTAGTGTGACTCTAGAAGGGCCTACTAGAAGAAGCAGACCAAAAAGATCCTTGAGGGATACCATCTTGCATCTTCAGACCAGGGGGAGGACCTAGCATTTCATATACATGAGGCGCCTTATAAATGTTTGTAGATCTCTATGAGAAGGCAGCCTCAACCCGGTCTCTATGAAACAGCCAATGGTGTTTTTGTGTATCATAAGCAAAAGATCCATCATTCAGCAGGCCAAACAGTGGGCTCCCAGCCCACTCTCATCCTCATGCCTCTTCTCGCGCAGGGCTAAACCTCATTATTAATTATGATGCCTCTGAATGATGCAGGAGTGGATAGCTCAGTCCCATCCAAAATTCAGGATCCATCACCTGATATGTACCATCACCTTCCATCTACCCTCCAAATGTGTCCACTTCAGCTCCAGAAATCTGAAGAACCAGAGAGTAAAGCCAGCTTCTGTGTCACCTTCACCTCACCTAATTAATGCAGGACTATAAGGAAATGTACCCAGATGTTTGAGAAGGGACCGCTAAAGGTTGGAATCTGCCAAGACCTCTTAATATGAAAAAATGTTTTCAGGAGGTGAAAAAAAAAAAAGAGAGACTCTCCACTCCCAGCTTAGCCCAGAGTATACCTTCTCTTAAGCAAAAACCTGCCAGTCTTCTGATACTAACCTCTGCTATACACTTATTTATTCACCAGTCATTTGTTAAGAAGCAGTGACTCTGTTATGACAAAGAGTCAAAACTATTCCGTTATGCCTCTGCATATGGGAGAAGCCATTTCAGGCAGATTTTTCAATTTCTAAAACTTCAATTTTCAATGTTAAATGAAGTTTTGCCAAAAATATTTCTTTCACAGTTTGAGCCAGCACCAAATGGTAAGCATTATTTCCTTTTAATTGAACCCATCTGTAAATCAGTAGAATATTCCAGAGCCTCTAGAAGAAAACTTTCCAAACTCTCTGTTAATTACTTGATTAATCACTGAGGTTTGACATCTGGATCTCACACTGATATTCTGGCTCCAGCAGGCACACTCACAAACAATAACATGAATTATTATTGTTAAATATCTGTGTGTATCTCCTTCCAATATGGACACCAATTTTATGTGTGCAGTTGCAAAATTAAGAGGAAAAAGAGGAGGGGAAGCCAGACTGTTTTGTTTCGCCAGGCTGGTAATCCTAGCTCCAGAGACATTGTGGCTGAAGCAAGGAAGAGGCCCACATACTCACTGAGCCAAGTATGTCTGGCTTTTCCACAAAGAGCAGGCATTCTCCCTGCCCAGCTGATGGGGAACAAAACCCACTTACTGGATTTAGAGATGCTCCTCGACCTCCCCTGCATGTGCAGATTCAGGCACACACTGCCATCCTACTCCTTCTAAGTGCCTGGATTAAAACAGGCCTAAGAACGATTCTTGAGTTGCATAATGACCAAGCCAAGCTTGGGTTAAGCCTCTCATTCCTCCTCCTTTTAAACAAAACACTTGAAAGGGACTATACGATTCAGAAGTACAGACACTGGATAAAAGCACTTTTGGAAGAAGAGTAGAGAAATGTTCTTCAGCAACAGTTGTCCATGGCATTAGATCCAAGTATTTAAGGCATGGGTAGTCATCTCTAGGCCCAAACATGCTACGATTTCATTTATTCTGTAGGTTGTGAATTGTGTTTTCCTAAAGAGCAGTTAAAATTGAGTTGGGAGGGAAGTGTGACTCAGACGAACAGAAAAGAGATGGGGTGAGAACAAAACCTTTTCCATATGAAACATATTAGAGGCATCAGACTTCTGGGGACACTTTGACCTCATCTTTACCTTTGTGAATTTTCTGTCTCATTTTTACTCTCCCGATGTGTTCCACCTGTTAACACAAGGCAAAATATTTTCCTTAGATGAGTAATATGAAGAAATGAGCCTGCTGTCAAGTTTTGCTTGGTTTTTAATACATCCTCTTTTTTAAATGTCCATGTATACCACTAGCCAATCAGAGTTTCAAATATACCGTGGGATTTTCACTTTACCATGAAGTTTTTAGAATATACTTTTTGCCTAGACTTGGTAATAAGTTTATCCTTCATTGGTTATACAGGAAAACTCTTCATTGTGACTTAAACAGGGTTTCTCAATCTCTGCACTGTTGGCATTTTCAACCTGATAATTCTTTGTTGTGAGAGCTGTTCTGTGCCTTTTTGCATGTTTGGCAGCCTCCTTGGCTTCTACCCACTAGATGCAAGAAATATCCTTCCCCTATCAGCTTTGAAAACCACAAATGTCCCTAGCCTTTGCCAAATGTACTCTGGGTGGCATGTCTCCCCTCACACACACCCCCATCACGGCCTTCCCACCCCTATTGAGAAAAACTGGCCTCTGGCTTCAAGAAAAATCCTTAAAACATGAAAAGGAGATATAAGACACTGATTTGAAAGATCAAAATCTTTGGTTCCCAAGTATGTCACTATTTGAAGAGTATTTTAATAGAACCTATTCATTGTCTATCGAATTGCTATCCCCCCATCCTTCCCTAATTACATGGTAGGCTGATCCATTGATCTCTGAGTTGGTAGACTCCTCCCTCAGCCCTGGGAGAGACTGTCAGTTATGAGGACACCATTTTCCTTTGCCAGTGATTGGTCAAGGGATGGAAGTCATGTTGCCCATTTCTAGACAATGAGACATAAAACAAAAGTTTAGGGAGAAACTCCTCTTACAAGATTAAAAATGATGATGATAATAATAATAATAGAAGAGTCTCAGCCAGACATGGTGGCTCACCCCTGCAATCTCAGCAATTTGGGAGGCCGAGGTGTAGGATCACCTGAGGTCAAGAGTTTGAGACAAGTCTGGCCAACATGGTGAAATATCATCTCTACTAAAAATAAAAAAAAATTTAAAAAACTCTTTTAAAAAACCATTTTGCCATCCTCTATCTCTCTCTCCTCCACTATGATTCCTGCCTTCGAATGTAGTTGTATTGCTTGGAGCTTTAGCAAACATCTTACAATTGCAAGGAATTAAATAAAAGAATGAAATGTTAACAGCTTAAGGAAGGTAGAGCAGCAGGAACAGAAGAGCTCAGTCCTTGGTGCCATTCTTGAACTACTGAACCGGTCTTAGAATGCCCACCCCCAGCATGTTCATTACTTGAGATAATTCAACACATCTATTACCTACATCAATGATTGGCAAACTATGGTATGTGGGCCAAGTCCAATAACTAAGAATTACTTTTTTTTAAAAAAAGGTTGTTAAAAAGAAACAAAGCAAGAAGAATGTATGACAGAATATATATATGTCCTACAAAGCCTAAAATATTTACTATGTGACTCTTTACAGAAAAAGCTTGCCAGTCTCCAACCTGAACCACTAATAGAGGATGTCTTGCAGGTTTGCAGCCCAAAGCATTCCTAATACAAGTACTAATATCTTCATTTTAAAATTACAGAAACTGAAGCTTCACTTGGCCAATAGTAGGCTCAATTAGACAATGCAAATACAAATTTGTCATTATTACATTATTTATTTATTTTCTTTGTGAGACAGAATCTCGTATATCACAGCTCACTTCAGCCCAAACTTCCCAGGCTCAGGCGATCCACCCACCTCAGCCTCCAGAGCAGCTGGGGACTATAGGCACATGCCGCCATGCCTGGTTAATTTTTTTGTTTGTTTGTTTGCTTGCTTATTTTGTAGAGATAGAGTTTCACTATGTTGTCCAGGCTGGTCTCAAACTCCTGGGCTCAAGCGATCTGCCCGCCTTGGCCTCCCAAAGTGCTGAGATTACAGGCATGAGCCACTGGGCCTGGACCATTATTTTAATTCATTGTAAAGTTAAGCCAAATTGAGGCATCGTAAAAACATTCAACAAACTTTTCTGTCCCGTAGGGCTTCAAATAATATTTCTATTCTAGGCTTGATTTTTTTTTTTTAATTATACTTTAAGTTTTAGGGTACATGTGCACATTGTGCAGGTTAGTTACATATGTATACATGTGCCATGCTGGTGCGCTGCACCCACTAACTCATCATCTAGCATTAGGTATATCTCCCAATGCTATCCCTCCCCCCTCCCCCCTCCCCACCACAGTCCCCAGAGTGTGATATTCCCCTTCCTGTGTCCATGTGATCTCATTGTTCAATTCCCACCTATGAGTGAGAATATGCGGTGTTTGGTTTTTTGTTCTTGCGATAGTTTACTGAGAATGATGATTTCCAATTTCATCCATGTCCCTACAAACGACATGAACTCATCATTTTTTATGGCTGCACAGTATTCCATGGTGTATATGTGCCACATTTTCTTCATCCAGTCTATCATTGTTGGACATTTGGGTTGGTTCCAAGTCTTTGCTATTGTGAATAATGCCGCAATAAACATACGTGTGCATGTGTCTTTATAGCAGCATGATTTATAGTCATTTGGGTATATACCCAGTAATGGGATGGCTGGGTCAAATGGTATTTCTAGTTCTAGATCCCTGAGGAATCGCCACACTGACTTCCACAATGGTTGAACTAGTTTACAGTCCCACCAACAGTGTAAAAGTGTTCCTATTTCTCCACATCCTCTCCAGCACCTGTTGTTTCCTGACTTTTTAATGATTGCCATTCTAACTGGTGTGAGATGATATCTCATAGTGGTTTTGATTTGCATTTCTCTGATGGCCAGTGATGATGAGCATTTTGTCATGTGTTTTTTGGCTGCATAAATGTCTTCTTTTGAGAAGTGTCTGTTCATATCCTTCGCCCACTTTTTGATGGGGTTGTTTGTTTTTTTCTTGTAAATTTGTTTGAGTTCATTGTAGATTCTGGATATTAGCCCTTTGTCAGATGAGTAGGTTGCGAAAATTTTCTCCCATGTTGTAGGTTGCCTGTTCACTCTGATGATAGTTTCTTCTAGGCTTGATTTTATAAATCAAAATAGACAAAGCCTCCTGATGAAACACAATGTATTCAGTAGATAATTTCAAAAGGGGCCAGACTGTCCCAACACTACCTAGAGCACTGAGGCATTTCCTGCACTAGGAAATCAAACCTAGAGACTCCAATGAGGAAAAGACATTACAGAAAAACATTACGTAAACATACTCATTGATGTGATAAATTACCTCTTCTACATGCTGAAATAGTTCTTGTACTTCCTGCTGACTCACTCAGAGGGAATTCTCAGTGTAAAATATTCAAAGCTTTCCTCCTTTAACTCTATGCCCCAGGTTAATACTAGCATTCTCAGTGGGGCTAACATGTTCTGTACTACCTTAGTAAAGGGTTTAAATATTGACCAACTGATGTATACTGAGAAAGTCAGGTCCAGAAGATGACACACAGAGCCCATTGCAGAAAGCCCATGAGTGTTGTACAAGTCACAATCAACCACCCCGCAACATCTAACCATGGAGCTAGGATTGAACATTGAATCACTAGCAGGGCCTGACTTTTCTCAGTTGATCCAACCAGCATTTATTTGCTTTATATCCCAATGCCTATCCCAGTGCCTGACACATGGTAGGTGGTCAGTAAGAAATGCGAGCCCTCAATCTACACCCGGTACTGGTTGTGCTTCAGTGTTGGGTTGGTTTGTCGGCAGAGTTTGACCAGGTTCATCCATGTCTCCCAAGCAGCACATTTGTCCACTGGCTCGGCCACTGGAGAAGACATTTGTTCACACTGCAGGGCCCTGAAAAGACAGACTGGGGGGCTGCTGGAGCTTTGCAGAAGGGGTGTCACTGTGACAGTGGGAACTTTATGCTCCTTTGTGGCCTATGACTTGGGGTTGTGTGTTCCGGATTGGTCTGGGGCTTGATAAGGGGTTTTGCCTTTTCTACCTTCTGGCTCAACAACCAGACACACATGGCCACTGCAGCCACTTTCAGCACGAAGACCACGGCAGCCAAGGGTATGATGACCATCAGAGGGTAACTGCTCTCTCTGGGCTGTGTGGGTGCCCAAAAGCTGACTATTAGTGGTGGCTGGTGGCCAAATGACCTTGATGGCAGAAACTCTGCCATCCACACTGGGCTCTTCACCACTGTGCTGTCCCCAGGGATCTGCTTTCTGCCATCTGGTCTGGGTCAGTTTCCCTAAAGTTTCTGTCTGTGCCACAAGTCTTGAGGAAATCATAGGCTTTTCCTGAGAGAGAACTGGGGTTACAAGGTTGTCTCCAGTGACAAATAAAGGAACACCTGGTGTAAATGTTTGGAAAAGTGAGGGGTCAGGCGGCACTATGGTGAAGGGGAGATAACATATCACTGGCTGTACATGATCTGGCCTGAGCAAGAAAGTGAAGAAGTCATTCAGCATCCCCACGCCTGTGGGTGGAATACCAGCCACCCTTGGTCAATGCCCCTCTGAGTGAATACAGTAGCCTCTTCTATCACTGTGCTGTAGAACCCCTCTTCATCCCAGCCTTCTATGTACAGGGGGCTCTGTCACTTCAAATTTGGGATCACTGTCAGTCATATTAGCAAGCTCGATAGTATCGGGCGAAATTCATCCCAAATATTTCACATAGGTTCTTTTCTATTTTCCCTAAGTGTCGGCCAGTCTGAGAAATAAAGGGACACAGTACAAAAGAGAGAAATTTTAAAGCTGGGTATCCAGAGGAGACATCACATGTCAGCAGGTTCCATGATGCCCCCGAGCCATAAAACCAGCAAGTTTTTATTAGTGATTTTCAAAAGGGGAGGGAGTGTACAAATAGGGTGTGGGTCACAGAGATCACACGCTTCACAAGGTAATAAGATATCACAAGGTAAATGGAGGCAGGGCAAGATCACAGGACCACAGGACCAGGGCAATATTAAAATTGCTAATGAAGTTTCGGCCACGCATTGTCATTGATAACATCTTATCAGGAGACAGAGTTTGAGAGCAGACAACCGGTCTGACCAAAATTTACTAGGCAGGAATTTCCTCATCCTAATAAGCCTGGGAGCACTACGGGAGATGGGGGCTGATTTCATCCCTCAGCTACGACCATGAAAGACTACCATCCCCAAAGTGGCCATTTCAGAGGTCTCCCCTCAGGGATGCATTCTCTTTCTCAGGGATGTTCCTTGAGAAATTCAGTGATATTTCTCCCATTTGCTTTTGAAAGAAGAGAAATATGGCTCTGCTCCACCTGGCTCACTGGCAGTCAGAGTTTAAGGTTATCTCCCTTGTTCCCTGAACATTGCTGTTATCCTGTTCTTTTTTCAAGGTGCCCAGATTTCATGTTGTTCAAACACACATGCTCTACAAACAATCTGTGCAGTTAACGCAATCATCACTGGGTCCTGAGGTGACATACATCCTCCTCAGCTTAAGAAGATGATGGGATTAGGAGATTAAAGTAAAGACAGGCATAGGAAATTGCAAGGGTATTGATTGGGGAAGTGATAAGTGTCCATGAAATCTTCACAATTTATGTTCAGAGATTGCAGTAAAGACAGGTGTAAGAAATTATAAAAGTATTAATTTGGGGAACTAATAAATGTCCATGAAATCTTCACAATTTATGTTCTTCTGCCATGGCTTCAGCCGGTCCCTCTGTTCGGGGTCCCTGACTTCCTGCAACACGGTAGCATCTAGGTCCCTTCTTCTCAGCTGATGAGCCACTCTGTCGGCAATTTTCAGGTTTGGCATAACCCGCAGTAAAGGCTGCACTCTGATGTTCAGTGTTTGTCCTGTCAGGTTGCTTTCTGATGTAAACAGTGAGAACTGTAGCTGGTCCTGTGTGGCAGTGAGATTTGTCATGTGATAAAAGAGTCTTCCTGAATCCAAATCTTCCTGTCCAAAGTTGGTGACCACCTGGTTTTCAATCAGCAGGTGCCCATGTTGGAGGGGCCATGTTATCATGTAAGTGATTTGGGGGTTCCTCCCATTGGTCATGGCTGACAGGTGAGCATTGGTGATGGGGATGGTTGTCTGGCCTTGTGGGAGAAGTAGGTCAGTAAGGTTCACAATGCTGATGGAGATGGGAATGACATCCAGGTGGAAGAGTTTATAGAGGGTGTGGTGTGCACCATCTGTCACACTAAAGTAGAACATTCCAGAAGAAGGGCTTCCATCCTGTATGAACCACACCTGAGAGTTATCAATGTCAGCTTGTGTAAAATGGTGAACAGCTGTGTCCAGAAGGTAAGCCATTGCCAAAAAGCCATTATTAGGATTACGGATGATCATATATCTGATTTCATCTGGAGGACTGTCCAGATCTTCCATTTTCAGATGTTCAGGTCCCACAGCCAACCTACTGCCCTGCAGAACTTTCAACTGAAGCCCCTTTGTCTTTAATTCTGGTGCCTGGTCATTATAATAATATTACCTGGAGAGATGGTGATATTAAACATCTCTTCAAGAAAGTCAGCTTCTGGCTTGGGTGGACTTGCTCTTTTGGTTTGGCCAAACGACAAAGGTAAAATTATCAGCCAGTGATTCAGAGTCATCATGAATGTATGTAATTCCAAATTATTTCTTTACACGTCCTCTTTCTCCAGGTCTCTTCTATTTTATCTCATAAGCTTAAACAGTTGTACTGGGAGAAGGATGACAACTTAGCTTTAAAGTTGTATACTGGTAGAAACTGGGTTTACCTTTGGTAATATTTCTTTTTCCAACCATAATTGTTCTGTGGTGAGGAAGAGATGTCACTTGGAACCAAATTTCACAGGACGAGCACTGAGATTCAGGCAATTTAAATAAGAGGTTGGAGGCATCTAACTTAAATCGGCCAATTAGAACCTTGTCTCCCTCCTTGACAGAAGCTCCTGTTAAAACAGAAAGAACAAATTGGCATTTCATTAGAACTTTTAGATGACAACTGTAAAGCTCTTTTTCCCTCAAATTTGTCTTAGTGGATTACTTGTAACACTTTGGTTGCTCAAGTACTTGAATTAGCATTGCTACCCAAGGCATATTAAATAAATACATTTTAAATACACACATTCACACACAATTAAGCCAACATTTCAGGCAACTGAGCTTTAAAATCTTTTATATTCATTTATAAAATGTTAATTTCATAATTTATCTACTACCGGACTTTCTCTTGCCATGGAAACATGCAGCTTTCAATACCCCTTTCCTTTTAAGAACTTACCCTATTTGTCATTTTCATTTTCTATCCACAGTTTTCTGTCATGGGCACAGTGAAGTCCCCACTTGGAGGTGCAAATAAAATTCTTTAAAGCTAAGTTGTCATCCTTCTCCCAGTACAACTGTTTAAGCTTATGAGATAAAATAGAAGAGACCTGGAGAAAGAGGACGTGTAAAGAAATAATGTTTTATAACTGTTTAAGCTTTATTTCAAAGGTTGATATCATGGCATTGACAATTAACAAGGGAAAGATTTATTTCCAAACTCTCCCTACTTTAATAATTATAGATTAGGCACTGCTCATATCGTGGTGGCATTACCTGTATTTGCAAGCAGACAACTCTGCTGACCAGGCTCATTGATATCATATGAAATAGTAATACAGAATTCCTCGGGTCCCAGGGCTGCTGATGGGGAGGAGGCCGTGAATGTAAAGGAATCTTCCGCAGTCCAGCCAGTGTTCTCACAGTCTACGTGCTGGTATAGTATCAACCCTTCACTGACCTGACCAAACAGTAAGAGAAATTAGCTCCTGGTTTCAGGGGTGATACAAGGATTGACATATATCCTAACTGGAAGAGATACATGTCCTTTGAGAGTTCACTTTACTCATGCTCAAATTATTGCACATAGCCATCTAAATTCAGAAACATTAAAAATGTAGTAACTTATTTTTCCAACCTAGGGGATTCTATTATAAAAATGATCTATTCACCAGAAAAAGAAAAGCACATTGATTTTGAGACAACTAATGTCTAAGGTATTTGTATAATATTATAGAAAGTTTATAAGAAACTTGTACTTAACTTGCCAGAAGATTCAACAATAATCAACTCAGAATAAGTCTTGTTGCATATATACTCCTACCCACTTTTCTGCCCCATAGATTATTTTGAATCAAATCACAGACATCATATCATTTCATCTTGCTATGAAATGTCTGAATGTTGGTCCCCTCCAAAACTCATATTGAAACTTAGTCCCCATTGTGGCAGTATTGAGAGGTGGGGCCTTTAAGAGGTGATTGGGTCATGAAGGTTCTGCTCTCATGAATGAATTAACCCATTCATAGACTAATGGGTTAATGGGTTAGTGGGTTATCATGTAAGTGGGACTGGTGGCTTTATAAGAAGAGGAAGAAAGACCTGAGCTAGAACACTCAGCTCCCTCATGATGTGATGCCCTGCACTGCCTTGGAATTCTGCAGAGTCCCCACCAGCAAGAAGGCCATCACCAGATGTGGCCCCTCAACATTAAACCTCTCAGCCTCCATAACTGTAATAAATTCTTTTTCTTTATAAATTACCCATTTTCAGATACTTTGTTATAAGCAATAGAAAATGGACTAAGAGAGGGGAGGAGCAAAGACAGCCGAATAGGAAAAGCTCCAGTCTACAGCTCCCAGCGTGAGCGATGCAGAAGATGGGTGATTTCTGCATTTCCAACTGAGGTACCAAGATCATCTCACTGGGGAGTGTCAGACACTGGGTGCAGGACAGTGGGTGCAGCAAGGACAGTGGGTGCACCAAGCATGAGCCGAAGCAGGGCAAGGCATTGCCTCACCCAGGAAGCACAAGGGGTCAGGGAATTCCCTTTCCTAGTCAAAGAAAGGGGTGATAGATGGCACCTGGAAAATTGGGTAACTCCCAACCCTAATACTGCACTTTTCCAACGGTCTTAGCAAATGGCACACCAGGAGATTATATCCCGTGCCTGGCTTGGAAGGTCCTACACTCACAGAGCCTCGCTCATTGCTACCACAGCAGTCTGAGATCAAACTGCAAGGCGGCAGTGAGGCTGGGGGAGGGACACCCACCATTGCTGAGGCTTGAGTAGGTAAACAAAGTGGCCAGGCTGGGAAGCTCGAACTGGGTGGAGACCACCTCAGCTCAAGGAGGCCTGCCTGCCTCTGTAGACTCCACCTCTGGGGGGAGGGCATAGCCAAGCAAAAGGCAACAGAAACCTCTACAGACTTAAATGTCCCTGTCTGACAGCTTTGAAGAGAGTAGTGGTTCTCCCAGCATGCAGCTGGAGATCTGAGAACGGACAGACTGCCTCCTCAAGTGGGTCCCTGACCCCCGAGTGGTGTAACTGGGAGGCACCCCCCAGTAGGGGCAGACTGACACCTCACATGGCCAGGTACGCCTCTGAGACAAAACTTCCAGAGGAATGATCAGGCAGCAACATTTGCTGTTCACCAATATCCGCTGTTCTGCAGCCTCTGCTGCTGATACCCAGGCAAACAGGGTCTGGAGTGGACCTCCAGCAAACTCCAACAGACCTGCAGCTGAGGATCCTGACTGTTAGAAGGAAAACTAACAAAAAGAAAGGACATCCACACCAAAACCCCATCTGTATGTCACCATCATCAGAGTCCAATGGTAGATAAAACCACAAAGATGGGGAAAAAACAGAGCAGAAAAACTGGAAACTCTAAAAAGCAGAGCACCTCTTCTCCTCCAAAGGAACGCAGCTCCCCACCAGCAACGGAACAAAGCTGGATGGAGAATGACTTTGATGAGTTGAGAGAAGAAGCCTTCAGACGATCAAACTACTCCAAGCTAAAGGAGGAAGTTCAAACCCATGGCAAAGAAGTTAAAAACCTTGAAAAAAAATTAGACAAATGGCTAACTAGAATAAGCAATGCAGAGAAGTCCTTAAAGGACCTGATGGAGCTGAAAACCATGGCATGAGAACTACGTGACGAATGCACAAGCCTCAGTAGCTGATTCGATCAAATGGAAGAAAGGGTATCAGTGATGGAAGATCAAATGAATGAAATGAAGCGAGAAGAGAAGTTTAGAGAAAAAAGAATAAAAAGAAATGAACAAAGCCTCCAAGAAATATGGGACTATGTGAAAAGACCAAATCTGTGTCTGATTGGGATACCTGAAAGTGACGGGGAGAATGGAACCAAGTTGGAAAACACTCTGCAGGATATTACCCAGGAGAACTTCCCCAATCTAGCCAGGCAAGCCAACATTCAGATTCAGGAAATACAGAGAACGCCACAAAGATACTCCTCGAGAAGAGCAACTCCAAGATACATAATTGTCAGATTCACCACAGTTGAAATGAAGGAAAAAATGTTAAGGGCAGTCAGGGAGAAAGTTTGGGTTACCCACAAAGGGAAGCCCATCAGACTGCCAGCTGATCTCTCAGCAGAAACTCTACAAGCCAGAAGAGAGTGGGGACCAATATTCAACATTCTTAAAGAAAAGAATTTTCAACCCAGAATTTCATATCCAGCCAAACTAAGCTTCATAAGTGAAGGAGAAATAAAATACTTTACAGACAAGCAAATGCTGAGAGATTTTGTCACCACCAGACCTGTCCTACAAGAGCTCCTGAAGGAAGCACTAAACGTGGAAGGGCACAACCTGTACCAGCCACTGCAAAAACATGCCAAATTATAAAGACCATCGAGGCTAGGAAGACACTGCATCAACTAACGAGCAAAATAACCAGCTAACATCATAATGACAGGATCAAATTAACACATAACAATATTAACCTTAAACGTAAATGGGCTAAATGCTCCAATTAAAAGACACAGACTGGCAAATTGGATAAAGAGTCAAGACCCATCAGTGTGCCGTATTCAGGAAACCCATCTCACATGCAGAGACACACGTAGGCTCAAAATAAAGGGATGGAGGAAGATCTACCGAGCAAACGGAAAACAAAAAAAGGCAGGGATTGCAATCCTAGTCTTGGATAAAACATACTTTAAACCAACAAAGATCAGAAGAGACAAAGAAGGCCATTACATAATAGTAAAGGGATCAATTCAACAAGAAGAGCTAACTATCCTAAATACATATGCACCCAATACAGGTGCACCCAGATTCATAAAGCAAGTCCTTAGAGATCTACAAAGAGACTTAGACTCCCACACAATAATAATGGGAGACTTTAATACCCCACTGTCAACATTAGACAGATCAATGAGACAGAAAGTTAACAAAGATATCCAGGAATCGAACTCAGCTCTGCACCAAGCAGACCTGATAGACATCTACAGAACTCTCTACCGCAAATCAACAGAATATACATTCTTTTCAGCACCACCCCATACCTATTCCAAAATTGACCACATAGTTGGAAGTAAAGCACTCCTCAGCAAATGTAAAAGAACAGAAATTATAACAGTCTCTCAGACCACAGTGCAATCAAACTAGAACTCAGGATTAAGAAACTCACTCAAAACCTCTCAACTACATGGAAACTGAACAACCTGCTCCAGAATGACTACTGGGTGCATAATGAAATGAAGGCAGAAATAAAGATGTTCTTTGAAACCAGCAAGAACAAAGACACAACATACAAGAATCTCCGGGACACATTCAAAGCAGTGTGTAGAAGGAAATTTATAGCACTAAATGCCCACAAGAGAAAGCAGGAAAGATCTAAAACTGACACCCTAACATTACAATTAAAAGAACTAGAGAAGCAAGAGCAAACACATTCAAAAGCTAGCAGAAGGCAAGAAATAACTAAGGTCAGAGCAGAACTGAAGGAAATAGAGACACAAAAAACCCTTCAAAAAATCGATGAATCCATGAGCTGGTTTTTACAAACGATCAACAAAATTGATAGACTGCTAGCAAGACTAATAAAGAAGAAAAGAAAGAAGAATCAAATTGATGCAATAAAAAATGATAAAGGGGATATCACCACTGATCCCACAGAAATACAAACTACCATCAGAGAATACTATGAACACCTGTACACAAATAAGCTAGAAAATCTAGAAGAAATGGATAAATTCCTGACACACATATCCTCCCAAGACTAAACCAGGAAGAAGTTGAATCTCTGAATAGACCCATAACAGGCTCTGAAATTGAGGCAATAATTAATAGCTTACCAACCAAAAAAATTCCAGGACCAGATGGATTCACAGCCGAATTCTACCAGAGGAACAAAGAGGAGCTGGTACCATTCTTTCTGAAACTATTCCTATCAATAGAAAAAGAGAGAATCCTCCCTAACTCATTTTATGAGGCCAGCATCATCCTGATACCAAAGCCTGGCAGAGACACAACCAAAAAAGAGAATTTTAGACCAATATCCCTGATGAACATCGATGCAAAAATCCTCAATAAAATACTGGCAAACTGAATTCAGCAGCCCATCAAAAAGCTTATCCACCATGATCAAGTGGGCTTCATCCCTGGGATGCAAAGCTGGTTCAACGTACGCAAATCAATAAACGTAATCCAGCATATAAACAGAACCAATGACAAAAACCACATGATTATCTCAATAGATGCAGAAAAGGCCTTTGACAAAATTCAACAACCCTTCATGCTAAAAACTCTCAATAAATTAGGTACTAATGGGATGTATCTCAAAATAGTAAGAGCTATCTATGACAAACCCACAGCCAATATCATACTGAATGGGCAAAAACTGGAAGCATTCCCTTTGAAAACGGGCACAAGACAGGGCTGCCCTCTCTCACCACTCCTATTAAACGCAGTGTTGGAAGTTCTGGCCAGGGCAATCAGGCAGGAGAAGGAAATAAAGGTACTCAATTAGGAAAAGAGGAAGTCAAATTGTCCCTGTTTGCAGATCACATGATTGTATATCTAGAAAACCCCATCGTCTCAGCGCAAAATCTCCTTAAGCTGATAGGCAACTTCAGCAAAGTCTCAGGATACAAAATCAATGTGCAAAAATCACAAGCATTCTTACATACCAATAACAGACAAACAGCGAGCCAAATCATGAGTGAACTCCCATTCACAATTGCTTCAAAGAGAATAAAATACCTAGGAATCCAACTCACAAGGGACGTGAAGGACCTCTTCAGGGATAACTACAAACCACTGCTCAAGGAAATAAAAGAGGATACAAACAAATGGAAGAACATTCCATGCTCATGGGTAGGAAGAATCAATATTGTGAAAATAGCCATACTGCCCAAGGTAATTTATAGATTCAATGCCATCCCCATCAAGCTACCAATGACTTTCTTCACAGAATTGGAAAAAACTACTTTAAACTTCATATGGAACCAAAAAAGAGCCCGCATTGCCAAGTCAATCCTAAGCCAAAAGAACAAAGCTGGAGGCATCATGCTACCTGACTTCAAACTATACTACAAGGCTACAGTAACCAACACAGCATGGTGCTGGTACCAAAACAGAGATATAGACCAATGGAACAGAACAGAGCCCTCAGAAATAATGCCGCATATCTACAACTATCTGATCTTTGACAAACCTGACAAAAACAAGAAATGGGGAAACGATTCTCTATTTAATACATGGTGCTGGAAAAACTGGCTAGCCATATGTAGAAAGCTGAAACTGGATCCCTTCCTTACGCCTTATACAAAAATTAATTCAACATGGATTAATGACTTACATGTTAGACCTAAAACCGTAAAAACCCTAGAAGAAAATCTAGGCAATACCATTCAGGACATAGGCATGGGCAAGGACTTCATGTCTAAAACACCAAAAGCAATGGCAACAGAAGCCAAAATTGACAAATGGGATCTAATTAAACTAAAGAGCTTCTGCACAGCAAAAGAAACTACCATCAGAGTGAACAGGCAACCTACAGAATGGGAGAAAATTTTTGCAATCTACTCATTTGACAAAGGGCTAATATCCAGAATCTACAATGAACTCAAACAAATTTACAAGAAAAAAACAAACAACCCCATCAAAAAGTGGGCAAAGGACATGAACAGACACTTCTCAAAAGAAGACATTTATGCAGCCAAAGGACACATGAAAAAATGCTCACCATCACTGGCCATCAGAGAAACGCAAATCAAAACCACAATGAGATACCATCTCACACCAGTTAGAATGGCAATCATTAAAAAGTCAGGAAACAACAGGTGCTGGAGAGGAGGTGGAGAAATAGGAACACTTTCACACTGTTGGTGGGACGGTAAAGTAGTTCAACCATTGTGGAAGTCAGTGTGGCGATTCCTCCGGGGTCTAGAACTAGAAATACCATGTGACCCAGCCATCCCATTACTGGGCATATACCCAAAGGATTATAAATCATGCTGCTATAAAGACACATGCACACGTATGTTTATTGCGGCACTATTCACAATAGCAAAGACTTGGAACCAAGCCAAATGTCCAACAATGATAGACTGGATTAAGAAAATGTGGCACATATACACCATGGAATACTATGCAGCCATAAAAAATGATGAGTTCATGTCCCTTGTAGGGACATGGATGAAGCTGGAAACCATCATTCTCAGCAAACTATCAGAAGGACAAAAAACCAAAGACCGTATGTTCTCACTCATTGGTGGGAACTGAACAATGAAAACACATGGACACAGGAAGGGGAACATCACACACCGGGGACTGTTGTGGGGTGGAGGGAGTGGGGAGGGATAGCATTAGGAGATATACCTAATGTTAAATGACGAGTTAATGGGTGCAGCACACCAACATGGCACATGTATACATATGTAACAAACCTGCATGTTGTGCACACGTACCCTAAAACTTAAAGTATAATAAAAAAAAAAAAAGAAAATGGACTAAGACACATCAATAAATGCTTTAGTAAGTATTGGTTAATGATGACTCTTAAAAACATAACCATAATACCATGATCACACCAAAATATTACAAATAATTACTTAGTATTTTCAAATATCCAAATGTTCAAATGTATCTGGTAATCTAGTACTTGTCTTTTTTTTTTCACTAGTTGCACTGTTGAGTCAGGATCCTAAGTCCACATCACATTTGTTTGATACTTCTCATAGATGTCTTTTCATCTATGGGTTCCTCTTCTCTAATTTTTCTTGGAATTTGTTTGTTGAAGAAATTGGGCTGTCTGTCTTGAGAGTTTCCCACATTCTGGATTTTGCTGACTCCATCCCTGGGATGTTGTTTCGCATTTCCTCTCGCCTCTGTATTTCCTACGTACTGGTAGTTAAATCTAGAGACTTAATAGGAATCAGGTTCAACTTTTGGATAAGAGTATTTTACAGGTTGTATTTTATATTTTCTCTTGCTTCTCATTGCAAAGCAAAATATTAGGTTGCTTCTCTCTTGGATATGTTAAGATTGACAGGTAGATTCAAGTGTTGGCAGGTTGGTCCTTCTATTTTAAGGTTCTCCATTAGCCTGTCACCTAATAGATTTAAAGAGTCATTGATACCATTGCCTAAATCCATTATTGTTGCAGTGGCAAAACACTGATATTCTTTTATCATTTCTTCTTTATTATCTGGAAGTCTTTTATAAGAAAGAACTTTCCTTCATCTGCCATTTGGTTATAGTGAGGTACAGGAAAGACAGGATAAATGCTTGATTCTTTCCCTTTATGTACCAAACTTTAATCACAGAAGGGAAGGCTACAGACAAAATATTTAGCCCTTAGTTTCTATGGGTCACTTCTTTTTCTGACCTGCTAGCTATTATAATACTCTGAGTTTACAGATGTGTTTTGTCAAGGTATTCTATGTCCAGTTCAAACATGCCTAAGATAAACTATCATGTAATTTACAGAGCAGTTGAGTCCACCTCATCAATCAATATCTAGAAATGCTATAGTAACTAACAGAAGTTTGGGTCTCTGAATATATGTTGCTTTGGCTCAATACTGATACAGAGGCTATATCTTCATCTCGAGTTCTAGAAAGGCTTTTGGTCTGGTGAGTTTCCATGGAAGATAAGCTCCCTGTCCCAAAGTAGCCAAAAACTGTTGGTGAGGAGTTCTTTCATTCTTAGCCCATTCAAGAATGAGGCAAGGAAATGCTGTCTTTTGAGGGTTTTAAATGGGAAGAAGAAAGAAAAATATTATCTCTAAACATTACCTTATAGAGAAACAAGGTTACTCAGGAGAAATTGAAGTTTCTCCAAATATAGCAATTTCTGGTACTAATGAGTGATTCAGTTCCCCAGCAGTTCCTGGGAAAGAAAGTCTGCTTTATTTGGCAGCCCTAGCATTTCAATTCCTAGCTTAAGATTTATGGTTAGTCATAAATGCATTTCCCCTCCCAGAAACAGGTGACTGTGCCATGAATTTTGGACCAGAGGATGCTTTTTATTCAGCTTGAGAGAGGCATCATATTATAAAGCAAAAAAGATCCATTTCCCTAAGATGAAAAGTAGCATAGTCTATTAACCAGGAAGAAAGATTTTCTTGGAAGCTGGTCAACCTTGTCCTTTGGTATAAGTGAAAATTAGCTTCCCTGAAAAATATATAAGAAGTTGTTAGAATAATCTAAGGATCTTCCGACGTCCGTGGTACAGAGAGTGATTGTCCCAGGAAAGGGATAGTGCTCACAGACAATTGAGATGAAAGTCAGAAATCTTCTGAGGGAAGAGATTGGGGAAGAGTTCTAAACATAGCTTTGTATTTCAGGAGCCTAGTGGAGGAGAGATCTGTTATAGGTTCTATTTTTAAAAAGGCATTTCAAGAGTATGAAATTAAGTGTGAATAACTAATTGCCTAATTTTACCCTGGAGAGTGACAGAGAGAATTTAATTAGATGCATCTTGAGTATCTGGACTTTAAGACTGGATAGGGCATTACTGAAAGTGCTGAGCTAGAAATAAAAGGGACTAAGGGTGCCTGTGGAATGTGCACTTGCTGGCCATGCCCTGAAAGAGGTTTGCAGGTGAGTAGGTTCTTTAATGTTCAGAAGAGAGCTTTTCCTTCTGCAGCTTTAAGAGCCAGGTTCCAAGGGGTGTGTGTGTATTAAGGAGAAGGCCAGGAAAGGCAGAATGAGACCAAGACTTCAGGAGAAAAAGTATAGGGTAAACCTGAAGAGAGAAGGATCTAAGAGAGGATTAGGAATTTTGTCACCTAAAATAGAAAATGGCCTTAGGAACAATTTCCAACAGCTCTACATATTTCCATGGTATTAAATATGGATAGATAAGCCACTTAGCTGAATACCTGGGCTCTGGGGTTAGGGAGAGGAGAGAAGAGAGGTTTTTATTTCTTATGGATTTAATTTAGCCCAGATATTTTCTCTTTAACAGATGAAATCTTTCTGGAATGTTGTTAGAAAACCAATGGTGTTGGATTTCAACTAATAAACATAGTAGGAAAAACAAAATGAGAAAAATCGACATTTGGCAACCTCTGCAACAATAAACATTTCAGGCAAGAATCCTAAAACTAGTGGGTGAAAATGTGATGAGAAACAAGCTATTTAAATCTTTCCAAATGTCTCCTCACATATTTATTAATTACAAAGGGGAGAACAGTACCTTCAAGTGGATAAACCTGAAAGCAACACCTGACCAAGTGACAGAGGTAAACATCCTCAGTCCTGGGCAAAGTGAGCCTTAGGGCCTCTGATGGGAAGCTCTGAGAACCCAGCAGCTCTCCCGGTATTCCTGCCCCAAAGGCACAACCTAAATAGATCTGATCATAAGGAAACAGGATAAAACACCAGGTAAGACCAGACTGAGGGATATTCTACAGAGAACTGTCCTGTACCTAGCAAGAAAATGGCAAGTTCATGAAAGGGAACGTGACTGAGGAATGATTCCAGCTTGAAGGAGACTAAATGTCAGAGGCATTCAAACCAGAACAACTCCATCTTGAGTAGGGGCTGGGTATAAAATAAAGCTGAGACCTGTTGGGCTGCATTCCCAGGAGGTCAGGCATTCTTAGCCACAGGATGAGATAGGAGGTCGGCACAAGACACAGGTCACAAAGACCTTGCTGATAAAACAGGATGCAGTAAAGAAGCTGGCCAAAACCCACCAAAACCAAGATGGCAATGAAAGTGACCTCTGATTGACCTCACTGCTCATTATATGCTGATTATAATGCATTAGCATGCTAAAAGACACTCCCACCAGTGCCATGACAGTTTACAAATGCCACAGAAATGTCTGAAGTTACCATATATAGTCTAAAAAGGGGAGGGGCCCTCAGTTTTGAGAACTCTCCACCCCTTTCCCAGAAAACTCATGAATAATCCACCCCTTATTTAGCATATGAGCAAGAAATAACTATACGTATATTCAGTCAGGCAGCCATTGCTGCTGCTCTGCCTATGGGGTAGCCATTCTTTCATCCCTTTACTTTCCTAATAAACTTGCACTCACTTTACTCTATGGACTCGGCCTCAAATTCTTTCTCGCTCGAGGTCCAAGGACCCTGTCTTGGGGTCTGGATTGGGATCCCTTTCTGGTAACATAAAGACATGGGACAATTAAACGCTACGTTTTATGCTGTGGACTTTTTCTTTTGCTAGAAAAAAATTTACTGAAACAACTTGTGAAATTTCAGTAAGGTCTATAAATTATGTAATAGTATTGTGGCAATGTGAATTTCATGGGTTTGAAAATTATACTGTGATTCTGTAAGAGAATGGCGTTATTTCCAGAAAAAACACACTGAAATATTTAGAGATAAAGGGGCATGGCAGCAACTGGCTCTCAAAGTCTCCGAAATGTGTTTGTGTATGTAAAGAGAAAAATGATAAAGCAAATGTGGTTAAATGCTAACATTTGGGGAATATGGATGAATATTATACATGAATTCTTTGTACTCTATTACAATTCTTCTGTAAGTCTGAAGCTCTTTCAAAATAGTTAGAACATGATACTTTAAAAAGTAAACTTCATAATGTTTTACTACATCAACTTCAACTTCAAGAAGGGACAAGTAATCCCTCTTCTCTGATGACTCAGAGTATGCAGAATGGGGGAGGGAGACCCACTCACAAATGCCTTGGACACTTAAAAATCAATAAGTAATTTTAAGATCAAGATATAGGGTCTAGTTGGTCCCCATACCTGCCCCATCTCACCACCACCACCCAGCTGCCTCCTCTAACCTAGGCCATTTCACTAAGACTTTAACGAGGCTGTAATCCTGCCTTGCCTATGAAAGGGTGGATATGTGGTTCCAAATCCTACAACTTCCCAGAGTAGTGCTGTTACAGGTAGTTAGGCATTAGCGGGGCAGGAGAGGGCTCTCCCCGACAACCCACTAGAAATGCCAGGTGATGGCTCGGCAATTATTGCATTGCCTCTCTAAAAGTGATAAATTGGCAGCTGGCACCAGGGAGAGGCCATTTCCTGATGGTCCACACCTGTTAATGTTAAAGTGTTCAAGAAAAGCAGATCCCAGGGAGAAGAAACTTCCCGGGCATGCATATTAAGAGACAAAAATGGCAAAGTATGGTCTTCAGGGCACTCCACCACAAAAAGGAAAAAAGCCTCAGATGGACATGGGTACAACTTCCTAAGCACACTGCATGTGTTCAGTTCCCAAGGGTAAGGAAGGGACTACACATGCAGGAAGCCCACCCTAAGGAAAGAATTATGGGAAAGAGGCGAGCCTATAGAGCCCTAGGATCAAGGTAAGTGTCCCTTTTTTCTCTCTTTGACCTTCAGGTGCCCACTTGGATCTCTTTCAAAGATTATTTCCTTTCTTGTCTGTTCTAAAACCTTTTTAATAAACTTCCACTCCTGCTCTGGAACTTGCCTCAGTCTCTTTTTCTGTTTTATGCCCCTCAGTCAAATTATTTCTTCTGAGGAGGCAAGGCCTAAAGATGCCACAAATGTGTACAGATTCACCACCAGTGATTTGGGGTGACTCAGATCTCTTCCACTGCTAACAGTGCTTTCATTTGAAGGGGCAATATTATAATATCCCTCAGATCTCTGAGATTTAAACTCTCTGGATCTCATATCCTTGATGTCTAGGGAACCACAAAGAAAACCATTTGTTAATGCAGGGTAGATTTTGAATCTTGGATTGATCAGATCTAAATTCAAGTATAAATGTCACCAGTTTTCAGCTCTGTGACCTTTGTGCAAGTCACTTAATCTCTCTGAGCCTCAATTTGTGCATTAAAATATGGAATAATAACTCACTTGTAGATATGCATTTGACTAAATTGGTCTATTGCATATCAGTGTTCAAAAAAATGCAGGCCCTGGGCATTTCTAGGTCTTTCAAGAAAGCTAAGTTCTCACCAGCCAATTCCTTACTGGAACATCAGAGGATTCTGGTTAAGATGGGAGGCTATAGTCTTTTTTATACTGAATCATGGATGTGAATATTAAGCAATTAGAAAGTTCTAAAATATGCCTAATAAAATATTTTCCCATAAAAATGAAGGAATTTATAAGCTAAAATCTTGGCACATTGCAAAAGCTTACTTCTGGTTGCTTTGTAAATAAGTATTTGTTCACTATTCTAAAAATATTTGCCAAATGGACAAATAAACTACTTTAAAAGTGCCATACAAATCTAAAGTATATACATTTTTTATCATGAAGAAGAATTAAGGCCATCTAGCATATTTCTTACTCATTTATTTAACAAAATCACCTAGACAACACCTAACTTTTATTGAGTCCTAAACACAAATTCCAGGTGCTCTATGAGCCGCTTTATATAATTTATAATTCATGCATAGACAATAAGTTGGAGAGCCTAGTTTTGAACCTAGCCCTGCATGACTCCAGAGTTCACACCTTCTTGATTACCTAGGAGCCATGCCTACAGTATGGAAAATTCAGTGAAATTCTAGGCAGCAAAGAATTTCACAAGATATGCTCTCCAACTCCAAGAACCCTGGTAATGTGGAAAGTCAGTTGCAAGTATGAGTAGGGCAGACTAGTGCCCTTTTTTGGTCTGGCCTGAAAACAACATAGTCACTATTGGCCAGGGCTTGTCCAGACTTGTAATGACTCAAATACATGGCTCATTTTATGTATTGTATTTATTACAAATGGCAAATTAAAGAAAGGCTGCATTCCCATTCTACTATACTATACTATACTATACTATACTATACTATACTATACTATACTATACAATTTTTTTTTTTTTTTTTCTGAGACAGGGTCTCACTCTGTCTGCACTCTGGAGTGCAGTGGCATGATCTTAGCTCTCTGCAACCTCTGCCTTCCAGGCTCAAGCCATCCTCCCACCTCAACATCCTGAGTAGCTGGGACTACAGGTGTGTGCCACTATGCCCGGCTAATTTTTGTATTTTTTGATAGAGACAGGATTTCACCACGTTGCCCAGGCTGGTTTTGAACTCCTCAGCTCAAGAGATCCACCCACTTCAGCCTCCCAAAATGCTGGGATTACAGGCACTACTGCCATTTTTGATCAGGGAGAAAATCTCATTATTGTATTAAAGAGAAAAGACATTGGGATTAAAGAAAGAGGAGTTTTTCCCAAGAGCAATTCCTGTTTGGGCACCAAGGTGACTGACAGATACCTGCCTGCTCAAGGCTAAGCTTTTAAAACCTGGAGCCAGAGAGCTAAGGATCACTATGAGTGTCCTTGGATGAACCCAAGGATGAAGCAGGAGCTCAGATGTACTATGCTTGGGTGGACGGGGGTCAACTGTGGAATACAGTTTTTTTTTTTCCTAAAGGCATTCTACAGGTCTACAGAAGTACACGGGACAGGACTGGGGGTAATGAGATCACAATTGTCAAACTTGACCAAAAGGCAAGGCTAGAACACTCTGGAGAATATCTTCATTCTAAGGGTGTCTGTAAATACAGCTCCCTACAAATCTGATAAGAAAGCCAGAGCATGAGTCCTTTCCACTGATCCTTCCCAGAGTGGGGCTTAAAAGTAGCTTTTAAATTCCCACTGGAGAAGAGAGTAACCAAATTATCTCAAAGTCAGCTGGGAGAAGGAAAAAGAAGAGATGGAGACATGAATCCACTTGCTTAATTCTCCACAACACAATGGTTTTGTCCAAGGTTCAGGTCTCTGGACTGGACAGTCGTTGGCCAGAAGGAGGAAGAGAAAGAGAACTGGCCAAAAAAAAAAAAAAGAAGAAGAAAGAAATCTCTATGCCAAACAGATATCCATGGGGAAAGAGACTACAGAAAGCCAAACCATTCAAGAGGGTAAAGTCTGCAAAGGTCCATGAAAATTAACCAAAAAGTACTAAAAGCTAACATTCTAAAGATACCAAGATGCTGTACTCCTGAAAGATGAGCACCAAGAAACAGCTCCTCTCTGTTTGCCCTTTCTCTCTTCCACCAGACTGACATCACCATGGTTACAGAGAGCAGCCAGATATACAGAATTCAAGGTTCCCGGAAGAGATCAGAAGCCCGGGAAGCCCAGGGTGCCAAGGCTTAGAGAGTGTCCAGGAATCAGGCTAAACAAAGTGGGGCTGAGTTAAGTCCCAGGAATAATTTCCCTTAGTGGGAGTGGATAGAAGAGGCATTTTGGAAAACCTAGGTTCCAAAATGGTGTTACTTGGAAATCTGCAGCTAGAAATGGACAACTGAAAACCTAACCCAAATAACTATCCAGGAGTTGTGGCTCATGCCCTTCCATAACTGTGTCAGTCTCTCCAGAAACCAACTAGAATAAAAACCTTTTCAAGGAGCACAGCAAGATATCCATCTATAGCCCTACCTGGCAGAGAAGTCCAAATCCACGTTTATATAGACCTAAACATAGATTCTCATATGCCTTGTACCATTATACATGTATAGACCTTTAATAAAACTATCAAATGAGATCATATAAAAGGTTACTATTAGGAAACAGCAGAAGGCAGTATGAGACATCTTGCTTTTGTTATATGTGAGTGTAGTAAGCTAAAAATTGCCCCCCAAAGATATCAGGCTCTAATTTCTGAAAGCTACCTATGAATGTTCCCTTATATGGCAAAGACCTTGCAAATGTGATTAAGTTAATGATCCTGAGATTGGAAGATCGTCCTAGATTATTCAGGTGGGCCCTAACTGCAGTCAAATGAATCTTTACAACAGGGAGGCGGAGGGAGACTTAGACAGAAAAGGAGAAAGCAGTGTGACCACAAAGGCAGAGATGGGAGTGATGCAGCCACATGCCAAGGAATGCCTGCAGCCATAGAAGCTGGGAAAGAGGCAAGGAAAAAACTCCTCCTCACAGCCTTCAGAGGTTGCACGGCACTGCTGACACCTTGATGTTGGCCGAGTGAAATGGAGTTCAGACTGTTCTCAGGAACTGGGAGGGAATATATTTCTGCTCTTTTAAGCCACCAAATGTGTAGCAATTTATCACAGCAACCATAGGAAATGAATGGAAGAAAAAAGGACAAAGCACTTTCACAGAAATGGGATTTTGTTCTATCCGCTTTTTGAAAGAAATAGCCAACAGTTCTAAAAGAAAGAAACACTTTTGGTTATTCAAAGCCATTGGGCCCGGGCCCATCAGCCAATTTCCAGCTTGAACAATGAACAGGTGATTAAATGATAATACAATAATTTCTATATGTGGAAAAATATGCTAGCACATAATTCAATGAAGTGTAATGACAAAGCCAAAATTAGCCCAAAAGAACAAAAACTAGTGGAAAATGTCTGAAATAACTTCTATGTCTAGTCGTCATTAAGCTTATTACTGAAAAGATCCCAAGAAAGCAGCAGTGGAGGTGGGGGCAGGAGTAATCACTAACAGCAAGACCCTGAGCCTTCCCTGCTCAGAATATTCAGGGACCAAAGTTTAATAATCCATTCAGTTGATTGTACTCTCCATTAAGTTGTAATAAGTTAATTTCTATCCTATCCTATGTATGAATCAACATTCAGTTGATTGTACTCTCCATTAAGTTGTAATAAGTTAATTTCTATCCTATGGGAAGTGTTTTCACAATTTCTTAAAATGTGTTTTCTTGGTCAATAAATCAAGATTCTGGGAGAATAGGTAATTAGACAAAAGTCATAACCCAGAATTGATTGTATCATTTTCTAAATGTGGCCCTGGACACCTGTGTCCATATTGCAGCAGCAAGCAGAGACAAAGACAGTTGATCTCCCACCCACAACAGTACAATGGCTGAAATGCAATTACTGGCTTTATGGAAAAGCAAAAGGGCCAGGCACCATAAATCTCAAACTGGAACACTTTGCTTTTTAATGAGTCTAAATTATTTCAACAAGCACTGGAATTAAAATCATTCAATTAGCTTCATGCTGTACTTGGAAGAAATCAGTGCCTTATAGAATTTAATTTTTATTTTGTTTATACATTCTTTGAAATGAACAATAATTTTTCTAAATTTGTTAAAAGTTTTTATTTAATTTTAAAATCCGATGATTTACCTTCTCTGTGTACTCACATGCTTAATTCTTCAGGACACAAGATTTTGAGCAAAAGTTTTTGTGGTTTAGCTTTTCCCATTTAGGCAGATATAATTTATGGTGAAGGACAAAGATGTTGCTTGCTTATCTTGGGTAGGCTGACATGGTATGGTTTAGAAAAATAGTAAATTTATTCTGGGATAAGAAAGTATTTTTGGACTATGCCATAACAAGTATTTTCCTCACAATTATTTTGCCAAAGTATGATCTTAAGTATAATAGAGAGTGGAGGTTTCTTTCAGAAGCTGTATCCACCCATATATCGCCCGGGCTGGAGCACAGTGGCATGATCATAGCTTACTGTAACCTAGAACACCCGGGCTCAAACAATCCTCCCGCCTCTGCCTCCCGAGTAGCTGGGACTACAGACATGCCCCACCACACCCAGCTAATTGGGTTTTTAAAAAATGTTTCATGGAGACTGGGGGGCGGAAGTGGAGAGAGGTCTTACTGCGTTGGCTAGGCTGGTCTCAAACGCCTGGCTTCAAGCAATCCTCCTGTCTCAGCCTCCCAAAGTATTGGAATTACAAGCCTGAGCTGCCGTGCTTGGCCAAGCGTGAGTTTTATTTGCAAACGATATGGTGGTTTTGCCTCCCCCAGTGAAGGGCGGTAGAGGGCTGGGAACATTTAGCGCTTTCAGTTAAAGGTGTGAAAGCTCACTCAACCATCAACTGCCTAAAACACTCTCCCAACTTAGTAGGTTATTGGCTTGAATTGACTCTTGAAATTAGAAAAACTTATCAAGGAAGCCAAATAGTAATCAAATCCATTTGATCATTTATACTCAACTAAATAGTTCTGAACTTCTTTTACAATTGAAATTGTTTCCTGGGTATTATTTTTTTTTCATCAACGAGATTGAAGAGGACTAGTTATAATATGTGTTAATAAGTGTCTTCATTAAGCATTTCAGATAAAATGTTTTGATCATCTTCACCAACTCCATAACCTGTCTGCAGGTTTCTTTTCCTTCCCAAAATGTTCTGGAGGTGCTGGATAATAAATATGAGCCATCATAAAACAACTGAGAGTTGACCAGGGTCTTATTTGACAGAGGCCATAAAACTGTAAACTTTAGGAAAAGATTCACATTCTATTCGCATGAGAAAAAGGAGGCAGGATCTGGAAAAGGGAAAGCCAGGAAGATTAATAGTAAGTTTTTACTCTTCCCAAGTCACAAATAAATACGTGCATTTTTGAACACACAAGCTAACCAGAATTGGAATGCCTTCAGATTAACAACCATTGTACTGTACTTATGGGTGATGTTCTGTGCTTTGTCAACATAAATTTAATGTTTTAATGTTTTCTTATCTTATTTTCATAATAGACATGTATTATTTTTATACTCAGAAACTAACACACACACACACACAGAAACATTAAGATAACTTACTCCCCTGAAAGAGCCAGAGTTAGCATTTTGGTTTATATCCTTACAGAATTCTCTCTGCACACCCCCTCTCCTCCCCACATTATTGATGTTCTTTATGACTATTAAAGTGGAAGGGGAGACAGTATTTCAATGACATTCACAGAAATTTAACCAAACATCTTTTGTAAAAACACCTTAATTTAGCTAAAGCACTCTCAGCTGCTCTGACCCACTGGGATGAGGTTCTTGGAGCTCCCCCAGCCCCAGGCTTCATTCCTCCTCCAGCCTTTGCTATGCCAGAAAATGAAGTGTTCGATTCCCACATGAGACCCCATTACATTTTTCTCAGCCTTCCCCTCTCATCATCACTCAGGGAAATGTATTGGAGAACACCAGGGGCTCTACCCAAAGGGGAACAGTAAGTGGGTTATTAGGTGAAGCAAAAGTCACTGTCCTCTAACGGCCTCATTTCCATTCATTAAATTACTGTAGCACATTAGGGTAAGCACAGTGTCCTAGAAAATTGCCTTCGCCTGTGAAACTCGACTTTCAGCTATTAGGAGAGGAAAGGAATTTCTCACATTTCCAAGAATGAAAAGATAATAACATAAGCCTTAGCTACCATTTATTTAGTGTTTGCTATATGTGGGGAAATGTGTCAAGCATTTGTTATCTATACATCTATTATCTGTCTTATTCCACATTTAAACACTAGAAGGAAGTCATGGCTTAGTTGACAGGAGTATGACCTAGAGTCAGGGGCCCTGGGTTCAAATCCTAGCTCTGCTACTTATAACCTGAGCACCTGTGGACAAGTTGTTTAACCTTCCTGTGCTTTAGGATCTAAGTCTGTAAGTGGAGATAATAGTAATATAATAGAAGGCTTAGAACAGTGCTTGGTACATGGTTAATGTTCAAAATGCTGTCAACTATTATTGCTATTATTTTTCCCATTTTACAGATGAGGAAACTAAGGTTTAAAGCATGGGTAATTTGCCCTAAGTCACAGAACTAATCCAGACCTTCTGACTTTAGAGGCCAAGGAACTTGTGCTCAGTCAGTAAGTAGTCAGCAGTAGATCAAAGAGCAGCAACAGGGTGCCTGATTCCTAAATTATAAGCTCTCTCTGCCCATCACACACTAAAGGTGTAGAAAGTGTGGGTTACTGTGCTGAATTTCTATAGACTGTAAATTTATCTTAGATGTTCCTTTCAGGAGAAAGAAATTGTCATACCCAGGAGTGTGTGCCTTGTATAAAAAGCCTTATAAACATTCTAATGTTGTACATGATAAAACAATCTCTCATCTGTCCTTTGAGTGTAAGCACTGGACCAGGTCCCTGGTGTGGCAGGTGTACATGTGGGAGAGGAAAGGGTGTGTGGTGAGAAAAGCCAGACGCTCAGTCTATTCAGGAAGGAGAGCAAAACTCTCTCTCCACCCTTCACTCATCGGACTTCCCAGGTTGTGCTTCTAGACAGAAGCCTTCTCCCATCTCCATATGGACCAGCAATCAAGAGCCTTTCATCCTAGACACCCCTGTGTGGCCCTGAACCTTAATATAACACGTCGCCTGCTCTGGTTCCACCATCACTTTTTCCCCCCTGCTGCAAGGACAGCAATGCCCAAGAGAAGGGCTGCTCCTTCAACTCAGATGCTGGAATAAGGATGACATGTAGAGCAGACCCGTAGCCAGCCCACACGAATGGATGACATAAGCGAGATACATTTTTGTTATTGTAGGCTGCTGAGATTTGTTTGTCACTGCAGCATAATCTAGAGGATCCTGGCTACTGTGTCCACTGTTTGGATCATATTGATCTAAAATATCATATATTTGCAAAAGTATTTGAAAATAATGCTTGCAATGATTGTATTCAATTAAAAAAAAACTAGGGCTACAGCCAAAGCTTCTTTATATGACTGTATAAAGAAATCTTTATATGACTGTATATAGAAATTTTGTCAGTATTCTAAATGCAAACTGACCCTGGACATGTTTTGATGTCCTTGGGAACATTTCAGCTCCCCCGAACAATGGAGTTTTAATTCTAATCCTTTTTTTCCTCTTCTGGGTGCATCTGTGAGCTAGAGAATTCATACCTCCCTTTTCGGCATCACATTCAGAGCTTTAACTAGTCATGACCAGTTCTCTTAAATGCATCCCAGACAAAGGCAATTGCAAAGCAAAAGCCACATTCAACTTTGCCACATCATACTGGAGAGAAATGGCTCAAAGGTTAATGGCAGACATATGGTTTACACTTGCTATTTCCTCTAAGCTTAACTTTGGATTTTTTTATTCCTTAGTTGTGTAAAGCTATAGCCAAATCAGCTCTCAGATGCATGTATATACTGTTTCAGAATGGAAAAAGAAAGTTGAATGGCAAACAAGTGAAAGAGTTGTATTCAAGAAGACTATTTGGAAACATAGATTTTTAGAAAATAAAATCACATGTAAGTAAACATGTCTGGTCAGTCAGATTCCTGGCTAGAATGCAAAAAAAAAAAAAGTTTGAAGGCTTAGCCAGTTAAATAAGAAAGTATGTGGTGGTAGTAGTGGTAAGCACCAGTGAAGTTTAAAACAAATGGCTTCAAGTACAGATTATACACACACATATTTATAAAGACACACTTATAATATATTAAATAATGTATATGATATTACATATTAAATATAAACGCAAACACTTATATCCTGCAGGACTTATTCCTGCAACTATGCTTTGGATTTTAAGTCACTCTTCAGTGATAAAGGGATCCCTTTTTATTTATTAAATACACAGTTTAAATTTTCTCGGTGTTTTCTAACCATTATGTCTTGTATGCTCCCTACAGATTGTCCAGTTTTAAAACCTGCACAGCTGAAATGAGTAATTGCCTGGGCAAAGGGTCACACCTGCTTGGTTTAACAGGATGCAGACAAATGAGAGGCCCGCCTCGCAGAGATGCTCAGCCCGGCTCAGCAGCACAGACGTCAGGACTCACCAGATATTGGGTAAAAACAGAAACTTCCTCTGTGCTGCTGTCAGAGTTCAGTCTCACCAACCTCCTGAGTCTAGGGGAACTTACCACTGGAAAAGTTATAGTTCTGTTTCCCGCACTGTCCACATCATTGGTCACAGCTTTCAGGTCATGAGATGAAAGGGGCTTCACAGAACCTAAGTGAAGATTAAAACATGTATATGAGTATAAAGCACAGAAAAGCTGCCAGTTAACAAAATAATCTGTATAGATCCCTGAAAACTCTCTGGAAAACACTTGGTTATAACTTGGTTGTAATAGGGGGCACTGGCTAGCTCTAACTTGAAACTGGGCTATAAGATTCTAGTGATCCCTGAGGCATCTATCTGTGGACATAATTTGCTACTAGGGCCCCAGATGAAACAGGCTTATTACCCCCAGCCCAGGCCTAGGTGTCTGATCCCTAGAGAAAGAAGGCAATGCCTGGCTATGTGGCCCCAGGCTCAGCTCCCAGTACATGAAAGGGAAAGCAAACTGTGTAGTGCCGAGAACACAGGAGATAGCACTCTCCCCTTGGAGGATGGGTAGAGGGGTCCTGGCCTGATGGCAGCTGTAGGTGCTCAATGGAGTGCCCATCTGCTGATATCTAGGGGCAGACGGTGGCTCTTGAACAAACGTGAGACATCTCCTGGGGACCCTGACAAATGCATGGACATTGTGGGGAGGGAAGGGCACATGTGAATGCCATGGGGGGAAGAACCAGTGACACATGGCTTTGTGTGCTGTGACCTCATTAGTAACCAAAGGCCAGAGAGACTTGGGGACACTCAAGTTAGAGCCAGAGAGGCTTGGGAACGTTCAAATGCTCTGTGGTAAAGGATCAGTGTTACCTAATTCACCATGGACAAATAATTTTATAAAATACAATAAAAATGTTACAGCAACATCAACTTGCTATACAAATTTCTAAACACTTCCTGTTGCTTTCGGTTCTTATTGGTTCACAGACTGGAAGGCCCGTGGACCACATTTAGAGGAGCACAGAGTTGGAGTACATATCCCTTTACTTTGCAATGATTTGGGGAACATCTCTAACCTTACAGGATGGCAGGTCTGAAATTGACTCACGTGGTTCTTCCAGCCCAGAATCTTCTCTCATCTCGTTTGTTTGAGCCTTTGCTAAAGGTTTTAGCATTAGGCCTTCGCAGGATAGCCCTCTGAAAAGGCACTTTATAAATTGTTTATGAAGTTGAGTTAACTATCTAACAATAACTAAGCTTCCTGAATGACATCCTGTTTTGCTTTCCTTGCTCAGCCATTGTAGTCTTAGAGAGCAAGGGCCATCAACCATAGTACTCAAACTACACTAGGCACTGGCTAAGTCCAAGGAGACACCAGCATTGTATCTGCAAGATTTCCAAACTTGCAAGGATTGTCCTAAGCCTTCAATTTGGAGGCTCCATTTATAGTGTCTGAGAACTTTGGGATGGACACTCGGTCCTGGGTCTCCTTGGGGGTGAAGGTAAGAGTGCCTGGGCAAGTCAGCCCAGGAACACAGCTCCGCGCCAAGTTCAGGACTGTCTTGGCACACGTTTGTTTATTACACAACATGCTCATATGATGCTGGTAACTGCCACCCGCATTCCTTTCACTTCTTGCTGCTGACATTTTTTGCAGTCATTGCCAACCTCTGGCTTCTGGAGCTGGGAGGCTAGAATCAGAGGTCACTCCAGCGAGACTAAGAGCAGTGTTTCTGTGCCCTCAGTCTATGCTAATAAAGCCATACTGGGGACCTTCCTTTGTCACCTGTCAAAGTAGAATGCCCCTTCCTATCAGATGGATTATGTCTCTAATGTGTGTGGTCTCTGGCCACCCCAACATCCAACTTGTCCATCTTCAGTTTTTCTTAGAAACCTTTCCCCACTGTGCCTTTTTTCTTATAAAGGGCACTGATTTATAATTCACTTGTTCCATCATGTCCAGAGTTGCCTTTGGCAGGTAGGACTCTTTTTAAAATACATATTATTTCATTTATCTCAGCCTTTTGGAGTAGAGGAGCCACCAGAGTTGTCCCAGGCCAAGAGTGCTTTTTTCTCAGCCATAATACCTCAATCTTCAACCTCTTCTCCAGCTACCTAAGCCAGAAGGGTATCTAGGTTTAATTCCTACTCAGCAGTCACTCTGAACATGTTCAGTAAGCTAGTGCTCACCCCTGGTTGCAATTGCCTGACAAGCCTCTCTTATGACCCAGCCCAACTCTCTGAAAGACAAGCATCATTTCCCTCCTGCCCACTGCATTTCATCCAAGCAGTTCATATTTTCATCAGTGAGCTCCAGGCATTTAATTTGGAAATAATTTCTCTAAGGTCCTACCTAAATCTATATCCATAGAATAACTGCCTAATAAAGGGTATGGTCATAAGAGGCTCTGAAACCACATCTGTTTGGCAAGACTTCACTCTGTATGCCCTTTATGGAGATTTGAAAAAGCAAATCTATATTCTGAAGTCTCTGAGAAGTCATGGAGTAAAGAAATCTGTTTTATTCTCCTTATAAACACAGGATTTCTCAAAATCCTTGTATCCCAGCATGTTTGTTTCAAGAAAAACCATAGCCAGGTTTTCATGGGCACTAGGCTTGGAAGCCTTAGATATTTCTTCAGTAAACACTATCAGGTACCTAATATGTGAAAGGCCCTACAATGAGAAGCAGAGATCTAACAAGACACAGCCCTACCCTCTCTTTTAGATATCATAACCCTAAGAAGTATGCATTTGTTTCCTCATCACTAAGAAGGGATGATAAGGCTTAGCACAGTTAAGCAAATTCCTTGAGGGTCAAGTGTAAGTCTCGCTGACTCAGAAGTGAGTATTTATTTTTAAGTTGACGCTATCTCATCTATACTCTTCTACTTAGAACTCAATGGGGGAAATGATATCTGAGTCAGGAAACAATGTGATTAACCATTCAAGAAATCTGACTTATTCTCCTCCCCACCTTCCAAACCTATCCTTCCTTCCCTGGGTCTTCACTTCATAGTCTTGCTGTCGTCCCTGGAGTGCCCTCCCCTCCTCGACACCACCCACCAAAATGCTGTTCATTCTGAAGGGGCAGCTCGAGGCTTGTCTTGGCCAACAAGCTCCCTTTGACCCTTGCAGTCTAGGGGAAATTTCCCTCCTCCGAATTCCTGCAGCTTACCCATTCTGTACCACTCACTGGACACTTACTATATGTTTTACATGGTTAGTGTACTCCTGAGTGTAGAGCTCTCATTTCACCAATTAATAGGCCTTTAATTACTTCCTTGAGGATTGACAATCTTTTCTCATAGTTCTTGGTTACCTCCCACTAAATCTTACAATATACAATTCAGTGTTTCAAGAGCCACTGACTAAAAGGTTTACAAATCCCTGCTCTAAACCCTTTAGTAACACACTGTGAGTCCCTCTCCTTTCTTTTCTCCTTCAGTTCTTGCCATGGACGACAGACAGCTGGTGGTGAGATGTAGCTCCTTCTATCTCATGACCAGAGATTGAAGTCACAGACTTTTCCAGGAAGACCCTTGCCTGAAGGGCTGCTTAACTCTGGGTCTATGTAAGCCTGTATTCTAGACCATTCTAAACAAAACTCTCAAGGTCAATCCCTCCCCAGTACTTTTTTTTAAAAAAGCCAAGTACAATTTGGATAAGTAGAAAAACTAGGTCCTAAAGCCACAGTATATTCCAACACACCACCACCAAAGATAAACAAACAAAATCAATGGCAGCATTCAAGGTGAAAAACTGGTTATAAAACTCCTTTCTGGGGAGTAAAGTTTACAGGAAGAAATAGAATGTGTTTCAATTTATATACGTATAAAATATAACAAAACGAAAATACACTTCGGGTAAATTTTTTTCTTAGTTCATAAAAAAATGTTCATTTAGAACTATAATCCTTCTACTTTAAAATAAGCAACTTGACAGATAATTTTCAAATTTGTCAGGGCATAGAAGTCACGGTTAACCTCAAAACATTCACCATACTAAGTATTATAGTAATTATTTTGGCTTACCATGCAAATTCTGTGAGTCTCAAGCTAGGGCCACTTTTTAAGGCTGGGTGCAAGAAGGAAGCAAAAGAGAAATAGCCAAAGTTGGACAAGCTGGTAGAGGAAGTCTGACTAGTAGGGGATAAATGTGAGTCAAAAAAAATTTGTTGACTAATGCCAGGTTGCAATATTTCCCTAACGAAGGAGAGTAAAACACAGAATTTCTACATAATCGCTGCTTATTAAATTGCTATACATATTTTCCTGGTTGTGCATGTCAAAATTCTTCAGTAATATCGAGAAGGAGATAAAATAAACAGCTACCATGACGGCCGCATTCTCAGGAAACCAACATTCTACAGCAGAGACAGCCCTGGGACACCAGCCCAGACATACAGCAGAGGAGCGGCCCCATGCAAGAATGGGATTTGGAGTCGGAGTTTGCACTCAGTCATGAGCTTTAGGATCCCTATTAGTTACATGACCTTGAGCCTTCCCAAGCCTCCATGGTTTTTATTTAATTTAATTTAATTTAATTTTTTTTTTTTTATTTTTTTATTTTTTAGTGACAAAGTCTCTCTCTGCCATCCAGGCTGGAGTGCAGTGACACCATCATAGCTCACTGCAGCCTCAAACTCCTGGGCTCAAGTGATCCTCCTGCCTCAGCCTCCCAAGTACCTGGGACTATAGACACACACCACCACACCTTGCTAACTCCATGTTTTTTATCTGCCAAATGGGAAGGACCAAAATTTGCTTTTATATATACTCTCATTTAAATCCTTATAGCAACCCAGTGCAATAGATAAACAATATAAAACACTATAAAGACACACAATAATTACCTGCACTTCTAATTATTTCACTATCTCAAGCTAGCTATACTCTGCTAAGAGGGGAAAGAGAAAAAGGGAAAGACCCAGCCCTGCTTTTGTGAAATTTCTACAAGAAGAGAATTCTACTCCCACGCTCCTATCAAGGGATTAGTGATATCAGTAAAGTTATAAATTAACTTATGTGCAAAGCTGAAATTGAGATGGATCCGCTTATCGATCCAGTTCCCAGGAATGCTTTACCAATCTGACTCACAAAGCACCAGGCAAGATTCCTATGCAGACAGCCTAACGTTCATATCCACATCATCCCCTGAAAACGTCCACCCAGCAGTACATTTGGAGGCCCACAGGTCCTTGCATCATGGAATGGGTAGAAATGTATCTTTGTTACCCTCAGGGACCACGTGGCAGGGAACAAAGGAGACATAGTCAGACTCTGCAATTCTGTACAAGTACTCCCTAGAAACATGATTTAATAAAAGGTAGGTCAATAGCATAACAAGCTCTCAGGTCCTTGTTATCTAAGCAAACCCTGAGAGTTCTGATTCCTCACACACACACACACAAAAGGTTACAGACTGTTAAAAAAAATTCCCAATATACTCAAAAGTCACCATTTTAAAAAGAGAGAGAGAGAGAAGTCTGAGTCTGATTCATAACAGGGGTCCAAAACCAAATGTTCTTTTTCATTTGCTTGTTTTACTAGAAATAGCACTTTGAAAGTTGTATTTAATGAAACACGCAATTAAGGAGGGAACATTTTCTGCCATTAGACACTTTGAACTCTTCATTAATCCGGAAACAAAATGGAGATGGAATCAAAAGAATGACATCAAAACGAATATAGAATTTTGTACTGGGTGTGCTCTAACAGACTATGACCAAATAAAGATAAAGAGGGAAACACAAACAGCAGGGTTGACCTGTGCATTTTCTACTGTACAATCTCAGATTTTTCCTGATAGACCTTCCAGAAGGGTGACCTTATGTAAATCACTTAGCCTCCCACATCTTGGTTTTATCAACCTACTTAGGTTGTTATGTGGAATAATGAATTCAATTAATGGTGGAGCACTTTGCAAATATGAAAGGCTAAGAGAGACTACTTAAGCCCAAGTCTTTGTTTGTGGCTGATGATGGACAGATGCACCAGGGGAGAACCAGCTGGTTTCAGCAACAGCCTCATCTGCAGCTGGGCTGCAGCCACTTTGAGGGTTATTAGTTGCCTCCATATCCATTTAGAAAATGTAATGGATTGGCTCTCACGTTTAGCTTGCCTTTAACTCTCTTTGCTACTTTTCTAGGAGAAATTATTTTCTCTACTCACCAAAAGCAAATATTGACCTGGTAGTGGACAAATAAATCAATCCAGCAAGCTAATTTTTGTTTCAACCCTTCATTGAAAATAGTAACTTCAGTTCTTCTACCTACTTTGCCCTTCAATGGGTGGCAGCTAGTGGAGAAAGCCCAGCTTTAAGGTCTGACAAACTTAATCTTTCTGAGCCTCAGCTTTTCTTTTTTTTTTTTTTTTTTTTTTGAGACAGAGTCTTGCTCTCTCACTAGGCTAGAGTGCAGTGGCGCAATCTCGGCTCACTGCAACCTTTGCCTCCCGGGTTCAAGCGATTCCCCTGCCTCAGCCTCCTGAGTAGCTGGGACTATAGGCGACCGCCACCACGCCTGGCTAATTTTTTTTTTTTTTTTTTTTTGTATTTTAGTACAGATGGGGTTTTACCATGTTGGCCAGGATGGTCTCGATCTCCTGACCTCATGATCCGCCTGCCTCAGTTTATCTCGAAAATGGAGTCATTCCTTCCTATGGCCCAGAGGACTTCAGATGATGAAAAGACATGGATGGCAGAACTGCATCTCCTGTGGTGCCTGACAGGTGGTAGTGAGTCAATGATTCCTTTCTATTGTGGATTTCACAGTTTTAGAAAACCAAAACTTCTTTTGTGCAAGTCTCTAGAGCAGTCATCTCCATTTTGAAAATATGATAATCCTTTCATAAAAATGAAAAACTTTCTAGGCCCTCACCTAACAATACTTATATAATACTAACAATACATAATTGGCAGAAACTTCCTATCAATTCAGTGCCTCTTCAGATGAACTGTATTGTATTTAATCAGCACATCTTCACACATTTGAAAAACAGAAACATGTATGTGGAAAATACCATTCAGTCTAGAAACTATGCTTTGGTACATATGTAGGTAGATTTAGGACCTTGTGGCAATGAAGCTAACCTCCACGAATCCAGGCTACAGGTTTGGAACTACTAGGTGAGAGCATTCGCATAGTAAATTATTTTCCGATTCTTTGGGGATCCTTTGCATTAACTGTGAAGGTAGTCAGGAAATTACTTCATTTGGATTTAGAGGATATTTTACCTTTATTTTCTTTGCTGTATTTTCAAAGAAGATAATTTGAAATAACTGAAAACAGAGCTTTTTTAACTTTCTCATCCAGCCCTCCTAGCTCATGCTCCCTCCCATTCCTGCTGCAGACTGGAATGGCCTGCTTCTCCTCTGACAGGGGAGAACAAACCCTTGCAGAGTGGCTGGGTCACCTTCAGCAGATTTACAGCAGTCATTTGGCCTATTGATTTATTGATGAACAGGAGGAAGAAGACAAGGCCTTTCAAAGTCAGGATCTCTTAAAATTAAAGTTATATTAATTAATTCATTCATTCACACATTCATTCATTGAACAAATATCTCTTTGTTTTGTTTACTAATGTATTCCTAACATCTGGAACATATAACTGGATACATAATAGGTGTTCAATATTATTTCATTCTTTCAACAAATTTTTATTAAGCACCTACTATGTTTTATTAAGCACTGCTAGGTGCTAAGGATACAACAATGAACAAAACAAAGATTCTGCCCTTATAATCTATAGGGAAAGACAGACAACAAACAAATATCCAATTCAATCTATACTATAAGGTCAGGTATTCTGGGAAAGGGATGGAAAGTGGCAGAGAAGGGATGCTATTTTAGTGGTGTTCAGGAAAAGGCTCTCAGAGAAGCTTATATTTGAGCACATTACTTACTTAAATTTGACAATTTGAGTAAGTAAAATGAGAGTTATAGGAATGCTAATATTTGCTATCATTAGCCTTACTAAAACATGTCACTTTTTTAAAGAGTCCAGTGCCTGGAAAGTTTCTACATGGCCTGTAGTTTTCAGTCATATGACCATCACATTAACCACTGATTAAAGTGCATTTTAGTTTCACATTGTTTTTCTCTATAACATAGCAGCATGTACAAAAACTAGCTGGCCCTCATTGATTTGTGCCTGGGAGAAGTTCTGAATGCTTTGGCTGGGAAAGGACTTAAGAGCCAAATGCCCATTGCTGGGTGTAGTGACCCAGTAGGCCAGGTCCTGTGGAGAGGAGTCCCCATCTTCTGCACAGAGGTCACCACTGGTCATCTCAGTGAAAGAATTCATCAACACCTTAAAAAGAAGAGAATCACAGATCTTTTGAGGACCAATGTCAATCACATCACATTAGTAAACTGGATAGCAATGACGTCCTGTCTCCTTGGACAAAGATTTAAAATCCAAAGCAATTCACCAGAGTTTTTAAAGCATGAAGTTTCTTCATTTGAAACAGATGTATAATTAAATGTCAGGTGAAATACAAAGCCTGAAGTAGTGTTTAGTTAATTTATGAGGTTTATGAGGTTTCAATAAAGAAATAGGATTCATAATTAATCCAATTTCATTATGTGAAGTGCATGTACATTTGTATAATGTAGAAAAACACCAAAAATTGATGATGACTAAGCACCTTTTGTGTGCATGGCACATGCTGGATACTCTACATGGGGTCTCAGATAATTCAGAACCTATCTCATAGGATTGATTTAAGGATTTCCATTCATTGCTGTAAGACGCAAATTATTTCACTAGCTTTTAAATGGTTGAGGGAAAAAAAACACACACACACTGCATATTTTTCTATCCTATTTGTCCTACCTGTCTTGCAAGAACACAAATATCTTGTTCTTATGGCCTTGCAATGTTTGCTGTGCTGATAGCACACATCTACAATTGTATCTGAGTACTAGTTCCTATTTTCCAATTACATTTAAAATCTATTTACATTGCCTAAACATCTTAATTTAACGATTCATCAAGCATTTATTGAGCATTTACTATCTTCCAGACAATGTTCTGGGTGTTTGCTATACATCCGTAACCAAAAAAAGAGTCCTGTTCTCAGGAGCCTCCATTCCAGCAGGAAGGGACAAAGGGACACAGAGAAGAAACAATGGCATAATAAAGAAATGAATTAAACAATGTGTCAAAAAAAAGTCACAGCACTATGAAAAAAAAGAAAAAATAAAGCAAGATAAGGGGGGCCTCAGGAGTGAGCAAATGTTAAGTATGAGGTTCAGTTTGAGGAAAGACTGGAAGGAGGTGAAGAGGGAGCCAGTGAATATGTAAATATCTAGGGGAGGACCATACAGGCAGAGGAAACAGCCCAAAGGCAGGCCTCATCTGTTGGGAGACTAGGAAATCGGTCAGTTGGAAGGAGCAGAATAAGCAAGATGAAGAGTAAAAGGAGATGAGTTGAAACATAATGAAGGTTGTCATATTGTTCGGGGTCTTGAACGCTACTGTAAAAACTCTGGTTCTTCCTTGAGTGCAATGATGGATCATTGCAGAGTTTTAGGTGAGGAGTGACCTGGTCAGACTCATGTTTTCACAGAATCCTTTGGCTTCTGTATCAGGAATAGACTCTGGGAGGTACAAGGTAGAGGCAGAGAGACCAGTTAGGAGGTGACTACAATAATTCCAGAGAAGGATGACAGAAGAGAGTGGCCCCAGAAGTTGCAGAGGTGGTGGGAAGTGGCCAAATTCTGGGTGTCTGTTGAAGACAAAACCAGCCGAGCTTCTGGCTATTTCAATTTGGCGAGGTGTGAAAGAAGGAAAGGCGGTGAGAATGACTCTATGGTTTGGGCCTCAGAAACGAGGACAGGGTTACCATCAGTTGAGATAAGGAAAGCTGAATGTAGAGTAGATTTGGGGAGTAAGATCAGGAGTTCAGTTTTGAACATGGGTTTAAAATGTTTATATGGACACTGAATCACATTTGATGGAATTTGGCTGTTTTGAGTTTCTCTAATCATGCAGCCACAGGATACTTCACTAACACTAAAGACAAGTAGTTTTGTCACTAACTCAAATTTCACATTTATATCTGTATTTGTATTTATATGTATTTTTCTTACCCACAGAAACACCATGTGCACATACCCATGCATAAGAACTTTATCATCTTCTACGCTTTTTCATAACTTGTTTAAAAATTCAGTCCTAAATGACTTAATAGATGATCTCTCCAGTTAAAGAGAACCATTTCCCTCAGTAGAAAGAGCAGTTTGTGAAATAACTTACTCCAATTAGATGATGGATGGCATCATCTAATAACTAAACAGAACTTGAGACAGGAAACTCAGAAAGTATATAAGATTCCTATGTTTTCATGTCAGGCATAATGGGGCTGGAAGATAATCCATTCTGCTTCCTTCTAATACACCAACTACTGATAACACAGGAAAAAAAACTACTTTGTGAATTATCCTTTAATTTCTTAAAAGTTAACAGATGAGACCATAAAGTAATTATACATAAATAAATACCCACATACTCCACATATATACACATGCGCATGCACACACACACGAACTTACACTGCCAAACCAATGTTTAACTCCTCAAAGTAGTTATGTTGAAAAATAACATGTGCCAATAACAATAGCACTACTTGAAATTCTTTTAAATATTTTCAGGTTGTTCAAGAATGCTTGATTTAGTTTCTGTCCAGTTAAACCACCTGGGTTTGGGTCACTGCTTTGTTGCTTACTAGCTATATAACCTTGGGCACATTTCTTAACCTCTCTCTGCCTTAATTTCCTCATCAGTAAACTAGAAATGATAGAGCTGTTGCACAGACTGAGTGACTTAATATATGAAAAGTGTTTAGAACTGTTTCATCAGGCACATAGTAAGCATTCAATAAATATTAGCTTTATATGACCCATCTTCTTCATCAGATTTGGCTTTGAGGACAGATGTGACTTTTTAGTATTTCCAAAAAGTCACTTAGAGTGTGATTATTGCCATTATTGAGGCTATTCTATAACATGTACTGCAGATTTTGTTTAATCTTCCAGCATTCTTTCATAACTTGGGGTGAATAGTTTATCTGTTTAATAATTGTGTTGTTGATGGACATGCCTATATCTTGCCATTTGAATATGCCTACTGAAGATTTTGCAGCACTAAGCTCTAAGGACATCAGCTTTTAAATAGCTACCAGAAATGCGAATCAATACAACGTTCAAATAATAAGGTTTTGGCCTTCATTTAAACCCACAGAAAGGCTATAATAAAATGCGCAAGTTGGACTGTTTAACAAAATTCCAAGCCCACTCATTCTGGTTTTTCACTTTTTACATTTTTTAATCCATCCACATATCTCATCCTCATTTCTTCTAGAGCTCCAGCTGACTTGGAAATGTGCTGCCATTTCTCTTCTCGTGACTTGTAGAAACAATCATTTTTTCCAAGGCCATACACACCAAGGCTGGACAAAGCATGTTTTCCACTGCAGCTACTCTGCTATGGAACACTGCTTTCCCTCCCTCTCGCCTCTGAAATATACCATCTTCCAAAACAAATGGAAAACCTGCCACTCAAAACAAGATCTAGTAGCCTCAGGTCTCATTTCCACTCAAACCAAATTTAGTTCAATTAACGACCCCATTGCTTCAGGTAAGGCCTGATTTAGTGCCCAGTGCTTGGTAATGGAAACTTCAGGCAGATGAGGAGAAGGAAAACAAAGACCCCCAATTTGAATTCAGATTTTAAAGTGATCCAAAGCCCAAAAAAGAATAGTTCAAAGCATAAATATCAGAAAATAACACAAACCTGGAATAATAATTTTTAAATTGACCTTTAGCTTTAAGAAGAGTTTAGTGGTATTTAGAAACCTAATTGTGATCCCATTTAATCCTAGTTGTAAACTTAATATTTAAAAGCCCAGACCTTTGGAGGCAGAGGTTGCAGTGAGCCGAGATCGTGCCACTGCACTTCAGCCTGGGTGACAGAGCAAGACTTCGTCTCAAAAACAAACAAACAAACAAACAAACAAAAACAACAAAGCCTAGACCTTTGTTGCGTTTCATACGAGGGATGTGAAATGCTCATGAATTCACTCTCCCACTGTTGGTCCCCCGAGAGCTTCAATTGGCATTTCAAACTTTGCTGCCTTAATTCTTCTACTGTGACCAGCTCTCAAAGCTCCTTTTAGTGATGACAAGTATTTCTCAAAAGCAAGCAAATGGTTCTATTTTCAGTATAAAAACAACAAAACAAAATGTATAGTATTACTGAAAGAGGAACTTGAAAAATAGGAAAATGAAGCCCCCTTGTGGACAAAAATATGTTTTATCAGATATGCACAAAATTCACTGATCATATTTGAATACAAAAATACTCAGTAGAATATATTTCAAAGTAAAATGCAAAGGATTCACCCAAGATGGCCTAACTCCAATTCCCAATTCCAGTTTGTTGGGACACAAATGATCTCTTGTACCATTGAATGACCTTGGAGATCAGCTGAAAGAACTGTGGCTTAAGGAAATGTTTTAATTTGTCAGGAGAAAGAAGTGTGTTTTAAATGGTGGGACACAGAGGTTAACATTCTGATTGCTGGCTATGAACTCCCTCCAGAGTCTGAGATGTTATCAGCAACTCTATCCCCCACGCTCCCACCTTCTTCTCCCACTTAGGCTGCAGACAGACTTTCTTGCCACCTCCTCCAGGCCCAGATGACAAGTAGGGAGAGTGAGTCATCATGCAGGATAATCCGAATGTCTTGAGAACATGCTGTTTGAAAAGTCAGAAACAGCACTGAATCTGAAGACTTTATCACATTTGCATTTGCATAACTGCCTTTGCCCCAGACTCTGCCACTAACTTTGTTATTTTGGGCAAATCGCTTAACCTCTTGATCTTTAATTCCACCTTCTTAAAATTGGAATAAGAGCAATACTCTCTTTATCTGCTTCACCAGGTCCTTGAGCTTCTTCGCTAACTATGAAGGAAGAAGTGAGAGAACACTGTGGTGCCAAACTCAAACTCGCATTCTAGCTCTGCCACTTGCTGTCCACCAGCAGCCCTTCTGCTTTGGACCTTGGAGAAGTGTCAAAGCCTCTCTGCATTGCAGATTTCTCATCTTTAAAATAAAAATCATATCCCAGAGAGTTGTTGAAGATTCACTGGGTAAATGTAAAGCGCATAGAACAATGCCAGGCACTGTAAGTACTATGTAAGTAATAACTATCATTAGGACCATGTAATGGACCATGTAAATGGTTGTTATTATTACTGTTTGATATGCTCTGAAATATAGAAATAAGAAACATCATCATCTGAAATAATCTCCTAAGTTTAAAACTTTGCCTGGAAAGAAGTAACTGGTAACCATAGCTTTGGAGAAACTATGTTATTGAAAACTGCATTCTCGTGGCTCTACTATGTTGATAAAATGCATATGCTATATCTATTAGCTTTCACAAAAAAGTAAACACACCTGATGTGTGAAAATTATTTAATAATGTTAAAGGTTATCAATTTATGAGAACACTCTGCAATTGATCAATACACACAGTCTTTCCAGAAAGTTTCTATGCTCATTTGCCATTGTTATTACACATTCTAGTGGATAAAAGAGATACCACACTCCAATAAAAAATGAGGGGCAGATATTAAAAGGATGTTTTAAGGAATCGCCACACTGACTTCCACAATGGTTGAACTAGTTTACAGTCCCACCAACAGTGTAAAAGTGTTCCTATTTCTCCACATCCTCTCCAGCACCTGTTGTTTCCTGACTTTTTAATGATCGCCATTCTAACTGGTGTGAGATGGTATCTCATTGTGGTTTTGATTTGCATTTCTCTGATGGCCAGTGATGGTGAGCATTCCTCAAGGATCTAGAACTAGAAATACCATTTGACCCAGCCATCCCATTACTGGGTATATATCCAAAGGACTATAAATCTTGCTGCTATAAAGACACATGCGCACGTATGTTTATTGCGGCACTATTCACAATAGCAAAGACTTGGAACCAACCCAAATGTCCAACAATGATAGACTGGATTAAGAAAATGTGGCACATATACACCATGGGATACCATGCAGCCATAAAAAATGATGAGTTCATGTCCTTTGTAGGGACATGGATGAAATTGGAAATCATCATTCTCAGTAAACTATCGCAAGAACAAAAAACCAAACACCGCATATTCTCACTCATAGGTGGGAATTGAACAGTGAGAACACATGGACAAAGGAAGGGGAACATCACACTCTGGGGACTGTTGTGGAGTGGGGGTAGGGGGGAGGGATAGCATTGGGAGATATACCTAATGCTAGATGACGAGTTAGTGGGTGCAGCGCACCAGCATGGCACATGTATACATATGTAACTAACCTGCACATTGTGCACATGTACCCTAAAACTTAAAGTATAATAATAATAATAATAATAATAATAATAAAAGGATGTCTTAAATGTCATAAATTGCCTACACAGGCTATCAAAATCAGCAAGGCCAATTCCTGGATGCCTCTTGGCTCTTTTTCATCAAGTCTAAATTATGTTGACATTGTTAATAGCCATTGTGATTAAATCATAAAATTTCAGTGCACAAGACTTCATCATTCTAAAATCCTGACAGCAATTTCATTCACATTATACTGTAGACACAAGGAAAGCAACACTGTGATTATACACCCTAATCTACATCCCTTTTTCTTGGAATATTTAAAATTTCATAATGTGTTATTTTTCTTCCTTCATAACTTTGGGCCACAACAGCAGTATATAAAGTGGATCAGTCAGGTTTGCAGACAGTGTGGCTGGTACTTCCATCCCAACCTCCTTTCCTGCTGAAACGAACAAGGCAGAGGCGCAGGGTCAAGGGCAGTCAGGGTTAACCAGCAGGCAGGGCTGGGACCTTGAGGAGTCACAAGGAGACTTCAAAGCTGAGGGCAACAAACCTGACTCCCCACCTAGAACACAGAGCCCTCTTACGTGTGGTAATGTATCCTGATAAAGCGGGACTTGGGGCTTGTTATAGGCTGTGTCAACTCTAGCACTACTCTATAGTACCAGTTTCTAGTGTCCTGGTGGATAGAAGTTCTAGTAGATGAACTTCTGGGACTTGACTCAATCCCATAAACATTATTATCCCAGATTATCCCAGAAACAGGTGGAGTGATGAAAAAATGTGTGATTCATATCTACAAAAGAATCTAGCTTTGCTAGGTCAGTAGCTTACAATGTTTTTTCATTAATACCAAAACTAAAGAATACATTTTTCAAAGCAACCTAGTATGCATATATATATTCTTATGTGTGTGTGTTTAAAACTCTATATATATGAAGCAAAATTTTCACAAAAAACAATATTTACCCTCATTATACACAACACATTCTGATACTACCCATTCTATTTAATTTTTTAAAAAATTGGTTCTGACTCAATTAATTTCACAGCCCACGCCACAGGTTGCAAGTGGGGGCTCTGGGCAAAGACATCCTGGCCACAAGACCCGCCCGCTCTTCTAACCATATGACTTTGGTCAAGTAACTTAACCTTTCTGTGCCCCAAGTCTGTTGCAGTCTTCATTTTATTTCAAGAGTCATTGAGAGAATTAAACGAGAAATCATTTAATCATTTATGTGATACTTTTAGAACTGAGCCTGAGTCTTAGCAGGGGGTCAATAAGTGCTGGCCTGCTTCCCTGTCATTATCTCTGAAAGGCCTGTGGAACAAAACTGTCTGGCGCTGGGGGGTCCTTATGCCCAGAAATCAACTCTCACCATGGAGAGATATCTATTCACTCTCCTCCTCCCTCCATCTGCTCCAGTCACATGAGCTTTCCATGTCGTCAAACACGCTCCAGACTCACTGTCTTTGCCCTTAATCATTCTTCTGCCTCGAGTGCTCTTCCCTCTAACATGCCTATGGCTCCTCACTTCCCAGTCTAATCACCCTCCCCCAGCTTCCCACCTTTACTCAGAAAAGAGTTCACCTCACAGGCTGAAGGTTGCCTGTCCTGAGAAAGCCCTGCTCAGAAGGTTGGCACTGCACTGGTATCTGGGAACTCGGCTATTAAACAGTTTCCCATGCTAATATAAAACTTCCCCTAAATTATAAGGGAGGCTTGCTGTGTCTAAATTGCTTGTATAAATAATGTGATTTATGCTGGACACCTGCTTCCTTCTGGGGGCCAGGGATTTGGGTACATACTAAGCAGAGGGTGTCTACCTGACTGGCTCCCAGTAAAAATCCTGGGCACTCAGTATCTCATGAGCTTCCCTTGTATCAACACTTTGCATGTGTCATGACAACTCGTTGCTGGAGGCATTAAGTGCATCCTAGGTGACTTTCCTGGAAAAGGACTCTTGGAGCTTGACCCAGTTTCCTCTGGACTTCACCCCATGTGCTGGTTCCCTTTGCTGATTTTGCTTCACATTTTTTACTGTAATAAATCTTAGCCATGAGTATGCTAAATCCTATGAGTCCTTGCAAATCAGTGGGGGAGATCTTCGGAGCCACCCACACACAAGCCTCCATGCAAATATCACCACCTTGAACAGACCTTCCCGGACCACCGTCTCTGTAGCATCGGTATTCTTTAATCACAATCATTCTCTATCTCCTCAACTGCTTTACTGAAGAGTAGAGCAGATCTCATTCCATTTATAAAATAATTGTATTGTCTTCCCTACCGAACATAAACTCCATGAAGGCATTAGGCACTCAGTATTTGTTGAGCCTCCATAATGTGCCAGATACCATGCCAGGCACTGAGGACACCACAGGGAAAAGACAGATAAAACTCCTTCCAAATGGAGCTTACATTTATGGGAGGAGACACAAAATAGATTTGTTTATTTGTTTAATATCAGAGGGTGGTGGGCACTAAAAAATATAATAAATAAGAGTCCGGGGATAAAGGATGGGATGGTGCTATTTCTTCTGGGGTGGTTAGAGAAGGCCTCTTTTGAGAGCATCACATCTAGAGGCTTGGGGAGCCATAGTCTAACCAGGCTACCTTCCCAGAGGAGGTAATACATCCACACTTAACGGGAAGCCCTCTAACTAAATTCTGTATCATATGACTAGAAATCAACAAAATTCCAAAAGGCATTATCCACAATAGTCATAATTTAAACAAATAAAAAATTATTTGGCAAATAAGCTAAAACTTATTTAGCAAACAAGCTAAACTTATATAGCAAATAAGCTAAAAGTCTTTGGGAAGACTTTCATTGAACAGCACGCCATGACCATTACTTAGAATTCAAGAAACCAATTATTGGGATTTCTTTCATTTAAAAAAAAATCAAGAAAGTCCTCCCAAAACTTCTCCTACATCTTTACATGACTAGTTAGCATGTCCCACAATAGTACCTAGTCACCTTGAGACTTTAGACACACTGACTTTAAAACCAAAACTATTTGTACGTTTCTCAAAGAGAAGAGAAATGGTTCATCTGAAATGTAAAACCTCCACCTAGTCTAGACTAAAGTGAGTCCATCCAATGTAAAATGGCAGCTCTACTGCTTCTCCATCTGTCTAAGTCCAGCTTCAACCAGAGAATATCGACAAGCTTTACAGCCATAGAATCACAGGGCATTAGAACTGGGAGGGTTGAGAGATCACCAAGTAAAACAACGCCCCCTCCCTGGGGTTTTGCTATTAAGGAGAGTAATGCCCAGAGAGATTTTGCTGAAGTTCACATGAGCAGTTTACAAACCTTAAACTTCATTCTCCTAATTTTAATCCAAAACCTTCAAGGCAAGGAACAAGTTTCTTATCTGATAAATAAACAAATAAACTCAGAAAGAGCCAGTATTGAATGACACATCCTTCAAAACTGGGGAGTCGTGCACTTCCTGAACTGGATCCAGACTATCCAGGGAATAAGGTAAGAATAAAGGAAACAGTCCTCCGGCCACAATTAGTCTTCCTTTTTTCCTTGACAGAAAACACCCTTATATCAAGGTTGGAGAGAGACAGTCTGGGCAGACCACTGAAGCAACGCTGCAGTGTCTGATGGAGACTGTATTTCCCTAATTCTAAGGAAGGACAGAGACAAAGTCTAGGGTACATGTTTTCCCTCTCACATTTTAACGTTTCTGAACATCCTAATTTGACAAGTATATTTAATATCATAAAGTTGATATTAAGTTGATGGTGCATCTTATAATTGATACTTAGGAACTGAAAGCCGAACCCAAAATGGAGCTTCAATTCCTAAAGAGCCTAAGAGTTTACTATTTATCCTTTGGTTTTCTCCTTCGTTGGTCAACTCTAGCGCTTCTCCAGTATCTTTCTACATCTCGACCTCCCTATTCCCTCTCGTGCATTTCTCTCATCCTGCAATTCTGTACCATGTAGCCAAATGCCCAAACCCTCTACTGAGGTTCCTGGGTAAATCCATACATGCTGATAACAACTGCTACAGCTCTATCCCATAAAAGCCCCTTCAGTAGAAGTAAGAGGCACAGCAGCTTTGGTACTTTTCTTTTTCTTGCTAATAAAGACACCCTCTGACAACCTGGATGCATTGAAAGAGCTTGAGTCAGTCGGGAGGAGCAGGGAAAAGTGGCAGAGTGTGGGGGCAAAATGTCAGGTTCAGACAGACTTGGCATCAAGTCCACGCCTCCTTTGTTACCTCTCTATGCCTCGGTGTTCCTGTAGTATAAGTAAGGTTATGAATCATAGAAGTTTCCTTAGAGGGCTGTGAAAATGACACCAGTTACAGAAGAGGCCCGGTACTTGGTAAGCACACAATAAATGTAAACTTCTATAACTGTATTTAATAACAATTGACACCTAAAATTCCTCTTTGTAGCTGCCAACCTATTTCCCAGATCACTTTGCAGGGAGGGTTCAGGAGGCATTACTACAACACGAATCTGTGGGATAGGGAGATGTGGCTGAAAACAGTGGGGCAGCCTAAATTGTGACCAGCTGGAACAGACCATCCCAGATTACCTAAGAAGTAACTGTGGAGTCAAATGATAACGTGACAAGTTCTTAAGGTATAAACACTATAAATTTTTCACTTAAAATATAGAGACTGAATAATGAATCAAGCTCTAAGATAACTAAAAGCACTAAAAAGCCTATTTCTAGATCCAATTGTTTTGAACAAATAAAAACCCTTACGATTTTTAACCATGTAAAGTGCACTAGTTACATTAGCCTCTGGGGGGCTCCTGGCTATGCCTGCCAATCATTTAATTGACCTTAGGGTGCTTTATAAATTAAGATCAAAGGTTTACTGCTTCGTATTTCTTTGCTATTCTCCCTGCTGTCATCCTGTCTCTCCCTGTCACCTACTTGGCCACCACTCTCACCAAAGACTGTTTTCCTGTCTGTATCACCACCACCCAGAGATGGTGCATCTGCTGTTCCAATCTGTAGCTTGGTGGTCTAGATCATCCTTGCAACTTAGAAAATAACTTTTGAGATCTATTGGGTTAGAATAATACTAGCCCTAACCATTGTTTTGTTAATTAAAATGGTCCATTTTTAACATCCTCCACAATAGCCCCCCAAAAAAAGCACAGTAAAGAAAGCGGGGTCACAGATTTCTCAAAATAGAAGTCAGGAGACCCTACAACCAACCAGTTATAGCACCTTAGGCTGCACAGTACTCCCTGGGTTCTAGTTTCCTCACCTGTAAAACAAGGTTAGGGATAACATTTGGTCTTCTTTTTAACTGAGGGATTATACATAAAAAATATTATATTATATTAGTATATGCATACTCATTATACATTTATAAATACATATGAAAATAGTATATATACTATAGAATACACAATACATAGATGTGTTCATTATAGATCAGTTGATCTATTATGTTGGTGCCAAAGTGATTGTGGTTTTTGCCATTATTTTCAATGACAAAAACCGCAATTACTTTGGCACCAACCTGATACATGCACGGCTATCAGGCAACACTGCCAAAACTAAATCCAGCCACATGGCCAGTCAGAGACTTACATGGATTTCTTATTCTTTAGCCATGACAGTAATGAACTTCAGAAACAGAGGGAGGAAGAATAAATGCAGATGTACTTTAAAAGTCAATCTGGGATCGCACTGAAAGAATGAAAGGCTGTCTGAAGGAAACGGAGAAAATTGCTCAAACGAAGAAAACAATATTATGCTTTTCTTTTTTAAACATCATGAGGCTAAAGTGGCTTTGGAAGCTCTATGTTCCCTCAGCCACTCCACACAGATAGAATATATCTGCATGTTCTCCCATGGCTACAAAATCATCCAAATCATTTCCTAGAATCCAAGGCCTTCATTTCCAGCCTATGCTGTGAAACATGGATCTTCTACTCTAGTGGGCTGATTTTCTCCCTGCCCTGTAAATGTAGTTTTGCACACATTCTTGCCTCTGCCTACCAGAATCTGCCCCATCCCTTACTGTTTAGAATACTATTGTTCAATACAGTAGCCACTAGGTAGATGGGACTATTTAAATTTAATGTAAACTACTTAAATTATATAAAATTTAAAATTCCATTCCTTAATCATACTAGTCTTATTTCAACTACTTTCTAGCTGCATGTGACTGGTGGCTACTGTATTGGAAGCACAGATACCACATTTTATCACCACACAAAGTTCCACTGGATAGTGCTGGTCTACAGCAAGGGTTGGCAAATATTTTCTTTTTTTTTTTTTACTTGAAGTTCTGGGATACATGTGCAGAGCATGCAGGTTTGTTACATAGGTATACATGTGTCATGGTGGTTTGCTGCACCTATCAACCTGTCAACTAGGTTTTAAGCACCTCATGCATTAGGTATTGTCCTAATGATCTCCCTCCCCCCGACAGTCCCCAGTGTGTGATGTTCCCCTCCCTGTGTCCATGTGTTCTCATTGTTCAACTCCCACTTATCAGTGAGAACATGCAGTGTTTGGTTTTCTGTTCCTGTGTTAGTTTTCTGAGAATAATCACTTCCTGTTTCATCCATGTCCCTGCAAAGGACATTAACTCATTCTTTTTTATGACTGCATAGTATTCCATGGTATATATGTGGGTTGGCAAATACTTTCTATGAAAAACCAGAACATAAGTTTAGGTTTTGGGGGCCATGAGACAAAACAGAGGATATTTTATGGGTACTTACATAACAAGAAAAAAGTTTTTTTCACAAAATTTTTACCGATAAAATTCAAATAATAATAATAATTGAGCCAGGTGTGGTGGCTCATGCCTGTAATTCCAGCACTTTGGGAGGCTGGGGCAGGAGGATCACTTGCGCTCAGGAGTCGAGACCAGCCTGGGAAACATAGGGAGACCCCACCTCTATAAAAAGTGATAATAAACAATTAGCTAGGCATGGTGGCGTATGCCTGTGGTCCCAGCTACTTAGGAGGCTGAAGTGGGAGGATCACTTAAGTCTGAAAGGTGGAGGTTACAGTTAGCTGAGATCGTGCCACTGCACTCCAGCCTGTCTGACAGGGTAAGACCCCATCTCAAAATAATAATAATAATAATTGGATGTAATTTGTTTTTGTAATAGAAGCCTGCTACTGAGAAGAATGGAATTCTTTTTTGAGGGAAAACATTTTGCTTACATGGGCTTCAAAGTTAATGTTTCCTATAATTAAATTGATTGACTGCAAATGTTCATCTATAAAAACCATTCTCAGCTTGTAGATCATGCAAACAAGCAGGGAGCAAGCCTGATGGGGCCTGTGTACTGTAATTCCCAAGTTCCCTGTCTGGAGTGTTTCTCAACAGGACACTATCAACACATTGGGAGGGTCATTTCTTCATTTTGTAGGATTAGCCCACACATTGAAAATAGTACACAACCTTGGCCCTCAGGCACTAAATACAGTAGCATCTTCCAGTCAATGTGATAACAAAAGTGCCCCACCACATATTCAAGCTCTCCACCACCCAAGGGGAGGCACCATTGCCAGATGGAACCACGGAATCTTTCTCATGTCCATCTTTTCTGCACCTCTAACCATACAACCTCTAACTCTGACCTTCTAAATAATCTATTATTAACTATTGACCCTCATGAGCAGTACAAACAAGGCTGAAATTGCGAAATATATATGTGGGAACATTCGTCTCAACCAAATTTCAAGTTGAACACATTCAGATTCCCATGTCTTGACATACTTGACGAATGAGCCCACTAGGGGCTCATTTGTGTGAGAGGCTAAGGCTTCTCCCAGAAAAAAAGCCACACTAAAGTAAGAGAGTTAAGACAGAAACCTGGTCTAGAAAACATGGGCCAATGCTGGGGGAATTGATGGTTTATATCTCCATTCATTCATTCCTTCAACAAATATTTCCTGTTTACTCTGTGTTAGGCACTGCTGGAGACCATGGACAGAGGCATGTATGAGCCATCAGGCTTCCATGCTGTCCTTCCATCCTTAACCTGTTGCTCAGCAGTCATGCAGTTCCCTCATCTGTCCAACGAGACAAATGGTAGCACATATCTCAGCTGGTTTAAGCCCTTAGAGAAGTACCTGGCACATAATTACAGCAAATACTTATTTTTTGAGCACTTGTTATATTAATTACAAGCCAGTCATATGGATTCATGCCCAGGTTCTTAGAAGAAGAGACAGCAAGAAAGGGTACGTGAAAACCATGAAAATCTATTAAATGGAGGTTTTTGGATACTTGAGTGTAAATTGGCATGGAAGGGTTTGCCAGCTTCAATGCTGGTAGTGCTAGTGTAGCAGGAAATGGAGCCATCCATGTTAGGAGGCTTCCAGCACATCATCCTCTCTGTGTGGGCAACAGAAGCCACAGCAGCAGTTATTACCTCAGGGCTCCTGCTCAGGAGAGGTGTAAAATGGCAGACACCCTGCACAACCAAGAAGTACTTATTGTGAGCACTTGGGAACTAGCCCTGGGGGATCCTCTGAGAGCAAAGGGAGACTGAGGCTCCCAAAACCAGAGAAATACTGTCCCATGACTCAGTAGTGGCCTTATTTTACCCAAAAACTGATAGGGCCTTGGAGTATTTTTTTTCAGTAATAAGAGCTATCATTTAGCCTTAACCATGCATCAAGCACTGCATGAGAGCTTCACATCATTTTATCATTTAATCCTCACAGCTCTGCCTCCACTTCCCCCCACTCATATGAGAGCAAATTAGCAGGCTAAGTAACTTGCCCAAGGTCATGTAGCTAATACAGGGGAGCAAGGACTCATCCCCAGATCTACCTATCCACTACAGAGCTGTTCTCTTAACTACGACGCTGCCAGCCTGGCAGGAGCTGCCCACATGCATGCACCTCCCTCAACTGCCTTGAAACAGCCATCCCTCATGGTGGTGCCACTTATGAAACACAATGTGAAGGTAACTCATTGTGATTCCTTCTCATCTCCCAACAGTACCCAGCAGAACACCTGAGTAATAAGTAATATTTATTTAAAACCAGTGGGAACTTGTCAACTATATACACAGAGTCATAGGTCTTACTATTTATCATTAGAAATAATATAAATGAAAATCAAATTGGTAGCCCTCAGGATCTTCTGATAAGTCAAAAGAAGTAGCCCTTACCTGAAGGATGTTATTGGCTGTTACCAATGGAGCTTCATCATTTACAGATTCAACAGTCACAAAAAGAGTTTGGGGCAGACTCTGTTTTCCAAGCTCTGAGCTATTCGCAAAGATGGTGAAATTGTCATGAAGCTTCTCGCTGTCATCATGAGCATAGTAAGTCAATTCATTTTCCACCTATAACAAACCACAAAGTCACCAGTTTGCTGAAGTGTGACTTAAAAATATGAACAAATGGCAATCAAAGAAATCCCAATTTTTAAAGTCTCTCTAAAACACAAAAGCACATCCTCATCCTGTGAAGTTTCAGTCTGACAATCAAAGTGCAAACTGTGATGGATGGTATAGTTTTTCTGAAATGATACTGCATCCTAGAAATACAATTAAGGAGGAACAGCTTTTCCAGTGCTGGCTCCACTTGGTCAGTGCAGTTTCGCCTTTGTGGTTGTGGAGTCCATCCCAGCTGTGGACCGCAAATAACCCTGTACGAAGAGGAATGGAGATTGCCTCTATCCACCTAGATTCATAAGCTGCCCTGAGGCGATCTTGGCATCAAGGAAGGGAGCATTGAGGCACATCGCACCATCAGCTTCAGAGGATGGCAGCCATTGATTTGTCCCGTGGGTTTTTTTCCAGGGAACCAATCTGCCCTTTTGAAGAAAAGACAAAGGTAGAAAGGATGGTGGTAGACTACCTGGCAATTGGTTATCAGAATGGGAAATACAACCTAGAACCAAACGGTCATCACTTCAGCAGGGTTTTTTGAAGAATCAAATATTCAATGGGATACAAATGACAAGAGGCTACAGTGGATGGGAACTGTGTGACTGTAAGAATTGTGGACAGGTCTTCAGTGAACAGTTTTGCCTTAAGACACACATGAGAGCTCAGAATGGAGGGAACACTTCTGAGGGTAATTGTTATGGAAAAGACATCCTCAGTGTGCACAAGGAAGCTTCTATTGGACAGGAACTTTCCAAATTTAACCCATGTGGAAATGTCTACACTCTAACTCCAGGCTTTGCTGTGCATCTTGAAATTCTCAATGCAAGACAACCCTACAAATGTAAGGAATGTGGAAAAGGCTTTAAGTATTTTGTAAGCCTTGATAATCACATGGGAATCCACACTGGTGAGAAACTCTGTGAATTTCAGGAAGGTGGGAGAGCCATCACAGTTTCCTCACATCTAAAGCAGTGTGTAACAGTTCATACAGGAAAGAAATCTAAAAAGACTAAGAAAGGTGGGAAATCCTTCACTAATTTTTCTCAACTTTATACATGTGAAAAATCATAAAGGAGAGAAGTCCTTTGAACGTAAAGAATGTGGAAGGTCCTTTAGAAATTCCTCATGCCTTAATGATCACATTCAAATTCACACTGGAATAAAACCGCGCAAGTGTACATACTGCGGGAAAGCCTTCACTAGATCAACTCAACTTATTGAACATGTAAGAACTCACACTGGAATACAACCCTGTGAATGTAAGGAATGTGGCCAAGCCTTCATTCAGTACTCGGGCCCTTCTATACACATACGAAATCGCAGTGGAAAGAAACCCTATCAGTGTAAGGAATGTGGGAAAGCCTTCACTACGTCCACAAGCCTTATTCAACATACAAGAATTCACACAGGAGAGAAGCCTTATGAATGTGTTGAATGTGGGAATACCTTCATTACTTCTTCCCGTCATAGTAAACATTTGAAAACTCATAGTGGAGAAAAGACCTTTGTATGCAAGATATGTGGGAAAGCATTTCTGTATTCCTCATGCCTTAATGTTCACCTGCAAACTCATACCAGAGGGAAACCTTTCGTATGTAAAGAATGCGGGAAAGCATTTGCTGTTTCCTCACGCCTAAGTAGACATGAAAGAATTCACACTGGGGAGAAACCCTATGAATGTAAGGGTATGAGTGTTACCATTTAGCCCATCGGTTGCCATCTTTAATTATTGGCAATGACACCAAAGATTATCAGATTTGTCCTAAATGCCTTGAGGAGGTTTAATGGTCGTGGATTGGCCTTAGATGCCATCCTGAGGGTCTAAAATTAAAACTACAGGTTCTGAATACAACTTCTTCATGGATGCCTAAGTCTGAGCATCTGTGAAGAAGGGTCATGGATGGTGAGGTCAATACTTCAGGCTGCCTTACCTTGGTGATTAGATTCCTAAGATCATAGCATTAACAAGTTCTGTATGAGATAAATCATGCAGACTGGTCCCAGCCCCTGTTGGTTAGTGGCTGCCAGTGTGGCACATTCATGTCAAAATTTACCAGAAGCCAAGATGATGTAGGTCCCAGAGGTGGATTGTTAAAAGATGCTCCTTCAAAGGTCTCTTCTATTCCCACGGATCCTGCAGAGCATGGCAGGAATTAAACCATCCATAACTGCCAGTGCACTTTCACAGCTAATTATTTCTGTGTCCCCTTCTTGTAAAATCTAAGAAGTGTGACAGCCTTGCCTGTTCTGCCTTGTATATTTTAGGTGGCACAATCTAAGTGGCAGTGTCTCTTCTAGTATAATCCAGTCTTTCACCTCATTTCTGTTAAGATGGCTGATATAGTCCATGAATCTCACTCATGATCTATTTATCAGATGATTGTTCAGCCACACTTTCAGGATTCTCTTCAGCACAAGTTTTCTAATTTTTGCAGTATGGATAGGCTGAGAATTTTCCAAATCTCCAAGCTCTGGTTCCTTTTTCCTTAACAATTTCTTTTGCAATTCAAGTCTCCTCTTTTGCATTTTCCTGTAAGCAGTCAGGAAGAATGAAGTTTCCTGTGTCCTTTAACACTTTAATTGCAGATCTTAGTGATACATACCCAATTTTATCTCTCTCAAGTTCTACCTTCCACAGAATGCTAGAATACAGTTCAGCCAAGTTCTTCACCACTTCATATCAAGGGTTGTCTTTTCCTCATTTCCCAATAGCATGTTCCTCATTCCCCAGTGACACTTCACCAGAATCACCCTTACCAACCTTATTTCCAGCTTGCACATCAGAATTTTTCCAGCCTGTACTCATTTGTCAGTTTCAAAGCTGTTTCACATTTTTAGTTTTTTTGTTTCTTTGTTTTTAATTGCAATACCTCACTTCTCAGTACCAAAATCTGCCTTAATGAGCTCAGGCCACCATAACAAAATACCACAGACCAAATGGCTTACAAATTCATTTAATTTTAAATAAAGGAGGTTAAAAACAGAAATTTATATTCTCACATTTCTGGAGGCTGGAAGTCTGAGACCAGAGTGCCAGCATGGTCAGCTTCTGGTGAGAGCTCTCTTCCTGGTATGTAAATGCCCACTTCCTCATGTCTTCACATGATGGAGACCAACAAATAGGTCAGTCAGTCTGTCTCTCTCTCTGTCTTTCGCTCCTCTCTTCTCGCTCTCTCTCTCTCTCTCTCTCTCCCCTGCCATCTCTCAACATAATTTCATGATACTTCCTAAAGATCCTATTTTCACATATAGTCACACTGGGATTTGGAGCTTCAACATATGAATTTTGGGGGTTATCATTCAGTCCAAAGTACTTAATATGATTCTTTTCCCTTTCCACATAGGCAATCACATAATCTGTAAATAATGACTCTTATTTTTCCACTTCAGTCATTAGTTATCTCTCTATATATACTTTTTCTTGCTTTACTGGACTGATTTCAACGTGCAGCACAACACCAACTAAAAGTAGTAATATCAGCATAATTGTCTGCAGTTCTGCTGAGATATGTGCTCCATTTTATTGGCTTGGCTGTAGGTTTTTATTTTTTTTTATTTTTTGAAGAGGCTATCTCCTAGAGGAAAGATTTCTTTTTATATCCAGTTTTTACATGATGAATGATTTCCCAATATTTCATAATTTGTGAGGCTGAATTCCTCTTGAATTTATTAAATGCTTCCTGTGCATCCTCAAAAAAAAAAAAAGATTAAGGAGGAACAAAGCGATTGAGCAATGTGGTGTAGCAGAGAGAATGCTGGACTGATCATCAGAAGATCTGAGGTAAAAGTGCTACCTTAACATGAAAGTGTGTTGTTAGTGACTAATTTTTGAGGCTGGTAATCGCTTTGTTTGACAATTCAAACTGTTAGATTTCAGCTCTGAAACTTCTATTCATCCATTGCTTGAGTTTCTCCTTTAGAGACATATGGACGAGAGCAACTATTAAGTTTGCCCAAATTTCTCTTTTCTAAACTAAGTATGCGTTGGTCCTTTAACTGTTCTTTGTATGTGAGGTTATATTTCCTACTGAGGTTATACTTCTATAATCCTGCTCCTTCTCCTTCAGAATACAATAGGTTTTTGTGCAACTAATAAAGGATGCTACCCGTAACTACCTAACATACATCCCCTGTGGACAGACTGTGATGAATTACACTGAAATCAACCACACAGATCTCCCTCTCTATAATAATCCAAATGCAAGCATTTACTTTTACTTTTGTCATATTTTATCCTTTTTTTTTTTTTTTTTGAGATGGGGTCTTACTCTGTCACCCAGGCTGGAGTGCAGTGGCATGATCTCAGCTCACTGCAACCTTCACCTCCCAGGCTCAAGCGATCCTCACACCTCAGCCTCCCAAGTAGTTGGGAAGACAGGCACCCACCACCATGCCCAGGGAATTTTTTTGTATTTTTGGTAGAGAGGAGGTTTCACCATGTTGCCCAGGCTGGTCAGATTTCATCCTTTTAATGTTTGCTCTGAAATCGTCCTCCAGAGAATTAGTTATTCCTCTTGGATTTGTCATAACCACAACTTTGATCAAAATGCCTTTCATGTCTTTAAAACTCTGATGGAAATATTGAAGAGCACAGAATCAAAATCAGAGACCAAGAGGATTATAAAACTAAAAGGGAACTTAGCTGCAGTGAGTCTGTGACCCAAACGTACAGCAGAGAACTCCCAAACCCCAAAAGGAGTAGCTGAACTTCTGAAAAAGTATCTGGGATTGTGTTTATTTTGATAAAATACAGCCAAAATTTTTAACAGTTCAAGTTCACGCATTCCTGTGGCATACTTCCTCTGAGTAAAGTCTTTTGATCTTTCAGAGGTGTTTCTGACAAGAGTTGAAAAGTTCATGAAGGGTCTCAAGAGAAAGTTGTGTCCACTCGTACAGAGGTGCTATGAGAATTTCTTTGGAGTTCTGTGGGCAGAAGAATTCCAGCTCATGGCCTGTGCATGTGCTCCTGGAACATGCTGTCTTAAGCTATTTGAAAACAAACATGGAAGATGGCTCTAAGCAGAATGTGGGAGAAGTTTTAATGCACTTTAGAAATGTAACCTTTAAATACCAGTCATGTTCAGAGTATTTCTCCCGGAAAAATACATCATTTCTTTAATGGAGTGGCACTTCCCAAAATGACATGCCATTTAATAATATTAATCTGAAGGCAAAGAGAGGGTATGTTGGGGATTTGTCTATCCCTAGACTTCTAAAACCAGAACAATACCTGCTGGCCTGAAATTAAAGGATACAACAAACTAATGGAAAATCTTGACAGATTCAAAAGTATTTGGTCCCCTGTCACCAACTCCGTTCAGGGACATCTTTGGCGCTCCTCTGCTCACACCTTCTCATCCCCCAGTGCTCCCCTCTCACTCCTTACTCCAGGTCAAAGGTGAAGCCTCGGGCCCTCCCACACCTGATCTGCTGACTCATCTGCTGTGCTCCCCACCACGCCTGCAGCACCAGCCACACTGGATGACTTGCTGCTCCTCGGACACACCAGGCATGCTCCCCACACAAAGCTGTTGCTCTTGCTCTTCCTTCTGCCTGAATGTTTTTCCAATATACACTTAGCTCACCTATCCATCACCTCCTCCGGGGTCTGCTCAAATGCTGCTTTCTCAACGGTGCCTTCCTTCACCACTCTATTAGAAATTGAACGTCAATACACACACACACTCCATTAAAGATCCCAGCACTTCCTAGCTCCCTTTCCTGCTTTATTTTTCTCCATAGCACAAATCATTCAACATGCCATTTATTTCATGTATTTATTTTATTTATTGTTTCTTCCTGCCTCTCTCTTTCCCTCATCAGGAAAAATGCTCCCTATGGGCTGGGATTATCACCTGGTTAGTTCACCAATTTATCCCCAGTACCTAGAACTGGCATCCCTGACACAAAATAGATATTCAAAAACTATTTGCTGAATGAATGAAGGGCAAGAATGGCCAGGGAATCTCCCTCTCCAAGTCACTAAAGGCTGCAGCCACTAGTTTTTAGAGGTTAGAGTCACTGTAAGTGAAAATGACCATGTCTCAAAACTTAGTGACCCCAGGAGTCATCTAGGGAGAGACAATGTGAAGGGGTCGCCTCGAAATCAGGGACCCATGACTTTGACTCTTCTCTGTGAATAAGGCTACATGATAACATAAACAGCATGTTGTCACAGCAGATGCACAGGGAACACCTGCATCTCGACACATACGTTTCAACCAGTCATTCTTAAATACACGCCTCTTACACAACACAATTAACCACTGAATTGACCAGGATCGGACCAAAATTTAGTGCTCAGAAGATAGGGCTACAATTTACAAACTATTTTTAGAGAGGTATTCAATTCAACTCACAGCAGAGCAGGTTTGAAATGGTCTTAGATGGTTTGTCCAGCCTTTGAGGGAGAAGCCATGACTGAAAGACACCTGCATGAGGTCACTAAAGCATCACCTTCCCTGGGACCCCACCTGCATGAGGTCACTAAAGTGTCACCTTCCCTGGGACCCCCGCTGAGAAGCACTGATGTCTAAGGTCTTTTCCAACCCTCAGCATTCTCTGATTCTCCCCAGGGCTCCCCAAATCCCCTGGTTAAGTCTAGCCCCCTTGACGTGTAATTCAGGTTACATCTCCTGTGGTCAAAGGGGAGGACTCCTCCACAGATTAGCTCCAAGTACACTCTGCCACTCCTCCACCTCCTGGACAACTCCCCATCCCTCTAGAATGCCCTTGGCCATGCTGTTCCCTTTGCTTGCCCTGCTTTTCTCTGTTTCCTCCTCTGTTATCTCCCTGCTCTTTCACTCTCTCCTCAAAGTCTAGCTGAAACATTATTTCCTCTGTGAAGGTTTCCTCATGCTTTTCAGTTAGAATCTTTATTCCCACCATACCACTGTGAAAATGCCACGTGAGAGGCAAGAAGAGTGCACCTTATATTAAACCTGGTGCCTCTGATTGCTCAGCAGTATTTCTTGAGGGCGAGAAATATGTTTTACTGACCATGGTAACTGCACACAGTAACTCGAACAAGATGTTTAGTAAATTGATTCAAATCAATGGATGAGTTGAAATTCTTAGAAGCAAATGAAGCATCAAACATGTGTTCCTAGCTGACTAGACAAAGACACTCTAAAATGGTAGGTGGTTGTTAATGGTTTCCAACCTGGAGAGTGTATGTTCCTAGGGTCTTATAAAGGAAATGATGGGGACCTGCAAGTTACTTTTCAACATTTAAAAAGAAAGTAGTGGAAATCATTCTTTCATTCATGATAAGAAAGTAAAGTCTAACAATAAGACCATTCTAACCCAAAGTAAAGAAACGTGACAGCAGCCCGGAGTTGTCCTTGGTTATTTTATGCTGATTGGATGCCAAATTGGCAATTGTACCCAGCTCCCTGATTGCAGGGCCTGGACTATTTTAACTTTCGAGAGCTTATGTTCATCATAGGGTATGATATGGAAAACGTACCATGTAAGCATCTGTTGGTTGAATGAGAAAATGAATGAATAAAAAAATCCACCAATGATTAAAGCATACTTGTGTTAAATACCTGGGCATTACCCCGATATTGCTGACAGGGCCAGTGACAATGTGGCACTCATCTAGAACTGGGCAACCAGGATCGTGCAGGAAACCCATGGCATAGAAGCAAAAGCTGGAAAGCTAGGGATGTTTAACCTAAGAAAGATAAAATTCAAGGAAATCTGATCATCTTTTCTTTCAAATACTTAAAAAGCTTTCATGAAAGGATGGGTATGATTTATTCTGTACCAGAATAGTATGATTCTAGGAGAATCATACTATGAATGAATCTAGGAGGCATATGTTTTATTCTGTACCAGAGGTACCTCTGGTACAGAATAAATCTGGGGTACTAGAGCCAGCGCCTAGGAGAAAAAGTTTTTAAATGGCAGATTTCAGCTCAGCCTAAATAACTATCTAAAAATTGGAGCGTATTTACATTGGAAGGGCTCATCTCAGCAAGTAGTAAGTTCCCTATCACTGAAGATGTTTAAGCACTGGCTAGATAACCTTTCTATAGGAATACTGTGGAAGGGCTTCTAGCATCTGTTGGGAGGTGGACTAGACACCCTCCAAGGTCCCATTGAGAGGTGACAGCGTGCTGGCAGTCCTCACAGCCCTCGCTCGCTCTTGGCGCCTCCTCTGCCTGGGCTCCCACTTTGGCGGCACTTGTGGAGCCCATCAGTCCACCGCTGCACTGTGGGAGCCCCTTTCTGGGCTGGCTAAGGCCAGAGCCGGCTCCCTCAGCTTTCAGGGAGGTGTGGAGGGAGAGGCGCGAGCGGGAACCTGGGCTGTGCGCGGTGCTTGCGGGCCAGCTGGAGTTCCGGGTGGGCGTGGGCTTGGCGGCCCGGCACTCGGAGCAGCCGGCCGGCCCTGCCGGCCCCGGGCAATGAGGGGCTTAGCACCCGGGCCGGCGGCTGCGGAGGGTGTACTGGGTCCCCCAGCAGTGCCAGCCCGCCAGCGCTGCGCTCGATTTCTCACCGGGCTTTAGCTGCCTTCCCGCGGGGCAGGGCTCGGGACCTGCAGCCCGCCATGCCTGAGCCTCCCACCCCCTCCATGGGCTCCTGTGCGGCCCAAGCCTCCTCGATGAGAGCCGCCCCCTGCTCCACAGCACCCACTCCCATCGACCACCCAAGGGCTGAGGAGTGCGGGCGCATGGCACGGGACTGGCAGGCAGCTCCACCGGCAGCGCGGGTGTGGTATCCACTGGGTGAAGCCAGTTGGGCTCCTGAGTCTGGTAGGGAGGTGGAGAATCCTTATGTCTAGCTCAGGGATTATAAATACACCAATCGGCACTCTGTATCTAGCTCAAGGTTTGTAAACGCACCAATCAGCACCCTGTGTCTAGCTCAGGGTTTCTAAACGCACCAATGGACACTCTGTATCTAGCTGCTCTGGTGGGGCCTTGGAGAACCTTTATGTCTAGCTCAGGGATTGTAAATACACCAATCAGCACTCTATCTAGCTCAAGGTTTGTAAACACACCAATCAGCACCCTGTGTCTAGCTCAGGGTTTGTGAGTGCACCAGTCGACACTGTATCTAGCTGCTCTGGTGGGCCTTGGAGAACCTTTGTGTCCATACTCTGTATCTAACTGATCTGATGGGGATGTGGAGAACCTTTATGTCTAGCTCAGGGATTGTAAATGCACCAATCAGTGCCCTGTCAAAACAGACCACTCGGATCTACCAGTCAGCAGGACGCGGGTGGGGCCAGATAAGAGAATAAAAGCAGGCTGCCCGAGCCAGCAGTGGCAACCCGCTCGGGTCCCCTTCCACCCTGTGGAAGCTTTGTTCTTTCGCTCTTTGCAATAAATCTTGCTACTGCTCACTCTTTGGGTCCACACTGCTTTCATGAGCTATAACACTCACCGTGAAAGTCCGCAGCTTCACTTCTGAAGCCAGCGAGACCACGAGCCCTCTGGGAGGAATGAACAACTCCAGACGCGCCACCTTAAGAGCTGTAACACTCACTGCGAAGGTCTGCAGCTTCACTCCTGAGCCAGCGAGACCACGAACCAACCAGAAGGAAGAAACTCCGAACACATCCGAAGGTCAGAAGGAACAAACTCCAGATGCGCCACCTTAAGAGCTGTAGAGCTGTAACACTCACCCGAGGGTCCGTGGCTTCATTCTTGAAGTCAGTGAGACCAAGAACCCACCAATGCTAGACACACCATCATACCCATAAATCTAAATAATAAATAGCCATTTTTTTCTCCTACCCAACATTCCCAATTACATAAACTGAGAGTTATTACCTGTTTCCCAATAAATTTTATTAGCTTTCCTCTTGGAAAATTAGAACTTTTAACATAACTGTGTTTCAGTGGTTTAATAAGTAGAACAAATTCACAGTCAAATCCCTCAAAATATTTACTTGGAATTTTGAGGTAGTCTTCTAGAAGTTCTCTGGAGCCACCTTCTTGAACTGTGAAATTCTGTACCTGCAGAAAAATCCACTTAGGCGTGGTGTCCACCAAGATTTCGACTCTGCTCACAACTTGGAAACCATTCATCACATCCAGGGAAAAACAGTCCTGTTCTTGGTTGGGGGATGTCTGCACATAAAGGATATTGCCATCCTCCACATCCGGTTGTGTGAAAGTCAAAGGGACTTTTCATCTGCACCCAAGCTGCCTTCTTCTGGTATAAATTTTTGGAGGTATCCATGCATTGGTGGAGTTCCGACTATGAACACTGCCTCTGAAGGAATATTATCTTCATGCCCAGCCTTGAGTTCACACACACCATATATAGACACAAAAAGAAAAACATTAATAAATGTAGAAGTGAAGACTGTTGAAAACCACATTGTCTTATATTAACATCCACAATTGGCTTAAGTTGTACTTAGGGTTGATACACAGTTTAAGCCTGAGTCTGTTTTGGTGCCCATGCCAATATTTTTAATATTGGCCCTGGTCACAAAAAAAAGTAATGGTCAGCAACACCTAAGTAGCTACTAATGTATTAACCAAGTGTCATTCACAGCAGCAAAAAAACCCAGGACTCCAAGGTTGAGGTGAAAGAAATAAAATGGTAGTGTAAGGAGAAGGAATACAAGATGGTAGAAGACGCAGCAGTTGGGTCAGTAAACTTGTAAGACCTTGAGAGGAAAGTTATCATCCCCCATTTGAACTCGCTCAGCACTTTCAATACGTATTTTTTTATTCCGGGAACTCCATCTCAAATCTGATTATAACTGATGTATAGTCATTGGACTGCATATGCCCCCTTGTGGTGAAACTTAAATATAAGCTCTTGAAAAAGAACAAAAAAGCTGGTTCTTATTCCAAACTCACTATTCAAAGTCTTATTCAAAAGTATTTAACCCATTCTGATTTGAATTCATTTTTACTTAATTTTATTGGCTGCATCTAGCAAAAAAGCAAACTTGTTTGCAGTCCCGAGGGTAGATTCAGAATAGCCTGCATTTGTGGCCAGTTGTTATAAATCGCAGCTTACACATCCCACACCCTACACAGCATTACCCTAAAAAAGAACACCCCTTCCAAACTCTGATCAGCATGGCTGTGCCTGCTGGAAGTTTCCAGTACGAGGCCCAGAAAACCAGGTGATTTTTGGTCTCACCTCTGACATTCCACTGGTCTAGGCTAGTTTTAACCATCACTTTCAGGATACTAAACAAGGCCACATTCAGACCTAAACAAACTATATAATATAGTATTTGCTGGTATCTTAGGAATGTTTCTTACATTTGTTAAATTACTCCAAGTTTTTATACTGTGCTTCATTCAGCACATCATAAATATAACTCAGATCAAATGAAATATTGGCAGTGTTGCTATGGATAATGAATAAAAGATCTCTTAATTTACCATAATATATACCTCTCTCCCTTAGTCCAAGTTTTTACTGTACTAAACATATATATGATGCACATGTATGCACATGTGAGCCCAACTTTAAAATAAGCCTGAGCATTGCTTACATTCCATTTCCAACTGTAGGAAAATTGGTAGCATCAAAATCATGAAACTTTCCAAGTTTTCTTCTCAATGGCATCTATATTTTTAAAAATTCACTCCTGATACCAGGGGAGAAATCAACACAAAAATAGCTTTCAGAAGCAAACAGATTATTAGCACCTGTAAGAATGAGAATTCTTAGTGCTGTGGATAGGATAATTACCTACCTGGAGCCTTCCTGTATTCAGTTTTACTGGTTTTCTTTCTTCAACTACTAGAGTCTCGATGTGCAGAACCTGCGTGTGATGTGGGTGACCTTCCAAGCACACTTGAACATAGACACCCACTCTCACCTCTAAGTATGTGGCTTTAACTTTCACTCTCAGGTTGAATACATCAAAGTCATCACTGCCATCGTGCCTATAAATCACACATCAACAAGTCATCCTGAGAAAATGAGTGGGAAACAGAATGATTGACCAGGATCCTGCCATGCTTTAGGCCCTGCACAATGTGGAATTCAATCTTGTGGTCTGTTCTGACATTTTGGTTTGTGGTGACACTTAGGTTGGCCACTGTGAGGCTGCCATCCTTTCCTCTCTGTATGAGCAGCCCCGTGTTGTTGGCTATCTGGACATAAGGGTCTGACACACTGGCCTTGAGAAGAGATGATGTGTAGTGGACACCATCTGTCACAAACAGCACGAAGCGATCCAAGTCTGCACCCTGATGCCTGAAAAGCACGTGCCCTTCCTGCAGGTCTTCTTGCCTGAACTGGTAGAGTTTCTGAGTGGGGTCTCTGGCTCACACTAAATCCCCATTTGGGATGCCCCGCTGGGTGTACAGCAACTGCCCATTATCAAAATCTAAGTCAGGGTTATGGTAACAGAGATCTGCCAGGGTCAATAAGCGCTGGCCATTCCGCACAACATGAAAGACCTTATCTATCATGCGTACTGGTTTCTCATCATTCTTTAACCCAACGGAAAGTGTGACTTTTATTTCCATAGATGAATGCTGTGAGTCAAGATCCCTGACTGCTCCCCCCTGGTCCTTTGGTGAAGGCCACAAAAAAGAACTCATCAGACTCAGTCTCAGAGTCATCATGAACATAGATCACCTGTTCACTCACTCTCTCTTGATTTGTGAACATAGTGATATTGTCATTACTTTCCAGAGAATCAGACAAGTTAAGCAGTTTCAGCTTCCCATGTTGAGGGCCCTTGGAGATTTTATATTGGAAGATCTGATTGTCCAAAATTTGAACAAATAGTTCTGATTTTGTAATTAATTTTCCTTCTCCTTCTTTTACAAATAATCCTCTGTTAGTTAAAATAAAGTATGTCTTATCTGCTTTAAAGTTGATTCTGAAAGTATAATCTTTTGAGTCTATGTATTTTGCAACAACCAAAAACCTAAAAGTATCCTGTGAGTCTTCCCTTGGCCTCTCCTGAGGTTCATAACTTATCTTAGAGTCTGTAATATTTTTTTGGCTGAAAATTGAGTTTGTTTTTAGAACTTTATTGCCAAGTACCAATTTTCCTTTCTTAGATGGGATCAATAACTTAAAATGTAGTTCCCTCTCAGCTACTTCCACACCCTCTGTTGCAGCCTGCAAATGATCAGAATTCAATATGTTCTTGTTTAGTTGACTCATCTCTAGAGGAACATTTTTCAGGATAAACTTCAGCCATTGTGTTGTAACTGGAAATATCAGCTCTTCACTGACTTTTCCTTCTATGTTAACTTTACATTTAAAATGATCTGTAACATTTTCTAGCTGCAATTCTTTCAATGTACTATAGTACTGGACCCGACTCCAATCAACAGAACACTGAGAAAAGGTACTAACTTGTTTCCATTTCCCACTTGACCCTCACCGCTGAATCTGGCCATACTGAGGTGGATGAGTGATGTCAGAGCGGGTCTCCATCTCATGCCATTCACCATTAACCTCCACTGACAAGTTACTCCATGTAATCAGAGGAGTGCCACCCTGTTCTACAACCACACCAGTTCTAACGGCCACTGCAAAGTCCCAAGAAACAGCCATGTTCCACACCACTGCTGTATTACTAACCAGCTCTCCATCACTTGCTCTCAGAACAATCTGAGAGTTTCGATGACCCCTGTGCACATAGAAAATGTTGCCATCTCTTAAATCTTCATGTGTAAAATGATTAATGGCATTCCCGGGATCACTTGCATTTTCTAAAACCCCAGCATCTGAATTGAAGTTGCCAAGAACTGAAATACAAAGACTCAAAGAATCTGTGTCAGGGTCTGACATGTCTATCATACTTGGGGTCAGTTGTTTCTTAGAGTTCTCAAATAGAAGAAGCAAGTTTCCTTCTGGTACCTTAAGGTATGGGGGATCATTGACTGGAATGACAATAATGTTAAACACATGTGGAACACGTTCTTGCAGATATAATGGCATTTCTTTCTTGCTATTGGGAGAAACCAAAAATGTAAAATAATCCATAGGTTCTTCTGAACCATCATGGACATATCAAACTTTTCCTTGCCATAAGTCTAACATGGTAAAAGCTGTCTCCATTACTTGCTCAGGTGGTACATTTAATTGAAGGAACCCATGAATAGGCCTTCCCTCTATTTTAAATAGTATTTGAGAATGATGGATACCCAAATCCTTAAATTTCACATCCAGTTTCATGTGCCTTTGTTTCAGTAAGGTCCACCTTCTTGGACCTGCAAGTTATTCAAAACCAAGAAATCGCTACTCTCATCTTGAAGAAAAGGCTTGATGACCTCAGGGACGGCAGTGGAAAGGAAAACTTCTGACTGATGCAGATTTTCTATCGCTGTTATGGAAGGATTTGTGTTATCAACACTCTCAGTTTTACAACAACAGGAATATCTTTGAAAACAAGGGCATCCCTTAACGCTCTCTTTTCTGAATTGGCTTCCAAGCTTCTTAAGCACCCTTTGAAAGAGGTTCCTCGAGCAAATTTCCCAGGCACAGAGGCAAGTTCTAACCTCTTTACTTCTTCCCACATTTGGTTATCAAGACCTCCCACAAAAAGGGCTCCTTCAGATACAAATGTTTGCTTTGCAAAGGCAGTGACTTCCTTACCTTTTTTTCATCTACTGTTAGGTCCAGATACTCCCCTGTGAATTTGAATTGAATAACATGCCACTTGTTGTCACTGACAAAACTAAAAGAAGAAAGCTGAGTTTTACTTTTATGCCTTCCTACATAAGCCTTCAATAGACTTTCATCTATTTACAAAGCAACAAAATCTCCTTCCTTACCCAACTGAAATGAAAGCAAGGCTTGCTGAGTTACAGTTTGCAAAGTAAATTCCAATAGTGTTTACCCTTGCACTTTCCATTCTGGAAAACTGACAGAGAATCTGGAGCTAAAGAAATTGATGGCTTCATCCTCCCCTGCAAAAAAAACTCGTCATTGCATCCTAGTGACACCTCATAAACCTTCTTAAAACCAGGGTAAGATCTAAGGGACGTAAGGATCTCCCTCTGGTTAAATACCACATCCTTCATACATCCTCAAAAATTGGGGAGCTTTCCGTACAGATAAGGTACATTGAGTGCCCTGCGGCCTCCTACATAGATTCCATGTTGAAAATTCAAATTATGCATCCCACCAGCTGCCATTTGGCCAGTTGTCTCATAACGTTTGTCAATAACAAAGGAAATATTATGCTTAACATAGCACAGTTCCACCAAATGCCAAACCAGGTCATCCATATGAAGTCTCTGCTCAGAAAGGAGCATTTGTTCACTTGTACCCAAATTTACTCTCACCTGAAAAAGAATCATAATTAATCAATCTCATCTCACTTTTCATTTCATAATGTTTTATTGAGAAAATCGGACCTTTCACAAAAGAAAAAGAAGAGAGAAATTTGCACATGAAAACTCTTCCCATGCTTATAGATTACATACTAAACTCAGGAAATTTTAAAGTTGGAATATTTAAGCCATGCTAGTAAAACCGAAGGAGATCCCAACCTATACAAATGGCACATCATTTTATTCTAATGAAATAACAGCAATCAATACATGTAGCTGTTTTGTTCTCTTTCTCTCTCAACTGCTTTTCTCTCCAGTAATTATATGCTTATATGTATTTTCAAGATTTAAAATCATACACATAAGGTTCCTGATTTAAGTTCTATTATACAATAGTCATTTGTCCCAGCTGCAAGCAAAAGTAATCCCTGTGGTTTGCTGGTATGAAATTTTAATTGAAGAGATAGCTCAGAGGAAACTTCTATGATGTTGAACTCCACATAGCTTTCACCATAAAAAGATGCTAAGAGGAAAATAACAAAAGAAATATATTAGTAAATTTATTATGCAATGACTATTCCACCTTATATTATCATCTCTTTTCAGGGACTGATCCTGGTGAAGAAAGTTGCCTTTCCCAAGGCCTTATCTGCTTCCTGGGGTGACCCAGAGATATGACATGGGTGTATAAAAGGCTCAGTGTTCTCTCACCCCAACTCTGGAAAGCTCTGAACGGTCATTCCCTCTTCACAACTCTCAAGAGAGGTAGCTGAGGTTTCAACTGAGATGAAATTACAATTCAACTCCTCCATCTACCCCAGAATGCTTCTTTCCCCTCCATAGGAGTTGATCCTATGAGCTCTCTCTAATAAACCTCCTGCATGCTAAGTTCCATTTCAGATTCTGCCTCCCCAGAAGCCCAACCTGTGACAATTGGTACTGGAAGTGGTCTGAAAAAGCAGATGATAAGATGAGATTTGCAGCTGGACCAACCACTACTCAAATGGTAATTAGGACACTGTCACTGGTGGTAGGTGAACCACAGAGAGCCCTGGCAATGACTGCAAACTTCACTGGTGGTGAGCTGGCTTGGTGTAAGAGCATAAAGGAATACGTTAGGCCTGGCTATGAAATGCTGAGCTCTTAAAAACAGGGCAAATAAAAAGTAACTATGAAGACAATGGAATTGGGTGCCTATTGCCAAGCTTGAATGAAGCTTTGGAAAAGATAAGGAAAAGCTGGGAAAGATTAGTTGACAATTACAAACTAAGTGTGAAAGCCAGAAGGCCTTCCTGTTAGCAAAGTCCTTCTCATCTTCTATAGCAGGAGGGCAAAAGAAGCTGAGACTCAGACCCAGGAGGTCATCATCAGAGTAGTCAAGCTCCAAGTAAAGTTTTGGGGAATCTAGCCTGCAATATCTGCCTCCCCTCTTTGCTCCTCTGTGCATTTCTTTATCCTAGAACCTGCCAAGTTGTGTTAACATTTCTTATTTATGCATCTATCTCCTGCATTATTCTGTAAGTTTTCTAAGATCGGGGACCATACCTTTTGTATCTCATCTCTTCAGTACCTAGCACAGTGCCTGGCACACGGGTGGTGTCATAGTTTCTGTTGGTGTCCCATTTTGATCCCTTTTAACAGGCTGGTGCCCCCATCCTTCAGTTGCTGAACTGCCTTATCCAAAAGCTCCAGTGATATCACACCCCCTACCCTGGAGAGCAATCCACAGACAAAGATTGATTGGAACTGATCTATAAAATATGTAGAACTCTGTGTTGCCATTCATATTCCAGATTCCCCTCTGGGATCAGGCTGAGGTTACATCAGTTGAAACCACATCTTCGCTTGGCATCTTCTCCTGCCCTATCCTGCTTCCCTCACTTCCTTACGTTCTCTACTGGGAAAAATCACTCAGTGATTCATTTGCACTACAATCCCTCACTCAGGCTTTCTCACTAGGGAACCTGACCTAAAACAGGCAGGCAGTAAGCAAGCATTTATTGAACCAAACTAAACTGACCTAGTAGACCCCTTATTCTATAATTGAGTAAACTCAAACTTAGAAAAGCTTAGGGACTTGCATAAAGTCAACAGTTGGTTAGAAACAGAGCTAGGACACAAACCAAGCTTTCCCCACTACTAATCCAGTTTTTTATGAAGATAGGAAGTTAATACAGAAATGAAGATGATCCCTACAGACTCTCCTAAATATGCATAAGCACCCTTTTCTCTCTTTAAAATATGCATCAATAATTAAACTTAATAGAACTAGAATGTAGAGCTCAGGTCATTAAAGTTGACAGATGGCAATTACATACCCACTGACCAGCTGAGTTTATCCTCCAGGCCTTCCCATTACTGAATGCCCCCACCTCAATTTCTGACAGACTCAGAGGCTGTATTGTTAAGTTTTCAAAACCAGGAAATGTTTTCTAAATCATAAAAGCTACCGCTGAGAATGACTAAGTAACATTAATAAACAATATCCCTATATTTTCCCACGTTTCACCTCTCTGGCACTAAATCAATTCTAGTCCCAGCTGGTGGCCAGAAATTTCCATTGCCTCTGGGGAAAAGCAAGGAACTAGGTTAAAACCTGGTTTGACAGCCTAAAGCCAGTTCATGTCCTCACATACCCCTAAGTAGATCCTATCTTTTGCAGCCCCTAGTAAGTGTCTCAAAATAATAATAAAGAGCAAATAGAAACACGAGTGAAATTGGCTCCTGGAAAAAGAAACGTGATCCCTACATTCAGCGAAGAAAAAGTGTGATTTCAGTATTAGTGAAACAAAGTTGAGCAATAATCAGATAACCTCCTGGTTTTGCATGCTTACAGAAATGAGGAAATGGTTGAGTGGCAGCCAGAGTCTTCCGTTGGTAAAATATATAAAACATTTAGACTGCTCTGCAATTTCTCCCAGGAAGGTGATTATTTTATTCATTATATCCTCCTTAGAATTGGTTCCCATTCCTTCTTCCAAATTACATCTCTCCGGTTTTTTGTTTTATTTTGGTTCTATGCTTTTGTTGTTTGGCTTACTATTTATAGAGTGCCTACTATGTGCCAGGTATTGTCAGGAGTTGAAGATGCAGAATCAATGAAACAAAGAGGCCTGCAGCCTACCAAAGAAGAAAGCCACTTGGAAAGAAGAGTGTGCACCCAAGTGATATTAGAAAGTTGGTCCATCAGAAGCACCTCCAGGGCCACCTGAGGTATAAGGGAAGGAGCAATCCAACTATAAAGTGTCTCTCCCTATCCCTAATCTCTAAAGTGAGATTAATGACTTCACTTGGAAAGGGGCAGATTTAAGTGGCCGTCCTATGCATGGGTTATTCTGTCCACAAGTGATACCAAGCATCTTATTTAGTACTGAGGATTCAATGGTGAACATGAGAGACTGCTAATCAAGTTATTACAGTTGCTTGATTATTAATTGAAAAACACACAACAGAAGCACGGGGCCTAATCAAGGGAGGCGGAGTCAGAGGGTTTCAGGCAATGGCTTCTGGAAAGACCTGAGCAATGGAGCAGACAGGAAGACAGGAAAGAAGGGAGAGAGTGTTGCAGGAAGTCAAGGACCCCAAACGGAGGGACCGACTGAAGCCATGACAGAAGAACGTGGATTATGAAGATTTTATGGACACTTATTAGTTCCCCAAATTAATACTTTTGTAATTTCTTATGCCTGTCTTTACTGCAATCTCTAAACATAAATTGTAAAGATTTCATGGACACTTATCACTTCCCCAATCAATATCCTTGTGATTTCCTATGCCTGTCTTTGCTTTAATCTCTTAATCCTGTCAGCCGAGAAGGATGTATATCGTCTCAGGACCCTGTAATAATTGCGTTAACTACACAAATTGTACAGCATGTGTGTTTGAGCAATATGAAATGTGGGCACCTTGAAAAAAGAACAGGATAAGAGCAATTGTTCAGGGAATAAGAGAGATAACCTTAAACTCTGACCGCCAGTGAGCCGGGCGGAACAGAGCCATATTTCTCTTCTTTCAAAAGCAAATGGGAGAAATATCGATGAATTCCTTTTCTCAGCATGGAACGTCCCTGAGAAAGAGAATGCGCACCTAGGAGTAGGTCTCTGAACTGGCCCCCCCGGGGCGTACCTGTCTCTTATGGTCGAGATTGCAGAGGTGAAATAAACTCCAGTCTCCCATAGTGCTCCCAGGCTTATTAGGAAGAGGAAATTCCCACCTAATAAATTTTGGTCAGACCGGTTGATCTCAAAACCCTGTCTCCTGATAAGATGTTATCAATGACAGTGGTGCCCAAAACTTCATTAGCAATTTTAATTTCGCTTCGGTCCTGTGGTCCTGTGATCTCGCCCTGCCTCCACTTGCCTTGTGATATTCTATTACCCTGTTAAGTACTTGATGTCTGTCACCCACACCTATTCGTATACTCCCTCCCCTTTTGAAACTCCCTAATAAAAACTTGCTGGTTTTTGTGGCTTGTGGGGCATCACGGATCCTACCAATGTGTGATGTCTCCCCTGGACGCTCAGCTTTAAAATTTCTCTCTTTTGTACTCTGTCCTTTTATTTCTCAAGCCAGTCGACACTTAGGAAAATAGAAAAGAACCTACGTGATTATCGGGGCAGGTCCCCTGATAAGAGAGGTGAACACAAGCACCTGAAAGTCCAGTCTGGCTGAGGGCAGTGTTAGGAGGACAGCTAGGGTGGAGGCTGAGGGGTGTGTGAGGGGTCACGGGGCAAACGTCAGAGAACAAACCCCACCTTGTCCTTCTGAAAGGCCTTCTCTGGCCACTCTGTTTAAAGTGCCCTCACACACAGACATGCAAATGCACACAGGTCGATGGCTGGCTACTCCTTTCAAGGCCCTTATCATAATCTCTAATTACTTTCTTTATTTGCTTTCTTATTATCCAGCCCCAAGACCACACCACCCCAAATAAAATGTAAGATTCTGAGGTCAGAAGCTTTTGTTAGTCTTGATCACTGCCTAATTTTCAGTGCCTAGAACAAGTGCCTGGCAAACAGTACTCACTAAATAAATGCTGGTCTTGGAAAGCAAGTTAAAGAATTCAGACTCCATCCGCAAAGAGGGCTAGATAGGGAGCAAATAGGGACATTCATGATCAGATTGCAGTTTAGGAGATGACTGGCTGAAACGCAGACTCTCAGCAAGTAGCTGGGTCTAGGGAAAGGGAGGAGAAAGGGTGTGTTCAAGAAATATTTAGATAGGATTGTCAGGGTAGGGAGAAGGGAGAGGACAAAGGGGCAATCCAGATCAATTTCTAGGTTTCAGGCTTAGTATCTACTTACTGAGACAGGGAACCTGGGAGGAGAAGCTTTGGTTTCATTTTGTGTTGTTTTGTTGATGTATATGTGACAAGAAATTCTCACTGAACTTTTGGGGAGCAAGCAAATGACTCACCAACTGGATCCCCTTGGACAGGGAGGGCCTTATGAACTATGTTAAGGAGGTTGAACCTTATTCTGAAAACAATAGGCAAGCATCAAATGATTTTCATTTGAAGAGAGACAGATCTGTTTGGGGTTTTAGAAAGATCAATCAGTCTCATAGCTATGTGAGTTCAAAACTAGCGCAGGATGGAAACTGATTAGGAAAGTATTTCAAAAAAGATTTTAGATCACCTTTCACTGAAAATTAGAATTACCTTTTTGTATCATATTTTCGCTAATTTTATAATTGTGCCTCTTTGTGTATTGCTATTCTTCCAAATATATTCTGCAGATATCATAATTATAACTTATTTTTAAAATTTAAAAAAATAAAAACTTCTGTGATAAATTATTTGCATTACACAAAGTCCTAAGATGAGGTCTTAAGAGGAGGTCTTGCATTAATAAAGCAGCTCTTACTTCTGTTGTGTCATCTGAGATTAGTGACTTCACTTGGAAAGGAACACCACACTTTGCATTACAAATCTATCCTTAAGAATCTCAGCTGGACTAGGTGGCTCACGCCTGTAATCCCAGCACTTTGGGAGGCCGAGGCAGGCAGATCACCTGCGGTCAGGAGTTCAAGACCAGCCTGGCCAACATGGCAAAACCCCATCTCTACCAAAAATATAAAAAATTAGCAGGGCATGGTGGTGTCCTGGCTGCTGCTTGGGACCATGTGCAGGGCTGTCCTCTGGACTCTGGAAGCTGCACTCTGCAGTTTGAGGTCAATAAACGGAAACTGCCACAATTTTTATACTGCTATTTCTAAAGATGTCACTTATAAGGAACTTAAAAAACCTATTGAATTCTAAAAATATCATATTAATTGATGTTAGAAAGACACGGGAAATTCTGGAGTATGGAAAAATCCCTGGGTCTATCAATATACCATTGGATGAGGTAGGTGAAGCTCTACAGATAAACCCAAGAGACTTCAAAGAGAAATACAATGAAGTAAAGCCATCCAAATCTGGCAACTTGGTGTTTTCTTTTTCAGCTGGAGTGAGAAGCAAGAAGGCTCTGGGCACTGCAATATCGCAGGGCTTTCACAGTGCTCAACACTATGCTGGAGGATGGAAAGAGTGGGTAACCTATGAATTTTCAGAGAAGAGACAAGGAATTTGAATTTTTGGAATACAAGTTGCCTCTTTCCTTGCGTACATGCAGCCTAGGATAGTGGAATGAGCAAAATAATAAAAATCTAGTTCTGGCACCACCGATTATGGAAAGGGGATTTTTGTATAAGTCAGCTAGTTGTTGAATCATATTCTCATCTGTAAACTGAAAATGCCACTCTCCCCTGAGATGATGCATGTTACTCACCATGGAAATATAAGGGTTGGGATTTTAGGAATTAATTTTAAAGTAGCTTAGTATCATTCAATAGTATTCTGAAAGACCAGGTTACTTACATTACCTAATCATGTATGACATTGTGTTAGTATACCTTCTATTCATCAAAGAGATTATGAGCTAGACCTGCAGATTAACACGCAAATGTGACCTTAAAAAAATCAATTAATCTGGGATCCAGAGAAGTAGGTGAAATTTGAACGATGAAAATACATTAACAGCTTCTAATGACTTATAGCAGTGTTATGACTAGCATGGTAGTGATGAAATTTGTAATATAAAAAATTAAAATTAATATGATAATATGGGGATAGATAATCAGGACAGTGGTTGCTTTTCTAGAGGGAAGAAGATTAACTGGAAAAGGCAAGGAGGAGCCAGGCACGGTGGCTCAGGCCCGTAATCCCAGCACTTTGGGATGCCGAGGCAGGTGGATCGCTTGAGCTCAGGAGTTCGAGACCCGCCTGTGCGTGGTAAAATCCAGTCTGTACAAAAAAAAAAAATACGAAAAATTAACCAGCCATGGTGGCACGTGTCTGTAGTCCCAGCTACTTGGGGGGATGAGGTGGGAGGATCACTTGAGCACTGGAAGATCACTTGAGGCCAGGAGGTCAAGGGAGCAGTGAGCCAAGATCACACTACTGCACTCCAGCCTGGGTGACAGAGTGAGACGCTGTCTCAGAACAACAACAACAAATTGGAAAAAAAAAAAAAAAGGCAAGGAGAGAACTTTCTAGGGTGATGGAAATGTTCTGTATCTTGACTGAGGTATGGATACATTGGTATATACATTTAAATGTAAATGACTCCCACTAGCATGGGTATATTCCTTTGGAATGTTAAGTCCTATACTTGTTAGTGTGCTAATGCACTGGTGGCAAAATAAACCTGTTTTCTCTTGTCAAAAAAAAAGAAAGAAAGAACTTAGCACAAACATCAAACATGCCCTGGGAAGCTCAATCTCCTTTATTCACTGAAAGCAAACCCCAACAGGGAAAATTCTGAAAGTCTCTGCCACAAAACTCAGGGCTACTAAAATACTTGCTCCATGGCTATAGGGCAGACAGTTGACCAGATATTCAGAAGACTGGAGTGAGGGGGAAGCTCTGGTGCCACATCCCTCTGCTGGCACTTTTGGAGGAGAGCAGAGGAGAGAGTGCTAGGCCCAGGCCCACAGTGAAAATGCAAATCTTGGGTTTCCAAGTACAGCCAAAGCAATCTATAGCCCTGGACTTCCTGCTTTGCAGAACACAACCCACCAGTCTCTCATCTATTCATTCATTCTCCAAATATTAGCTTTCCTGCAACTGTTTTGTACTGGGACCTGAAGTTACAAAAAGAAAAACAGCAGGTACCCTGCCCCTACTTCCTCTCAACAGGGCATTCCCCAGGACCCCATGTCCACTGTGCAAGGCCATGTAGATTGTGACCAGCATAATTCCAGGAGAAGCTGTTCCTGGAGTCTCTGATGTAAGTAGCATCCCCTGGAATTGTGCAGTGAGGCAGTCCTGGTGCCCAGTCTACCCCGGTTGAGCTGACAACTCTCTCTTAGGTGTCACAGAACCTGTGTCCTATCCTGTATGCCCCTTGTGTGGCAATTATGTGTTCCTGTATTCGTTGCCCAACTAGTGTGGGAGTTTGCCAGGCCCCAGCCACAGGCATGGGAGTCAGTGCTGTAGCCAGACTCACTCCCCACAGGGACAGAACCTTCTCTAAAGCCCCCAGCCTAACATTGGTAGCTCTTCCAGCCCCTCATTCCTCTCTGATGGCACTGCCATCTCATGCCCCCATAAGATTATATGGCCATTGAATTATCTCTTTTACTAAGACAAAAACTCCCTGTATAAGTTTCCTGTTGCTACTATAACAAATTGCCACAAATTGAGTGGCTTACACTAACACAAATTTATTATCTTATAAGTTCTGGAGGTCAGAATCTGAAAGCGGTCCCATTGAGCTAAAATCGAGGTGTCTGAAGGGCTGCCTTCCTTCTAGAGGCTCTAGGGGAGAATCTATTTTCTTCATTTTCCAGCTGCTAGAGGCCACCTGCTTTCCTTGGCGTGTGGCCCCAGCCAGCAATCACACCTCTTCAACCTCAGCTTCCCATCTCCTCCTCCAACTCTCACTCTCCTATTTCCCTCTTATAAGACCCTTCTGATATTCAGGGCCCATTCAGATAACCCAGGATCCTCTCTTCATTTCAAAATCCTAAATATAATCATATCTACAAAGTCCCTTTTCCCATATAAAGCAATATATTCACACATTCAGAGATTAGGACATGAACATCTCTGGGGGCCTGGTTTTCTGCCTACCACACTCCCCAGGAGCATTCTATCCTTCAGTCACTTGTACTTAATGAGCATCTATTATTTGTAGGTTAATGGACTATGTGCTGGGAATACAGAGGTCAATAAGGCAGTAGCTAAGGGCCTCCGGAGCAAAGGCCGAGAGGGCTTTATGGTGATTTGTATGTCCTGTACAGCCCTATTTAAAAAGAAAAAAGTTAAAACCAGGAGATTTTAAAGAAAAACCTGGACTTTTTGGCTTCTCTAGAAAAGCCAGATGGTCAGGGCACCCTGGGACTCATTAGTTCCCACAACATAGCAACCATGTATGGGGTGTGGATGCTTCAACCACAGGGTACCCACCACTCTGCGTCACCTCCTGCCACACTAAGTGGCTGCTTGGCTCACTATGACTCACTGGCTCCTGAAAACATTAGGGTTTGGGCACCACAGCTTTGGAGAAGAAATGGTAACGTGGGATGCCAAGTTATTTACTTTGGAACCAAAAGAAAATGTTAGGACTTCTGGGGTTGTTGTATCTAAAAACCAGTAAGAACTGAAGATTTTTTTCATTTGAAATTTACAGACTGATTGACATCCTGTCTCAACTGGCATGAGACGGCCTCACCTGCTGAGTGTGAGTTTCATCTGCTCAGTACACAAGTCTCCTAAGGGATGGGTGGGGCTTCTACAATGTAGAAAGTGACTGTGATGCCCTCTCTCTCTCCCCACATTCAGTACACACCACCGGCAGGTTTGCCTGGATAACTGGGTCTACTAATTGCATTATCTCACTGTAACTAAACAAGTCCTGACAAATATGATCAGGAGCTTACAAAATTCCTCCAAACAAACCACAGGCTAAAGCTATATACAAATAATGTAAGGACCAGTAACGCAGAGGAACAAGCGATGCTGGTGATTCTCTTCCTGGACAAGTTCTCCACCAGCCTTGTTACAAGGTAAGGCAGTAATACGCTAAGGAGATCTGACAAGAAGGTAGTCAAACAATGAGAAATTATTGAACCATTGAACCATTGAACCATTGATTGAGTCTAGTGCTGAGTGGTCTAGTTTTGGTAGCACTAATAGATGATTTACAAATAAAGATATTTCTATCTAGACAGTATTTTGTCACTAGACAAAGGTGGTTTCCCACCGTGATGAAACTTGCCAAGCCCAGGACACGTCACCCTTTGTTCTTCAAGGACTGAGAGCAGAACCGACCTAAAGGCAATAGCCTGAATCACCCAAGGAGCTAAGGAAGAAACTTAAATTCATATAATGCATCTGGCTACTCAAGAAAATATTCTTCCAAGTATGCCAAAGTAGATTTGAATAAGACTTTGGTATTCAATATTTGTCATGCCATCGGCACCATGGATGAAGAACAGCATATATGCTAAAATATATGCTATGGAATTCTTTATTCAATAAATCTCCATTACCCACATTCTCTCCCCTAAATGGATTTCTAATCCACTGGCACTTACCCAAGGTAATTGCACAGATGGGGAGGAAAGGAGGGTAATGAGTAGGAAAGGATGGAAATGAGTATTTAATGAGTGGTTCTCAGGCTGCTAGGCAGTCTTACATAGTATTTTATTTAAGCCTCTCTGAAGAAGCTATCATCATCTCCATTTTACATAGATAAAAATCAAGACTCAGAGAAGTAACTTCCCCAAATTCTAAGAATATAGGACAGCACCCTGATTGAAGCCACATCCATCTGACTGCAATGCTTCCTATCACCCTACACTGACCACTTGGATCACTGGATCCTTGCCCATCACCACCCAATCTGTCCCCGCGTGGCACTCACTGCACTCTCAGATCTCCCTGGCCTGCAACTCACATCTTCCCCCTCAAAGCCACAGTCACAGTAGCCCTAGGCCTCCAGTTCCCTGTGCTATCCACTCTGGGAACCAGGCAGGAATGGGCGGGGAAGCGGTACAGGAAAATCCAGGACGGAAGGAGCAGAGCTGAGAACAGAGCCCGGCCTCCCCACTGCCACAAGGGGAAGGTGAGGCATCCTCTACTCCAGGGGTGGGTCATCGCTGGAAGGTGCTGCAAAGCTCCTATGAAATCAGCAAGAGTGTAGGCAGCAAGGACACTATTTGTCTACGCCTAAAATGCAGTGAATAAGACTTTAGAATTTGATCCAAGTACTACAGCGATACAAGGCCTTTGATTTAGAATGTGTTCTCTTAAAAAGTCTCCAAGGGAGTCTGTTGCTGAACCGAATTCAATTTTAAAACGCCGTGAAGGGAGGGAAGAACCAAGTACAGGGCTCAATCACGTAAAAAGTCTAAAGAATTATGTCATTAGCAATCTTTAACCTCTGAAAAGCGCCACAGAAATGTAGAGCACGTCTTCCTAATGGAACCGAGAAATTTTATGCTGACAGGTGGAGGGGCTTATGGGACAGCGGGCCGGTGGCCAAAGAAGATTCCAGCGGTAAGTTTATGGTAACCCGAGCCCTGCGGGTCACGTGCGGCAGAGTAACTCGCCGGGGGCGGGGTGAGGAGCAGTGCTAAGAAGGATCAGGAGGGAAGACAGCAGGAATCATTCATTCTGCTCGTAGGAATACAGTCAGGAGGCCGACTTTAAAACTCCGATCCTCCGGGAAGGCCACGCGGAGGTGAGGAACAGGTCCTGCCCTGGAGGCGCCAGCCGCACCGACCGGGAGATGGAAGTTTTTCGCGGCGGCGCCCCAGCCACTTCGCAGGGCCGAGCGGTCTCCTCCACCGGCCGCCCGGCTCAGGAATGCCCTGCCTGCGAGTCAAAGTCGGGGTCGCGGCGGGGCGAACCTGGCCCAGCATTGCCTGGGGCCCTCAGGAGCGCCGAGGGGGTCTCCCTGCCAGCGCCCTCCTCCCCGCTCGCCCACCCTCTCCAAGCGGGCTCCGCGCGGCCGGGGATGGGACGAGGAGGGGAAGTTTGGGGCGCGTACCTCCTAGCGCCCCGCAGAACCCCAGGCAGGCAGCCAGTAGGACGAGGCGGCGGGCCCCGAACCGCCCCATCCCGCCGCGGCGGCCCCGCGTCCCGCGCTCACTCCCCAGCGGCGGCCGAGCTACCTGCGCCGCCGCGACCCGGAGCCCGGCAAGGGGGCGCCGCCCCCCAACATCTCGGGGGCAGGGCCGGGGCGGGGAGAGCCATTTGCATCCTGAAGCTGTTGCGCCCCTTCAGCGCAAGGAGCGGGCTGGGCCTTTACCCCGATCCTTACCCCCCGCCCTCCGCTGGTAGCATCAAACTGGCCTGGTGGCACCTAAGTAAGGGGGCAGAGAGTAAACGGCCCCTGCCCCACCCGGCCGAAATCTGCGATGGAGGGAAGTGTGCATGTCCGAGCAGGTGATTGTGACAAGTCAAGAGTGAGGGCAGCAGGCTGGAGGGTTGGGAGGAGGCAGAAGGATTCCTGGAGAAGGTAGGACAGTCATCCGGCCTTGAGGCAACCGCTTCCCCTGACCAGGGTGAGCTTCAGGAGGGCAGAGGGTTTGTTTCTCTCATTTCTATATCCTCAGTGTCTGCCTGGCGCATAGCATCAGTAAATAGGTGTTGGATGAATATGAATGGAAGGAGAGAAGACAACCTAATCATTCCTTCTTAAATGTGAGTCTGATTTTTGTTTCTTTGAAAGCACGGCCCCTAAATTATTCCACTGAATTTTTGAAGCAACTCTATCAGAAGACCCAAGAGTCCCCACCCGGTGGATATCGCCCCTGAGTTTTGGTACGTGATCATAGAGAAGAAAAGCCTCCACTCAGGTCTGCGGCTACTGGTAAAAATTAACGTAAGCAGGGCCTGAAGAGGATAGTGCTTGACGGGGATGCGCCAGGGACCTTCTAGAATCTGCTCCTCTGGGCAACATTTCTTTCAGTTGTGTTCTCTGCAACATGGGTGTTTATCAAAATGCCAACACGTGCTACAAGAACAATCAATGCTAGTGGTATTTTGTTCCTAATAAAATTAACAATGTCATTTCCCCTTCATTTGCTTTTTTGGTTCTGTAATGAAGTGCTTTTTAAGCATAGAATCAAATTTTGACCATTTCCTCAGCACATGACCTGTGAGACCACTGTTTTTACTTCTGAGCTGGAATGTTTTGTCTACCCAGCAGCCTCCCTTCTCCTGAGAACCTCACCCTCTTTCTTTAAGGGACTTTCTACTCCTGCTTTGACCATGTGTAGAAAATGGGAGTTGGCCTCCACATTCATGGGCCACAGTGATAGGTCAAGGAGTGGGTTCTTGACTGGAGCAGGACCAATCAGTTTCAATTTAAAGACTTTTGGGGAAGGCTTCTAAAGGACAAGGATCGGCTCCTCTTTGGAGGGGAGGCAGGGAAGCTATAGGTAAAGCCATCTGCCTTTTCAAATAAGCTAGCCTCTAAATGAGAAGAGAGCAGACAAAAAGATTTGCAGCTTGGCCTGGGATGAATGAGATCTGTCGTGTCCATTCATCCACAAGGCCAGCTGTACTCTTATCTTTTCTGGGATTTGATTACATGAGTCAGTCAAGTCCCCTTTTAACCTAAGCTACCTCAGGTAGGGTTCTATTACTTTAAGCAAAAGAACCTTCTTAACTTCAATCCAAGCATGATTTACATCACACTAGCTATGGTTTGTGCTCTGCAGGCCATAAATTTGCAAGCCCCAAGAGGAGGAGCTGACTTCCAGCTGATCACTGTCCTCAGCCCAGATTCGCCTGGCACTCATGATTGCCTTACATGCTATTGACTTTCTCCGGCAAGCACCTGCAGCTCTCTACATGGGACTTACTCTCTGGGTGTAGGACCATGCCTCGCCCTTGAATGCCCAAGACAGGCCAGGGGTGGATGCTCACAGGAGCAGCCCTCAACCAATTATGGAAGGGAATTGGTGACCAAATATCCAAATTTCCTCACCCTGGGGTGGGACAACACCAAAGTGGGTTCTAAATAGTCTCCTAGAGGACTAGGCTCTAATTACCCATGGTGGTAACCTAACCTGCTCATTAATGTGAGTACTTGGTGGAACTGCATATTTAGTCCCAAACAAGAAAGTTGGGGGTTGGAAGGAGCTTCTGAGAAGGAAGTAGAAGGAGCAGATTTTGTGGTTAAGAACCTGGCCACTGACTTTGCATCCCAGACTTACCTCAGTGGCCCAGGGCAAGTCCCTTAGCCTCTTTGTGCCTTGATACCAGGCCTGCCACATGCTTTTTGCCGCAAAATGGGCATAGTGATAGTTCCTACCTCATATGATGGTTGTGAGGATTCGTTATGACTTTTTGAAGTCTCAGAATGGAGCTAAAGGGGCAGAGAGATTCCACTGACATGTGTGGTGGTTTTGTGCCTAATATACAGGTGAATCCAAGCTTCCTTTTCTACAACTCCTTCCTCTCTGGGTTGCAAGGACAGTCGCAGTAGTTCTTTAGCTTCAAACTAAATTAGAGCAGGATTTCAAAGTAGCTTGAAGAGTCTAGTTAGAGGTCCCCAACCACCCCTGGCAAGAACCCTTAAAGCTGCCTGGGCAGGTGGAGTTCTACCCCTGGCCTCGCTGGACTCATCTACATCTCCTAGTTCCTTTGTGTCCTATCTGCCCCCCCATCCCAATCAAATGTTGTGCACTTTATCAGTATTGTTTCTCCAACAAGCAAGAAATGAGTAATCAGCTGGCTGACAAGCATCTAAGAGGGGAACCAGCCGAAAAAGATTAGATTTTCCAGGCTCCACACAAACCTATTACTCCCAGCCACTGTGGTCTCCCACATAGCCCAGTATAAACTAAACACACTGTGCCTCTGCTTTTTCCTTCTTAAAATGTGGAAATCACACCAACGCTCTACAGTCCTTCAAAAGCTTTAGCATTTTAAGCAAATGGAAAGCCTCTCCACAAGGAATGTGAGTTAATAAGCACAAAAATTGGCCCCACCCTGGGCTGTGTCCTACCAGAGTGCTGGAGGTGAAGCTTGGGAAGTCTGCTGGGGTCTGAAAGGCCAGTTCAGCTCAGATCAATCCAAGCATGCAGAAATTATCCTGGCAGGCTCAAGTATCCATATAAATGTAAAAGCACAGGCAGCATAGAACAAGATTACCCAGAGAGGCCCAAGCTCTCACCAATGTCTCCCAGAGGGGCATCTATTCAAATATTGGTTATCTCTGGCTAAGAACACAAGCTCAGGGGTTTGAAAGACCTGGGTGCAAATTCTGCCTTGGATACTAGTAAGTGACATTGGTATGTGACCTTGGCCAAATCACTTAAATGTTCCAACTCTCCCCTCGTTTGTAAAATGCAGATAATCATTCTGATTCCATAGGTGTGTTGCGCAGGTTAGTGAACTCATGAGGATTGAGTATTAAACAGTACCTGGCTCATGGTAAGAATTCTGGGCACTATAATTATACCTGGGGGCCCAGTTGGGCCTGCAGGCCTTCTCTACCAGCCTCTGAGTAGCCCTGACTCGATCCCAAGCCTCAGACACACACTCTTGAGAATGAGCCATCTCTCATCTTTCCTGCAGCATGGAGGACTGTTTCATTTTTTTTCTGTGTACTTAGCCATGTATACTGCTAAAGACTACTTATGTTCTCCATGTTAGTAATCTCCAGCATCCTCCAGCTGTCCACAGCAGTGTGGATTTTCTAGGGGCTGAAGAACACAGGACCAGATGGGTAGGATTTATAGCTCTGGTCCTAGATGTGGGACAAGGCACGTATCCTGCACCAGCCTCAGCTTCCTCCCTTATGAAATGAGAGGGATGGACTAAATGATCCATAAATTCCCTTCAGGCTCAACATTTTATGATTCTAACTGGTTATCATTAGCATCAGATGGCTCCCTCATTTAAATAGAGCTCTTTAAATGGGCACACAAGGAAACTTGTAAAGTTTGGATTTCTTTACACAAACCAAGGTAGTGATTGCCAATAACTTGAAGCTTTTAATTTAGAAACATCTTTCAAAATGTCAAAAAGAGATAACTATGAATTTGCTCCCCGTAGGGCACCACTTGCTCCTCTTGTTTGAATTAGTTCTAAATTACCACTTAAATGCTTCAAAGATTGAATGTGATCTCCATCCAATTTCCATGGCAGCTAAGATGGATCTAGAATACCGGGAAGTTAAGATGCTCAGTTAGGGAAAACCCATGTATGTGGTGACTCTAAGGATGTTTCTTTGTAGTGTCTGGTCAGGAAATCCACCCAAATAAGGGCCACACTCTAACCTAGTCATTTTGACTGGCACTCTCCTGCTATACCCCAGCAACAGGAATTATCCTATTCAGATATTGGCCTGAACATGGTTCACTCAGAAATGAAGGTATAGAGAGCATAAAACAAATATAGGGATGTGCCATTCATTGATTCAACAAATATTCACTGAACTCTTTCAAATGCAAAAGGCACATGAAAGATGCCCTGGTGCATGCAGAGATCAGTTACAGACTCTGCTTTCTAGGAAGCTGCAACATAGAGAGAGACATAAGACATGTACAGCAGTAATTTTAATAAAAGTGAATTGGAAGTTGGGTCATGCCTCTGGGCCCAAAAGTCTCCTTTCTGGAACTGTCCAGCCCATACACCATTGTTGATGTGACCAGCTTGAGCAGCTGTGTCAGATTTGCATGGCCCCTCACCCTCTGACCCCACACAGTTGGACCAGGTGAATTCCTCATCTAAAGGGCATGACCCTGGGAAACAAGAATGTCAAAGCTGATTCCTTCTCAAAACTTTCAACCAAGAAGCATAAAGAATGCAATGATCTGGTGGCAGTCACAGAACCAGTAAGTCATGTGCAGGTGGTACCTTCATAAAAATCCAGCAGAGATCCAAATTCCATTCAAGCTATGGAGGAACAGGGACTACAAGTCAGCAGAAGGAGCCACTTGCCTCTGTCTTGGTCTTTGCAGAGAGGAGATTGGTACCATGTTCCAGAGAAAAGCTGATCGTAAGGGACAATCAAGCCACAGAAAATCGTTGCCTGGTGGCTTTCCCATTCTTATGAAGTCCAGATGTACTTCCTGAATTTTATGTCCATGAGATTCTTCTGAGTTCTTTCAGTAAATCCATACTTTCCTAGAGCTAGTCTATAACTCTAGCTTCACAGATTCCGGTGTGCACAAATTATGACTTTCAGTATTTTTCTAAAATCAACTTGATTTCTGTTTTGACCTTCCAATCTGTTGCAGATGCAAAACTACAACTCAGCCAGTTGAAGGATTCTTTCCTGCATCCCCTGCCCCAAGTTGTTTTGCAGTTTCCTGGAACTTATGTAGTGCTAAGACATCAAGATGACTGAAGAAGGGGTGTGGCAGTTGTCTGTTACAAGACACTCTCACCGTTGTGCAGGCCCCCCTGAGACATTCTTCACCCCACGTGGTCTTCAGGTGTCAGTCCATGCAGGCTCCATGGAGACCGCCTCCTTCCCAGCTGAATGGTCCCATCAGGTCAGCAACCTTTTCCATTTCTCTCAAGCTACTCTGAACGCTCTTGGGCCACCCCTAGTGCAGGAGCTCTGTGAGGCTGGGTAAGGCCTTGACTACTAATACTCACCACACAGACATTTTCTGTCTGGAAATCTTACTGTCTTTTGGGGTCCATTCATCTAGCTGTGGGATTGGGCTCCTTCCATGGGGCTCTGACTTTCTGTAAGGCCCACCAATGTCATCGCACTGACCATTTTGCCTTGACTGTTCTGTCCTCTAACCCAGGAAATCCTTTTCCTCTTGGCTTGCTGGGTAGTGAGAAGGAGGAAACACTGCATAAACCAAGATGGAGTTTTAGCCACTCAGCAGAATAAAGTGTAAAATCATAAGTTTGATTACTAAAACATAAATGTATCATTTGCACAGAATTGAGATGTAGACAAGAAGACTTGTATTTGCCATGTTAAGATGCCTACCCAGGAATGCTAAGAATTCTTATGGAACCTACCCTACTCCCAGACTGGTTAACAAATAGTTGAATTTGAGCCAATTTCTTTGAGGCAATGGCTGTGACCTCAGTGAGCACTGATGTGTGAAAATGAGTTAGACGCTCAGAAGTCACTGCTGGTTTCAGAAAAAAAAGTCTTTGAAAGAGTACCTCAGGATGCTTTCTGTCTCCCAGGAAGTCAACAGAAGGAAGGAAGAATGGGCAAATGAAAACTTCTGAGTTTTCTGCAGAGATTAAATTATCTAATTTCTGGGAAGCTGCCTCAGGAAAGACAGGGATCTCTTGAGGACCTCTGTCAAGGATTCTAATTTTTCAAAAACCACAACCTTTTTCCAAGGAGAGTGGAGCAATTCTAGGTGAACTGGCTGCCTCCAGCAACCGAGAAGTCGCTTGTTACTCTGCAGAACCCACACAGCCCCTTAATGTGACATTAACTCAGTGACCTAGAGCACGTGCAGAAAAGGTCTATATCCTGGCTAGAAGGAAAACTCTGCCTAGCCCCAAGGGGAATATTTCAAGGTAGCTGGTCTGAGTAGAAAAGGGGAAATGTTCTCCAAGTAGAAAAGTGCAAATGGATTCTGCTCTTCCTTGATTTATGGGAAGATAAACACTTTATGGGAGATTCTACCCACAAAGAGACCCAGAACTAATAACTTGGAAACTGAGGTATATTTGGTACCAGGAAGGGCAGCTTGGGAAACCAGAAGAGAACTAGATTGGGGCCAGGCTGACTCTGCAGGAGCCTAACTCATTCAGCTCCCTTGTCCCCCTCTGAGCCCAGAGAGACCCCAAGGCCCAAGTTAAAATAGTACCACCAGAAGGAGGAGAATTATGCATCTAAAAAGCAGTTGGGGTAACAGCTCCATTATTTAGGAAGGCAGCTTTTCACGGAGGCTTTATAACCCCTCACTCTGTGAGTGGTCAGAGGTTCAAATCCCAGCTTCACCACTCAGCAAGCCAAGTTACTTAGCCTTTGTGCCTCAGTTTTGCCATCTGAGATATGGACATAGTGTAGTACCTACCTCCATTGGGATTTTGTAAGGTTAAATGAGGTCATTCACAAAATATGCTTGAGACATAATGGTAGGCAGCATTTTGACTGTTAACCACTCCTGTTGCTTTTAAGCAAAATGAGATATCTCTTCCTTGAAGAATACTGTTCAAAGACATGGAAACACCAAGGAGAAAAAGGGTGTGGGGAGATGCAGGGATTTGTTTCATTTATAAAATATTACTCCACCATAGTAGTTTGCTTGCAAGGAACAGAACCCCACTGAAAGAGCCTTAACTGCAAAGGAAAGCCACATATGATAAACAGGAGGAGAGCAGGAGCCTTTTTGGGTATGTGAGTTGGATTTTAAAGAGTGGGTCAATGGAGATGTTGTACAAGGCCTAGAAAGCAGGAGCACATGAGGGCCTGGTGCTTCCAGCCTGTTCTTTCCTCCTTAGGAGACAGCTTCTGTCCGAGGGCTAACAGGAGAAGGAAGAGTAGCATCTCAGGATATCAGGAGTTTGTGCAATTTCTCAAGCTTGCTCAGTTTCTCCCCATCACATACACACGTGTGTTCTTCCTCACTGGCAACACCCTCATCATGTGGATAGTGCTCCACCCCTTCTTGATCTTCCAAGGGTCGTAGGGATTGTGAGGGGCAATTTCCATACAATGAATTAAACTGGGGACCAACTGAGGATTTGATTCAACATCTCGTTGAGGATTGCCAGCAAATGCAAAGTCCTCACTTGACAGCAACAGAATAAATAGCACACTTGGCCCTAGAGCACAGGCACAGGATGGGTTCTTTCTGATGGAGACTGGGCAGTCTGTGGACTGAGGCTCACAAAGAGGCAGGTTCTCCATCCTTGGCCAGACCCAGCCACCTGGCATCTTTGGTAAATTCCTCAGAGTCAACTCAGGGAAAGCTCATAACCCCCATTCGTTTATTCTCTTCTTTTCCCCCCCAACCATGCCTAGTCATTTTTTCTCCCTAGCCCTGGAAAATAATCTCTTTTGACATGGGGAAGAACCTACTCTCTCCCTCTGCTTTTGGCTGTGTTTTTGTTCTTGGCTCATAGAGGGTTGCAGCCCAGGAGAAAGTTGAAAGAGCCCCTGAGCTATTGTAGCTTTTATGTTACAAAAACCTAAACGCTTATGGGTATGAGATTCATAGGCACAAAGATTACTTGTTTGAATTATAAGTGAAAGGGTGCTCACAAAAGGAAAAACTAAACTAATATGTCAAACTATGATTCCAGCCACTTCTGGTTACAGTATAATATTGTGGGTAAGGCTGGTAGGCCTATCTTTCTGCCAATTTTAGAATTCAGAGCCCAGATCAAAGATTTGGCATTTAGAAACATCCTGAACATTTGCTTTCAGCTTATCCAGGGGCTGGTTCATGAAGCCTAAAGTCACCAGAAGGGTGGTGTATAGTCAGAGAGAGAGAGAAGAAGTACTAGGACAGTGCTGGGTCTCTGAAGTTAAAAGAGTAGAGAGCTTCAAGGACTGACTGTGGTCCCAGAGATAAACCTGGGAAGAGCCCATTGGGTGGTCTCTGATAACACCTTGAAAACTATTTCTGATAATGGGTATCCCAACAGAAAAAGAGGAAGTCAAACTACCCCTGTTTATAGATGACGTGATTCTATATCTAGAACACCCCATAGCCATGGCCCAAAAGCTCCTTCAGCTGATAAACAACTTCAGCAAAGTTTCAGAACACAAAATCAACATACAAAAATCATTCCAGCATTCCTATACACCAACAATAGCCACGCCAAGAGCCAAACTAGGAACGCAATCCCATTCACAATCACCACAAAAAGAATCAAATACCTAGGGATACAGCTAACCAGGGAGGTGAAAGATCTCTACAATGAGAAGTACAAAACACTGCTCAAATAAATCAGAGATGACACAAACAAACAGACAAATATTCCATGGTCATGGATAGGAAAAATCAATATCATTAAAATGGCCATACTGCCCAAAGCAGTTTATAGATTCAATGTTATTCCTATCAAACTACCAACAACATTCTTCACAAAACTAGAAAACACTATTTTAAATTTCATATAGAACCAAAAAAGAGCCTGAATAGCCAAGGCAATTCTAAGCAAAAAGAACAAAGATAGAGCCATCATGCTACCCAACTTCAAACTATGCCTCAGGGCTACAGTAACCAAAACAGCATGGTACTGGCACAAAAACGGACACATAGACCAATGGAACAGAATACAAAGCCCAGAAATAAGGCCGCACACCTACAACCATCTGATCTTCAACAAAGCTGACAAAAACAAGCAATGGAGAACAGACTCCCTATTCAATAAATGGTTCTGGGATAACTGGCTAGCCATATGCAGAAGATTGAAGCTAGGCCCCTTCCTTATACCATATACAAAAATCAACTCAAGATGAATTAAAGACTTAAATGTGAAGCCCAAAACTATGAAAACCCTGGAAGACAACCTAGGCAATACCATCTTGGACCTAGGAATGGCCAAAGATTTTATGACAAAGACACCAAAATGAATCACAACAAAAGCAAAAATTGACAAATAGGATCTAATTAAACTAAAGAGCTTCTGCACAGCAAAAGAAACTATCAACAGAGTAAACAGACAACCTAGAGAATGAGAGAGAAGTGTTTGCAAACTATGCATCTGACAAAGTTCTAATATCCAGCATCTATAAGGAACTTAAACAAATTTACAAGAAAAAAAACAAGCAACCCATTAAAAAGTGGGCAAGACGTGAACAAACACTTTTCAAAAGAAGACATACATGTGGCCAATGAGCATAATAAAAAAAACTCAATATCCCTAATGATTAAAGAAATGCAAATCAAAACCACGAGATACCATCTCATACCAGACAGAATGGCTACTATTAAAAAGTAAAATAATAATAATAATAATAACAGATGCTGGCAAGGTTGAGGAGAAAAGGCAATGCTTTTACACTACTGGTGAAAATACAAATTAGTTCAACCATTGTGGAAAGCAGTGTGGTGATTCCTCAAAGAGCTAAAAACAGAACTATCATTCAACCCAGCAATCCTATAAAACTAGGTATATAACCAAAGGAATGTAAATCATTCTATCATAAAAACACATGCACACATTCACTGAAACACTATTCACAATAGCAATGACGTGGAATCAACCTAAATCCCCACCAGTGGTAGACTGGACAAAGAAAATATGGTAAATATACACCATGGAATATCATGCAGCCATAAAAAATGAGATCATGTTCTTTGCAGAAACATGGAGCTGGAGGCCATTATCCTTAGCAAACTAACGCAAGAACAGAAAACCAAATACTGCATGTTCTCACTTATAAGTGGGAGCTAAATGATGAGAACACATGGGCACATAGAGAGGAATCACAGACACTGGGGCCTACCTGAGGGTGGAGGGTGGGAAGAGGGAGAGGATCAGAGAAAATAACTATTGGGCACTAGGCTTAACACCTGGGTGACAAAATAATCTGTACAGCAAACCCTGCAATACAAGTTTACCTGTGTAACAAACCTGCACATGTACCACTGAACCTAAAATAAAAATTTTAAAAAGAAAGAAAATTTTCTGTAGAGGGTGAGGACAAAATCAGCTGGCAATGGGTTAACAGAGGAGTGGAGAAGTTCTGGAAGCTGATGGTGTGATATAGATTTGAGGAATTTAACTTTTAAAAACCCTTATGTTTTACCTGGTTATCACTTCTTGTTTCACTGCCAGTGACAAATAGCTTGCCATTTTAGGAATGTAAAAATTTTTTATATCATATGTCTTGATGCAATTATGGGGGTTGAACCACTATTGCATTTTGAAACATTTCTTAAATAAAATTAGAAGACTGGGCTAATTGGTCTCTGAGGTCCCTGCCAGCTCTGACATTCCATGATGACTTGAACCTTCGGGCCATCACAAATGAACATTTACAGAGCACTTTCAGCAACACAGAACATGCAAAGATGGCTCTTGTCTGTAGCCACAAAGGGAATTCTTATAAACTCCCTACAACTGGAGAGCCCTCTGCTTCTGATTGTCTCATCTGCTGCTTAGCTTTGCTCAGAATCAAGTCTTCCTCAGTCCACAGGCTGTGAGGGGAAGCCACCCATCGAGCAATGAGGGGGCCCACATGGCCAGCTCTGAGTGGTAAACTGCTCCCCACAAACCCAGCCACAAGGTCTATATGGACTTAGGACCCATCCGGAACCCTTGGTGGTTTAGGCCATTTAATATGTGAACTTCTCAGCCACTGGAAAGCCAGAGAGTGCCTCTACTACCCTTCCCCATGAAGCAGCCCCAGGGGCTCAGACATAATACCAGCAGGCACCAAGCCTCATTAGGGGAAGACATGTTTCTGCTGAACTTGCATTTCTAACACAAAGCTGCCTCTAGTAATCCTAGTGAAAGAAGTACAAGAAGCCACAGGAAACTATTTTCAGCTATCTTAAAACTAGAAAATTGATTTAAAATTGTTGCATTCTGCTTTCTAAAGAATCATTTACAGCTGTCTTGCCTCCTTGTTATACAATTTACACATATGACTCAGTCCTACCTTCGTCCCACAACTGAGTGAGACTTGGAAAGAAATGTATACTAAAGAGACCTCCCTGGCCCCTCCAGATTCAGAGATCTGAGTGTTTTCAAGTCAGAAATAAAGAGAACTGCTTGCTTCTGTCTCTCTCTTTATCTCTCTCTCTCTCTCTCTCTTTCTTTCTTTCATTTTCTTTCTTGACAGGGTCTCACTCTGTCAATCAGGCTGGAGTGCAGTGGTGTGATCATAGCTCACTGTAACCTCGAATTCCTGGGCTCAAATGATTCTCCCACCTCAGCCTGCAGAGTAGCTAGGAACTGCGTGCTTTTCCACAGCCAATTCTCGGTCCACCTGCTTATGATCCTGTGTCTCTGGTGCCATCTGCAGGAAGTAGACACAGCCAAATGTTTATACAGATTGAGTATCCATTATCTGAAATTCTGGGGATCGGAAGTGTTTCAAATTTCAGATTTTTTTTTTATTTTAACATATGTTCATGTACCTAATGAGATATCTTGGGATGTGACCCAAGTCTAAACAGGAAATTCATTTGTATTTTATATATGCCTTATACCCATAGCCCAAAGGTAAGTTTATACAATAACTTTAATGTGTGCATGAAATCAAGTTTTGACTGCATTTTCTACTATTGCCTTTCACATGAGGTAAGGTGTGGAATTTTCCACTTGAGAAATCATGTCGGCCTTCAGAAAGTTTCCAGTTTTGGAGGATTTTAGATTGCAGATTTTCAGATTGGAGATTCTCCACCGGTATTTTTATGTGATATTAACTCAACAACTGGTGGTGATTGACCACAGAGGGGACAACAAACAAGCAGCCTAAGAGAGGCACCAAGAGAACCATGGATGATGAGGAAGTCATGAATGTCCCTTAGAATCACTCAGCAATGCTAAAGGCATCACGAGACGTCAAGTAAGATAAGGATGGAAATTTTCCAGTGTTTTTGACCATTTGGAGGCTACAGCTATAGAGCTAACCTTGATGAAAGTAGATTTATTATCTCAGCAGGAAACAGAAATTATACTGCCCTGATTGGATGGGTGCAAAGAGAAAGAGACATCATGTGCTTCACAGAGTTTGGGTCAGAAGAGTAGGAGAGAAGTTAGCTATGGTGAGGGAACTATTATATCAGGAAAGGGATTCTTAGGATTAGAGCATGCTTTTAGACTGGAAAAATAGAGAAGGAGATATTGGAGATTACCAGAGAGAGGGAGAGAGAGAGATGCCTTGAAGAGGCAGAAGGGAATGGAGTCCAGAGGCAGGTGGAGGTTTACCCTTAACAAGGGAGGAAGGGAGGATGAATTTGGAATATATGACAAGTTTATAGGTCAGAGTACAAGAAACTGAGCTTGGAAGCTTCAATTTTCTCTATGGAATGGCATGCAAAATGTAGATGGGCATAACACAAGCCTGGAAGGTTTGGAATTATCCTTGGTCTGAACTTTCCCTTTCCCCCTGTTATGTACAATTGTTTATGAGTAGGTTGACCATTACTCCTGGTATGTCCAAGACAGTCCTAGTTTATGGCTATTGCTCTGTTATAATTATTCATTCTCAACAATGTCCCAGTTGGAACAATAAATTATATGGTCACTCTATTACGTGTGTGTGTGTGTGTGCGCGCGCGTGCGCGCGCGTGTGCATGCAAGGGCAAGATTTGTGTTTCGTCAGCCTGCACAACTGTGGCATTTTCTCCTGTAATGCAGACCCCACATCAGACCCAGAAGATGCAAATAGTATTGATCCAGGGTTGGGGTTTTTCTAGGCAGGTGAAGTAGCAGGCTAGAGATACTTAAGATTTGAGAGTTCTGGTGATTGGGTAGCATGGGGACAATGGCATCTATCCATGCTTCCTCCTCCACACAGGTAAGAACATCTTAAACACTGTGGTTTGAGGTATCTCTCAGAGGAAAAGCCAGTGCTCTTTGTAGACGATGGTCTACAAAGCCCTGAGTGACCCGCACCCACCTCTGACCTTCTATCACCTCCCTCTCATTTACTGCTCTGTGGAAAATATTCTGAGGTTACAGCCTCAGAATTTACCATAAGGACAGCACTGTGGGAAGGAGGGAAGGAAGTATCTAGGTGTCTAGCAAACAGCACAACCCAGACCCTTAACACATGAAAACTGCAGACTTTCTTTACATACTGATACAACCAAAGACATCCCCTCCTCCATCCCCTCCTCCACCGCCTGAGTATTGCCCTATGCATCAAGAGGGGTGCAGGAATCTTGTAATTCATAGGCGGAGGTTGGGGGATATTGTGGTAGTCAGGGAAGGGGAAATCTAGGGATTACTAGAGGATGCAAATACTATAGTCCTAAATTAGCAAACTTCAAAGGGCCATATGGGAGGAGTGGCAATTACATACTTTTCCTAGTCAAACTTTAGCAATGTATTATTTCACTAGACATTAATTCTTCTTTCTATATAGTAGTTTGTCAAACTTGAAGCTCTGAGGAATAAAAAGATGCCACATATGTCTGGAGTGGAGTATAAAAGAAGAGTCAATCTCATAGTAGACAAACACCCCAAGGACACAGGCTCTTTACACTTGCAGTTTCCTCTGCTTGTGATGCTTATAATACAGACAGCATCCAACTTAGCAAGGTTCAACATTCAATGTCTCTGCTTTGAATGGTGCAAAGGTGATGCACATTCAGTGCACTCCTTAGCTCCCGATGGGGTTGCATCTGGATAAACCCATTGTAAATTGAAAATACCGTAAGTTGAAAACACACTGTTGACTAACAATATTTTCAACTTATGATAGGCTTATGAGGTTCCTGATGGGCTTCTAGGGACATAACCCCATTGTAAAATGAGGAGCATCTGCGTCCTCATGGCTTGTCCCATGCTGCTGTCTCTGCTTAAATGTACTCTAACTGGTGAGGACTCCCATAGTCACCATAGATAACAGCTCCTCCATTCTGCATAAGCTGCTTTTTCTCCACAACATTGATAACCATCTGGTATACATAGATCCTTATTTATAGTTTTCCTTCCCACTCTAATGTAAACTCTATGTGGCAGAGACTTGGTATGGTCACTGAGCAACCCCAATGCCTGCAGCAGTGCTTGGGCCATAATGGGTTTTCAATGACTATCTGTGGAATGAATGAATGAATGAATAAGTGGATACTAAGAGTATTCATGCAATGTCTGTTTTCATGAAATTTTGATAAGCCCTCATGATCAAATTGTGGAGATATTCTAAGAAAATAATTACATCTTGATTCTTTTGAGTAGGTGAATTGCCCCTTTTTTCCCCTCAGAAAAATCTGTTGGGCAGGTAAGCTACACTCAGTAGCTTAAGATGAGTCTCAATCCTGGGACTCAAGTGTTTTAACTCCAAATTCCATCCCATTTCCGTAGCCCAACATGTATCCTTTCCTTTAGCACAGAGAAAGAAGTCTTCTTTTGGAAAGCGTCATTTCCTTTCACTGTCTCCGCTTTCTCACCTCTTTTGGAGTTTAGTCTCTTTTTGACCAACCTCAACCCAGCCTCGTCATCCCTGCACCCGGCATCTTGTTACAGGCACTAGAGTTACTTATTCAGGGCAAACCTCCACTTGCCTCTAGATCCCATTCCCTTCTGCTTCTTCAAGGCGTCTCTCTCTCTCTTTTTCTTTCTCTCCTGCAATCTTCAATATCCCCCTCTCTATTTTTCCAGCTAAAAAGGATATTCTAATCCTAAAAATCCCTTTCCTGATATTATAGTCCCTTCACCATACCTAACTTCCCCCCAACTCTTCTGATCCAACTCTTTGAAGCACATGATGTCCCCTTCTCTTTGCACCCATTCAATCAGGGCAGTATAATTTCTGTTTCCTGCTGAGCTACTGAAGGTAGGATGAGATGAGAGCAGAAAGCGCCAATCACCACACCTGATGGTACTCTCTGTTCTCATCTCGCCCTACATTCAGTAGCATTCAAACTGACTGCTCTTTCCTTGAAATCCTTTCCTTTCTTGGCTTCCATAAAGCAACAGGCTCTGTGTTAACCTCCCACTTCAGTGACTGCACCTGCTTAGTCTCCTCTGCTAGCTCCATGTCCTCTAAGCCATCTCTGCACTCAGAGCTCAGCCCTACCTGCTCTCTTCTTCTCCATCTACAAATTTTTTCCCGCCCCATGGTTTGAAGTACTACATGGAAAGGACTCCCAAATTCATACTTCTGGTTCTGAGGGGCCCCCTGGGTTTCAGCCTTACTTGTGTATCCAAAGCCCTTGTTATGGACCAAATGTCTGGCCTTCTCCCCCACCTCCCTGCCCAAATTCAAATGCTGAAATCCTAACCCTCAATGTGATGGTATTAGGAGTGGGGGCCTTGAGAGGTAATTCGATCTTGAAAATGGAGCCCACATTAATGGGATTAGTTTCCTTATTGGGAGAGACCAGAGAGCTAGCTTCCTCTCTCTGTTCTCTACCATGTGAGGATACGATGAGAAGACAGCTGTCTACAAACCAAGGAGAATGCCCTCACCAGACACTGGATGTGCAGGCACCTTGATCTTGGACTTCCCAGCTTCTAGAACTATGAGAAATAAAATGTTTGTTATTTAAGCCACCCAGTCCATGGGGCCTTATGTTATGACAGCCTGAACTGAATAAGATAGGCCTGCTTGCCATTTTCCCCCAGTTGTCAAATAGTCATCTCAAAATTAATGTGACAAAAATGGAAGCCTTGACTTCTGCTCTGCAAGCCTGGTCCTCCTCTCATCCCCTTCATCTCTGTAATAGCACCACCATCTATCTCATGGTTCAAGTCCAAACCTTACGAATCAACACTCATTCATCTCTTTTCCTTATACCCAAAGTCCTGTTAGCCCTACATCTAAACATGACTCAAATCAATCTGCTTCTCTCCATCTCTGTTGCTGCTCTAATCCAAGTGACCATCGATGCTGTGTTATCTCCCCAGGGTCTGGACCAGCAGCTGACACAGCATGTACTCAATAAGTAGTTGATGAAGAAATGAAGAAATTAATATGAAATTTTTTTCTATTTGAAGTTGTCAGTTTACCATTTTCATAGGAGAGTAATGGAAAGCCAGCCAAACTATTTTACAGCAGAACTCAGAGACCTCAAGGAAAATTTAGAAGTCAGTAAAGTGTGTATCTTAATACCCCCAAATGCCAGTCCTGCTTTTGTTCCCATGGGGACCCTTCTATTCCTCTGCCATCTTCATAATTTCTCAGAGTAAAAACCTACCCTGAAGAAAGGGGCTGGAATTCCTCACACAGAAATATAAATCAATGATAGCCACTTCAACGAGTGTCCTCACAGAGCATTTGGGAGCAAGACTTTACAATGAAGGAAGAAAGTTAAAGCAAGTCAGTGGATTGACAGCAGCCAGTGGGGATTTCTTCTGTTTCTTCTGACAGGCAGCTCTGGAGACTCAAGGCCATACGAGGTACTTCCTTCAGCCAAGGTTAGATGCAGGATTAGTCCATTAGTCCAATCCATACAGATGTTCATCGTAGGCCACACAGTAACAGGAGCAGTTGCGAAAACTGCGGGAGCTGACATTCTGAATGACACAGGGTTTCTCTCATTCTTCTAGCCCTGTAACCCCATCATCCCTCCTTCCTATTTAGTAATGGGGTGACAGCTTCTATTTTTACAAAATAGAAAGAATAAGTTCTGACTCAAGAACCCATGGAATAAGGAGTGAATTTCCTTCCTGCTTCTCTTCCTTTCCTATCAGTGAGTCAGGACGAAAAGCCAAGTCTCTGAAACCAAAGCCCTTAGCCACCACATTATGCTACCTCCCATACCCTGAGTCAAGGTAAATACAAGGTACTGTAGGTACCTGCACTGTGCCCGGTACCTACAAGGCATCTGTCATGCTCAGCTGCTGGGTAAACGGCGTCTGATGCAGCAGTAGCCCAGAAACAGCTGTGGCGTGTCCACATCCTCTGTCCAGGGAGGTTGCAGCTCATGGCTCATCATTAAACCTTTCTCAGAAGCCAAGAGACCCTCCTGACTGTGACTCACTGTATCAGACAGTTGCTTCACAGAACACAGTCCAGCCTCCCTCCTCCTCAGAAAGCCTGTATTGCAAAATGAGGCTTTTGAACAAAACGTCTTCACCAGCTCCCCGTCCTGCGTTACCATCGAGCAGCTGCTGCTTGCACTGCTGCAAACTAGCCTAAGTCCATTTGGCCATTCAGCAAACATCAGGCTATTTTTCTGGTAAATATCAAAAGCTGATGATCCTCTGGAGGTTCTAAGTGGGTGGAGTTAGACGTTCCCTTCACCACACTCTCACCATCAGGTGCAGAACAACAAAAGGGGCAAATTCCACCTAAAGTCACAATTCAGTCCCACAGCCTGCATGTAGCAGAAGAGGTCCCACTCTCTGCCTTAGCTGCACAATCACCCCTTACATGAAAGGCACATTCCAGGGTGAGTGAATGCTCATCTTTGTAGTCAAATTGGTGACAAAAATCCTCCATGAAGCCCGTGAAAGAAGAAGCCAAGGAATTTTCAACCTGGAAAGCAGTCGTTAAAGTCCTGGGCTGACCAGATTCTTAACCTTCATTCACATATGCCACTGAATGTTCGTGAAAGGACAGTGAGTCCTGTACTAAGCTTCCATGAATTTCAGCACTTAAAATTATTTCTGACATCCCTTCTGCTAACTTACTAATGCTCTCAGGCTTTATTTCAGTAAGTGCCAAGAAATTCGCTTTTGAGGTTTAAGTTTCTGTTTAGGATTCTGCATAGCTAATTAATAACCTCATGATTTCAAAGACTATTAATCACCTCTAAAATGATGGATTTAACTTGTACACAAAAATTATATAGTTTATACAAATTACGTTATTTGTTATTGTTGCTTTATTATATATATTAAAGTGTATAACATGGTGTTTTGATATACTTATCTTGATACACGTATGCATAGTGAAGTGATTCCTACAATCAAATGAGGTAACATGCCCATCATCTTTGTTACCTTTCTTTTTCTTTTTTGTTTGTGATAAGTACCTAAAATCTGCTATCTATCTTAAACACATTATTTTAAAGTAAATTAACCTACAGGCCGTAGAACATTGAATGTCTGCTGTTAAAATAGGAATAAACACTAATGTTTCTCACTTCTGGGTAGCCCTCATCTTCCTTCCAAAATAAAGCAATTGGCATTCTCTCTTTCTCTCCCCCTCTCTCTGGCACGCGTACACATGCACACACACAGATTTTCAACACACTTCTCTGCTTGAATTGGAAGAGACTGGGAAAATTAGACAACAGCTGTGTACTTCCAAGAAGTCTCCTATTTCTCTGGCTCAGCACAACTTGTGATTTAGTTCATTTGCTCACTGTGCAGCATTTCTCAGAAACCACAAAGAACATGAATGCAGGTGGCATGACTGGAAGGCTCAGAAAGTGCTCTGTGGTCTCTGTATGAGTTTGAGGTTTCAGATTCTACAGATGGCACATGTGAAACTGACACTTCACTGCACTGCATCTCTGGCTCTGTAATTGAGGGGCAGCTGCTTCCTGGTAATGCAATAAAACCCAAGGGCCCAAAAGAAAGGCTTAGAATACTCCTCTCCCCTGCCCTCAACTCCCAAGTGCCTTTCCACCAAACTGCTGTGTGGGAAAGTCACCTCTCCAGCCTTGTCACTCCCGTACACCTTATACTCTTCTCAACTTTCATTACACCCTGCGGGGTGACCTGGTGATTTGAGTGCCTGTATCTTTATTAGTCATAAAATTATGTCTAATATTCTAGATGGCCCCATGGCACCTTGCATAGTTTAGGTTCTTCACAAATATTTGTTTCCATTTTACCTATAGCTCATTCATTCATTCATTTATTCAATGATTTTTGGACTCAGGGTAGAATATTCAAAGGTATATTCAAGGGGGGAGGATTTCAAGGTGGATTCATTTTTTAGCATTAAGTTCTGCTTAATGGTGGTTTTGTTTCAAGTATCCAGATGCAGCATTAGAGGTTAGAGACTAAAGACAAGGATAACTTTATGGGAAGTTGGTCAAGCTCAAAGCTATCATACCTCTTTCCAAACATGTCTCTTGGATAGATAAGAAAAATACTAATGGTAATGACAGCAACAAAAACAGGACGATTAGCATTTCAGGAGTGTTTACTTTTTTCAGGCACTGCTGTAAGTGCTTTACTCGCTCCACACAGTTGCTTTATGAGGGAAACACTATTAATGTCCTCCATTTTACAGATAACATGGTGCCTGGCATCCTGCTGCTAGAGATTAGTATTTAGCAAGTTTAGACAATACCCTCTGTCAGGCCATTCCCTCCTTTTAAATGTGCACATCCCTCAGCATGATGATCCCCTGCAGTAGTCCAGGTGACAAACACGCCTTAGTGTAAAGCAGTTTACAAAATGCCTCACTTCCTGGTAATCTGCACTCTTGGAGGATTTGGAGGAGGAGCTCTGAAAAGAGGGGATGGAATGGCTGCAGAGAGAGAAGGTGGGATGGACACCTATATCATATTGGATAGACTTGATCAAAGCCACCTAGGCTGGGAATCCTGTAGCTGGGGTTTAACTGGAAAATGAATAGAGACTTGGCCAAAGCAATTTTTGTTTCTTTCTAATGCTGTGTCCATTGACTCCAGGCCAAACAAGAATCTTTTGGGAAAGGGCGTTTGAGCCATAGAACAATGGACTGACTGATGTCAATCAAGGTCAGTTTTGCCTTCCAGGGACATTTGGCACTATCTGGAGATATTTTTCATAGTCATCACTGGGTGGTCAGGTGTTACTGGCATCTAGTGGTTAGGGGTCAGATAGGCTGCTAAACATCCTACAGTGCACAGGACAGCCCCCTTATCATGAAGATTATCTGGGCCAAAATATCAATAGTACTGAAGTTGAGAAACTCTGCAACACATTAAAAAGGTGCATCTGTACCATTGGAATTTGAGTCTGGGCTTCTGAGCAGTGATGACTGCAGAGGGGCACCCTCCAGTGGCCAGTATGAATCATGAGCCTAAATCCCAAAGAGTGACTCCAGTTCTCTATCCTTTCCCTGGTTATTTGCTCAGCCTTCCATGGAAGAGCTAGCAGGGATGTCCTGTCCTTTCTGTCCCCTCCTCCCAGGCACACACATTTATGAAAGTATGGCGCACGAGCCTTCACCCTTCATGATGAAACTCCTCCAATCTTCCAGTGGATTTTCACTTTATGCAATTAATCTTATGTGAACAAAAAATAAAAAATAAAAAAAAAGGAGAAGGTACACAGTTCCCTTCCCTGAAGAGGGAACATGAGAATCAGGGAACTCTTTATCTTTCACACCGACTAAACACACCTGAATTTGTGTTTTCTCTTTGTTGACTCTTTTGGCTTCTTTTCATCTGCATTCAATGTGGTCACCTGTAAGGCCATAGCCAGCAAAGTGGTATCTTCATTGCTCTCCCGGGAATGTTAATGAGCTTAGCAACAACAAAATCCTTCTGATTTACTAAACCAGTGCACCTCCTGACTTGTGCATAAACCTCCATGACATTGCATTGAAATTGATGCTCCATTATCAAAGCAATGATAATTTGAAAGGTTTCTTTCTCATTTCTGTAGTTTTTAAGCTCTTAGATAATTGCTTTGACTCTTCTGTGGGATCTGTATAAAATGCCAAAGTTAGTGAGAAGGTGTAAGCGTGAGAGTCACTCCAGGTCCCTCCCGTGACTGACATTGTCAGAAGCAATTTGCCCTCCCAGACTTCAGATGGTGTCTGCATGTACCAAGCCAGGTGTGTGCTGACTTTTAATCAGGCCACTCAGCCTAGTTGACTGAGGGAGATGCAGATCCTCCCAGCCTCTCAGGGAGGATTCTTTGACCAAGTGACTAATAAAACACCCATGCAACAGATGTTGGACTACCCACAGCCTGTGGCTCTCCTACCTCTCACATAGGCCACCTCACTCCTACTGAACTGGGGAATGTGAGGAGGTCTCATGAATGGTTTGCCAGCCTGTGGGAAGCTCTGAATCCATCCACTAGAACACTTCAAAGATTTTGTGTTCAAAGTCACCCTGGAAAAACAATCACCAAAGTGGTTCATTCATCCCACCAGTAACTTGATCACTGATGCTTCAGAGGAAACCAAAGAATTCAGCACTATTTACTACCTTGTGAAGTATAAATCACTGCGCCTTCTTAAAACTGTATGTGTAGGAAAACGAAGGCCAGAACATGCTTAGTTTCAAAGCATTTTTTTACCTAGTTTCTCAAGCCCCCTCCCTTGTTCAAACATCAACTCAGCAGGAATGACTGATTCTAAGAGTGCACCCACCCTTCCCATGAGAACGTTCTGAGAAATCATCCACCGGCCGTGCCATGTAGCATCACCGCATGCCTCTAAGTTTCCTTCTCATGGCAGCAGGAGGCAAGAAACATCTTGAACCTTCAGGGATTGAAGACTAATAAGGAGGAATTTGCATTGTCATCTTTAAAAATAATAAACCTAACTGATTGCTTTAATGTTTCAAAAAAAAATTTATCCTGCTTCTAAGAAACAAAACTTCTGAAAAGACTGCCATGAGATTGAAAATCTTGCAATGGAATGTGCCGCTTGAGGGCGCCATTAGGCTTTGAGAAAATAACTGTCTGCTACTTTAAGTGCTGTCTTTGGAGCCAGCCCTGTGTCCAGCAAGCTCTATGAAATAAAACTGAATTTAGATCTCACTTCTAGGAAAATGAAGGGAAACAGGAATCTAGTCTCTTTAAACTCAAGTGACATTAACCAAAATTCGGTTGACAAGTTCTAAATTCCCTTGTACAAAGCTGTCTTTACCAGCCAAATGAAATAAAAAGTGATACTGTGCTAAAAGATGCCCTGTGTATTTTTGTAGGATTGACAGTTGCTTAAGATCAACATTCCAATGTGAAATGAGAAAAATAGTGGGAATAAATTGCATAACAGAAATCTCCTGATTTAAAACTGGAAACCTAAGCTGTTTGGGTTCCATGGGGAAAACTGCTTTACTTGGGTGTTTGACACTCCCAGAGAAGGAAAAGCTGATATGTAACTCGGCTTTTTTATCAGGCTTTGTTTGTCCAACACAGGTCCTACTTTCAACAAAGCGTAGTAGAAAATGACACAGAGGGTTGAAATTCCCAAGTATTGCAGAAGGAGGTTTGTGGAAGATCACAAATCAATTTGTAATTCAATAGAGTATTTAACAAAGCTAAACCTTCAGTACAGAATTTGCTGAATGAGACAGTCAATGAGAAAATAGACTACAACAGAGAGTTGAAGATAACAGACTACCAGGAGCGTCCAATCTTTTGGCTTCCCTGGGCCACATTGGAAGAAGAAGGGTTGTCTTGGGCCACACATAAAATACACTAACACTAACAATACCTGACAAGCTAAAAAAATAATAATAAGAGAAAGAAAGTCTCATAATGTTTAAGAAAGTTTACAAGTTTGTACTGGGCCAATTTCAAAGCTGTCCTGGGCTGCATGTGGGCGGGTTGGACAAGCTTAGACTACAGCATCATTGATCCAAATTGGAATTTCTTCTCTCTGCCTTCCACCTATCTCAATCTATCCAATCTTCAGTACACAGTGTGAGTTTCACGGTTCCCATAGAAACTCCTTTTATTCTTCCAAATATATTGTTCTAATTGTTTTATATGACTCTAGTCTCTCCCATTCAACTTAAAAGACACTTAAAAGCAGGAGACAAATATTATATCTTTCTTATCTTCTATTGCCCAGTCCATGGACCTATCAGGTATATAATAAATACTTTCAGATTTACTAATTAATCTAAAAAGATATAAGAAGAGAAAAAAAATTTTTTTTCCTACCATTTGCTTATCTTTAAGAGAAGATTAGATGATTTCTATTAGTAAAAATGCTTAAGGATGTCAAAAACTCAAAAAGAGATGTGGGTTAAAATTTACTAACATACATGCATCACATTCCTTGTATCAAGGCATTTTTTATGGTAAATTACCATGCAGACAATACAATAATGTAAGACCTGTGTTTTAGGCAAATGAACCTAGTGGCACTGTGAAAGGTAGATCAGAAGGGGGAGACAGTGACATCTAATATTAGTTACTGTTCGTCAAATGCCAAGTCTGTGCAAGCCACTTTATATTTATAGTCGTTAAGCTTCGGAAAACTTGCTTGGAGAAAAGTAAGCAACCCACTCAAAGGCCTGAAGGGAATGAATGACAGAACTGAGAGTCAAGCCCTGATGTAAGTGAATCCAGAGATGTGGTCCTTGCACTACAGTGAGTTCTGTCTTCCGGGAAAATGGCTGCAGGTCTGTTAAGCTGCAGACCAAGGAAGCACTCAGCCAGAGCTGGGATGCAATAGCAACCTGACAGGGCTCGGGCCCTCTTCCAGGTCAGCATTTGCGGGTGGTGTGAGCACCAGCCCCTTCTGTGGTGTGATCAGGGAAATGGGGGCCATGCCTTGAGGTGGCTGCTTGGTGACCAGCTTGGTGCTTGCCTCTCTCACTATGGTCTCATCTCATTATTAGCTAACTGCCTAGGGGACTGGGGTTGTATTTGACTCCTTGCACTTCCAGCAGTGCCTTGCATATAACAGCTACTCGGGATTTGTGGAATTGAGTCTTGAGGAGCGAGATAAGGGAAGTCTAACTACAGTTATGGCAGTAGAATTAGAAAGGAATTAGAAAAGATTAGATTCAAATGGCGACGAGGAAATAATCTTTAGAAATGTATCAACTATTCTATATGGAGAGTAAGGAAGACTCATAGGATTCTAAAGAGCTATATCCAGAAAAAAATAAGAAGAGAGCTGGTTAGGGTGGGTGTAGTGTTAGAGGGTGCTAGTTTGGGGCATGATAAAGTTGGAGCTCTGCGAAGCCATTCAGGTGGAGTGGTCCAGTAGTGGTTTAACACCATCAGGCTGGCCCTTGGGAGAGTGATCAACTGGAAATATTGATTTGGGAAGTTGTCCTACCCATCCTGTTTGCTGTGCCTTAAAAATAATCCAGAATCTGACTATTAACCCTGCTACCCTGGTCCAAGCCACCACTGTGTATTGTCCTGATTATGGTAGATGCCTCTTAACTGGTTTGGCTGTTTCTGTTTTTGCAACACCACCCTCTCCTCCAAGTCTATTCTCAACACAGCAGGTAACATGATCTTTTTAAACATAATTCAGATCTCTCTTCAGCTAAAACCCTGCCATCCACCGTCCCCACCCAAACCCCCCACCAAACACACACTCAGAGAAAAAGTCCTGATGAAGACTTGAACAGCCCATCCAGTGGGCACTGGCACAACCTCTGTAACACACTCCTAATTTTCAGAACTCTTCTTCCACCACTGTCTCTTCTCGGGCTCTCTTGGCTCCAGCAGCATCAGCCTCCTGGCTGCACTGCAAACCCTCCAGCCTCACCCCACCCATTGTGAGGTGTAACCTACAAGCCCTCACTGTAACCTCTGCCTGGAAAGCTTCCCTCCCCTAATCTTCATGGTTCATGCTCTTCCCTACTCTAGGGCTTTGCTTAAATGTCATTTTCTCCTTGAAGGCTTCTCTAATCCTCTCTTTAAAATGTCAGTGACCCCACCCCTCACTGGCTCTTTTTCCCCTGCTTTCCTTTCCTCCCCAGCTCTCCTCCCCTCTGACATTCTATGTATTTTGTTTACTTGTGTATAGTCCACCTCCTGCAAGCTAGAAGTTCCATGAGGACAGGAATGTATATGTTTTTTCAGCAAGCACTAAGAACAGCATCTGGCACACAGTGGGCAGTTAGTAAATATTTGTTGAATGAGTGTTGAATTATTGAGCCCGTACAGACTAACAGCTGTAACTATAGCACTGCCAGGGGCAAGAACATAATGAGAGAAAGGGACAGGGCACCAACCTTGGACACAGAGAGGCTGGGTGGGTGGTTCACCCAGGGTCACACAGCCAAGCTGGGGGATAAACCCATCCTCTGACTCCTGAGGCCAGTCTTTGGCCAAGACATTAAGCAGCCTCATCTCCTAGAAACTGGCAGCCCCAGTGAGGGTGACAGAGGTAAAAGGAGAAAGCAGCATGAACCATTAGTGAGCAAATGTCAGATCCTAGATGCCTTTGGAAAAAGGAGAGGATTATTTTTCAGTCTGTGGCAATGGGCACTGCTAAGGACCTCGTGATTTTGCTTGTGGATGCTGAATCACAGATTAGTATTTTATTATCATTGTAGCCCTGTTGGACCTCTTAGGGAAACAAAGATTGCTTTAAAATAAGAATTAAACTAATCCCTACATGTGAATTGTCAATAGAACACTAGGTAATTTCTTGGAACATGTTAACAACTTACTAAATTGTACCCTGGCAGCATCAAAAGCTCAATATATTTTCTCCAGGAACTTCAGCTGCAACCAGAGATGTCGAACAGGCCTTGGGTTAGTACTGCTTGATGATGCAGTGACTATCCTGTTTCACCTGACTTTCCCCTAAGACACTTCTGATTATTTGCCTGGAATTATGACTGTACATTCAAGGTGGCCATGTGTCTTGAATCATGAGATGTGGCCCATTACCCTCTGTACAAACCCACAAGATTATTTCACAAGATATCAGCCCACCATTGAGTCCCTGGAAAACTGGTTCATTGAAAGAGAGATGTGTGGTTAATTGCCTGTGGCACTCCAAATACAGCTTCAGACTCAGTGTTCAGCCAACTCGCGAGATTCCACTGCAAATATCTGCTGATTGGCTCTGTAGTCAGGCAGTAAATTGGAAAGCCAAAGAGTAGAGCCAGATGGGTGGAAAATAATTGTCCACTCCTCAGTGAATCTAGACATGAGAAGACCTCCCAAGAGCATCATCAGGAAAATGGCTGAATCCTTGCATTCCTCAACAGCCCTTTCATGCACTGACCTTCAATTGTGAGATGACCTTTGATGATGATCATCCTCTTCACTGCCATCGTCTGCATCCACAGAAGCAGAAAGTCTTCATTAAGTTTCCACTGTCTGCAGTGCTGTTCTGACCACCAACCAAGTACCTTGTTCAGGGGCCCCAGCCTTTTTGTGTTTACCTCCTAAGTTAAAATCATTGGCTACAGCTGAAGCTGCTTTTTCACAGACATCAGCCTCCATCTGGCTGGTGTATTTTGTTGCAGTTGTTGTTTTAACCTTTTCAATATCATGATTCATGCTTGTATGAGACACAGGCTACTTTGGATTCTCTGACCAGAAAGAAAAATAAGATAAGTATTTGAATAGTATTTTCATGAATATAAATCACTTTATTCTTTACAACAACTCTTTAAAGGGACAGGCATATTTTTTTCAATTTATACATGATGAAACTGAATCCCAGATAAGGCATATGACTTACAGATTTATAATCTTAGCTAAGTGGTAGGGTCCATGTTTGATAACTTAAAAATATCTCAGAGAGCCTGAACATTTCTAGAAGCAGTCTCTAGTGGCTGGAAAAGAAAAAGAGAGTGCAGGGCATGGTGTTCTTTGTTCCTCCATGAGCTTTCAACTTAAAAGATATTGTTGACACTTGTGTGTGTGTGTGTGTGTGTGTGTAAGAGAATGAGACAGAGATGGAGAATAAGAATGAGTCCACCGTGTATGCTGATTCAAAAAGGAGACTGAACTCAGGGGAAATGAAAAAGCCACATACCCAGGACCAAAGAAAAGGCTGGTCACAGGACCCCTGCTTACAAAGCCCACGGGACCCTGACTGAATGGGAACATCAAGTACCCTGAGGAGCCCCGAGAATCAGAGCAGAATCTAGACTTGGAAGGGAAAGACTATTGGACTAGAAAGAAAGGAAACAACCACACAGCCATTTCAAACTCCTGAATAGGCCCTGATTGTGGAAGGAGAGAGAGAACAAGGAGTGCCTGGAAACAGCTGCACAGCGCACCTGGCCTCTGGGAGACTGTGTGAGGCCATCTTACTTCAGCTCTGCAGAGCTGGGCCCCAATGCCTTAGGCCTGAGTGGAGATCTCTGCAGCTCTTCCCACTGCCTCTGCCTGACCCCCACCCCCCTCCACAGACCCTCTCACCTGGCTAAGCTCTAGTCCTCATCCAGCCTTAACCTAAAGTCTACTACCTCAGAGAAACCTTCCCATTTTTTGCTCCCTGTACCTCCCTTTTTATGACACTCACCATATTTGTAATTTCTTCTCTGGCTTCCCCCCTAGAGTCTCAGATCCATTTGAGCAGGTCCTGTCTCTGAAGTCCAGGGCTCTGCCTCCAGCTCCTAGGAAAGTACCCGGCACAAAGAAGAGGCTCCATAACTATTTTTTAATTGCATTGAAATGAAGATTTGGGATTTGCTTGAATGGAGTCAGCAAATGCCATCATCAGAGGATGCTATTTCAGAAGAGAAAAATAGAAAGGAGGTGTGCTCCTAAGGGCTCCTGCCTTGGAGGTATTACTAGTGCTACTGCCCCTCTGAAATTTCTATTTGCTTTGGTTAGCTTTGCACTGTTGTCATTATTCTGGGGATTAATATCAAGAATATGGACCAGATTGTCTTCCCTTCAGAGGCTATTGGGGCATACCCCATGTTGCAGAAAGATCTCTTGCTCTGTAACAAACCACCCAAAAACTCACTAGTTAAAACAATAATGATATATTCTTTCTCACAAGTCTGCATGTCCGGTTTTGAGTTAAGACTTGGTTGAGCAATTCTGTTCTGCAAGGCATTGGCTGGAGTCACTGACTCAGCTGCCCTCTGCTGCAGGTGGGCTGAGCTAGAGGACTTCACTCCCATGTCTGGTCCCTCCATGTGGACTCTTGCTTTCCATATAGTCACTCCTCCTACAGTGGTCTAACCTGTGCTTCTTTAAGAGCAGGGAGTCTGGCTTCCCAGAGGAAAGTAAAAGCTGCACAACTTCTTAAAGCTAGGTTTAGAACTGGCTAAGTGTCATTTCTGCCAATTCTGTTGGTCAGAGTAACTCACAAGGCCAGCCCAGATTCAAGATGAAAGGAAATGGATTCCATCTCTTGATCGATGGAGCAGCACACACATACAGAGAGAGAAGAAAGTGATGGCCGCCATATTTGGAGATTCCACCACACATACTGTACTCTACATTGTCACGCAGTTCTAAGAAATTTCAAGTAAGTATTCCCCTTTCCTCATCTCTAAATTTAAGGCCCAATCTCAGTAACTTCTTTTTGTTGGTCTATTTGCCTTTATGTGTCCTGAAAGAAAATCAGTGTGATGCTCAAAAGGCCAAAGTCAAAACAAAAACAAGAAGAGAAACTTGTGTCAGATACTAAAGTCCAAATTCTTGCCTCTAGCTTCAAGCTACTCTGGCATAGTATAAAGACTCCCTGGACTATATGTAAATTGATTGGCATTAATAAGCTGCCTTTAGCTTCTTTAACAACAACAGCAACAGCAAAGCGTCCAAATCATGTTTGAATTAGAGATTGTATTCTATATCCAGTTCATTTTGTTTTTCTAACCTGTTTGTGCAACTCAGTTAATGAAACTCTTCAGATAGACTTTTGAGAACCAGGTGATATCCCCAGAGATGAAACACCATGGCCGCCCCCCAACAATGAGTGCCTAAACAGACAGAAGCAAAGCATGGTCCTGTGTGTCCCTGGATGCCACATCCCTGGGGTGCAGAGAACGATGCACCTAGTAAGTCATTTCCTGAGAACTACTTCAAATCATAGATTGGAATGGGCTGCATTATCCAGCAGCTCAGGCCACCTCTCTGACAATTCTACACAACTCAGAGAATCCTGGAAAGTTCTAAAATCCTGAGTTCAAGTTTTTTGTCACTGCTCTTCACTAGTTGTGTGATCTAGGGGTAGTTTTGCCTCTGTCTCCCCATCTGTAAATGGAGAAAATAATGTGACCTCCTGTAGGACTGGGGCAAGAAGCAAATGGGAAAATAGATGTAAAAAGTAGTTTGTGAACAGCAAAACACTTCTATTCCTGGTATTTCTTTCTATTACATCTCTCAGCATATACACATTCAGCCACAGGAGTAGACAGATGTCCCAGCTGGAGCAATGTTATACAAGTTCTTGCTCTCCTGTGAACCAGTCACTGTGCTAAACTCTGTACATATTAATGCATTTGTTAATATGTTAACTCTGTACATATTAACTCATCTGCTCCTCATAATAATACCAGAATGTCCTATTATTATTCCTATTTAACAGATGGAGAAACTGAAGCATAGAGAATTTAAGTAGCCAGTCCATTGTATTCCAGGTAGAAAATAATATTGCCTGGATTCTAATCTAAGTAGTCTCGCTTCAGAGTTTCTGCTCATAACCACTAAGTTATACCATTTCATCATTGTAAACACCATAATTGGTCCAAGAATAGGACCATAGGACAATAATAATTAGAACTGTTTTGACATTGACATGTGGACAGAGAGAAGGCAGTTCTCTCCCTGTTGGAAACAGGTCAGCCTGGAGCTTGTGGCAACCATTTTCAATAACCACATCCAAAAAATCTGTCTACAGAATGAAGACGCCAAATGGTGTATTGGTAGAGGAGGTTCCTTATTATAACAAATAATGCAAATAAATTTCCTTTCGGCTCTCTCAGCAGTTCACCACCAGGAATCCTGATTGAGCAGCTTCCCTCCATGGAGCAACTTTATGACTTATTTTGCATCTTTTTGATATTGAAAAGGTTGGATGGCTTTCTGTTGGGGCATACCACCTGGCATCCCTAGACTTCATTCAGATGTACAGTTGAATCAAAGACAAAGACAGTGAATGGAGAATCTAAAATGAGGACTCAGAGTTCTCCATTGTCCTATTATTGCACAAAGGATGTCTAAAGAAATGCCTAACGTCAAGGAGCAGGGAGTTAACAGCTGGGCACTCCCTTTCTTTATAGCTCTTCTCCAGCTCTCCCCTTGCTGCCACATGCAGGCCACCATCTTCTAGCCATGGATTGATTGCTAAGGGAGTCAGGTGGTGGGGTAGGTATTTCTAAATTAAAAGCCTAGGGAGATTATTCTAGCTCTCTGGAAATAAAGGCACAAAAATTATTTTACTACTTCCATTTCATTTTAACAAACTGTGCTCATTCACCTCCTGCTCTGTAAGGTGATAAGATAGATATTATAAATAGACAACTAAATGTGATCAATCTACAGTAAAAGTCTAGGTAAACCGCTTGAGAAACTAAGAGGCAAATGAGATTGATGAGACCCTCAGAAAGATGTTGCCACAAATAAGCCCTTTCATGGGTTTATGAAGGAAATCTATGGATTAAAAAAGCCTCTGGGATAAGCTCCTCAATGTCTCACCATTCTGCTGCTGAACAGCAAAAGGTTTGTTCCTCCTTCAGATGCAACAGTAGCAGAGCTTAACTCAGATAATACAAAGAATCTAATATTATCTCAGACACATCATTAATATCAAAGTGTTTCCTGAGGAAAAGCACAAATCAGAGTCAGCATCCACTGGCTTTTGGGCTTTCCCAAATGTCAAACACTTCAGGGACAATTTCCTTCTTTTTTCTCCTGTTTTACATCCCTGAAATGGACCAAGGGCACTTTTTTTTTCACCTGTGATTCAGTACTGATTCATTTTTTTCTCTATTTCATGCTATTACCTTTGCTATTCTCTTTGGCTGAAGTTGTCTACCTTATCCTATAATTTTCTGAAGTTTAGACTTTCCCTACCAGATGACTTATTCAATAGAAAATGGCAATTATACGCGGTTCATTTTATTAATTGTAATCAAAGTATGGGATCAAGTTTGAAATATTGGCTGTATGAATGAAACTTCAGGGTCTCTGAAAATGTGACTCACTGTAGCTGACAATTGTTTAGCCAGGGTGCAGGGTCCATAACCTTCCCTCCTTCATTCCTTTAACCTTCTGCATATAAACAGATGCCATTAGAATGTTGTGTTGGTTGATGGCATAACTACTCACCACACTGGGACACTTTTGAGAGAGAAAGAAAGCACTAAAATAATTAATAAGCATTAATTGAGCTCCAGCAGGTGTAAACTGGTACTGTCCTGGACAAATCAAGGTGTAAAGCTATTTAATTATTGCATATCCTGAAGCATTCTTGTAATGGCCGTCATCTGGCCCAGTGAGCCAAGGCTGTGTCTGACCTGCTGAACCAGGTCAAACAAACTGTAGGACTGTACAGAGTATATTTTCATTTTTATGCACAGATAAGGCTTTCCAAGCAAAGGAAACTAAAACCCGGTTTAGAGGACAAACCTTAGAAGTTAAAGGGTGTTAGATCTGAAGCCATCTGTTCCCATTAACAGGACAAATAAAATTTATATCTTCAGGAGCCAAATATTTACATTCCAGGGTAGGAACTTTCCCCTTTCTCTTCCTGTAAGAATTTATTTACATTCAAAAGACTATAAATGACTAGGGAGCACAGATTTTTCTCTTTCTCTAAGAAAGAGGGAGGGAAAAACAGCCATCATGCTCCTACAGAAACGGACAGATTCATAATTTGGGGGTTCCTCTTCTGTGGTGCAAAAAGCCTCTTTTGTACATGCATGGGGATTTTGATGGGGATTATATTGAATCTGTAAGTCAATTTGGGAAGTATTGTCATCTTAACTATATTAAGTATCGCAATCCATGAACATGAGATGTCTTTCTAATTATTTAGGTCTTTAATTTATTTCAGCAATGTTTTCTAGTTTTCAGTGTACGTAAGTCTTGCTCTTCCTTGGTTAAATTTATTTCTAAGTATTTTATTATTTTTGATATTATTGCAACTGGAGTTGTTTTCATAATTTCCTTCTTGAGTTGTACATTATTGGCTGTACAAAAATACACCCATTTTTGTACATCAATTTTAAATCCTGAAAACTTGCTGAATGAACTCAGTTATTGGCTCAGGTTTTTGGTGAATTCTTTAGAGCTTTTTTTAAATCTGTAAGACCATGTCATCTTCAAATAAAGATTGGTTTTATTTCTCTTAAATTGATTTTATTCCTTCTCTTCCAACCTGAATGCATCTTGTTTCTTTTCTTACCTAATCAGACTGGCTAGAATCTTTAGTATAATGCTGAACAGAAGTGGTGAGAGCAAATTGTGTTGGCTAGAACCTCTAGCATGATGCTAAACAGAAGTGGTAAGAGCAAACATCCTCCTCTTCTTCCTGATCATAGGGGAAAGCTTTAAGTCTTTCACTTTTAAGTGTATTAGCTGTGGGTTTTTCATAGGTGCCCTTCATCAAATTGAGCAAATTCTCTTCTTTCCCAGTTTGCTGAGTAATTTTTTTAAAATCATAAAATGGTGTTAAATTTTGTTGGAGTATTTTTTGGTATCTATTGAGATTATCATGGTTTTCTTTCAATTTTTTTCTATTAATATAGTGTATTACATTGATTGATTTTCATATGGTGAGCCAACCTTGTTTTCCTGGGATAAATTTCACTTGGTTGTGGTATATGATTCTTTTTATATATTGCTAGATTCAGCTTGCTAGTATGTTGTAGAGGATTTTTGCATCTCTATTAATTGGTAATATTGGCAGGTAGTCTCCTTTTTTGTGATGTCCTTATCTGATTTTGAAATCATGGTAATCTGACCTCATCAAATTAATTGGGAATAATTCCCTCCTCTTCCATTTTTTGGGAAAAGCTTGGGAAGGATTGGTGTTAATTCTTGTTTAAATATGTGGTGGAATTCACCAGTAAAGCCATCTGGTCCTGAACTTTAATTCGTGAGTTAAAAAAAATGAATAACACAATCTCTTTACTTGTTATAGGCCTATTTAGATTTTCTGTGTCTTCTTGAGTCAATGTTGGTAGTTTGTGTCTTTATAGGAATTTGTTCATTTTACCTAGGTTATCTAATTTGTTGGCATACACTTGTTATTAGTATTCTCTTATAATCCTTTGTATTTCAGTAATGTCCCCTAGTTTTGGTTTTTTACAGTAATAGTTTACATTATTGACTCAAGATTTTTCTTCTTTTAAATGTAGATATTTACAAGTATAAATTTCCTTCTGAGCATTATTTTTTTTGCTGATTCCATAAATTTGGGTGTTTTGTGTTTTTATTTGCATTCATCTCAAATAATTTTTGAATTGCTCTTTTGATTTCTTCTTTGACCAACTGGTAATGTAAAACTGCTCTTAATTTCCACACATGTATAAGTTTCCCAGAATATTTTATTTTATTGATTTCTAATTTCATTCTATTGTCATTGGAAAACAGACTTGGTATGATTTCAATTCTTTTTAAATTATTGAGATGATTTTATGTTGTAAAAGATGTTCTATTCTGGATAATTTTCCATGTGCACTTAAGAATAATGTGCCTTAGGTTGGACCCATCTGACAAAGGGCTAATATCCAGAATCTACAAAGAACTTAAACAAATTTATAAGAAAAATTCAAACAATCCCATCAAAAAATGGGCAAAGGATATGAACAGACACTTCTCAAAAGAAGACATTTATGCAGCCAACAGACACATCTCATCATCACTGGCCATCAGAGAAATGCAAATGAAAACCACAATGAGATACCACCTCAAACCAGTTAGAATGGCAATCATTAAAAAGTCAGGAAACAACAGGTGCTGGAGAGGATGTGGAGAAATAGGAATGCTTTTACACTGTTGGTGGGAGTGTAAACTAGTTCAACCATTGTGGAAGACAGTGTGGCGATTCCTCAAGGATCTAGAACTAGAAATACCATTTGACCCAGCCATCCCATTACTGGACATATACCCTAAGGATTATAAATCATGCTGCTATAAAGACACATGCACACGTATGTTTATTGTGGCACTATTCACAGTAGCAAAAACTTGGAACCAACCCAAATGTCCATCAGTGATAGACTGGATTAAGAAAATGTGGCACATATACACCATGGAATACTATGCAGCCATAAAAAAGGATGAGTTCATGTCCTTTAGAGGAACATGGATGAAGCTGGAACCCTTCATTCTGAGCAAACTATCACAAGGACCGAAAACCAAACACTGCATGTTCTCACTCACATTTGGGAATTGAACAATGAGAACACATGGACACAGGGTGGGGAACATCACACACCGGGGCCTGCGGGGGGGTGGGGGGAGGGGGGAGGGATAGCATTAGGAGATATACCTAATGTAAATGATGAGTTAATGGGTGCAGCACACCAATATGGCACATGTATACATATGTAACAAACCTGCATGTTGTGCACGTGTACCCTAGAACTTAAAGTAAAATAATAAATAAATAAATAAATAAATAAATAAATAGAAAGAAAGAAATCTGACAGAATCCAAAAAAAAAAAAGAATAATGTGTAGGTTGGAGGATTCAAGATGGCCAAATAGGAACAGCTCTGGTCTGCAGCTCCCAGCAAGATCGATGCAGAAGAGAGGTGATTTCTGCATTTCCAACTGAGGTACCTGGTTCATCTCACTGGGACTTGTTGGGCAGTGGGTGCAGCCCATGGAGGGTGAGCTGAAGCAGGGTGAGGCATCACCTCATCTGGGAAGCACAAGGGGTCAGGGAATTTTCTCCCCTACCCAAGGGAAGCCATGAGGTTCTGAGCCTGAGGAACTCCAGCATAGATACTGCACTTATGCCACGGTCTTCACAACCTGCAAACCAGGAGATTCCCTCCAGTGTCTACCCCACCAGGGCTCTGGGTTTCAAGCACAAAACTGGGTGGCCAATTGGGCAGGCACTGAACTAGCTGCAGGAGCTCATTTTTTTCCCCATACCCCAGTGGTGCCTGGAATGCCAGCAAGACAAAACTGTTCACTCCCCTGGACAGGGGTGCTGAAGCCAGGGAGCCAAGTGGTCTGGCTTGGCGGGTCCCACTCCCATGGAGCCCAGGAAACTAAGATCCACTGGCTTGAAATTCTCACTGCCAGCACAGCAGTGATCTGAGAGTGGAAGAAAGGATATCGGTGACTGAAGATCAAATTAATGAAATAAAGTGAGAAGACAAGATTAGAGAAAAAAGGGTGAAAAGAAACAAACAAAGCCTCCAAGAAATATGGGACTATGTGAAAAGACCAAATCTACATTTGATTGGTGTTCCTGAAAGTGATGGGGAGAATGGAGACAAATTAGAAAACACTCTTCAGGATATTATCCAGGAGAAATACAGAGAACACCACAAAGATACTCCTTGAGAAGAGCAACCCAAGACACATAATCATCAGATTCACCAAGGTTGAAATGAAGAAAAAAATGTTAAGGGCAGCCAGAGAGAAAGGTCGAGTTTCCCCACAAGGGAAGCCCATCAGACTAACAGTGGATCTCTCTGCAGAAACCCTACAAGCCAGAAGAGAGTGGGGGCCAATATTCAACATTCTTAAAGAAAAGAATTTTCAACCCAGAATTTCATATCCAGCCAAACTAAGCTTCATAAACAAAGGAGAAATAAAATTCTTTACAGATAAGCAAATGTTGAGTGATTTTGTCACCACCAGACCTGCCTTACAAGAGCTCCTGAAGGAAGCACTAAACATGGAAAGGAACAACAGGTACCAGCCACTGCAAAAACATACCAAATTTTAAATAACATTGACACTATGAAGAAACTGCATTAACTAGTGGCAAAACAACCAGCTAGCATCATAATGATAGGATCAAATTCACACATAAAAATGTTAACCTTAAATGTAAACAGGTTAAACACCCCAATTAAAAGACACAGACTGGCAAGTAGAGTCAAGACCCAGCAGTGCGCTGTATTCGAGTGACCCATCTCACATGCAAAGACACACATAGGCTCAAAATAAATGGATGGAGGATATTTACCAAGCAAATGGAAAGGAGAAAAAAAAAAAAAAAGAACAGGAGTTGCAATCCTAATCTCTGATAAAAATAGACTTTAAAGCAACAAAGATCAAAAGGGACAAAGAAGGGCATTACATAATGGTAAAGGGAACAATGCAGCAAGAAGAACTAACTAACCTAAATATATACACACCCAATACAGGAGCACCCAGATTCATAAAGCAAGTTCTTAGAGACCTACAAAGAGACTTAAACTCTCACACAATAATAGTGGGAGACTTTAACACCCCACTGTCAATATTAGACAGATCAACAGACAGAAAATTAACAAGGATATTTAGGACTTGAACTCAACTCTGTACCAAGAGGACCTAATAGACCTCTACAAAACTCTCCACCCCAAATCAGTAGAATATACATTCTTCTCTGCACCTCATTGCACTTATTCTAAAATTGACCACATAATTGGAAGTAAAACACTCCTCAGCAAACGCAAAAGAATGGAAATCATAACAAACAGTCTCTCAGACCACAGTGCAATCAAATTAGAACTCAGGATTAAGAAACTCACTCAGAACCAAACAACTACATGGAAACTGAACAACCTCCTCCTGAATGACTACTGGGTACATAACGAAATGAAGACAGAAATAACCAATGAGAACAAAGACATAACGTACCAGAATCTCTGGGAAACATTTAAAGTGCTGTGTAGAGGGAAATTTATAGCACTAAATGCCCACAAGAGAAAGCAGGAAAGATCTAAAATTGACACCCTAACATCAAGATTAAAAGAACTAGAGAAGCAACAGCAAACAAATTCAAAAGCTATCAGAAGATATGAAATAACTAAGATCAGAGCAGAACTGAAGGAGATAGAGGCACAAAAAAAAAACCCTTCAAAAAAATCAATGAACCCAGGAGCTGGCTTTTTGAAAAAATCAACAAAATAGATAGACCACTAGCCAGACTAATAAAGAAGAAAAGAGAGAAGAATCAAATAGATGCAATAAAAAGAGATATAGGGGATGTCACCACCGATCCTACAGAAATACAAACTACCATCAGAGAATACTATAAACACCTCTACAAATAAACTAGAAAACCTAGAAGAAATGGATAAATTCCTGGACACATACAACTTCCCAAGTCTAAGCCAGGAAAAAGTCGAATCCCTGAATAAACCAATAACAAGTTCTGAAATTGAGGCAGTAATTAATAGCCTACCAATCAAAAAAGTCAAGGACCAGATGGATTCACAGCCGAATTCTACCAGAGGTACAAATAGGAGCTGGTACCATTCCTTCTGAAACTACTCCAAACAATAGAAAAAGAGGGAATCCTCCCTAACTCATTTTATGAGGCCAGCATCACCCTGATACCATAACCTGGCAGAGACACAACAAAAAAAGAAAATTTCAGGCCAATATCCCTGATGACCATGGATGCGAAAATCCTCAATAAAATAGTGGCAAACCAAAACCAGCAGCACATCAAAAAGCTTATCCACCGCGATCAAGTTGGCTTCATACCTGGGATGCAAGACTGGTTCAACATACTCAAATCAATAAACGTAATCCATCACAAAAACAGAACCAATGACAAAAGCTACATGGTCATCTCAATAGATGCAGAAAAGGCCTTCGATAAAATTCAACACAACTTCATGCTAAAAAGTCTCAATAAACTGGGTATCCATGGAACATATCTCAAAATAATAAGAGCTATTTATGACAAACCCACAGCCAATATCATACTGAATGGGCAAAAACTGGAAGCATTCCCTTTGAAAACCAGCAAAAGAAAAGGATGCCCTCTCTCACCACTCCTATTCAACATAGTATTGGAAGTTCTGGCCAGAGAAATCAGGCAAAAGAAAGCAATAAAGGGTATTCAAATAGGAAGAGACGAAGTCAAATTGTCTCTGTTGGCAGATGACATGATTGTATATTTAGAAAACCCCATCATCTCAGCCCAAAATCTCCTTAAGCTGATAAGCAATGTCAGCAAAGTCTCAGGATACAAAATCAATGTGCATCACAAGCATTCCTATACACTAAGAACAGACAAACAGAGAGCCAAATCATGAGTGAACTCCCATTCATAATTGCTGCAAAGAGAATAAAATACCTACGAATAAAACCTCCAAGGGATGTGAAGGACCTCTTCAAGGAGAACTACAAAGCACAGCTCAAAGAAATAAGAGAGGACACAAACAAATGGAAAAGCATTCCATGCTGTGGATAGAAAGAATCAATATTGTGAAAATGGCCATACTGCCCAAAGTAATTTATAGATTCAATGCTATCCCCATCAAGCTACCAATGACTTCTTCACAGAATTGGAAAAAAATTTCTTTAAACTTCATATGGAGCCAAAAAAGAGCCCACATAGCCAAGACAATCCTGGGCAAGAAGAACAAAGCTGGAGGCATCACACTACCTGACTTCAAACTATACTACAAGGCTAGAGTAACCAAAACAGCATGGTACTGCTACAAAAGCAGATATATAGATGAAGGGAACAGAATGGAGGCCTCAAAAATAACACCACACAGCTACAACTGTCTGATCTTTGACAAATCTGATGCACACACAAGCAATGGGGAAATGATTCCCTATTTAATAAATGGTGTTGGGAAAACTGGCTAGTCATATGCGGAAAACTGAAACTGGACTCCTTCCTTACACCTTATACAAAAATCAACTCAAGATGGATCAAAGACCTAAACGTAAGACCTAGGACCATAAAAATCCTAGAAGATGACGTGGACAATACCATTCAGGACATAGGCATGAGCAAAGACTTTGTGTCTAAAACACCAAAACCTATGGCAACAAAAGCCAAAATAGACAAATGGGATCTAATTAAACTAAAGAGCTTCTGCACAGCAAAAGAAACTACCATCAGAGTGAACAGGCAACCTACAGAATGGGAGAAAATTTTTGCAATCTATCCATCTGACAAAGAGCTAATATCCAGAATCTACAAAGAACTTAAACAAATTTACAAGAAAAAATCAAACAACCCCATCAAAAAATGGGTAAAGGTTATGAACAGACATTTCTCAAAAGAAGACATTTATGCAGCCAACAGACATTTGAAAAAAAAGCTCATCATCGCTGGTCATTAGAGAAATGCAACTCAAAACCACAATGAGATACCATCTCACACCAGTTAGAATGGCAATCATTAAAAAGTCAGGAAACAACAGATGCTGGAGAGGTTGTGGAAAAATAGGAACGCTTTTACACTGTTGGTGGGAGTGTAAATTAGTTCAACCATTGTGGAAGACAGTGTGGTGATTCTTCAAGGATCTAGAACTAGAAATACCATTTGACCCAGCCATCCCATTACTGGGCATATACCCTAAGGATTATAAATCATTCTGTGATAAAGACACATGCACACATATGCTTATTTCAGCACTATTCACAATAGCAAAGACTTAGAACCAACCGAAATGTCCATCAATGATAGACTGGATTAAGAAAATGTGGCACATATACACCATGGAATACTATGCAGCCATTAAAAAAGGATGAGCTCATGTCCTTTGTAGGAACATGGATGAAGCTGGAAACCATCATTCTCAGCAAGCTATCAAAAGATCAGAAAACACCACATGTTCTCACTCATAAGTGGGAGTTGAACAGTGAGAACACACGGACACAGGGAGGGGGAACATCACACACCAGAGCCTGTGGCGTGGTCAGGGCCTATGGGAGGGATAACATTAGGAAAAATATCTAATGTAGGTGACTGGCTGCTGGGTGCAGCAAACCACCAAGGCACATGTATACCTATGTAACAAAACTGCATGTTCTGCACATGTAACCCAGAACCTTAAAGTATAATAATAATAAAAAAGAATAATGTGTATTATGCCATTGCTGGGTAGAGTGTTCTACAGATGTCAGGTCTAGTTGCTTTATAGTGTTGTTCAAATCTTCTAATTTTTGTTGATCTTTCTACTTTGGATAAACCATTATTGAAAGTAGGGTACTGTCAGCTCTGGGCAATAAGTTTCTGCAAAATAAATAAATAAAAAAATAGGGTTCTGAAGTCTTCAACTGTTATGGTTGAACTGTCTATTTCTTTTCTCAAGTGTGTCAGTTTTTGCTTCATGTATTTTGGGGCTCTGTTGCTAGGTGCATATATATTTGTAATTGTTATATTTTCTTAATAGATTGACCTCTCTTTGTCTCTAGTAACAATTTTTATTTTAAAGTCAATTTTGTCTGATATTGGTAAAGCCACTTGTCTCTTTTGGTTACTGTTTGTATCATTTATCTTTTGTCATCTTTTTACTTTTAACATATTTGTGTCTTTGAATCCAAAATAAGTGTCTTTTGGGCAGCATAAAATATGTATTTTTCTTAAAATTCATTTATTTCTGACTTTTAATTGAAGAGTTTAACCCATTTACATTTAATGTAGCTACTGATAAAGTAGGATTTATGCCTGCCATTTTGCTATTTGTTTTCTATATGCCTTAATCTTTGTTCCTCTCTTCATTACTGCTTTCTTTTGTGTTAAATAGATGTTTTCTTGTGGTGTACAATTTTAATTCAATTATGATTTCCTTTTTCTTTTCTTTTTTTTCTTTTCTTTTTCCTGAGACAGGGTCTTGCTCTGTCACTCAAGCTGGAGTGCAGTGGCACAATCACAGCTTACTGCAGCCTCGAACTCCTGATCTCAATTGATCCTCCCACCTCAGTCTCCTGAGTAGCTGGGAATACAGGTGTATGCCATCACAGCCGGCTAATTTTTTGTATTTTTTGTAGAGACAGGGTTTCACCATGTCGCCCATGCTGGTCTCAAACTCCGGGCCTCAAGTGATCTGCCCGCCTTGGCCTCCTAAAGTGCTGGAATTGTTATTTCTTTTACTATATATATTTTAGTTGTTTTCTTAGTGGTTGCCTATGAATTAACATTAATATCTTAATTTATAACAACCTTGTCCAAACACTCAGTTTCAATAGTATACAAGAAATTTGCTTCTATCTCTATGTCCCCCTCCTCCTTTATGCTGTTATTGTTACAGATTACATTTTCATACATTGTGTGCCCATCAACATAAATTTATAATTATTGCATTATGTAGTTGTCTTTTAAATCAGATGGAGGAAAATGAGTTACATGCAAAATATACATTTATACTATCTTTTACATTTACCTCTGTAGTTACCTTTATTGGTGCTCTTCATTATCTCAGGTAGATTTGAGTTATGTGAAGTGTCTTTTTATTTTGAATGACTATTTTTAGATTTCTTGTAGAGCAGGTCTGCTATAAACTACCTCTCTCAGTTTTTATCTGAGAATATCTTAGCTTTTTTTTATTTTTGAAGGATAGTTTGCAGAAGATAAAATTCTTGGTTGACAGTTCCTTCCTCCCTTCCTTCCTTCCTTTCTTCCTTCCTTCCTTCCTTCATCCCTTTCTTTCTTTCTTTCAGAACTTTTTAGTATCATCGTCTTGCCTTCTGTCCTCCCTGGTCTTTTGTAAGAAAGTCACTGCTAATCTTATCAAAGATTCCTGCACAATGTCTTAGCTCAAGCCACTGTAACAAAATACCATTGAGTAAGTGGCTTAAGCAGAACACATCTATTTCTCACAGTTCTGGAAGCTGAGAAGTCTGAGATCAGAGTGCCAGCATGACCAGAGTTTGGTGAGGGCTTTTTTTTTTTTTTTTTTTTTTGCTTGCAGGTGGCCAGCTTCCTGCTGTATTCTCATATGGTGGATAGCGGAAGCTCCAGTGTCTCTTCCTCTTCTCATAACAGCACTAATTCTATCATGGGGTCTCCACTCTCATGACCTCATCTAAACTGTACTATCTCCCAATGGCCCCATCTTCTAATATTCTCACACTGGGGGTGAGGCACACATTCAAACTATAACATATGTGATAAGCCTCTTCTCTTTTGCTTCTTTCAAGATCCCCCTTGGTCTTTGACTTTCAACAGTTTGACTATGATATGCATAGGTGTGGATGTCTACAAGTTTATTCTACTTAAAATTTGTTGACCTTTTTGGGTGTATAGATGAATGTTTTTCATCAAATTTGGAAAGTTTTCAGCCATTATTTCTTCAAATAGTTTTCTGCTCCTTTTTCTCTCTTTTCTTGTTCTAGGACCCCATTGAGCATATATTGGTATGCAGAGTCTCACAAGTCTCTTAGGTCTGTTCATTTTTTTAAATTATTTTTTCTTTCTTGTTCCTCAGACTGCATACTCTCAAAAGACCTATCTTCAAGCTCACTGATTCTTTCTTCTGCCTCCTGAATTCTGCTATTGAGTTCCTGTAAGTGAATTTTTTATTTTGGTTATTGTGCTTTTCAACTCTAGAGTTTCTATTTAATTTCTTCTTATAATTTCTATCTCTTTATTTATATTCTGTATTTGCTGAGACATTCTTCTCATGTTTTCCTTTAGTTCCTTGATATGGTTTCCTTTAGCTCTTTGAACATATATTAAATACCTAATTTAAAGTCTTTGTCTAGTAAGTCCAATGTCTAGAATTCTTAAGCATAGCTTCAATTGATTGATTTTTTGGTGTATGGGTCATACATTCTTGTTTCTTTGTATGTCTCATAACTTTTCTTGCATTCTTAATGTTTAAATAATATAATGTGGCAACTCTAGAAATCAGATTCTCCCTTCTCCTCAGGGTTTAAAATATAAACTTATTGTATATTGTCACAACTTATTGTAGTTGTTGTTTGTGACAACAAAATTATTTTAGAAAAATCAGTGACTTTTCTTAAATAAATTTGTAAAATCTGTATTGTCATGTGTTGCCACTGAAGTTTTTATTCAATTAGCTTTTTGATCAGCTAATGATTGAACAGAGATTTTATTAAATGGCTAGACTAATAAATCTCTCAATATTTGCTGAGGGGCTCCGTGTACATGTTAGGGCACACCTTCAACATTCAATCAAGCAGTTTATAATCCTGCCTTAGTTTTTATATCCTACTTATGCAGAACCTCAAAGTGAGACAGAAGTGAGAACTGTGGGCCTTTTCAGGCCTCTTATGAGCATATACACAGCGCTATATATGCACATGGCCTTCTAAAGTCCCAGGAATATGTTGGGGCTTTTTAAAGCCCATATGGACAATTCATTCTTCAACATTTACTTTTAAGCTTTTGGTTTGTCTATTGCTTACCCTAATTGTTACCCATCGCCTCAGGCAGACGTGAGTGCCTGCCTATATTTGCCTGTAAATGTTTTTGACAAATCACCCCAGAAAAAAGCTTTTAGCACTATGAAAACTTGAGTCAGGTCAAATAAAGGCAAACCTTTCAAGTGGGGCCTTCCAAGAAACACCAGATGAGTCAAATAATAACTGTTCTTTGGAAATGAGGCTTTGAAATAACTCAAGCTTCATTCTACTTTCTCCAGTACCAGGCATGCAGGCTGTTATTTTTCAAGGCTACCACTGAGCTGGGAGCAGGGAATGAGAATAGAACATGTTAAAATGATACAAAACTCACTTGCCTTACTGGGAATCAGGCATTTTTCTCTACAAAATGCTCCCCAAGTTTCTGCAAGCCTTTGATTAATTTTGAAAGTTCTAAAAAAGTTGATTCAGATCTTTTTGCCAGTTTTTTCAAAGCCTTTATGGAGGGGCAAATTTTCAGAGGTCCTTACTCTGGCATTTTTGCAGACATTCCACCATGATATGGTTCTTACTGTAATAATAATCTGTTTCTGCCCCAGAAACTTCATGTTTACTTTCAAGATAATATGAATAAATATAGATACTAAAAATTTATCAATCATGCATTATTCTGTGACAATATACCCCATATAGGCCTTATTAAGCTGGGGATATCACTTTTGGTGTTCAAGTCAGAGTGGGGTTTACACTCGCCCATTCCAATCAATGATGCATTTTACTACATTTGAATTTTATTGTGATCCTGAGGTCTAAGCCAGAGAATATAAACACACTCAATTGTTTTCAGGGATTAGAATAAGATATTCAAATTCTGTTATTTTTATACAATCTGTAGTGCTACTTCTTGCACTTTTACGGTAGATTAATCACCACATTCCCTCTAGGTAAATTACAATGTCTCTATACAGAACTCCAGAAGGAAGTATAGTTCCTGGGAAAATTGGAAAAGAAAATATGGTCACAAGAAAAAAGTTAATATAATAATGGAGAACAAGTGTCTCCATTATTATACACACACACATATATCTACACACACACATATACACATATCTACACACACACACACACACACACACATATATATCACAGTTTCTTTATCCACTTGTTGATTGATGTGCAGCAAATGAATACTTTTTAATGGGAGAATTCAACTAATATTATTAAATATTAAGACACAGTAGTAGGCACAATGTTAGGTGCAAAAATTAATTGCACATAATTGTGTCACTCAAAGAACTGTTTTTGTCAATTATATAATAGATGTCTTAGCCTGGGGGTTCATAAATCAGACTTTAAAGCAAAGCCTTGTGTATTACTACAATATTAAGGAGCACAATCCCAGAGAGCAGCAGCAAGGGGCATGGGTTGCTACGCAGGGACGGAAGAGCCGACACATAACATAGGTTATCAAATTCGCTCCTACTGAATGTGACTGATGAGCAATCCCACAGAATTATCCTATGCAAACCCTAATAACCTCTCAAAACAGTTCATCCTGGAGGGGAAACGTAGCTGAAAAGTAGTTAATGATCCACTGGCTCTCATGTCCCATTTGATAAAGGTCCACTTTCCTCACTCCTGCGTTGTGTATGTGTCATTATTAGGCAGGGCTCATCAGCGTTCCATGCTTAAGCAAATCCACATGTGAGAGTGATCAGGAAAACTTTCATGACTGGGAAATATTTGGGTTCTATTCAGAGGGACAGAAGGGACTGTGGACAGAAGGTTGCAGGGTAAGAGAAAGGAGGAGGACATTGTATCAGGGAATAGGGTGATTGCTGGTTTAGCTCCAGTGTGGTAGCCACATTCCTCCAGAAGCCAAACTTGAGACAAGGATTTGAGTACGATAGTTAATTTGAGAGGTGAGCCCAGGAAGCTCAGTAGAGGAGTGAGGAAGTGAGAGAGGAGAAGGAAAGAAGTCAATTTAATGTATGTCACATGAGGCTGGGTGCAGTGGCTCAAGCCGGTAATCCCAGCACTTGGGAGTCCAAGGCAGGTGGATCGCTTGATGTCAGGAGTTTGAGACCAGCCTGGCCAACATGGCAAAACTCTGTCTCTACTAAAAATACAAAAATTAGTCAGACATGGTGGCACACACCTGTAATTCCAGCAACTTGGGAGACTGAGGCATGAGAATTGCTTCAACCCAGGAGGTGGAGTTTGCAGTGAGCCGAGATAGTGCCACTGCACTCCAGCCTGGGCAAGAGAGTGAGACTCTGTCTCAAAATAAATAAATAAATTAATTAATAATTAATATACAAAATAATGTATGTTACACTAGCAAGTTACTGCTGTAGGCAGATAATGCTTGATCCCAGGGAAGACCTCTGGGAGACTGCTTGTTCACTTGGGGGTGAACGAGTTGGAGTATTTGTCTATTTGCCTCCATTGTCATTGACTGTAGGCTGCCTTTAGGGTCATCAACTCTCTTGTATTCTGGCCTACCTGTTGTGTGAGACAGTCATGCTCCTGGGTAAAGAATTCCTCAGCAAAGTCACAGATGATTTTAATGGAAAGCCACTCATAGTTAAGGAAATGGTGAGTGTCCTGGGTATATAAGCTGGGCACTGACTGCATCTGCTAAAAAAATTAGGGCGTATTTTCAGGACAATGAGCTATACAGTTGGGCATAAATTGGGGCATTTAGAGAAGTGGGCTGCAAGTGTCTTTAGAGTATTAGAAGGTTATGTAAATAACTGATGTGAGTGGGCAAGGGACCAGCACACAGGTTCTCATGACAGTCTAGCCACTACTCATATTCAGTTGAGTGTGAAGATGTGGACCCAGTGTCACCAGATCTCTCAATGTTTCAAAAGAAGCTGGAAATCCAAATTTGTGTGTGTGTGTGTGTGTGTGTGTGTGTGTAATGCCTCAGTGTTTAAATATGAGCAACTAATTAATAATTTAAGAAAAGAAGTCTGCTAACCAAAAAATGTCTACAGATTGGGGATAAACAGCCCACAGGATAGTTGCAATAACTGATGTAATGTAACAGTGGGACATGGTGGGAAACATTTAAGAAGGTTGAGCTGGAGCCATATTATGAACAAACTTGATTTCCAGGCTTGGGGATTTGTGCTTAAATTGGCTTGCACTGGAAAACCAATGAGTAATTTTGAGCAAGAAAATGGAGTGATATGAGCTCTGCTAGAAAAAAAAAATTAATCTGGTGATGGCATAAAGAATAGATAGAAGAGGGAGGAATGAAGAAGGATGAAAGGCAGAGAGACTTAAGAAGCTACAGCTATATTTTAGGTAAGGAATCATGAAGGCTGGGTGGAATTTGTGTCAAACCTTAAAACAGGCATTCAGGAGAAAGGACGGGCAAGGCACACTGAAAAGTAGATGTATCAGTATAAAGAAAACACTACACTTTTGTTGGGAAAAAAAAAGCATTCAACGGGCTCAAGTCATCCTGAAAGTTCAAGAGCTGGGTGAGAAAACATAAGTTGGGTATGAAGTGTTAACCAGCTTTGGTGCTGTGCCTCCCACCCAGTCATGGTATGGAAAGGTAGGTCTCATCCCCTTGACTCCACACCCACACAGATGTGCCAAAACAGCCCACCAGAGAGAGAGCTAAGGAACCAAGCAAGCTCAGGATGAGGGATGAATCAAGGGACTGGCCAAGGTGACCAATCAAAGAGAGAAATCCACCATGATGAGGTTGGGAGGGAGACTTCACAAAGCTCTGCATTACACACAATCCACTCTCCCATTATGTTCAAGGAATCTCCGAAGTTCAGGAAGACCAAAAGTGTCAGAGCAGGTACCAGACCACCTATGAAGTGTGTCCTCCACAGTTTCTTTCTATCTTTCAGGGCTCTCAGACTCAGAGCTTCCAACACTGACAGCTCACCTCGACTCTCTCTCTTCAAGAAACCTTATTCCAAACTTTGTTCACTTTTCTCTTCCTCATTCTGTCCCCTCTCCCTAAATCAACTCATAGGTGATCTCTGCTCTGGTCTTTCACACTTTTGCTCTAGATCACAAGATAAACCAACTGATGCAGACACTGCTGACGCCCAAACCCCTATCCTTTCAACCCTCCTCAAGTTTACCCACAGCTGCATTGATGAATGGTCCCACTCATTATGTCCACGTTGAGTACCCCCATCCTTTGTCCTCTGCCTGGGACTTTCTCCTTTGCCATAGGATCTTGCTTAGCCCATGCACACAGCATCTTGCCCCAAGGGCAACCCTCAACCAGTGAGGAGTGAATATCAGGTGATAAGTACCCAGCTTTCAATGGAATAGTCCTGAAGTGCATTTTTTACATTTCCTGAAGGATCTTCAGCTGGAGGAAGGCCCCGTTGCCAACAGCAGTAATTCTCTCTTTAGTACAACTTTTATTGGCTTTTCTCCCTTCACTGTCTGACTTCCTCCTCTTCCCCTACCTCTTCCCTGGAATCTCTTCTTAAATAAAATGTCAGCGTTAGAGTCCCCAAAGGGCCTGACTTTGGGGGAACCCGAAAGAGACATTGCCCAGTCTACCTGTTAACAGGTCAACGTATTATTTGTTTGCCCTTTTTGGATTATACTTGAGTGCTTACAGATAGCCTTCTAGAGGAAAAACAGCCTTTTAGTACAAAGGAGTGACAGTAGAGTTGGTGATTTTGATTTGGGACACAACTGTAGACCAATACAGGAGATACTTAGAGACACACAGCACCTATTTTAAAAAAATAAAATAAAATAAAATAAATAAAACTACTAACCAAACCCACACCTATGAGTTTTTTGCCCTGTGTAAAGGTGAGAACATGCCCTATCATACTTACATTCACAACCACAATGGAACAAATTGAAACTGAGGTTTCTTGCCTGGACAAGCTGCTTTGTTTGTTGGGGGAAAATATAAACTACTTTTTCTCTATGGGAATCAATTTGAACTGCAAATGACGAATGTGGTAAAGGCTGAGGAAAGTCAAAATTGCTACTACTAGATACAACCATTGATTGATGACCTGCTATGAACCAAAACAGTTAAGCAGCAAACAAATTATGTCCATGAGGCTTACAATTAAATTTAAATGGAAGAACTTTTAAAAGCCAAAACCATCTTCTAGTTTTCATTGCTCTCATATACATCAATGTCAAATTTAATGTGCAGATAAACCACATTTTTATTTAAAATACATTATACCCGAGTAGGGAGAATGGTACAGAAATGGTCAGTGTATTGGCAAGTGTGTCACTTGTCTTTGCATAAATTTATTTTCCTACATTTCCCATCAGTTTTTTACCTTCTGAGTTTTTTATACCCCATCAATCCTTTAGCCTATTGTGTTGTATTTATTTATTGAGCAGCTTCCATATTAAAGACACAATGCCAGCCTCACATAACATAGAGATGAGTTGTGTAGAGTTCTGGCTCTCCAAGGGTTTATGTTCTAGTAGGAGAGTGAGCTAACACAAAGGAGTGAATCTTCAAACCAAATTTACACGAATCAGAGATCTTACCCAACATCAAGCTTTATTAATAATTCAAGGATATAAGGATTCAGGAAGCAAAGCCGAAAGAGATCTGAGGCATCCCGCATGGCTCCCTGGGTTCTCTTTCCACATTAGACATGCGCATTTTTGCCTAGCATAGACGACGCCTGTCAGTGAGAGCCACAGGTTGCCTGACACAACAGAAAAAAGAGAAGTGATATAGCTCCATTTTATATCCAAGAGAATTGTATAGCTTACAAGACAATCTCCAAGCAATGTTGCTTCATAAAGCTGTAGATCCTAGGTGTGTTTTCCTAAGCAAACCAAAGACATCCTATTAAGAACAATCCACAGAAAAAGACTCTCCTCCTAGGAAACAGCATTAGTCTATCACGTTGACAAGGAGATTCAGTGAGCTTCCTGCCTTCCTCTCTTTCCCTTGGGAGAATCCCCCAGTAATGGGGAGAGAAAATGGATCACAGGCCAGCTGCTTCAACACTTTCCTCCCCAAGGAGATAGGACATACACCCAAACAAGTACAACACCCGACAGATATCAATAACTATTTTAAAGTGTCAGTTAGTAACTAGTGTGCAACTCAGGTGATGGTACAGCATAGAAAATTATACTGTCTGTGCAAATTCATCATGAAGATTTTAAGTTATCTAAAATTATGGCTTCTATCTATGACCAGCACACCAAGAGAAACCCTAGAGGATCAGTTGTGTCCATCATCTGAAGATCTGACCCAACCAAAGTCCAGATGAATATGAAAGCCCAAAGTGTTCAAGGACAGGGGATGAGGGAGAATAGTTATAAGGATGGGAGATATGGTTTGAAAGGCAGATGTTATTAGATTGGACATTCCTTGAGTAATATCTTTAAGGGGTTGTTCCTCTTCTCTCTCCTACTCTCTCCTCCTCCCTGCTTTCTTTCTCCCCTTCTCCCCTCTCCCCTTCTCCTTCTCCCTCCTCATTCAGGGGAGGTTTTGGAATAGACATCAATAATTATATTTTAAAACATGTATTACAAACATCTCTTTATAATCTGTATCTATGCATTATAATAGATTATAATTTATATACATATACATACATATATGTGTGTTTTTCTATAACCCTTGATATTGATTTTGACAAATACTGATTGAGCACTCACTATGTGGTATCAGGCACTATTCTAGGTGCTTGTGATACATCCATGAACAAAATAAACAAAAATCCCTTCCATTGTGGAGATTACATTCTATCAGGAGGATAAAGACAATAATCAATAAATATAATTAATAAGTAAACTATATACTTTGTGAGAAAGTGATAAATGCTCATAGAAAAAAGAAAGGGGAACAGGAGTGCTGAGAGCAGTCAGGCTGAAATTAACAGGACATTAACCCTGTGGACAGGGGAGTGATGGGGTGGCAGCAGGGGGAAGGTAAATGATAGAACCTTATAGACCATGTTAAAGACTTTGGCTTTTATTCACAGAGAAAAGAGGACCCATTGAAAGGTTTGGGACAGAGTAGAGTCATAGTCTGATTTATGCTTGCTGTGGTAAGAAGGCTGTAGGAGTCAAGAAAAGCCAGGAGACCAGTTAAAAGGCTATTGCAACAATCCGGACAAAAGAAGAGGTTGGCTCAGCCAGGGTAGCAGCAGTGGAAGTGATGGGAAATGATCAGATTGGATCTATCAGAAGGGATATATTTCAAAGGGGTAACCAATAGGATTTTCTAATGGATTGGATATTGTGTGTCGGATAAAAAGAAGTCAAGAATATCACCAAAATCTTGGATGTGGGTAACTGGAAGGTTGGAATTACCCTCAATTGAGACAGGGAAGAATGAGAAGAAAGCAGGTTAGGATATTAACTGTTGTCTCTCAGCCCCGCACTTGCCCTTCTATACTCTTGTCAGTACTTCTGGGGATAGGAGTCTGCAAACTGCATTTCCCAGGCTCCCTTGCAATTTGGCTTCTTGTTAGGAGTCACTACTGGGAGATCAGAAGGTGACAGGAAAAGAAAGTCTTCCTACTTCTGGGGTAATGTGGTAGTTACCAGTAGTTGCTAACATGAAGGTGGGTAGGGGTGATTCCATAAGCCAACAGCCCAGGCAGGGGCGGCAGATTTCTGGCAGCTTCAGCACTGATCCTGAAGATGCAGACCTGACACAACAGCATCTCCAGCATGGCAAGCTGGTGAGCTCCAGTGTGGGAGTGCATGCAGCTTCTGACCTCTGGGTATTGTTCCTTCTTCCTTTATTACTTCCAGACCTCCTCCATTTTCCCTTTTGCACTTCCAGCTCTTCCAACACCTATGAAACTTCCCGGTATTGAAATGCATAGTGTTGTTGTTGTTGTTGTTGTTGTTGTTGCTGCTGCTGCTGCTGTTGTTGTTTCTGACCAGGCCTGACTGGCATGGGGGTGGAAAATTAGGACTTCAGTTTTGGACATGGTAATTTTGAGAAGTCTGTTAGAAATCCAAAATTTAATATCAGGTGAGCAGTTGGATGCATGAGTCTGGAGGATGTGAGGTTATCCTCTTTTCTTGGGAAAGAAGTCTGGGCTGGAAATACACTTTGGTTGCATATAGATGGTATTTAAAGTCATGAGGTTAGGTGGAGTGACCAAGGGAGTTAGTGTGCGTCAAGGAGACATGCAAGGACAGAGCCAGGGACGCGCCAACATTAAGAGAGGAGGAGAATCTGGCAAAAGAGCCTGAGAAGGAGAAAAAGTGAGGTAGGAGGAAACCATGGGAGTATAGTGCTCTGGAAGCCTGTGCTTCCTTACATAATCTGGGTTTGGTTTTTTGCTTTTGCTTATGAACACTGAAAGAAGGTACAAAGACTCCCACACTACACCAAAGGATTCCATACTCTTCAAGGACTAGGAAACCCAGACTAGAAGTCATCATGATGATATCTATATTCCCATCTCTATCACACATTTCTTAGGTGATTAGAGCAAATTCACTTGGCTTCTCTCTGCCTTATTTTTTCTCAGCTATATAATGAAGATCACTTTGCTACTTATCTACCTGCCATGGATGTTTTGGAAATTTACAAAGTGATTATTTTTAAAGCAAGTGTTATCTAAAAGAATTTCACGAACGAAGTTTTGCCACTTATCAACTGAGGTGGCCACTCACAGACAAAAGCACTGAAGCTAAACAGTTTCTGTCCAAAACCCAGTGTTGTCATTACTATATAATGCCCTAATTCAAGTTGTTAACCTTCCTGAGTCTCATTCTCCCTACCTGTAACATCCAAACAATGACAGTAACAGCCAGATGGCCAGCCGTGAGAAGAGAAAACAAAACAAAACAAACAAAAAAATACATGCTTGCAAGGTCTCCAATACATAGTAAATAAGAAAAAAAAGAAAAAGTTGATCCTATCCTCCCACTCCAAATTTTAGAAATCTAGTAGGCAAATGATTATATTTTGACATCAGATAATTTCTAAATATAGAGATGATGGAAAGCCTGAATTGTTTTAACTAGATAAGGCAGTGAGCCATGAAATTGTCAACAATGTTCTCAGGAAGTGAACGCTAAAACAACCAGAACCTCAATTTGTCTGTTAAACTCAACCCAGCTCATGCCTAACAAGCAGGATCAAATGTTAGACAAAGCAGGGGAATGGGTTACTCTGCTCTTATTTGTCTGATTGTTTGTGATTGTTTGCATATACTTACGTACACACCAAGAGATGTACGGTGCAGGACGACTGCATTCGTTTGCTAGGGCTGCCGTAACAAAGCACCACAGACTGGGTGGCTTCAACAACAGAAATTTATTTCTCACAGTTTGGGAGGCTAAAAGTCCAAGATCAAGGTGTAGGCATGTTTGGTTCCTTCTGAGGACAATCTCCTTGACTTGCAGATGGTTACCTTTTGCTGTTCTTCGCACAGTCTTTCTTCTACGCGTGCACATTCCTGATGTTTCTCTATGGTTCTAAATCTCCTTTTTTTATAGGGGCACCAGTTAGATAGAATTAGGCCCACCCAACTGACCTCTTTTAATGTCATCACCTCTTTAAAGGCCCTTTCCCCAAATACAGTCACATTCTGAGTTAATGGGTGTTAGAGCTTCAACATATGAATGCAGGAGGGAAGACACAATTCAACTCCTAACAAGGGCTAAATTAGCGATTTAGGAGATAAGATTCCATCCAGATCCTTAAAATATTGGGTGGCTTGTAGGCACAGGCAAAAGAGGACTGCCCAAAAGGTAAGGCTCTAGGAGTCCAGGAGTGTGCTGCCATGTGAATCACAGAGAGTCTGTCTTAGAACAAGGTATTCTTGTGAAGGTAATATGAACTGATCCACACATAATCCTATTCCTTCCTCCTGGGCTTATTGATAGCTATGCACTTTCAAGGCAAGGGCTTCTCCCTCAGGCTGAAACCCACATCTCCCCATCCATGATCCTTTCACCTGGTCCATGAGCTATAGATTAATGGCAGGAGTTAACCTAAGGAAGCTGGGCATTCCCTTCTCATGCGATTGTCAGCAGCAACTAGATAGTGATTGCCACACTTTCAGTAGTGCATTCAGCAATTTCTATCAAATTAATGGACTACAGTTGCACGCCCTTGAACTGATCTTGCAGTTGTCAGATGGGGGGCTGGAGAGAAAGAACAAGAGCAAGTGAGAGCAAGCCGGGGTCTTCGAAGCCATAACCAGAGTACTGAGGAAAACTAAGAAAATGGCCTTTGTGTCTCTTGACCATCACACACTCGCCTCCCTGAGTTTTCTGTTTTAACCTGAGTTGAACTTGGGAGAGAGGTGGTATTGTCATCAATACATGAAACATCAACAGAGAAAACTTATGTATCACTTCAGTTTTGTTGTCTTCTCAGTCTCTTCCATTCCCAACTCCTTGGAAGAGGTTTCTCAACCTTTCCCCAAAGAAGGTGCCTCGCTCACTCAGGATGGAACTCTTTACAGTAAGTAATGCTAGCTACTGGACCAAATAAACTCCAAATATCAGGGGCTTAGCAGACCAGAAGTTCCTGGTCAGCAGGTGGCCTTCCACACAGTCCTTCAAAGATCAGGATGTCTCCCATCTTGTGGCTCTGTCCTCAAAGGTCTCATAGACATTTGCATTCACATGAGGAAAGAGGAATAAGTTTTACAGGTAGCAGCAGGCTTTTCTGGGCCAGGCCTAGAAGTGGCACCCATCACTTCCAATCACATTAAGTTGGCTAGAACTCAGTCACGTGGCCATACCTAAAAGTGAGGGAGGCTGGGAATGTAGTCAGCCATGTGCCAGGAAAAGAAGGAGAGCACGATATTCATGAACCACTGTAGTCTCTGCCGCAAGGGTCCACCAGGAGATACCACTTGTTTTCTATTTTACGCCGAAGAATTGGGGCACATTCTGTATATGAAACAAATATCAGCAAAAACTAAGAATCTCTCACTCTTAATGTAACTTTTTGGAAGTGATGAGACATCATCTCAGAACAAGATCTTTTGGAATGTATTTTAAAGATTCTTGTCACCGTGGATCAGGATTTTCCAAAAGACACGAGCCATGCCTTTCTCATTATGGATCCTTGGTTATTATTACTACTATTGTTATTAATACCTATAAGAATTCTTTTGATTCTTGGTAAAGTTCAGATGGGGATTTCACCAAGAATACAAATCAAATTCAAAGGTTAAAAAAAAAAATCCTATTGTGTATTGTTCTACTTGGTAATTTTTTAAAAATCGTAATGTCTTCTTCTCCAGCTGCTTTTAAACAATTATAAAGACCCCAAAATAGTGTGCTAGCATCCAGAAAGAGGCTCAGTTCTATGTGATTGCAACCTACAAAGGCCCCCATGTCCAGCCCTGGCTGTCTGAGTAGCCACTCCACAAACCGTTGGCCATCCCAGTTGTGTTACCACAACATGTGGTTGAGTTATCAAGCCCTTTAGTTCAACCCACTTGGAGGCTTTGTAGCAAAGAGCCTTTCAGCATGACAGGGGACACCATGAAGTCAGTCTTGTCATGGGTAGGAAGAGTGCCTGCCATAATGCCCCTAGAAGAGCTTCCTGGGGAGGAGAAAAAAATGTCTGCCTGTCTCTGAGTATGGCCCTAAAGAAGTGGTCCTAATCCACAGATTTCCAGAATGGCCAAGTTGGAGAGGCCTTAGGGCACTATGCTGAGTATTTCACAAGCCTCTCATGTTATAAGAAAGGAAAGTGGGGCTCTGAAAGGAAAAGTGGTTTGTCCAGGATCACTCCAGCACTACAACCTACTGCCTCCTCCAATTTTATGAGACTATGACCTTTGGATTACACAAGCTTAGATTCAAACTCTAGCTTCACCACTTTCTTTTTTTTTTTTTTCTTCGAGATGGAGTCTCGCTCTCTCACCCAGGCTGGAGTGCAGTGGCGCCATCTCAGCTCACTGCAAGCTCCGCCTCCCGGGTTCACGCCATTCTCCTGCCTCAGCCTCCCGAGTAGCTGGGACTACAGGCGCCCGCCACCACGCCCGGCTAATTTTTTTGTATTTTTAGTAGAGACGGGGTTTCACCGTGTTAGCCAGGATGGTCTCAATCTCCTGACCTCGTGATCCGCCCGTCTCGGCCTCCCAAAGTGCTGGGATTACAGGCGTGAGCCACCGCGCCCGGCCAGCTTCACCACTTCCTAGTTGTGGGGCCTTGAGCTAAGTTCCTTACCTTCTCTAGATTTCAGTTTTTGCACCTGCAAAATCTCAAATGTATCAATGTAAAATTGACAATATTGGTACCCTTTTTCCAAGGTTATTGAAATGACTAAATGAGATTATCACTACGTGAAACACTCAGCCTAGTACCTGTAGGCAGTGTTAAGGAGCTATTACTATTAAAATAGGAAGCAGAGCCAGGGTTAGAACAGTTTTCCTGGTGCTTGGTGCAAGTCTCTTTCCGCTGTGATACCAGAAACAGAGCCAGCAGGGACTATAAGCAACAATTCTATCTTTCTGTCAAGGACTACATAGGCTCAGGGGATGGTGGGATCTTTTCTGTGCATCATTCCCTGACCCTTGACACCACTCCTGCTACTTAGTGTCTGTAACTCAACACTTCTTTTACATAAGTGTCATACTCCTGTTGCAAGGGATGCTGGCTGGGGGAGTCATTTTCAGCTGCATCTGAGTAGAAACTGAGACCCAAAGAATATGGAGGAAAGGAAGGCTGAGGAGGCTTTGCCTCCCAGGTATCTACTCCCAGGAAATGTATTATACTGTATTCAGATAGAGACAAAAATCAAACATAATGTTAAAGATCAAAGAAAATAGACTACAATTTTTACTTCCCTGGCAAAGGTGAAATGATCAATTTTATTTACATTGATCAAAGTCACGTTCCCTGAACTTGAACACCCAAGAGAATATAAAAAGGAGGTAGTCCCTTAACAAGAGGCCTCTCAATCTTAGCTGAACATTAGAATCATCTGGCAGCTTTTTAAATTTTTATTTATCTCATTTTATTTGATTGATTGATTGATTGATTTTGAGACAGGGTCTCACTGTGTCACCCAGACTAGAGTGCAGTGGGGCAATCTTGGCTCACTGCCACCTCTACCTCCCGGGCTCAAGCAATCCTCCCACCTCAGCCTCCCAAGTAGCTGGGACTATAGGCACACGCCACCACGCCTGGCTAATTTTTGTATTTTTTGTGGAGACAGGATTTCACCATGTTGTCCAGGATGCTCTGGGCTCAAGCAATCCACCCATCTTGGCCTCCCAAAGTGCTGGGATTATAGGCATGAGCCACTGCACCAGGCGGCAGCTTTTTACATACCAGTTCACTGTCTCCACCCCAGACCTACTATATCTAAATCACTGGGGTTGGAGCTCTGGCGTTGGTATTTTGTAAGCGCCCCAGATGACTCTAATGTGTAGCCTAATATTCTAATATTAGGACTATAAAATTGAGAAATAATTTGACAGATCTAACACTGCCATTTAACATAAAAGAGTATTTTGGATTGGTGTTAGTTTCCTACCACTGCTATAAAAATTATCATGAACTTAGAGGTTTAAAATAACACAAGTTTATTATCTTATAGTTCTGATGTCAGAAGTCCAAAATGGGTCTTACCAGGCTAAAATCAGGGTGTGGTAATGCTGTCTTCCTTCTGGAGGCTCTAGGGAAGAATGGTGTACCTTTTCCAGCTTCTAGAGGCCACCTGACTTGGGCTCGTGATCCCTTTCTCCATCTTCAAAGCTGGCAGCATAACATCTTCAAATCTCTTTCTCTGCTTCCATTGTCCTATTTCTTCTGTGATTCTTATAAAGATCCTTATGATTACACTGGGCCCATCCAGGTAATCTAGGACGATCTCAAGGTCCTTAATTTAATCACATCTGCAAAGTCCCCTTTGTCATGTAAAGTAGCATATTCACAGCTTCCGGGATTAGGATGTGGACATTTGGGGAACCTATTATTCTTCCTACCACAGGATCTTTTAAGAACTGGAGAAATAGCAGTAAGGACAAACAGAGATCACTTTTGGCTGCATAAATGGGTAGATTTTTAAGAACTGCCTAGAACTCAAAAATGAGGCTTCCAGAGTTTTATCCCACCACCTCAAAAAAAAGCAGATTTCAGGTAAGAATTCTGGTTAACTTTCCCTGCTACCCTCTGTTTCCCTTCTCCAAACCCCCCACCCCAACCCCATTCCCAATAAAATGCAGCTACCTAACAAAGGCCATAATGCTTTCTATAGTAAGTAAATTCTGGGGAAAATTAGAAATATGGTTTTCCAATTTTTGTCAAAAAAAATCATTTATAATTTTTTAAAGAGGGGAAAAGGCCTTAAATATGTTGAAGCACTGCCACTCATTTCTTTTCTTAGTTGGGACATGCATATACCCGTAGGCACACATTCACAAGGCTGACATTGCCCTCTAATTGGAAATCCTCTTAAAGAAGGAAAGAGAAACTTGTTGATCTCCCTTTCATTATCCTTGGGAATAAAATCCTGCAAACAGACAGGTGTCATGATGCAGAAACCTTTTCAGAAATTCCCCAGGATGAATATCCCATTTTCTCTACCATTTCTTTCTTTTTTTTTTTTTTTTTTTTTTTGAGATGGAGTTTTACTCTTGTTGCCCAGGCTGGAGTGCAGTGGCGTGATCTTGGCTCACTGCAACCTTTGCCTCCTGGGTTCAAGCGATTCTCCTGCCTCAGCCTCCTGAGTAGCTGGGATTACAGGCATGTGCCACCACACCTGGCTAATTTTTGTATTTTTTTAGTGGAGACAGGTTTCACTATGTTGGCCAGGCTGGTCTTGAACTCCTGACCTCAGATGATCCGCCCGCCTCAGCCTGCCAAAGTGCTGGGATTGGAGGCGTGAGCCAGAGCACCCGGTCCTTCCTCTACCATTTCTAATCACCCTATGGATGGGGGATTCTCTTCCTCCTAAGGTCCCACCTCCTGCTGCTTGCAATTGCAAAGGAGATACTTTGATAGATTACAAATTGTTTTCAGTAGCTGACCTAGACATAACATCACCACTTCCTGATTATATTGATATGTGTTTCTATTATTTGCTTATTTGCGCCTCCAGAAACAATTCTTTTTTGTTGTTTTACTATAAACAGCATTGCAAGGTCTCTGTATTAAATCATAATTATTTACCCATGCAGTTCATGCACCTTTGTCCCTGGGGAATCTGGTGACGTGAATTTACAGGAACGTCAGGGTATTTCTCACCAACAGTTTCCTGTTATTGATATGCTTTTGTTTAGTTGTGATCTTTTTTTTAAGCATTCAGTTTCTCAAGGGAAAAATAAACAGGCATGTGACAATTATCACAGTCATGGGATCTCATCTGGGGACCTCACGTATGTGTTTTCATCAGGGACTGGCCCCTCTGGCAAGGCCAAACACTGTGAAATTGTATAAGCAGACAATTGGTTATCATTCATTCGTTCTCTCAGTTTTCCCACATGCTTCAGATAGCTATCTTAGTAAATAAATACACATTATACTTTGTAGAAGAAATTCCACAGTCTCAAAAGAGACTGTAGTAAAATAGAAAAAAAATTATAAGAGATGGATCGATAAGAAATCATTGATTTTTCTAAGCTCTGAAGTACAGAAATCCAAGGTTGGACTTTTCAATTATGAAGTAATTATGTTAGTTAACACTGTCATGAGCCTAAGTGTTCTTGCCAACTAACGTAGAAAATTGTAGTACTTAATTACTGAATTGAGACTTCACAACACTTGGAAAGATATTAAATGTACCTAAGTTTTCCGTCTCTCTTTATTATTACTCAAATATACATTCATCATGATTTTCAATGTCTACTTTTAATTGAGAAATGAGAATCCTTATCCTCAAAAACATTCCAGAAAGTGTAGTGGTTTTTCTAAATCCTGTCTTCTATATCAATATGCTATAAAACGTGAGCTGAAAACTGACATTAGCAAACAACTTTCTAAAACTATGCTGTCCTGGGTGGTAGCCACCAGCCACATGTGGCTATTTAAATTCAAATTAATTTGATTAATTTGCTAGAGGCCATGATATGGGACAGCACAGATCACTGAACATCTTCATCATTACACAAAGTTCTATTGGGCAGCCCTGTTCTAAGAAGCAGACTCAACATGCAATAAGTAGAAAGCTAATACCTTTTGAAGTACATTTACTGGCGGAAATTGCAGCTAAACTTTTCTTATGTTTGAAAATTGTTTACTTTCAATAAGGTGGCCCCCTTAAACCTAACACCTCCTCTCCTCAGGTTTTATTCCCTTCAGAAGTGTATAAAGTATGTAGAGCTGGTAAGCCTGGAAAATGAATCAAGAATATAAAAAGGTATTGTGAAGCAACAGTATATCCTGCAGGAATAGTGCTCATCGTGGCTGACTGACAATTTGCCTGATGCAAATTGTCAAATGTATTTGTCATAATGTCATTCTTCCTCCCTCCTTTAAAATGTCAAACAAGCACAGGTTTAGGTGAATATTATAGCATGTAAATATAGAAGTCAGTTGTCTGAAAATTCCCTTTATGATATGTTTACCCTTGGCATCAAACCCCGTCCTTCTACAGTCTCTCAAATTTTATCACCTTCATTCCCACTCCCAGACTTACCTCTAGCCTGGTGACTCCTTAAATACACTAAAGAGAAAACAGAAAAATTCTCCAGTTCAAATTTTGAGTCCTGGATCTGCCACTTACCTTGAGTCATATGACCTTGGGGAAGCTACTTCACCTTTCTGAGCAACAGCTTCTCACTCCTACAACATGTACGGTGCTGCTAAGAATACCTACTCTACAAGGCCTTGCTTGTGAAGGCCTAATGGGGTGATAGGTGTGACAGCGCCAAGTGAGTCACAGAGCACAACACAAATGCAAGTGGCTATTATCGCTAGTTCAGTTACTTTTCTTTGTTGACCATGAGGTTCTGAGAGCCACAGCACCTGGGAGTCCCATAAAAGGACAAATTGAATCACTGATTTTCTCAATGTATGGAAAGCCCAAGGAAAACTGGACTCGTCAACTCATCATCAACCGTAGGATGCAATTTTCAGCTTAGAGATGTATAAAGTAATACTGAACATCAACAAATGCTTGATCGAGACCATACAAATCTTGGCCAGTAGGGGTCTCTGAACATTGCACACTGAAGCTCTTTATTAAAACTAATGTAATCTAATTACTTAAATCATCTAATCTGGGTATTTTGTTCAAAAGTCTGTGCACCTGAGTTGAAATGTTCTGTTTCAGCTGGGCACGGGGGCTCATGCCTGTAATCCTGACAGTCTGAGAGGATGAGGCAGGCGAATTGCTTGAGCTCAACATGGTGAGCGTGGTGGGTATGGTGGCATGCACCTGTGGTGCCAGCTACTCAGGAGGCTGAGGCAGGAGGATCGCTCGAACTAGGAGGAAAAATGTTCTGTTTCAGTCCTTCATAGCATCATGACTTTTTGCCGCCCTTTAAATTAATTAAATTTTTTTTCATCTTTTCTTCTCTACTAGCTCTTTAGTTATATATTTTGAAATGTTTTAGTAGTTATCCTAGAGATTTGAATATGATTCTTACTTATTTCGGTTTACTCTAAATTGCTGCCTTTATGGCTTAAGAATTTTATAAAAATTTATAGCTTTTTCTTCCTTTTTGCTACTGTTTTTATATTTTGTACCTCTTTTATATTATAAATGCTATAAGGTATTATTATTTTTGCTATTTCAAACAGCCATTATTTCATTGTTCTGGCTTTATTGAGGAATAATTGACATAAATTGTCTATTTTTTTAAAAAACTCTGTTAAATAAGTAGTAATATAAATAAATGTAAACATAACAGGATAAATAAAATCACAGTGTAGCAAGAAAGAACAGAGGGAACATTTATCCAAATAGAGCATTTCTCATTTATAGACATTCGTTCTGTTTTTCCACTCAAGCTTCACTAAAATATTCTTTTCCAAGCAAAAAGAAAAATAACTTTCTTCTGTTCCTTTTGTACTAGTCACCTCAGATTTGGTTCTAGGAAAAGGATCTCCCTGTTGATGAAAGAATGATTTATTTTCCAGTTCGTGAAATGAAACTCTTGCCAGGACTCTACCAGCAAGGCAGTTCACACAGCAAAATCTCTGACCAGGCTTCCAGCAAGCCCCTGTTGCTCCCTCCCACTGTTGGGAGATTTACATGGTCAGGCTGAAGTTCACAGAGCCAAGTTCTTAGACACCTGAACAGGGCACTGCTCTACAGTTCCTTTTTTCCAGCGTGAAATTTATTTCTTGGAGGTAATTACCTTAACTATTCCTCAATTTCTTCATCTGCACATTGTCTGTCTCAAAAGGGATATAGTGAAGACTGCATACATTGTCCCATTTAGAGTGCCAGCATGGTGCTTGGCATGTGGTAGAGGTACAATAAATATAAATGACTTTCTTCTCCTTCTTGCATTTGCATAGTCAATTCAATTTAATAAGCCTTGATTGAATGTGCAAGATCCAGCTAGCACGAGGAGGGGAGAAATGATAAACACAATGGTCTTTACTCTTGAGCCATTTACACTCTAACAGGGAGAAAAAACAAGCACACAACTATCACTTGAAGCAGAATGTGACAAGAGCCTAAGAGGGTAACAAGCAAACCTGTATGGAAGCACAGAGGAAGGAGAAAGTGTTTCAGGCTGGGGAGTTTCTGATGGTTTCATGCAGTGGGGGGCATCAGCCCTATCTTTTAAAGAGTCCTTAGATATCTGTGGTGCAGATGGGGAAGAAGGGCTTGAAACAGTGGATGAACAGAAGGAGTAAAACCATGGGAGGCAAAGTAAAGGGTTTTAGGAAATGGAGGTGGGGGTAGACCTGGAAGTTTGAAAAGGGCTATGTATGAGGAGAGGTGCCAGAGGTTGGGCTGGAAGAGAAGAGCATGGACAAGATTGAAACAGCATTGAATGTTGTGCACACTTTAGACCTTATATCCAGAGCCAGGGCCTCTCGGCCTTTTCCTTGTCATGGCACACATAGAAAATAACCATGTCTGTATAGTACACTGGGGTGAATGGATGAGCTTGCCTTTGGCTGCACCATAGCTTGGAGCTGCCCCAAATGCCGAGGGGATCAATATCTCAGCACATCTGTAACCAATTTGTGGCATGCCTGGATCCCATGGCACACAGGGCAGAGGAGTAGAATCTCTGCTCGAAGCAATGGGGCCAAGGGAGGCTTTTTGAACAGAGATGTTACAATACCAGAACTTCCTACTAAATTGTCAACATTCCAAACCATGGGTATATACGTCATGGCTGAAGTCCAGAAAGTAATGGATATCTACAGGGAAAAAGATATCAGTGTGCATTGGACTTCTGTTTGGCCTTCTATTTGCAAAGTGAATTGTTTAAATAAGGGTGCCTGACAATAATATCTTAATACATAGAAACACAATTTATCTCTAGCTTCCTGGTAGGAAATGCACAACTTGTAAAATCAAAACATATTTATATCTGAATGGCCTAAATCAAATTATCACTCTTCCAGAATAAGAAAGTTACAGAAATAAACTTGGTAATAATTTTTCCTAACTGCAAAATCTTTGCTTAAGTTTCGTGTTTTGGCAGAAACATATATTCTCAATTTTTCTGACACTTCTCTTTAGAGAAATTTTAAATATATACACAAAACTGAAATTTATGAAGGAAAAAGCCTTGTATCAAGCCTGAAAGAAACATCCAAGTTTTGCTTTTCAAACCACTTAGGGGTTGAGGGACTCTGTGCTTAGCCAGGCTGTTCTAACCTTTTCCAAAATCCCTATGACTTTTCAGTCATTTTGCCTTTCTTTATGTTAACCTCCATTGGTGCTTTACAGAAAGACCTGTCATGCATGAATCTAATGAGTAGGAGATAGAAAACAGAGGTGGACTCTAAAATAAAGCAGACAGTGATATTTTTTGTCTCTATGCCATCTTTAATGAAGATGATGAAAACTAAGTTAAAATATTTAATACAGAAAAAATTAAAAATAGATATGATAATTTCTCTCTTGGATTCTCTCTCTCTCCTCTCTCTTATTCTCTCTCTCTCCTCTCTCTCATTTTCTCTCTCTCTATCTCTCTCTCTCTCCCCTGCCCTCTTATTTTAGTGGATGGAGTTTCAATTCCTACTTAGATAATGCCATCTTTCATTGTTTTATCTCAGAAGTTGAAGATATTTTTAAATAGGCCTGAACTGCTAGAAAAAAGAATTAAATATGAGTTGTCAAGTTATTACAACAAAACTACTAGACGTACTTGATATAAATACAAAGACATGCTTGAGGAATGGGCAAAGATTTCATAACAAAGATGCCCAAAGCAATTGCAACAGAAGCACGAATTGACAAATGGGATCTGATTAAACTTAAGAGCTTCTGCACAGCAAAGTAAACTATCAACAGAGTAAACAGACAACCTACAGAATGGGAGAAAAATTTTGCAAACTATGCATCTGACAAAGCTCAATATCTGGCATCTATAAGGAACTTAAACAAATTTGCAAGAAAAAAAGACCCCCTTAAAAGTAGGCAAAGGACATGAACAGACACTTTTCTAAAGAAGATATACATGTGGCAAAAAAGCATATGAAAAAAAAGCTTAAGATCAATCATTAGAGAAATGCAAATCAAAACCACAATGAGATGCCATCTCACACCAGTTAGAATGGCTATTACTAGAAAGTCCAAAAATAACAGATGCTGGCAAGGTTGAGGAGAAAAGTGAACACTTATACACTGTTGGTGGGAGTGTAAATTAGTTCAATCATTGTGGAAAGCAATATAGCAATTCCTCAAAGAGCTAAATACAGAAATAGCATTTGACCCGGCAATCCCATTACTGGGTATATACCCAGAGGAATATAAATCATTCTATCATAATGACACATGTGTATGTTCACTGCAGCACTATTCACAATAGCAAATACATGGAATCAAACTAAATGCCCATCAATGGTAGACTGGATAATGAAAATGTGGTTCATATACACCATGGAATAGTATGCAGCCATAAAAAAGAAAGAGATCGTGTCATTTGCAGGAACATGGATGGAGGTGGAGGCTACCATCCTTAGCAAACTGATGCAGAAACAGAAAACCAATTCACTTATACGTGGGAACTAAATGATAAGAACTTATGAACACAAAGAAGGACACAACAGACGCTAGGGCCTACTTGAGGGTGGAGGGTGAGAGGAAGGAAAGGAACAGAAAAGATAACTATCCAATATTAGATTTAGTACCTGGGTGATGAAATAATCCGTCAACAAACCACCATTATATGAGTTTACCTACATAACAAACCTGCACATGTACCCCGGAAACTAAAATAAAAGTTAAAAAAAATAAAAATAACAAGAATTTAAAAGTTGAACTCAAAAGAAAGATCTGCTTGGATGTATATATGTAAATATATGTCTATATAAATGTACATAATAATGGTGTGCTGGATGCAGCTTCTACTGGCTCAAGAAGGCCAAGGTATGTGTCTCTTCCCAGCCCTAAGTCCAGTGGCATACAGGTAGCTGTAATCATCCATGGTAGAATATTTATACCATAGAAATCATCATACAAAACTAGTTGGGGATTTTTCCCCCTGAGAACTGGTTGTTAGACATTTACCAGCACGCACTGAGTGTATATGCACATATGTACACCAGAGAATCTAGGTATGTGTGTGTGTGTGTGTGTGTGTGTATATATATTCATATTCATATATGTATATATACAGATATATGTTTTGATGGCTAAGTAGAGTGAGAACAGATGAAGACTATGAGACTTCATCATCAAGGAAACAATGTGAGCAGTGACAAGGAGAGTGCTGATGTCCAGTGTGTACTTTAGGAACACAGAATCATGTGTTGCAGCCAGGGTGAAAAGTGTGTGAGGAAGAGAGTAGGAGGTAGGTCTGGAAAGACTTCTAGGGGACTGAATGTAAAAGATTTTAAGCTTCACTAAGAATACTGCAAGTACTGGTGGTTCATTAGAGACTTTAGCAGCAGAAATAGCATAATCTGTTGTGCATTTTGTAAAAATGAAGAAGAAATGGAAAGGCTAGAGATGGGAAGCAGTAAAGCCAGTTGGGAAGTGATTTCCATTGTCTGTAACAGAAATGAGAGAATTGAACCATGGCAGTAGCAGCAGGGAAGAAGAAAGGTTGAAAGTTGAGAGTGATTTTAGACTTAGAATCAACAAGATTTGATAATTATTTGATGTGTTGAGGGAGAAAGAGAAGTAAGAAAAAAAGGGATGGAGAATGTGAGAGATGCCTGGCTTGGGAAGTGAGATCAAAAAATTAGATCAGAGCCTGGCACGGTGGCTCACACCTGTAATCCCAGCACTTGGGAGGCCGAGGTGAGTGGATCATTTGAGGTCAGGAGTTCGAGACCAGCCTGGCCAACATGGTGAAACTCTGCCTCTACTAAAAATTAGCCAGGGGTGGTGGCAGGTGCCTGTCGTCCCAGCTACTTGGGAGGCTGAGGCAGGAGAATCACTTGAACCCAGGAGGCGGAGGTTGCAGAGAGCCAAGATCATGCCACTGGACTCCAGCCTGGGTGACCGAGCAAGACTCCATCTCAAAAAAAAAAAAAATTCAGCTTGGATATAAATAATGACTGATATGGATTGCGGTATTTAAACATCCACCCTAGATCACACAATTGTGTAACTCTATTTTCAACACTATATCAGTTAAAAGCAACACCTAAAGTCCATGTACAGAAAGATCTCAAGTAGGAGTTATTCCTCAATTGACAACCTGAAGGGCCGGACAATTGAGTGTTTCCTGTGTGAGGGTTTTGTCAGATGAATGAAGCAAAAAGCCAGAGGTCCAAACAAATTTGAGAAATTGGCAAGAGCTGTTTTGTTTTGTTTTGATGTGATTTTCAAAATTGATGTACCATGAAATCCCAGATGAATAAGGAAGGAAGTGGAGATGTGAAGAGGCCAGTGGATTGGAAACTGAAGGTCCCGATATGGCTTAAGAGTATTCATGATGTGATTAATTGGGCAGATTGAAAGGAGGACAGACTGTAGTCAGACAGCAAATTATCTGAATTTGTGATTTGGAAGGTAACACAGTTATGAGCAATTTTGGTCCAAAGTAGACTGTGGATTTACTGGGTAAAAAGAAGAGAAGGCATTGTAGATAAGACGGTGGTGGCTGTGAGAGGTCCCAGTGTTGGATGGATTGTCCACAAGGTTATAAAGTGACCCAGGGTGACAATTTAACAGGATACCTGTGAGCCAAGAGTCCAAGTCATCAGCAATGGAGGGGAAGACAGCCGGAGGCTGGTAGGTGACCAGTAAGGAGGAAGAAATGGTAGCATAGTTGAATGACAGGAACCTTGAAGGCCCAGGGTTTTTGCTCCCATTTTGCAAGCAGAAGAAGAGTGTTTTCTGGCATCAGATTGCCAAGATCGGAGGTGCCTAGAACCCCTAAATTTCCCAGCCTGTAGAATTTTAAATCAATCTCCGAGATGTCTGCCCTTTCAAAATCACATCTTTGCTTTTTAGGACACTGCTTCTGGTTGTACTGGGTTCACTCAGACATAATATTAGCTCCTTTGCTGAGTTCCACCTAGTAAAACCTCACTCATCCTAGGGGCTTGAGAGCAAGGTAGACTTTGCTGAAGCTTTTGGGTTTGTTTGAAGGTGATGGAAAACACATTTGCAATGGAACAACACAAACAACTGCAAATTAAATCACAACCATCACTGTCTTTGAAATGTTCCCAGCTAACCCACCAGTGAGTGGTTTGAGCTTCATGACTGGTCACATTACCTGAACCCAGCCTTGCTACATCTTGCTGGTTCCTCTCTTCCTCTGCTGTCTCATCTTTCCCACCCTATTCAGTCTACGAAATGGAACATTATTTTAATTGCCTAGATAAACTTGCTAACATCTCCGTTTCTAAAATGCTTAGATCTTGGTGTATAACTGACCTAGGAAGTTCTAGCCTAGAGGTCATTATGTAAGTAGGAACTGTTCACATGAAGAACAGAATGCCGGAAGTAACAGGCTGTATAGACAGCTGGAGAAGCAGCACTGTATCACTAGGCTGAGATCAAATGACCTTCTCTCTTCCCAAGAGAGAGACAAATTCCCTTCCTTCTTCATGCAGAATTCTTCTTCTCTCTTTCGTAAAGCCTTGGTGTCAGTACCTCTAGGCTGTGGGGATCCACTATTTTTTGCTTCTTCCCTAAGGGAAATTCTGCTGTCAGCTATTAAAATAGTAATAATGTGTTTTACACCAGTCCTCCTCTTTACTGTCTCTTACCACTTTTTCATCCAAGTCAGGTTTGCATCAGATGTAGTGGGGGAAATCCTCCAGCGCCGGCAATCAGCATGCTCAGGCCATGCCATGGACTAGAGAGAAGCCAAGGTATACTAGAATGGTCACAAGGCCTTTGAAAGCCTGTAGTCATTCTGCCTTTTTAAGTGAAAAAGGCTACAAATGGCAATTATCTGCCGAAGTTGCTATAATGTTTACGACTGCCACTGAGTGAAACCAAGCTAGCTGCTTTTGCCACAGCTGATTTGACCAGAGGCTTATGCTCAATGAAAGGCAAGTGTGAATGGGCTACAGGTAAGAGGCAAGCCAGTCTCCCAAGAAGGGATGTACATGAACTCTGCAGTGAGGGCCCTCCATAATGAGTGGTGGCACACTATCCCAATTGTCTTAGTCTGTTTGTGCTGCTATAACAAAATACCTGGGTCATTTATAAACAACAGAAATGTATTATCTTACAATACTGGAGGAAGTCCAAGATTAAGGCACCTGCAGATTTGGTGTCTGATGGGGGCTGCTCTCTGCTTCTAAGAGGGTGCCTTATTGCTGCATCTTTTTATGCAGAAAGGGCAAATACAGTGTCCTCAGTTGGCAGGAAAGATGGAATGGCAAAGGGGCCTCGCTAGTTCCCTCAAACCCTTTATAAAGATACTGATATTCATGAGGACAGAGCCCATATGACTTGATCATCTCCTGAAAGTCCCACCTTTTAATACTATAACATTCAGTCTTAGGTTCCAACATATGAATTTCGGGGAGACACATATATTCAAACTATAGCACCAATCAAATCTTTTCTTTTCTCAATCAAATGCTAAAATCAACCAAAAGACAGTGAATGTTCTGAAATGGTTTTAATTTAATTTTGGCAATATCTACCCATATTTATTGACTTCCTTTCCTACTCGCAACTTGAATCTCTTGTCCTCTTTCTAAAATGTTTCACTGTTTGCTTAAAAGGCATACATTACTGTAGGCTCTCACAATTCAAATAGGGGACAAGAAGGTGTAGGTTTATGAAGTAGGTGGATAATCCAATGATCAAAACCATTAAAGTGGTCCTCTGTTTCAACTTGGTTAATCTGCATCTGCTGTATGGAAAGTTGAAGATAACTTCTCTGAAAATGCGATGTCAAGATCTGTATCTAACACCTCGTGTGCACCATCTCAAATCGTCTCTGCCCTCTGTATTTCAGCCACTGCAGAGGCAACTGGGGCTTTTACAGACTTCGTGAGTCCACTTACGTTTCTCATAATTACTGATATATTTTAATTTATGTCTCCCACTATCTTTTAAAATTTTTTCTACTTACAAATTCAGTAGAAGGTAGAAACAATTGAAAAGGATGACAACGTTTCCTTTATCCATTCTCTTTTTTATTTGGTAAGTTTTTTATTTTTCGTGGTTTAGTGTTTTTAAAACTAGCTGAATTATTCTGAGTGTAAAGTTGCTCCATCCTCCTAAGTAAATGTAAGAACATAGTTTACTCTTTGAACATTACCTCCTATTGTAATATTGTCAAAATTTAGTTTTAGTTTTACCTTTTCTAAAACATATGTATACACACAAACATACAATTCATGATTATTTTATGTCAGTTTTTAATCAAATTTACAAACTTTAAAAGTTGATTTCTGTGTTTACAATTGTGTCTTTAACTCCACGAGTTTTCTTTGGGTTTTCTTTTCCTTTGGTTGAAGTAAAGTAGCACTTCTTTCCTTCAGGATCTATGGATGGTAAATTCCTTTAGTCTTGTATGTCTGAAAAATGCCATGATTTTGCCCTCATTCTTGAATGATAGTTTGTCTGGGTATAAAAAGTCTTGTTGATAGTCATTTTCCCTATACATTGAAGGTATTATTCCAGTTTTCCACAGAATATATTGTTGTCAATAAGAAATCTGCTGCCAGACCAATAACTATTTCATATCAATGGCTATTTTTTTCAGTGTAATCTGTCTTTTCATTCTGGAAACTTAAAAATTATTTTCTCCAATGTTCTGCAGTTTTATTACACTATATCTAAGTGCGGATATATTTATTTTTATTTTTACCCTTTAGAATACATTTTTCATCTGAGAACTCCTATCCCTTTTGATTCAGCCTTTAACTCTTTATTTACTTCTTCTCTACAATCCTCCTTTATCTCTTCTTCTTTTTTTATTTTTAGACGTAGTCTTACTCTGTTGCCAGGCTGAAGTGCAGTGACGCAATCTCAGCTCACTGCAACCTCCACCTCCCAGGTTCAAGCAATTCTCCTGCCTCAGCCTCCCGAGTAGCTGGAACTACAGGCACATGCCACCACGCCCAGCTAATTTTCATATTTTTAGTAGAGACAGGGTGTCACCATGTTGGCCAGGATTATCTCAATCTCTTAACCTCATGACCTGCCCACCTTGGCCTCCCAAAGTGCTGGGATTACAGGCGTGAGCCACCACGCCCAGTATTTTTTTTTTTTTTTTTTTTTTTGAGACAGGGTCTTGCTCTGTCACCCAGGCTGGAGTGCAGTGGTGCAATCTCAGCTCACTGCAATCTCTGCCTCCCAGATTCAAACAATTCTCCTGACTCAGCATCCTGGAGTAGCTGGAATTACAGGCACATGCCACCATGCCTGGCTAATTTTTGTATTTTTAGTACAGACGGGGTTTTGCCATGTTGGCCAGGTTGGCCTTGAACTCCTGACCTCAAGGGATCCACTTGTCTTGGCCTCCCAAAGTGCTGGCATTACAGGCCTGAGACACGGCACCCTGCCTGATCTCTTCTTCAGGAATATCAATGAAGAAGAGACTGAGAGCCTCCAATATGGCTCCTCACTGCTCATTAAGGTTTTTATCTGTCTGCGTATGCTTCATTATGGCTGAATTTCTCAGAACTATGTACTAATTCATAATTCTATCTCTGTATCCAGTTGAGGGTTTAGCTCATCTACTGAATATTTTAATAACTATCTCTCATATTTTCAAGATTTCTAACTGGTTTTCTCTCATAACCATCCATTCTTAACACATTTTTTCTTTTTTTTCTGTTCTACTCACATGCATATATACATATTCCTGTGTAAAAATTTAAGTAAGTCTAATTAGGGTCCTCAGCTTCTATAAAATTAATTCCATATTTAGCAAATTTATGTTTCAATTGTTGATTGTATTGGATGTCTTTCTTAGCATCTATTTTGAAAGTCTGGTGCACGGCAATTTTTTTTTTTTTTTGAGATAGAGTCTTGCTCTATTGCCCAGGCTGGAGTGCAGTGGTACAACCTTGGCTTACTGCAGCCTCCACCTCCCACGTTCAAGCGATTCCCCAGCCTCAGCCTCCCTAGTAGCTTGGACTACAAGCTTGTGCCACCATGCTCGGCTGATTTTTGCATTTTTAATAGAGATGGGGTTTCACCATGTTGGCCAGGCTGTTCTCAAACTCCTGACCTCAAGTGATACACCCACCTCGGCCTCCCAAAGTGCTGGAATTACAGACATGAGCCACCGTGCTCAGCCATAGGCATATTTTTTAGTGGAAAGCTTTGGGATTTTGTTTGTGTGTTTTGTTTCCTCTTTCTCTCTCTTCCTTCTCTGTGCAATCTTCTCTATTAGTGGTTTTGTAATTGATTCCTTTAGGTGCCACTGGCCCTGCACAGAGCCTGGCAGGTCAGGAATCTAGCACAGGGACAATTTTTGGAGGAAATGAAAATCCAGCCAGCCAGCCAAAGGGCAGCTTGGCTCGTAGGATTCCAAAGCTTTCTTGGACAATAGTCCCTGGCAGAGGTTTCAACCTTTTTTCACATGTGCGAAAGTCTTCCCTATTCTTTAATTTCAAATGAGTCTGACTTCTGTTCCCTGTCTTGCACCAATTCTTTTTGTCCCCCTTATCCTTGCAGAAGTCAAACCTTAAGCTCCACCCAGAACTCAGCAGACTTTAGCCCTGCTCATGACATTTAAGTTTTTCCATTTCATGAGGATTGTTCATGGGGATATTTATCTTGTTTTTCAATCTGACAATATCTTTTTATTTTCTCAAAATATGTTGTTAACAGCTGGAATTACTTGAACGTGGATTTATTAAGCCATTTTGAAAGGGGTCATTTACCACTTTTGTATTCAACAACATAAAGAAAAATCTACTTACATTTTTAACAGTAACATATTCCTTTTAAATGTAGCTCAACTGGAAAAAAAACTAACATGAAATGAGAATTCATTTAAATTGTTAAAGATATCTTTGTAATTGAAATGTTTAATATGTTTTTCTTTGATTAAAGTTTTTGATATCTCTGGAGACATTTTTTAAATGTTGGTGGCAATGTTATTACACAGCAATTTTGGTTCTTGCCTATTAAGTTATAAATATATTCTATTTTCAGAAAAACACTGAAACACAAAATTAAAAACTTCTTGCAATACACTGTTTATGGACTAAATACTAGACTGGAGATAGTAAATATAAATTTAATGACTAGTTTAGAGAACCACAAAAATATATGCCAAGATTCTCCATTTAAACCATAGGATAGGAAATTCAAAATACGTCTTATCTATGGATCTTTTGGTCAAGCTTTTTTCTAATGCAATCAGTCCTTTGGCAAAACTCATTTGAAAAAAAATTAAAAGCACTCAAAGTAATGTGCAAAGTTTTAATTTACCCTAACATTTGATCCCAAACACATGAAAAATATTTACTTTACTTCCATTTTTTGCAAACTGCTAAAAAATAATAAAGTCTCTGAATCTAATATTAGAATTAGGAGTCAATGCACTGATTTCCTCTCTGATGAAGAATTTGATTCTTAACCAAGATAACTGCTTTCTTTGCTGTGGCTGGCTACACACACTCTCCTTCCTAATCTGAAATCTTGCTAAAGACGACTTTATGCTTCTTCGTCCAGATCTGATCAAATCTAATGTGGCCTGCAGAGGATGAACGTGAGTATCAGTAACAGGCACATCTGCAGTCATGAAGCACCCCCAGCTCACACCTCCTTGGTACTCCTAAATGTCAGGTCACCTAACCCCAGCACACCTCCTGTCTGGCCTCTTCCTCAATGGCTAGCCCAGGGCCACATCTCCACAGATATTATTAACTAACAGTGCAGAAAGGCCCACCAGTAGATCTCTGCCTTCCCAGTAAATGGGTCACTTCTGGCAACTCTAAGTTTCTCCAGAGGGACAGTATAGGCCACAAATTGCCACATAGCTTCAGACATGCCATTTAACTCCCCACTGGAGAGTCTAGATAAAGATCTGTGTCCCAGCCTATCTGACAGCCTTGTGTAAGAATCCCAAAGGTATTATATTTAGAAGAGCTTTGAGAACTGTATTATTTTGTTATCTGTGGTTATCCATCTCTGGATATGAGGCCATCTCACCACATAATAAATAGCCTGACAGCTCAAATTTCCAGCCCTACTACTCATCATGCTCATTGTTTTAGTCCTGAATTATATGTACCTTGGCAAAGTGAAGAGAATTATTTTTCACCTGTCATTCTGAGTCTGTTACACTACTATACACATATACAATTGAATTCATCATTATGCAATTATGTACAGAGCTGGATTTTCCTTGTGTCTGCTGAAACAGAGCTACTGTGCAATGAAAGCCAAATGCAGTTTGAAGAAGGTCCACAGTAATACAGAAAAGAGAATTCATGCTCTCTGGGTAAGGCAGCTCATCACCCAGACATATATCAACAGGAGGGCAACCTTTGGAGCAATCTCTGCTCCATGGGACTTAGAGTTCTTAGTTTTGAAGGCTTGGACATTTGATTTTGTTGTCACTCAGATATGATCAGGTTTTAGGAGACTGAGATTACCCATTACCTAATGCAGAGCAAACCAATAATTCAGTTAGGATGATTTTCGCTGCAATTAATACAAAATCCCAACTATCCTTCTGATTGGGGCAAATGGAAAAAATAAAAATATAAAAGGAAATTTAAAAAAAGAAAATCCCAACTAAACTGGTTTAATCTATGATCTAGAATTACAATATAACCTTTTATGCTATACTGAGGATTAAAAGCCCAAAGGCAGAGCAGGCGCTGGCTCCCTTCATCTACCTCCTCTTTGGCCCTACTCACCTCTGTGTGTTGCTTGTCTTCCAGCTGGGAGCAAGATGGCTGCCAAGCCACCCAAGCACAACTATATCCAATGGAGAAGAAGGGCTTTTCTTTCTTTGTGATCATTTGCAGGATTCCACACCACCACACTTCTAGTAGGTCTCATTTGGTAGACTTGGGCAAGTTAGACACCCCCAACTAATCCTCGGCAAGTAGAACAACACAATTATCATGAGTGATGTGGGAGATGCATTAGGCTTTATCCCTGAACTGAGGGTAGGGTAGTCTTCCTTGAGGGTAGTTACTTAAACGATGCTGCACTTTTACTAGCAAATGATAAGAAGAAAATGGCTCCTGGGTAGACAACTAAGGGTGTCTATTAAGTTGCCAAAGTTTTCATCCATAAAAACAAGGAGAAATAAAACTATCAAGCATCAGTCCCTAATTTCGCTGATCAGTAGCAAATCCAGGTTTCTAGCCCCAATCTCTACTGAGTTACAGAGCTGTGTTTCTAAACATCTCTATTTGTATGATCTGTAGGTGCTTATCATGTCTAAAATAGAATTTATATGATTTCATTCTCAGTCCCCAACTTACATCCTCCCCAAACACCCAAACATTTTCCCCCAACATCCTCCCAGACATCCAAAATCAAAGATAAAAATCCATCCTCAGCTTTTCCCCCTCCTTTGACCCACATCCAATTGCTCACCAAATCCTGTTGATTCTATCTCCTAAATATCTTTTAAATCTTTTTTTTAAGGACCGAAGTCAGATCAGTGGTCTTCAAAACTGTTCATCTTGCTTCTTTTCTACCTCTTCTTCCTGTACATAGGCCATTATCACCACTGTTTCATTCTCAGCTTCTTCCTGCTGGCTATGGAAGAAAATTCACCTCCTTAATATAGCACCATAGACTTTCCACAGTCTGTCTTGAATCTGCCTCTGCAGCTTCATCTTAAATTTCTCTGTCACCTAGACCCATGCATCATACAGATGACTTGAAATTCCCCACACGTGCCATAATCTCACAAATCTCCATGACTTTGCCTTTGCTGTTCCCTCTGCTTCATACTTCTTCGACCTACACAATTCCTCGTCAAACCCCTACAAATATCAGTTCACTTTCTCTAAGATGCTTCCCTGAATCCCTGGTAGACCTGCACACACCTCACTTCAGAGCTTATCCTACTCTATTATCCTCTCTCTATGACTGTCTGTCCTTCTCCTGAACTGTGAGCTCCCTTTTTTTCATTTTTGTAGATCCACTATTTGGTTCACAGAAGGCAGTTAGTAAATTTATTGAATGAATAAATCAGTGAAAAGCCATCTTGTAAAAAAAAGTAGGGTTGATCAGGAGGGGCAGGACTCATTTGTTCATTCATTCATAACTAAACACTTATTTCTCTTCTAACATGGATGAAATGCTAGATCACGTTTATCAAAGATATAAAACAACCTCTCCTGCCTTTAAGAAGCTCATATTCTGTTCAGGGTGGTAACACATACAAGTAACCATTCAAGGTAAATTTTCAAACCTATCTCACTGTCTTAAGTCCTCTTTACAAAGTAACTTTTCTATTTTTACTCTTTGGACAATTTGGATATTCCATCTAGAGTTTCTTTTACTTGGCCTAAAATTAAATTTAACTAGTCCCAGTGGAATTGTGGTGCCTTTCTTGTTCCTGTCTATTGTTTGCCAAGAGCCCATGGGTATAGTGGTGAGCTATCACAATATCCAGTAGATGCTACACAACACTGAAAAATATTTTTTGATTGTGCCTAAATAGCAAACAGCAATGGATTCCTCAGCCATTTCCCTGCCATCTCAGGAACTGCCTTCAAATATGAAGAGTGATTTCCGTTTTGCCTTTTTTCTCTTCCAGATTAATAAAAACCCAAGGACCTGAGCTCTGATGAACTACCTATGGAATTTCCTTTGAGTTTATTTTTTTCTCTCAAATTCAAGACACTATTTTTTACTTCCTTCTTGATTTTTTTCCCAGAAATATTTTTATCTTTTTTTAAATAATTTATCCAAACTTCAGTAATAGGCCTGCTCCCTGGAGATAGGGAGCTTGAGTTGGCAAGAGACACTTTCTAGTAGCTTAATGCAAATTGCGAGAGAATATCTGCTAAGCAGATAAATTACAAAGGTGGTTCCTCCCAGCTGATGAATTACACAAAGGCGCCCCCTCCAGGCAGAGGAGTTGTAAAAAAGGTACCCACTCCAGGCAAATGATTACAAAAAGGGCAGCTGTTCATCCCCACTGGCATACAGGTTTTCAAGCAAACCAGGGTTGTATCCAAACCCCCACCAGCCCCCAGGCCAGTTCCCTGGTTCCTATTCTGAGATGGAGATTAGCATGCAGGTGGTTTATCAGGATGTGCTCCTGGAGTAACACCTGTGGAAGGAAAGGGACTGGAAAGGAAAGAAGCAGGATTGGGCGGGGGAAGAAGTTGAGCTGTGATACAGTTTCCACAGAGACCTCAGGGGACCCTACTGAGAGTTCTGAGATGAGAAAATCATTCAGAACTGTCTCAAGTTGGAACAAGGGGACTGGCCCTTTAGATCCCCATGTTGGTTAGTCTTTGGACACAGTCAGCCCCAGCAGAAAGGCTCTCTTTAGCAGTGGCAGTCCTACAAGGGACAACCGAGGGCATCTGCCTGCTGGAAGCTCTCCCAGCAAATAGGAAAGTAAGTCGTTCATTCCTGAAGGGGACTCTGGGCAATGTGCCGGAACTGCCACTGCACACACCTGCACAACCGTATTCATCCTTTTTAGCTTTGGACAGCCCTCCAGTGCTGCCTTGGTGCTGTCCACATTAGCATGTTCTTCCCCTCCCAGAGCCATGACTTTAGATTTGTAAGCTCCACACCAAGCACAGAACAGCCTCAACACAAACCTGCTCGATGCTGAGAGAATACCAAGACCAACAACAGAAGCACCACTCAGAGAAACCATAGCTGGAATTTGGGGATCCTGACCTACGAATTCAAAACAAAGAAATCGCAACGTAAGTGTCCAGGAAATTTTAAGGAGAAATGAAACACAAATCTCAAGTCCGTTGGACAGAAGGAATTCTGAGGAAAACTGGGACTTCTCAGTTTTCTGGGAAAGAGAAGGGAAGAGCCATTCCAAGGAAGAGGCAGGGCTGACTCAAGCAGCTGGAGGAAGGGGAGGGGCTTTGTCTGCTGCTGGCTGAATTGGACGAGGCAAAGGACTAAACTGCTGCCGAGAAGGATGGCAGCTGAGGGACCAAAAGAAAGGGGCCCACATTAAGGCAGGCTCTGGGTAGTGTCAGTGCCAGGTTAATCCTGGAATCAAGAGGATTCCTAGACTAAGCTGGTAAAAAGAAGAAAAAAAGGTGAAAGTCTACCTGGCCATTGAAAGGGGGATATCCTGGGTTCAATCCTTGTGCCTGACACAGAGAAATACCTCAGAGATAGTGTCTGGAATCGAGGGAGAGAGGCTCTGTCCATGTATGTGAACTACAGCCCTGTGGCCAGAATAAGGCTTTGTGGCTCAGAAACTGAGTCTGTAGGCTGTGACACTGGACATGTAGGGCCACATTTGGAGCCCTGAGAAGCAGCTCAGGTGCTAAGAGGCACATGAGGGCCTGGAAGAAATAGGATTTTATGAATCATGGACACCCCCTGAAAGTCACATTTAGTATAATTTACTATCCAAACACATGGCCAGGCCTGGGGAAATATTTGTTCTTACCTCTCAGTTATAAAAACCTCAAATACAGAGCTGAGAACTCCAAGGGATAAAACCAGGATATGTAGACATGCTTTCACTGAAAGGGTTCATGTGTGATTTCAGCAGGATAAGCACAAAGCTTACACTGACTACTGCACTCCAAAAAAAAGGATGCATTCCGTGTAAGAAGAGAATTCCCTGGACTAACGTTCCCACTTAGCCTTCACCATTGGAGATCTGCAATCTCCCTGATATCCTCCTAGATCTGAGGATGGAAGGAAATGAGACAAACCCAAATGACACCATTGTATTCTCTGGTGTCTGTTCTTTAAATGGCATGTCACAGGTTTCAAGAATCCATGGAGGTTGCGATTCGTCTTTGTGTAGTGCAAAGATGTGTGGATGAAAAGATGGCTCTGCTCTGCCTCTCATTGCCACTATTAGCAACAGCCAGTCTCTAGCTCTGATCATTGAGCACTAGCTAATTCGGAAGCATGCCCTGGTACTGTGAAAGTTAGCCTTCTGCAGAAGAGGCAGGTTGGTTTTCAGATCTTGCCAAAGGAAGGTTGGATATGGGGTCTCTTAATAGAGTCTTTGGGTCTTGCAATATGCTTACAGTTAGGGGTTTCTACTGAAGGGTGTATGGGGAAAAACTCTCTTTCTAACTGCATTTTCCCTCTACTCTGACACCACCACAACAACAATCATCAACACAGAAGACTTCCCAACACAGAATGTGTGGAGTTTTTCCCTACACACCAAGCAGCAGACTCCAGCTGGGTGTCCTCCAATTCAGTTCTGATGCTACCTACCCAGAGATAGTGTCAGATCTGGCCTGTTGGGGGCTCAGTCCCCAACATTGCTCCCCACACCCCCCAGACACCAGTCGCAAGTCTGGGCCTCTGAAACTTCTGACAAACTGGCTTCAAGTTGAGGTTCCCAAAACTCCTTCTTGGAGTTCGATTAATTGGCTGAAAGGATTCACAGAACTCAAGGAAATAATTACTTACACTTACCACTTTATTATAAAGGGGATTACAAGGGATACAGATGAAGACACATGTAGGGCAAGGTATGGGGAAAGGGGTATGGAGCCTACCTGGTGCCCTGGGTTCAAGAACCTCCACATGTTCAGCTATCTGGAAGCTCACTGAACCCTGGTCCTCTTGGGTTTTTAAGAAGGCTTCATGACATCAGCATTCCTTCCCCTGAGGTATAAGGAAGGACCCTCTCTTGGGAGGGGCTTAAGGCCCACAATCAGAAAGGCAGGGAACATTAGAGTCCTGCCTTAGGCAAGGTGAAAGGAGGGCAGGAGAAGGTCCAGGGCTGCCCCTGAGACCTCACACACCTAACAGTGTAACGAAAGACTGGAACAAGGGCTATGGGAGTAATGAGCCAGGAACTGTGGCTGTAAACCAATATGTGTGTGTGTGTGTGTATGTGTGTGTGTGTGTAAGGAAGGGAGTGAAACTCAAGGAAGAAAAGCCTGATCACATCTGCTGGCTCTTGATTAAGTGGAAGGGAGTGAGTTCTGGAAACTTCTTCAATCACCTATCATTGCTCTTAGCCAATCATAGACCACACTTGTGAAATCTAAGTTGAGGAAAAACCCACAGAAGGGAAACATTCCTATATAAAATTTTTTCCCTGATGTTTAAACTACCTTAAAACTAAATTCCATAGTGTTTAAGCCACCTTAAAACTAAAAATTAAATGAATATTTATTGAGTCTCTACTATATGCCAAGTACTGTGCCACTTCCTAGAGACAAGCAGTCAACAAAAACAGATGCAGTTTCTATCTTCCTGGAGCTAATGCTCTTATGAGAAGACCTAGTGCGTGAGCAATTGATAAATAATAGCATCTCTCATAGATGCCTGCAGAAAAGCAACGTGGTGCTTGGAGAGCATAACAGAGAGGGGTTTAGCTGAGTCCCAGAGACCATGGAACAGTTCCTTTAAAAATGAAGAACTGAACTGAAATTTAAAGAATGGCTAAGAGTGAACTCAGCAATGGATCAGGGTCAGGATAATATAAGCAAAAGAACAAGCTTCACTAAAGCCAGTGAGATCAGAGAGAGCTAGACAAGTGTAGTGGGAAATAACTTGGATCAGTGACTCAAAACCTAAAAATGTATCAATGCTGGGGCTTCAGGCACTGTGATAGACAGAGGGAGAAATTTTAAGGACAGGTGACGATTGTGTTGTCCTCAAATTGTGCTACATGTGAAGCCAACTACATGATATGCTCATGAGTCCACCCCACCCCGCAAGTCCTCCCTGGACTCAGCCTTTCAATCAGAATAATGAGATGATCACTGTAGCTCAGAGGAACGAAGTATAATTCAAGACCTACATGATAGAATAATAGAGTTTTGTAACTGAAGGGGTCCTCTGAGGTCAATTAACCACGCCCCTCATTTTACAGATAACCAAAGTGAGGCCCAAAAAGATTGAGCTGCTTGCCCAATGTCACACCCCTAGTTAGTCGTGCAACACAGACCAGATTTCTGCCTCTTAGTAACTATGTATTTCTTCCTCCTAAGGTCAGGTGCCACAATGTACTTCCCAGCACTCACCTATTTGGATACATCCATGCCAGCTGTGATAGGCATGTTTTCACACATTTGCCCCACCCATACCCCCTTATGGTCGACTTTTCCTCCTGGCTATAGCCCTTCTTGTCCTAAATTTATTTGGTACCATGTGAACTGTGCCCTACCTCATACCCGGGTACAGCTGATTGTGTCACAGTGGGAGCTCTGGAATTAACAGGTATTGTCTCTGCCATGCTTCATTCTATCACTCTTTCCATGTTTCTTTGGAATCTAAACTCTTCTTTCCCATGGACAATTCTTCATCCCCACTCCCAGTCCTGGCCTAGTCACTCAGACTATCCCACCAGAGTACTTTCTAGGACTTTTCTGCTGTAGCTATTGAGAAAGTTCTACAGTCACCAGAGTAGACCCACTTTCTCCTGAGAGATGGGGAATCAGACAAGGTAAGTGAAGCCTGTGGATTCAGCCAAAGCTGAAGCCAGCTGTACCTATTTTAGTAATGTGAGCCAATACATTCCTTTTTTAAAACTTAAGTGGTGTATTAATTCATTCTCACACCACCATAAAGAACTGCCTGAGACTGGGTAATTATAAAGAAAGGAGGTTTAATTGACTCACAGTTCCACATGGCTGGGAAGGTCTCAGGAAACTTAACAATCACACCAGAAGGCACCTCTTCACAGGGTGGCAGGAAATAGAAGCAATCAAGACAAGAACTACCAAACACTTATAAAACCATCAGCTCTCATGGGAACTCACTCACTATCATGAGAAAAGCATGGGGGGAACTACCCCATGATCCAATCACCTCCCACCAGGTTTCTCCCTCAACACCTGGGAATTACAATTCAAGATGAGATTTGGGTGGGGACAGAGAACCTAACCATATCAAATGGTTTTTATACTGGGTTTCTGTTGCCATAGCACCAAAAAATAACTGGAATACACAGTGAAAGAGCTGCAATAGATGAATTTTTTTTGAAAGATGAATTAGTTGACCTGCTACCAAGTAGAATTTTTCTCTCAAAAATTTATAGTGATATACTCAGTGGTCATCCTTTAGTCAAACAATGTGCAGGAAGTCTAGAAATATAAAGGTTATATGGAGTTGAGAAAGAAATTACTGCTGAAACAAGGCAACACCTGTCCAAGCTAAGGTAATGGGAAACCAAAACAGAGCCAAATTGCCTGGGTCTGAGACCCAACTCTGCCACACGCTAACTACATGATCCTGGGTAAGCTTCTCTACCTCCACATGCTTCATTGTACTCATCTGAGAAGGGTATAAAAATAGTACCTGCCTCAATGGGGTTGTTGTGAGGACTAAACACACAAATACATGTGAAGCATTAGAACAGAGCTTGTGCAGATTTAATAGTAAGTGTTAGCTATTATTATAGGTATTATGTGATTATTGTTATTAAGATTATGGTTAAGCAGAAAAGCCCAGTGGACAGAAAGGAGAGTGGGCCTGGCATAAAGAAGCTAACAGTCATATGGTCATTGGGCCACAGAGGGAGAGACAGGAGTTGTCACTTCTCCAGTTCCCATAGGACCAGCCATACTTCATAAGCTTTCTGTATCCTCAAAACTACCCATCGACCCACTTTTCTTTTTTTAACTTTGGCCCCTCTGACTGGCTTTCTGTTTCTTGCCATCACACAAGCCTAGACAAAAGCATGGCATTTGCACAGCACGATGAAGGACCAACCAGATGGCACTGCCCTGCTCCGCACCATCAACTGTGCCCCAGCTTTTCTCTAACATGTATTCTCTCCTTCAAAATCCATCTTAGTTCTGCAAAAACAGCTCAAAAGCAAATGCTTCCCAGCAAAGCCAACATCATCTCAGCCATGTGGAAGGCATGTTATGCCAGCCATAACACAGTGGTTGCCATGGCTTGTAAGAGGATGAGAGGGGATCCTCGAAGTTTCCACCTTCGAAGGGCAGGTAGATCATTTCCTCTCTAGGGATCAGGCATCCAGGATTGCCATGTGAATCCAAAGTCTTTCTAACACTCTCTTTGCTAAGTTCTATTCATAGAAAACCTTGGCCTGCCTCCAGGTCCATGTCACATTGTTTGTGACAATGAGGAATGAGGATGTACTCAGCTTTTTCAGAAAAACAAGCTCATGTTTTCAAGACATTAAGGGCAAAACTTTTCCCACAGCATAGAGTGAAGTCCTCTTCATCATACCCAAGGTGCATCATTCCAAAACTCACAAACAAAACGCCCCCTACAAAGAAATCCCAAAGCCACACACATTCCAACTTCCTGGTCAGTAAACAATGTGTCTGAGAAGATTTACCCCGATGCCGGGCCCAATTCCTCCCCAGGAAACGGACTCTTTCTCGTACCTTTTCTCTCCTTACTTCAAAACACATAAAAGACTAAATGAGGGCAGCTGAGTCCACACTCAAGGACAAGAAAACAGCCTCTGGGAGAAGTGAAAATTCTGACCCTGTTTTTCCATCTGAATTTTCACCCATCAAGCTAAGGCAGGTCTAAACATTCTCACTCATCCTGAGATTCCAGAATTTCAGAATTACAACCTTGACATACCAGGACAGTCTCTGTAACTGCTACCAACCCACAAAGATGGAAACACAAATTCTCCTCTACATATGGTGGGGTTACACCGCAGTAAACCCATTGTAAGTTGAAAATATCATAAGTTGAAAATGCATTTGGTGCATCTAACCTGCTGGACATCACAGCTTAGCCTGGCCTACCTTAAATGTGCTCACAACACTTACATTAGAGCAAAATCATCTATACAAAGCCCATTCCATAATAAAGTGTTGAATGTCTTATGCAATTTATTGGATACTGTACTGAAAGTGAGAAACAGAATGGCTGTATGGGTATTCAAAGTATGGTTTCTACTGCATGGGTATTGCTTTCACAAGTTTGTAAAGTCAAAAAATCATAAGTTGAACCATCATCAAAGAACCATCTGTATAGAAATATAACAGTTATCAACTACAGTATTCCTCTGAAAATTGATTATTAATCTTGCTTGAATAGGAACAAAATAGATAAACATAGCTAATTCCTTCTTTTTACTGCCCGGAAAGTAATTGCACATAAAAGAAGATAACCATTGACTAGGTGTGGTACTTTACAAGTGACAGTGATCATAGGGTTAAAAAGAGCCTTGCATCTACCCTGGGAACTCCTCCCCAGCATCCCTGGCATATTATCTCACTTGGGTGTGGACACCTCTAATCATTGCCTTTACTTGCTGCAGGAGTTGGAGCCAGTATTTTTTTTTAAATACTTTAAGTTTTAGGGTACATGTGCACCACGTGCAGGTTTGTTACATATGTATACATGTGCCATGTTGGTGTGCTGCACCCATTAATTCATCATTTAATATTAGGTGTATCTCCTAATGCTATCCCTCCCCCCTCCCCCCACCCCACAACAGTCCCCGGTGCATGATGTTCCCCTTCCTGTGTCCATGTGTTCTCATTGTTCAATTCCCACCTATGAGTGAGAACATGCGGTGTTTGGTTTTTTGTCCTTGTGATAGTTTGCTGAGAATGATGGTTTCCAGTCTTGACATGGTCCTCCTAGGCACTGCTTCACTTCCACCTGCAAAAGCAGGTGTTCTGGCACCTTAATGAGGCAGACCTCGGCCTTTCCTGCTGCTTCTGGGTGTCACTGCTCCCATGCAGACTCAGGGATGGGGCACAGCATATGTAGGGCCTCCTTCAAACTACAGGGCATGGAGCAAGGGGGCAGTACCATTCCAAGCATATTTCGTAGGAGTAGCAGCTTTTCAAAGTTTTTCACAGGTGTTATATTGACATACTTATTGTAAAGACAAGGAGGAAAAGGAAGCAACATGGAATGGGTGAACAAAATATCAACGATCATTTTCTAACATTTATTTTGACTTAATTACAGAAAGAGAGAAAATCTTCAAAAATAGAAAGGAAAAAACGACCCATAAACCCTCTGTACGGATTCTTTAAATCTTAATGTTTTATCACCTTTATTTTATCAATCTCTTTCTCAATATGTATATATTTATATTATATGTTGTCTGTCCTGTTTGAGCATAAGTTGCAGCCATTTAGGTGACTTTGACAGGAAGAGAGTTTTTAAAAATATACTTCAAGAGAAAGAAGAGAAAATCATAGATATTAAATAAATCTTTTAAAAGACAATTTTGTCTTAAGGCAATTGTGAATAATAATGTTTTTGTCTTTGACACCAAATAAATCATTTCAGTTTAAAAAAATCACTGGTCAGATACTGAGACAAGTGAAGGGGCAGCCAAAGGGTGACTGCTTCCCCCAACCATCCCCCGATGGCCCAGCCCTTCCCCCGACACTGGTTCTATCTATGCCCCCGCTCCATCCATTGAGGAGCTTCATCCAACTCCAAAGACATTTGAGGAACACACTGGTGCTTCTTCCAAAAGTGCCATTAACACAGGTGACTTCAGGTGGGCCCCTATTTCCTAACTCCACAAAACCACAGGGCAAGTTTCTTGGTCCCCCAAGGCACTCCTTCCTGCCTAAATTCTACTCCTAATTATCATCTTATATATATGTGATGGGGTTCAGGGCATGCCACCCCTAAAGATTACTGTAGAAGACCAGAATATGTCACCCTAAATATGCCTCTGTGGCACAAGGATTATTTTGAGCTGGTTATTTTGGAAAACAGCCGACACAGGAGTAGCTCTGAAAAGTTGCCCTATTTTTATAAGAGAAATTTACATCTATAAGGAAAGTCTGCATTTGTTAGGGTGTCTTTCTGTCTCTGTGCCAGGAAGAGAAATACAGCTAAATCACTAGAGATGCATAATCAACGGAGAAGGCATCAATTTACCTCTGCAAAACAAGCCCTCATTTTACAGTGCTTTTCCTGGCCATCTATCTCATCTTCACCAGGTCTTTCCCCACACTCTTCTTTCCTTGTTTCAGCAAATGATGGTATTTCAGCCTGAAGTCTAAGACACCTCTTTGAGATCTATTCCAAAAATGTACTCATTTTTCTGGGTTATCTCCCATGTATACATGTTATTAAACTGCTGTTTGTTTTTCTGTTATTGATCTGTCTTTTGTCACAGAGAGTCCCAGCCAAGAACTATACAGGGTAGACAGAAAATTATTTTTCCTCCCCTAAATACATCTTGGTTTTCACCAAAACAGTACTGCCCAAGTTAATGAACATCTCATTGGCCAGACAGGACTCTAAGTGGTTTTGACTACATCCAAAAATGAAATCCGTCTACAAGGAAGAATATTTGTCACAGTTGAGCTATTCACTAAAATGGGCCACCAGGCCTGAGGTTAACCCAAAGAGGAGCTTCAAAGAGCCTTGGAGCAATGGAGCAGCACTGGAACACAAAGAAAGCAACTGTAGTTCTTTATCTCAGCGGCAACAATCTGGCAAAAATATCTATTAGCTCTGGCACCTGCACCACCCATGCTGCCCTGTGCTCTCCGAACCAGTTGATTCAACAGGTGGTTTTTTTGTTTGTTTTTGTTTTTGTTACCATTTTGGGAGGCATTCTATACCTACCCATAAATTACATTGTTGTTGAAGTTAGTCAGTTTTTTCACTTTTCTGTTTTGTTTTACTTGCATCCAAAGAAACATAAACTACGGCACATGATTAAACTATGCACCTTTGCCTTTCAGTATTCTTTGTTCCGTCTCTACAGCTATTCCAGTTTTCTATGTTCCATCTCCACAGCTTCTCCACAGGGCTTCTTAAAGACGGAACCATAACTTTTCATCTTCTCACGCTGCTTCCATTGACATAGTGCAGAATAAATGTTCCTCCACCAAGACTGTCTAACTAAGTGCTAATTGGTAAAAGATTAAATAGCCCTGAACTAGACTTACTCGACTTTCTCCTAATTTTTAAAACTGGATATTGCTTTTATATCAATTTATTGAAAAGAGTCCAGTTTCAAATTCCTCTAGTTTCTATAAGCCATAAAACAATTTCATGAAATGGTATTCAAAATCAACGTGTCTCCAGGCTCAGATCTGTCAGCAGCTCTGATGCATTAAATAACTGGAAAGTCAACCACGATCCTGGATTTCCTAGGTTGTTTTCAAACCAAGAACTTTACTGGTGCCAAGACTAGCAGGAGTTCCTGAACTGGCCAACATTCCTTGAATTTCCTTTGAGAGGTGAAAAAAAAAATAAAAGGGTAGCTTAAAATGCATTATATAAGAAAGAAAGGTATGAGCAACTTAAGGGGAAACTACAAAGGAAGCGGGCCAAGTCCCAAAATAAAAGGCAGGAATAGAAGACTAAAAATAACACACAGGGAAGTGTGCCACATCTGTAGGGGTCCCTTGCATTCTCCTGAAGCATTGTGCCTTTTTTTTTCTCAAGAGCATGCTAATAATTGTGTGGAGATTTAAATAGAACGCTACTATTTGTTCTTTAAAAATAGTCACTTCTTTTGTAGGATTGTGAGAGTTTCAGATGATATTAATTGAATTTCACTCATTGCAATTTTCTTTCTATGGATATCTTCAAGTTTGCTAAGAAGTTAGTAGATTTTCTTCAATCTTTTTATCTAGCCTTCTTGAATAGAAAATGTAAAATATTTTAAATATTTCAGTCTTGTGGCAAATTATTGGACACTTAAAATACAAAAAAAATGAGGTTGGCTTTTATAATAACACAAATTATCTGCCATCTATTGGAAAGATTAGGATATGGCAGACACAGTGTTAGAATTCACTGGCATATCTAAAACATGTGCAAAGATTCTTACAACTTTGCACATGAGCCATTACCCACACTTCACACACAACACACTGAGAGGCATCGTGGTTGAATAACCCATCTGAGGCCAATAGCTACTGAGTAGTGTAGTGGGTGAATCCTGCCTCCCTCTGACTCAAAAACGCTAGAGTCCTTGTCCTTCCACAGTACTTTAAGATGATCAAAAATATTTTTTAAATAGGCTAATTATGTATAGTTAGCTCAGAGCCATCAGTAGGATATCTGTTGCTCTCTTAGTCGGTTTTGCTTACTTTGGAAAACGTAAAATTGGATTTATATTTAAATTCCACACATCTCATAACTAACATAGGTACCATTCCTCCTGGGTATAAGGTTCATCTTCCACCACTCAATCAACTATTCGATTATTATGACAATTATTTTTCTCCCTTAGGAGAAATATGTTACGATAGATTTTAAGAAAATGGGAACCTCATATAGTGGGAACTGTCTAGGAGAGGTCATTCACGATGTGTGTTTAATAATTGCTTCCAAGTTGTTAATTCCTGTTTTCTCTAGACACAACAGAAACAGGAAATATTTACCAACTTCACAGGTGTCAGGAAATACTTTTAAAACCCTGGTAGCCTGGGTCGCCCACTGAAGCAGATAGCTTTTCTGCGCATAGGTGCAGAAGGTACATTGTAATTTAAAATGTGTACTTTGGTCCAGATAATCTAAGGATTCACAGGCATTGCTTCTGTTGAACCAAGGATATTTTCCAGAAGAGAGTTGCAGTGTATGCACATGTGCTTTGTAGCCTTTCTAGCATTTACTAGAAAACTAGAATTCTCTACATTTACTTAATTTGAAATTCTATTTCCATATCTAACAATGTGCCAAGATGAAAAAATACGTCTCAAAACTACTGAAATATAGGATCATGTTCTTAAGTCACATTTTGTGTAGTAAGCCACTGACTTGTTTTGACATTGCAGTCTACGTTTTCAAAAACTGGACAGAGCTCCATTTTTTCCTAATTATAAAAGTAACTGCAAAAATTTCAGAAAACAGCTAAAAATATAAAGAATAAAATAAGTGTCACTGATAACACCTGGATTTATAGCCGTTTAAATATTTTTTCACAAAAATAAGACTATTCATATGGCATTGTAACTTACCTTTTTTTGCTTAATATACAGTAGAAGTGCTTTTAGGCAAACTTCACTTAATCATCTCACTGAAATCACCAACCGTGTCCATTCTCTCCCCCAAAACACAAAAGTATCGACATGGAGTACACTGATGGACCAGGCTGGCAGCACCCCCCAACCCCGCCCCACCCGGGATGTACCTGTTACTTGCACTACCACTGTTGAATTAAAAATATACCAAGAGATCAACTTTTTTTTAGCTCCCACATATGAATCAGAACATGTGATATTTGTCTTTCTGTTCCTGACTTATTTCACTTAACATAGTGTCCTCCAGTTCCATCCATGTCGATGTTAATGACAGAATTCATTCTTTGTATAGCTGAGTGGTATTCCATTATATATATATGGATAATATATGCATATATATTATATATTATATATGTGATATATATATATATATACACCATGATCTACACCATGATATATAAAATGTGATATATATGATGATATATATCATGGTATATATCATCATATATATCATGGTATATATCATCATATATATCATGATATGTATCATTATATATACTATGTATACACATTATATATCACATTTTATTTATCCATTCATTCGTTGATGGACACTTAGGTTAATTCCATATCTTTGCTATTGTGAACAGTGCTGTAACAAACATTGGGATGGAGGTATCCCTTTGATATATTTTCCTTTGATTTCCTTTCCTTTGGATAAATAAATACCCAGTAGTGGGATTGCTGGATCATATGGTAGTTCTATTTTCAGTTTTTTGAGAAATGTCCATGCTGTTTTCTGTAGTGGCGGTACAAATTTATATTCCTACCAACAGCTTATAAATTATATTAAGTGAAATAAACCAGGCACATAAAGAAAAATATTGCATGTTCTGACTCATAAGTGGGAGCAAAAAAAAAAAGTTCATCTTGTGGAAGTAGACAGTAGAATGAGGGGTGGAGAATGGTTGGGAGCAAGCGGTAGGGACAAAGATTGAGGTCAGTTAATGGGTACAAACATAGAGTTAGACAGAATAAATAAGCCCTAATGTTGGATAGCAGAGTAGGGTGACTGCAGTTAACAATAATGTACTGTATATTTCAAAATAGCTAGAAGAGAGGATTTGAAATGTTCCCAACATATAAATATGATAAACACTCGGGATGATGAATACCCTAAATACTCTGACTCGATCATTACACTTTCTATGCATGTAGCAAAATACCACATGCACCCAACACTCAAGATGATGAATACCCTAAATTCCCTGACTTGATTATTGCACTTCCTACTCATGTAGCAAAATATCACATGCACCCCATAAAAATGTACAAATACTATGTGTCCATTAAAAAAATTTTAAAAGCATACTGAGTCTGCTGCATTTGTTCTCAAACCTGTTTGTGCAGTTATCACTGTTATATAACTTAATTAAATATTACATACATCAGTAAGCTAGCAATGCAAGAGAATTGTTATTTCCATGAATATTAAGGTGAATGTTTTAGGGAAATCTGATAAAAGTATTACTTTAAAAAACAGCTGCTCTCAAATTAGGGAGAGGGGAGTCATGAAAATCTAGGAGTCCACACTCTGATTGTGGTATAGTCAAGAAAGATGATGTGCACTCCTTCTGGCAGCCACACTACCTGACCAATGACCAGAACTCAGTATATGGTCTCTCTCTGCTTTGGAATTAACACATTGTACATCATCAATCATGATATATGTACCTCATCATTTTCAATATCTAAATTATATTCAATTATTGGCTATACTGTCTTTTTTTTTAACCAATGCTGTATCAATGACCTTTTCAGATTATTTGCCAATAGCAATTTTCCAATACTATAAAAATGTTGTAACTTTTATTGTATATACACTTATGCACACTTTAACAAAGTATTTCCTTAGAATAAAATCATGGAAGTGGAATTTCTACACAAAAGAATGTATACTTTTTGGGCTGAGTGTAGTGGCTCATGCCTGTAATCCCAGCCCTTTGAAAAACCGAGACGGGCAGATCACTGGAGATCAGCAGTTCAAGACCAGCCTGACCAACATGGCAAAACCCCATCTCTATAAAAATACAAAAATTAGCCAGACATGGTGGCACATTCCTGTATTCCCAGCTACTTGGGAGGCTGAGGCACGAGAATCGCTTGAACCCAGGAGACGGAGGTTGCAGTGAGCCAAGATCGTGCCACTGCACTCCAGCCTGGGTGATGGAGTGTGACTCTGTCTCAAAAAAAAAAGAATGTATACTTTTTAAAACCTACATATATATGTGTATTTTAAGATATAGAATACATAAACTAAAAATTTTTAATATTTTCATTTTTAAAAATTAAATGGCTAAATGTGGGACGATGTTAATTAGTAGAATTTTCACCACCATGCACAAGATTTTATCACTGAATTTATTTGGATCTAGGTGTTTCATCTGTAAAATAAAAGGTTTAAACTAGATTACCTTGAGGCCTCCTTCTGGAGTCCAATAAGACATTGCCATGCATGCCTATATTCTCTCAGGGGCTGGGAAGTGTATAAATGCATCTATTTTGTGAGTGTTATGTCTCAAAAGTCAATACAAGTGGAATTTTATAAACCAATTCAAGTAAGCAAATCAAACTATATCATCACTTACAGAAAGTCTCTATCTTCATTTCTGACTGATGGTCCTGACCTTAGAATGGTGTCTTTCTAACCATGGGGGTGGGGCTTTGGGGTGAACAGAAAGAAACTCCCTTTGTAACTCCATTTTCTCTCTAATTGCAAACTAAACCTTTGTCCTTCCCAGACAACCTTCTGAAAAAGTGCTCACCTCACATGCAGCATTCACACCCTTGTCTGGCTTTCACCCAATCTCCCCATGGACACTGCTCCACTGTGGTCACAAGGGACTACCTAAGGACTCTGGTTCTGCCTTTTCTTTCCATGACACATGACACCATTCACTCTTCTTGAATGTCTTTTTTTCTATGAGACTATATTACTTCATTACTTCCCAAGTCTCTGGTTCTTCTACTTCCATCCTCCTTTTGTGTTCTTCCTCTATTTGTCCTCACAAAGTTCCCACAGTTTAGCTTAAAGTTTCTCTGACTTCTCGGCAGCTTAAACAGTTAAGAATCTTCAAACAGGCCAGACATAGTGGTTCATGCCTGCAATCCCAGTGATTTGGGAGATCGAGGCAAGAGGATCATTTGAAGCCAAGCATTCAAGACTAGCCTGGGCAACATAATAAGACCCCATCTCTATAAAAAAAATTTTTTTTAATCAGCTGAGTGTGGTGGTGTGTGCCTGTAGTCCTAGCTACTCAGGAGGCTGACGGGGAAGGATCACTTGAACTCAGGAGTTTGAAGTTAGCATGAGCTATTATTGTGCCACTGCACTCCAGCCTGGGCAACAGAGCAAGACCCTGCCTCCTTCTCTAAAATAAGAGTTTTCAAAAAAATTAAGTATACCAGCTAGTTATGATACATTGCAATGCATTCTTTCATAAGGCCAACAATGATTAGTTTTGATCACCCCTTAGTTTATCTCTTTTCTAGACAAATCTAGATTTTCTTATATCTCAAAATATAAATCCCTAGACCAGCAGCATCTGCACCACCTGAGAACTTGTTAAAATGGGAAATGCTTGGACCCCACCTCAAACCTACTGAATCAGCAATATGTGTTTCAGCAGGGCTTTCAGGTGATTCTGATGCATGCTAAAGTTTGAGAACCACTACCCTATGTCAGACACCCTTTTAATGCTAGCTCTCAGTTTAATGACTAGGATAACTGATGGGAAATCAGAAATAATCACTTCTCCCTCTAAATTTCTGTATGGTGTTGAATGACATCTATAGATTCATTACTCCTAGGGAGACCAGGATGAAAGAGGGAATAAAATGCAGGACGCAAAGGCAGTCCTCCCAAATTGCCTTTCACAGGAAATGACAACCTGGTCTGACTATGAGAATTACCTTACTGTTTTTGCTACCACTGGTGATATCCCCAATGCCTGAGGGAGAAGCACTTCCTGTCTTTGTTGTCTTGAACAGCCCTATTTGTCAGATTCACTAACTGTGTAGGCCCCCAACATTTTCAATCACCTCACAACCCAACAGGATGGATAAGTAGCTGGGCAGATGGGGATCTGACAGGTGAAAGGGAAGGAAAGCCTGTCTTCTTCTTGAGCAGCTGCTGCTCTGGTGAAGACACAGGGCCTGTTACAAGCTTTATTTATTAATTCCTTCACCCATCCATCCTTTTATTCATTCACTCATCCATCCATCCCTTCATTCATTCATCCATCCTTCCACCAACCATCCCTTCAGTCATCCATTCATCCAATAGCCATCCATCCCTCTTCCCATCCATCTTTCCTACCTTCATCTATCTACCTATCCACCCATTCATTCATCCAATCATCCATTCATTCCAGAAATATTTATTATGCCTCAGCTTAGTTTCTCTCCAATATCAAATGAGATTAGGCCCATTGATCTATGGAATTTTCTTGTTTCCCAAGTGTTTTCTGGAATGGTACATTGAAGTGTGGGAAGAAAATTTCAAAACTTCTATTTATATCTCTTATCTCTTCATTTTAATAATGTCTAGTTGGAGTGTATGTTTTATAATGAACGCAATATATTAATACGATAGTGTGTATATAGTTTGAAATTACATGCTCAAAAAAATTTTGCACTAGCAAAGTGTGCAGTCAGGGGTGTACAGATCCAAAGATTTTGGAGACCACGGCTATGAAGATTAGTGGTAAGACTACAGAGCAATTTGGGATAGACAGGTACTAGCTTTTGGGGTGAAAACCATGAAGAGCCCCCAGCACCATAAAGCTGGGCAGCTAGAAAACATGCCTGCCACTCAGAGCAAATGGGCCCACTTTCATCTGATTTTATTGCCCATGATTGCACAGGTGGTTACTGCAGCACCAGAAACAGAGGCCAGTCCTGCTCCAGTCTAGCTCTTTTTCCACACTTCCTCAAAGAAGCATTTGGACTGTGGCCCGGGCTTCAAACCAAGAGGGCAGATCTTTAAATAACCTCACTCCCTACCAGAGTAGCCTCAAACTTTCTTGCCCATAGGTGAAAATAGAGATTTTCAGTTAATGAAAATGTAAATATCTGACATTCATGTAACTTTGTATCTCATTCACACCCAATTTCTATCATCTTACAAAATATATCAATTCGAGCAAACAGGATTTTTTCTTATATAGACTTTTTTTAGCATTTTTATCGATTCACCTAAAATGTTTCCATAATTTGCCCACAAGGCAGAATGAACATAGACTGTTCTTGAATATGATACTCAAGCTTCAAAGCTGTAAAATACTCTCTTCTTTCATAGGTACTGAAAGGTTTGTCTTTGGCTATGTTTTCTAAAAGCAACCCCCTTCAAAAATATTAGAAAATAAATGAAAATAAAATGCTAGTATTAATTATGAATGAGAAACTTAAACTGATAAAAGTAAAAATTGTTCGACATTTTTAGAGCTGTAATCTTCAGTAAAACAGCTAACAACTGATTGAGAGTTAATTATAAGGGGTTTCCCCATAGAACATGGAAGAGTGCAAAGGAGTACTCAGTAGCTGTTTAATAGCAAAGTTTCTACCATTGAAAATGACAAAATCCAGGAAGAGAACACAAAACAAAGAAGAAAAAATGCTCTAAGTCTAGGACCTCAAGAGCCATACAGGTAGCAAAATAGAAATGGTTATTTCAAGCCTGAGCTCTGCATCTAACTAATGATGTCAACAGAAGTGTTTACCTTGTGTTGTTGTTTTGCAGAATGAGTTAATATATTGGGACCTACTTTTAGGAAACTCTAAAAAATGAGTAGACCAAAAATGTGAGGCAGAGAAGCAAATATCCTGACCCCCTGTTTTGATAGAAGAGGCTTATCCAGAGCAGAAAATTCTGTTGAAGAGCTTGTCCTTTAATATGAATGAGAGTTCTTATTTATTGAATGAATTGTTAAAATAACATTTAGCAATTTAACAAAATCACAAATCAACACAGAGAAGCTGTATCTTGTTCTTTTTTATTGAACAATAATAAACATGTCCTTTTAAAACAAAACCTAACAGCTTATGCAGCTTTACATTCAAAGGCCTTCCCACACACATTCACAACTCTGTTGGCCAACTTCAAGAATAAAATACAGGTAAATACTGAAATAATTCTTAAATAAGTTCTTCACTTCAAATAAAATACTTCTGAGATATTTCCTAAGAACATCTAGTACAACAGTCCTGTTTGTGCTAAGATTCTTTCAAATATACTCCTAATTCCACTTATCAACCAAGTTTAAAAGAAAAAAATATGAAAATAAACTATATTTTAAAGTTGACATGTTTTCTGCTGAAAATTGATTCTTCTTTTACAAACCTCCTAAAAACTTATTTTCTACCTTAAATTGAAAATTCACCTAAGTCACAGCACTTATGTTTAAATAAGGACCCTCTGTTGCTCATTTTTTGACATTTTTGAAATCCAGAGTGACTCTGTTTTTCTTATGCTTATTAAGGTTATTATTACTATAATTATGGATAATAAATTTATCATGCCTCAGATGTTTGAAAACCTTATAGAGTCATAGTTTTATTCTAACCATTTTCAACAAATAATACTAGATTTCTTTCCTCAAGAGGATGATAAATATGGGTAGGGAAGATGACTTGCACTAACACATTTATTTATAAAAATATATAAATATTTACCTTCATACACACACAAACCACCAGTGGGTAAAATACTTCTTAGATTTATCTCTGAGGTGGCATACGTTAAAGCTATTTATGGAAGTGTATGTGTTTCCTATGCCCCAGAACCGTCCTTCAGATACAGGTAACCCGGGAACTACATCAGCAGCCTTTTGAAATTGCTCTCAGTTCAAAGCTGTTTGTTACTCAAATTTCCATAAGCTTCAAACATCTTACTTCCTTCAGGGGTTTTCTGGTTGTTTTATTTTGACTTTTCCCAAAGCCAAAAAAAAAAAAAAAAGCACAATTAAATTCTAGAGAAGCTACCTACCAAGGAAGGGCTAAATATTTTATTTCCCACTCCCACCCCCTCCCCATCTTCTCCTGCTCTTAAGTCTTCATTCCATATCCCAACATTAATGTACATCAAAGTCAAAGAACTAATTTGACTCACTGCGGTCTTCAGCTTTGCCTAGCTCCCTCTTTGGTTGACCTGTCTCCACGTAAGATTACCTAAATTGCATTTTTAGTTCTTCAGTGTTACTATACACACACATTTAACAAATCTACATGCATTCGAATATTTAACAAACACATACAAGTGTTCAGTCATATGGATGTTATGGATTGTAAGTATCCTACTTTTTGTTTTCTGGATCCACCATGCATCACATTTGGTCTTCAAAAATTACATGTCCTTATGCTATAATCTAGAAAGTTCCTAAAATGTTGGCTGTGTGTTGAACAATCACGAAAATAGAGCCTTCTCTCAGAAATCACAGCCGGGATCAGCGTGGATTTAACCATTTCCTCATTACGGGAGACCCGGCAGCATTCTCTTTCACAACTTCTTCTCTCACAATATTGCCATCTCCAGATGCCATGTCATGCTCTGAAAGTAGACGGAATACAAATCATGTCCAAACATCTATAGCTCAAAGACAACACAGTTTTGCTTTATTTTTGTTTTACATGGAATTTACAATGAAATCTTTAATCAATTTAAGATTCCATGCTAACTGTATTCACTGCTCTATATCAGTGAGCACCTCTATATACAATAGCACCCCTTGAATTACTTATCTTTGTATACCTATCGTCACCTGACATTATCTTCTACATGTATTTGTCTTTTTTTCCTGTGTATTATTTCACTCCACCACTAGAATTCCAGTTTCACAAAGGTAGGGACTTTATTTTGCTCACTGCTATATCTCCAGCACTTAGGACAGTGCTTGCCACATAGTAGGCACTTAATAAATACTTATGGAATAGGCAAATGTTGTACAAACAGGTCTCAAGTTAGATTCTTACACTAACTGGTATGAAAGACAGATTAACTTTTGCTGCATCCAGAAGGCAAAAGGCAGACCAATGGGTAGAACGTTCATAAAGACACTTCTCACTCTACATATGAGAAAAGTTTGTAATATTTGAAATTTGCTAAAATGAAATTTTCTACTTCAAGGAGTAGTGAGGTGTGCTTGCTTTGGCAGTGCACATTCTGATGTGGAATGCTTTAAGAAGATTAGCGTGGCCCAGCAGACGAATGTGTGTAAGTCCATGAAACATTCCAGATCTTACTCCCCCAAGACCCTCGTACACAAAAACTTACTTGTGAATTCCCAACTTGGGAAGCTCACTGCCAAAAAAAAGAACACCAAGTGGAACACTGTGGACAGGAAGCACATTTGACAAGAGTGCTGTAGCCAGCAGGTGGAAAGTTGGAGAAGACAAGCTCGTGCTCTGGGGGTCCTAGTGCTGGTGAAGCTTGCAGCCATTTAGCCTGCTCTCAAAGGCTGGGCCCAAACAGGTTTGTGCAGAGGTGATGTGAAGCCTGTGTCAGGAGTGAAGCCCAAGCCTTCTCCTGTAAACTCCAGTGCATGAACCTGGAAGTCTCATGTAGTCTCAAAGACACATGTAGACTACAAAGAACCCTAGGCAGCCTCCCCAAGAGGTCCTTAGGGTTTTCTGCTCTCCATCCTGAACCTGACTAAGGTTTACCAAGATCACACTAAAAATCATCTTTTGCTGGTTGCACCTTTAGCTAATGAAAGGAAATACCCTAGGTCAGAAAAGAGAGAAACTGACTGCTTTTTTCAAATATTTCTGATAAGAATCTCAATGCCTAACTTTGATGTGGAAATATTTTTGTGTAACCTATAATGTAAGTATTGTTATGGGCATCACCATACTTAAAACTAATAATTCACTTAAAAGCACGATATTTCCGCTTCATTTTAATGTGTTTAGTTGACCCATACATAAGAAGGAGGTAAAATTAGAAAACAAGCACCTTTGCCAAATAGTTTATATTTTATTAACTTGAAATGCAAAAGACCAAAAGCAAAAACTAAATAAAATGGACTTGAATTGTTATTTATAGTTGTGGTGGGAAAAAGTATATCATTTGTTGATACTAGCCATCTCTGTGACTATATGTTGGGCTTATTATTTATTTATTTTTTATAATTTTAAATACAGTTTTTAATTGACAAATAATAATTGTATACATTTAGGGTACAATATGATACTTTGATATATATCTCCACTGTGGAATGATGAACTCAAACTAAGTAGCATATCCATCACCTCATATACTTATTTTTTGTGATGGGAACATTTAAAATTTATTATTTTACCAATTTTGAAATATATAAGAATTATTAACTACAATCGCCATTCTGTGCAATGGAGGCCTAAGCTTTAGTGATGTATGTTGCTTTAAATGAGCTACTTTCAGTTTAATGGAACTCTCCTGTACTGGCCAGCTATTCAACAAAATAAACAAATATGTACATAGCACCATCTCATAGGTTGTGTATTCCTCACATTCTAACACCTGTATAAGAAATACACACGGACTAACAAGCAGCACGTATTACTACAGTTTCATTCATTTCCAAAATTTCAATCACATACTATTTCTTATCCTCTCCAAAATCCATAAAAACACACACTTGGAATTATTACACTTAAATGCTTTCATTTGGTTAAAAAAAAGAAACGTTCTATATTTTCTATCTTGACTCTTAAAGCTTATCCAATAAATTCCTCACAGTACTTTTTCTATGTGAAGTTGGGAGATAAATAGTTTTGTCTAGTAAATATATAAAACAGATCACTGAAGAATTTAAAGAACTTTGTGTATCTCAGTTGGTTATTTTTTATTACAGATTTTTGGTAATCAATCATATTTATCCTCCTATAAATCATATTTAAACCAGGTAAACTTTATGAGAAATTATATGTAAACCTCAAAATTATTGATGGGCTCTTTTTAGAAAACAGCAACAGCAACCAAACTCAGCTACCACCCACCGTTCCCCTGAGTAAAGCAAAGGAAATAAAATCATTCCAATCCACATCTTATTCTACTCACAGATATTTTCTAAGTTATTCACACTGAAATGAGACTATTCTTCCAATGCTTATACCAGAATCAGTGCTTACCCGTGAGAGAAACAAATCTGTTGGAAGACTTGGTTACTGAATATTGGAAGAAGGGGAATTTCAGGCATTTTCCCGTCCCCCTGTCACAGATGCCTGACTGGCAGTTGCAGGTCTCTCTGCAATCCATCCCGAAGGTGCCGTAGGGACAGTCTGGGGACAAAGGAAAGGTTGGAGAGGACGCTGCTTGTTGTAAATACGTCTCCATCCTAACAGCCCTGGGTGCATAGCCTTGCGATTTGAACCAACCTCATGAACCTTGACTGTAAAGTAAAATCCAATTCTCCAAACCCAGGATTTGAAAGTTGAAACTTTGAGTCATAAATATGAAATCACACATTAAGAACAGATAATGGATGCCTCGGGCTTAGTGTTGTGATGTAAAGTTAAGTTGAAGACAGCTACACACAGCCAGTCTCCTTGGACCAGTCTTCATTCTGGTGATGTTCTGCTTAGATACCAATAAATTCTCACAGATGACCTCTGTAACAGCTCAGCAAAGGTGGGAAATTGAACAGACATATATGCATCAGCTCCTCAAAGAGTTTTTAAAATGTGATGCTATCTTTGAATCTACTGTATTCACAGATAATTTACTATTTTAAGTGTATAGGAAAGGGCTTCAAACTAACCAGGGAGAGAGCTATCATCCTAGCTCACCATGAAGCAATCAATCTTCCATCTGCTCCAACCCTTATCAAGTTCCTTATTTGTCGAAACGGCATGTCATACAACTTGCCTGACTCCCTCAGTAGTTAAGAGGGCTCCCTAGTAAAATCCTCTGCAAGGCTAACATGCAAGATGCTAAATGAGCAAGAAAGCTCAGGGCTTATACACCCTGAGGGTTTGTACACCTACCAAGAACTAGAAGCTTTTAGACCTCCAGTGCTTACACTTATGCCAAAACATCCTACATTGAAATAAAGAGGACAAAGTCGTTTATTTAAAATGCATAAAATTATTTAAAATGCTGTTTTTAGGATAAACAGCATCTCAGTAGACTAACCAACCTTTAAAAGCCAGCAGAATAGATATAGAATATTCTCTTGTTGTGAAAATACCTTGTAAATGTACAATCACAGGTGGGTAAAGAACAAATTGTGAGCCATCTGAGTCTCTAGCAGTCTAATACTCCACTAACTGACCAAGTAGATCATCAATGAGCTATCTTTTTTTAAAGAGATCTATGAGTGCTCTTTTCAATATGGTTCAGATCACAGAGGAACCTGGTTTTGAACACTGTTCTCTTTGCTGGGAAGAAGAGATCTTAAAAAGGGATCCTGCAAAGGCCTGTTCCAGAAAAGCACACAGGATTAGGATTTGACTGTGCCTGCAGCGATATTGAAAACTAAAACTTTAGCCAAATTCCCAGAGATACTTCTAGTGTATCCCCTGATGTACTGAACAGTGCTGGGCAGATAGTAAGTGTTCATTAAATATGTGTTGGCTGCTGATTGTTAATCTGGGCAAGATGTTCACAGACATCTGAATATTTAGAAGACATTTGGATACGCAGCTGAAGTTTACAGTTTTCACGTGGATGTTCTTTTAAAAAGCTGAAGAAGGGAGATGATTGCCAAATGTATTATCTCTATCTCGAGTTGCTAAGGCTCACAAAGTCTCCTATTTCCAGCAGAGAGAAAAATGCTTAAAACTAGATTCATCAGCAACCTGAAGAAAGCCAAAAGAAGCAATCTTAAAGATCTTTTTAGTATCTTGATCATTCAGTAGAATACTACAGTGCTAAAGACTCCAGATGCCACACAGCTTGTTTCTTTGCCCATATGTAATGTACATTTACAATCACATGTACAAAGGCATATTATGCCAAGAGAAAAAGCAATCCACTGCATATACATGCTATATCATAAGTATGATTGTGTTAACCACTTCCTCCCTAATTTCCTTATGTGAAGTACTGTTTTCTTGGTCAATAAGCCCCATAATTTACAAAATATACAGATCCTATTCAGTTGAAAGAAACATGCATATGTGTTCACCAAACAAAATATTTTCTCAATATTCTATTTCTTATTGTATATAAACAAAAATAAACTAAGCAAAAAATAAAACTCTCCTAATACTTTAAGAATTTGTTTTTTTAATTTTGTATGTCTTGCAAATTAAAAGATGATTAATTTATACATTATATGTCTAAGAAGTAGGAGAATTAATGAGATTAGCACAATACTGGATAAATATTATTCATAAAAAATGTATTAAATACATAAAACATAATAATTATTTAGAAATTTCTCAGTCCTTTTTATAATTTTGAAAGCTTCCTGGTATTACACAACTGATGGATGGGGTTATAGCATGTGTTGCTTCTTAATAATAGCTCTTCATAATAAGATCATGAGATATCTATACGTAGAGTATTTTTAAATCATCATTCTTTTTATTCTAAACATTTTTAAAATGTTAAATATTTTAAACTAGTTACTATGTTTAAAATAAATTCTACAAATGCTTAACTACATTATTTAGCTAAAATTTCAACCGACGAAGTTTTTCTTTAAGTGTACAAGTGGTCAACCTCATTCTTTACAGACTTCCAGTTTTTATTTTTCTCTATTGTTATTTTTCCTTGTCTTAACACCATCTGCTATTTTTCCAGATGACCAAAACCTTTATAAAGTCAGATGAGGTTTGTTTTATGCTTCAGGGGACCCTCTTTGAAGAGTGAGTTATTTTGTTAGATGACTTAAGCTCACTCTATTCCATAAAGTGCATTTGTGTTTATCAGAAATATTTGATCTTGAGAGTGGCCCTCCATCCTGTGGACCCTTTCAAGATCAAAGAATCACTAAATCTGGGGGCTAGAAACCATTCCAAGAGGTTATCTAGTGCAGACCTTTGTAATCGCTGCCTCGCAGAGGAGAGAGCACCTAAGCCATCCTTAACAGATTACCTGTCAAGTTTCTAAAGTTTTCCAGAAAAGGAGCCAACACAATCTTCCATTGCAGCTTTCTTTTTGCGATCTCCTAAGGCAACGAGTAAAATGCCACACTTCTTTCTGTGCCTTCCTGCACACTGGTTTCAGTTGCTACTTGGAGCTATCCTTCAGTCTCTACCCATGACAATACCTGTGTGGTGCCTTGTCAAGAATCCACCTGCCTTTTCCCTCTTACTCTTGAGGAGCAAAGCCACCTCACCTCCCAAGCTGGCTAAAAGCTCTCAGCATGCCCCGGGAGGGGAGAGGTAAGGGGTCACTCTTTACCTTTGCAGATACCAAACTCTTCACCAAAAGGATCCTCCCCATTAGAAGGCTGACACCTCAGCCCCGGGCCACACTTCATGCCATCCATGCCTGAGACTGTGCGGTAGCAAGTTTCTCCCCGCCCTGCAGCGCACACTCGGCAGCAGCCACAGTCGTCGAGCACTGTCCTCTTGCAGCGCGGGCTGCTTTTGCACTCACTGCTGTCACAGTGTTGAGGGCAGTCCACCGCATAATTATTGCTCCAGGCGGCCACCAGGTGTGCAGGCACGAGGAGCGTGGTCAGCAGCAAGACGCTCTTCATGTTTCCCAGCTGCCTCCGGCTCGGCTCTCCAGTCGTGGTCTTTGCTGGTGGGAAGCAGCCGTCCAAACTGGTAGCTGAGCCTCTGCCTACACGTTTATGAGTTTTATACACTGGGTTGCCCGCATGCTTTCCCGTCATCAATTTCCTCAACCCAGCAGCAGCGCTGTCCTCCTGCCAGGCTCTCTTGTTTTGGTTTATGAAATCCAGGATGAAGGCTGGATTAACACGCTGCTGCCATCCAGGAATTGAAAAGCCCAAGCTGATGTCATCTGTTATGTTTAGATGGTTGTTTTGCATGAGGACTGAAAAACTCACTCACATCCGTCTCAAGGGCTCAAGGACGTCTGTGAAGGAGGGATAAAGAAGGTTGCACACCCTCCTTCAGGACGGGAATTGTTCTGACCCTGGCATATCACTTGAGGTGTAGCTTTGTCTCAGAGCCTCTGTAGTCAGGAGGAAAATGATATCAACATGAATCATCAGGACCGAAGAAGCTTCTTCAAAAAAAATAATAAACATTTGGTATTTCCCCTCAACAAATAGCTATGAGATCATTTGAAAGAAGAAAGGGTTATATTGTGTCTTTTCAATACTTAGAAGAAAGAAAATATTTTGATAGGGCTATTTTTTAAGACCCTCTCTTCCTTCCTCTCACCCCTCTCCTCAAATGTTATTTCTAAAGCAATTCATGTTACATATATCTAAGCCTATTGTGGATATAGCTGTGCTTCCAGTACAATGTGGAACTGCCTCTGAGAATTTCTTTTAAAATCAATACAAAAAGCCACAAGAGAGGTAAGATCCTTTCGGCACTGCTTCTGGGTTACTCAATTCTGGAAAAACTTATCAGTTGGACTTCTGATCCAAAACTTCCTCAGGGGAAGGCTCATCCATCACTAAGTCTGCTTGTCCAATGACGGAGTCCACCCAGAGCCCTTCCCCTCACCTCCTGGCATCTATCAGAGCCCTCACTAAAAACTGCCAAGCGCGGCAGCCAGCCCAAGGCAACAAGTGGCTCAGCAGGAAAATCAGAACACAGCCCCCAAGAAACAAGTCACAGGGAAGGGAAACATTACCCCTCAGGAAACAAGGTCTGCATGCTAAGAGGGTTACCGTGCCTAGGTCCCTCTGGGAAAACAGAGTAGCCCTCTTAAAATATCAACTGTGCCAGGGTCTTATTAAGTAAGGTTAAAGAGGAGAGAGGGGAGTTCTTACACCAACCACATGCCGAATTCCATGCCCCCACCTCACTTGTCAAAAGAGATATAGACTCACTGTCACTTAGTAAATAACAACCCAGTAAAGTGGGTAATTCTTGGTCTGTCACAAATGAGCTGTAAGAAATTCACAGGACTTCTCTTGGCCTCAGCTTCCTCTTTTGAGAATTGATGGTGTTAGGCTACCTGACCTCTAAAATTCTTGTTTCCCATAGAAGATGAGGCAGAGCGGGCATTGGATGTAACTTGAAGATCGGCTTTTGCAAATGCAATTTTAGGGGGACACAGGGAGTAAATTCAGAATACAGAGAATTGAGGCAGTAGGAAATGAAAGCAAGAGTTTTAGCTTTCAAATTTTCCAAATTTTTCATGACAATCCAATTTGAAATACTCTATCTCCCCAGAAGCACTTACTTAGCAGGTGGCACACTCTGATGTTTTCAGTAATGGGTAATATTTGTTGAGTTAATAGCTTAAACACTTTACATGCATTAACTCATTTGCACCTCATCACAATATTATGAAGTGGCTGCTATTATCATGCTTATTTTTTAAAAGAAGAAACTGAGTAAGAAAGAGGTTAATTTGCCTAAGGTCCCTATATTGAAGGGATGGATGTTAGTCTAATGTCAGAGCCACATATTCTATTGCCTATTACAATACATAATTGTGCTTTCATGGCCAATAGTTCCAATGGCCTAGGTCGCAATTTAGGCTGACCCTAGAAAATGTCCCTTGTTACTGAACACCACTTTCTGAGGAGTAGTTAACTGGAATAGTGGTTAATAATAATATCTAACCTTTACAGAGATCTGACTGTGTGCCAGATGCCATGCTAAGCAGTTTATGTAGATTACCACATTTAACTTTCAAAACAACCTCAAGAGCTAGGTGCTATTCTTATCCCCATCTTAGATATGAGAAAACTGAGGCCTAGAGAGGGTAAGTAACTTGTCCATCATCACACAGTTAGCAAATGGTGAAGCCAGGACTCCAGCCCTGAGACCAACAAGCTCTGGAGACTGGATTAAGGATTGTAAAATCAAATACATACAGGTGCCAAACAGGTGCCCAAGGTGGGTGACATGGTAAGCTATACTAGATGTAATACAGAAGGAATGGAGTGGATTTCGTCCTCCTGAATAGCACATAAAGACATGAAACTCTTCCACTATGGAAGATAAAGGGAAACCAAATTGATAATACCTTCAGTAAATGACAACTAAACAAATGTAAGTTGAGAGTACCAAATCCAAATAGTAAACCAAACTACAATGCACAGGTAAGTGCAGAAAATATGCCCAATAGAGTTCACCAGTGGTGGAACTATCTCAATACACAGTGCCTAACAACTCATTTTAGGGGAACCTTCAATCCCTCCAAGACCCAACAAAAACCATTTGTCCCAACACAATCCCTGTAAGATTTTTATCTAGTGATTTCTGTCTTCCCCAGAGCCTTGAGCCCAGATCAATGAATTCCATTAGGAAAGTTAGCAATGACCACAAAGGGTTAGGAAATGGGAGCACGAGCAACCAAGGAGCCAACTCTAAGCTGCATTAAAAAGCAATAAGATGATGGCAGAGCTGTTGATAGTGAGTGCATGAGGTCCACCCATTTCACTTGCTTTGTGCTGGGGACTGGAACATCTCTCATCTTGCTCTGCCTGTATATCAGTTGTCAAGTCAGAGTGAGAAAGGGCAAGAGGAATTGCACAAGATTTTCACAACTCCTAAAATGTAAGTTCAAACTAAGGTGGGTCAAACCATACCATCTGTGGATCCAAATGTTGCAGCATATGGTGTTTTGCAATGGGGGCAGAGAAATGATAAAACCAAATATCTATTTAACCCAGTATACCCTGTATACTTAAAATGCCACTTTGATTTTTTTCTTAAAGCTGGTATTGTGTTAGGAAAATAAGCTTTGGTAATGTGCATTAATATTTTGTGTTTATTTTGTACATTATGATTGCTTCTAACCAAATAACAAGGATTTTTTTCTGGATAGGTAAAAGTAGTCCAGTGGAAAGGCTCTGGGCAGATCCCAGACTCTCAGAAGGTGGTTTATGGTAAAGCGAATTATACCGTACTTACTGTGCCTTCCTAACAAACCAGCTCTACCAGAGAAGTCTGGTTTAAATTGAATTACAAAGGCAGACTTGAGGGCATAAAGTTTGGAGGAGCAAGTGGAGACATTTACATGCAGATTTTAGGTGATTTGGTTTTTAGGTTAGTTTTGGTTGTGGTTTTTGATACCATCTGAAAGTCTTCCTGCTTTGACACTAGCTGATAGCAATTTTGCATGTGCCTACTGCAAGGTCTAGCCCACAGCAGGAGCTTAATACTTAATAAACACATAAAAGGAACCAACTGTTTCCCAGAATCATCTTCAGATGATAGTAAGTTAAACGGGCATCAATGTGTTCCCTTTCTTTCTCTTTCCACCAGGAGAAGCAAAGTGAGGCCCAGATTCTAGGGCAGGCTAGGTTAAGCTGCAGAATGTGTTTACTTGTGGGAATGAGGTAGAGGTGTCAAGAAACAGCACATCCAATCCAAGAGACATCGAGGATTGGATGGAGCCTGAGCAAAGACTGTAGTCCCATTGCGGCAGTTCCTTCACAGCTAACCAAATTTGTCCTGTTGACCTTGGGCTTGGCAATATCACATCCACCCTGGAAAGTTCATGGGAGCCCCTCATAGCCAATAGAACTTGGTGAAATACTTCTGCCAAACTGGCTGGGATTCACGGCAGTCACAGGTCAGCTGTCAAAGCCCAGGGCCTGAGGAATCTTCCCAGAGCCTCCTGCCCTGAGTACAGTTTGCCTAGAAACAGCTTTACCACTGCCAAGATATGTGATCTTAGGCAAGTCACATGCCACATACCTTAGACCTCTCCTTTCTCCTCAGTACCTCAATAATAAGAGGGCCAAACAGGGCAACAGATATGAAACCATCGTGACTATTATTATCAAGCGTCTGATTTCTGAAGATTGGCTTCATTCTTTAAATGTGATCTTATGTCTTGGAGCAAATATTTTCCCAAAAGAAATCTCTCTAATTCTTTAAGTTTCTATTTTTAATAAAGACAATTTTAATAGCAAAGTGGAATTGAATGTACCAATATATGATTTACAGGCAATTTTCAAAAACTACACCTGCTTAGAAGAGCAAAGTGAAATGCATCTGCTTTAATTAGGCTTCTTGCCCATATGGGGGCTCTCTGATTTGTCTTGATGAGCAGGTCAACCTCGTAGGCAGCTGGGGTGCCATCACACAGAGCTCTGCAGGAGCCCTGAGTGTGAGGGTGTGTGAGTGACTGCAAGAAGATAAGGACAGGACACCCGCAGTGTCTGCTACAAACCCAGAATGTCTGGGCACCTCTCAGAGAACTTGGCACTATATCCAGATTTTTACTCCAATGGAGCCTCTGAGGAAGCAGCCACAGAGTCAGGTTGTTTTTTAACCCTGTTCAAATCTAGAAACTTCAACTTTGGGTTCACGCTGCTAGGAACTTTTTTAGAGCCAGGAAGTCTGGCTTGGAAACATGAAGAGCTCTTACTCACTGAGGTGCCTTCTTCTCCTCTTTGCCCCCAGTTCTGGCAGTTTCTAATGTGGGGCATCAAGGCAAGCTTTTCTTTCTAACAGCTAGCTCCTTCTCAAATCAGGTTCTGAATCTCGGACTCCATCAGCAAGAGATTCCTGTTTCACACAGCATCCCTCTAGCTGCAAATATGAACCCACATCCAGAAGCACCATGTGCCACCCTGACATGAGAAGCAATGTGAGTAGCAAAAGTAGCTCTGAACTCAGGACCAGAAGACGTAGGTTGGCATCCCAGTTTCATAATCAGCTATGGGTAAGGCACCAACCAGCCTCCTCATTAACATTAAGTCATTTTCTTTTAATAAAATATAAGGGAGAGAAATGCCTTCCCTTTCTCAAAGAGATGTTGAGATCAAAGGAGAATGTGGATTAAAAACATGATGCCAACTAAATTACTGTACAGGTGTAAAACATTATTACTTACTCTATAAGACAAATTAAACCATGAGAGAAAATAAACCAGTGGCTCTCTCAGGTCTCACGCATTCCTCCATTCCTCTCACATTCTGCAAGATGGTCTAGTTTCTCATTCACTTAATTCACAGCAAACCATGATGACTGAGTTTCAACATTCTTCCTTAGGAAAACTCCACCACCCCTCCTAGCAGCCTGCCTCGCCCCATCCAAGCATGGGATGACTAAACAGCTCACTAAACTTCTCTGCTAAAAGAGTTTTTAAAAGTGTCACCAGTTTCCTACATGACTAAAGAATTACTGTAGGCATTGGAAGTCATTTAGACACTAGAACTAGAGAACATAGATTTTTAAAGTCATATTAGAAGTTATTGCTAAGATATTTGGAATTTCCACTAGGAATTTTAGAAAGATAGAATTTCTGATTAACACAAGAATCATAGGAAATGATTCTGCTACTTTGCTTCTCTAATGACATGAAATTTCCTTTGCCTAACCTTAAACTGACCCCTTTTATAATGTAATAAAATGTTAATCAGGACCACCCTCACCAAACTCATCAGTTTGTCCAGTGATAAATGGCCTTAGCCGTTTATATGACATGTGAGTTGAATAAATGATTGAATGTTCAAAAAAAAGTTAACCACTAGATGAAGAGAAATAAGAAACATAACTTCCAAGCCCCTTATTTAGGACATTTTCAGGATTTGGCAGTTTCAGACTCACTCTAATTTGGCGTCAAAATATTTTGGCTTCTTTCTTCCTAGGCAGTTCCTGATGAAGCCTTTTTTTTTTTTTTTTTTTGGCTGCCACGGACTTCATGAAGTCTCCAAGCCTGTGATCTGAGAGCTTAGTGCAGCACAGCTGAGGGTGCCTGTGACGGGTCTCAGCAAGTGTGTCTCAAAACAATTCTCCACACCACCTGCATGAGAGTGTCCTGGGAAGTTTGTCAGAAATGCCACAGCCAGGGATTCCAATCTGATGGGTTGGGGTAGGTCTGGGAGTTAACATTCTTAACAAATAAGCCAGTTGATTCTGACAAACCCAAAAATTTGAGGAACCTCTAAACTAACAGTTTTTCCCAGTCACATCTCTTCAGGTTAGTGAATTAGTACTTAACGTTACTCTGAAGACTTCTGACAGAAAAAGTCTGTCTCTGAGGGATTGACCTAGGATTTTTATTTATATTACGCTCATGAATTTTTAGCTTATTTCACTAATACACATCTTCACATGTTAACATCAATGAAGATGAGATGTAATCATCATGATGTAATTGTCACTGACTACATGTGCACATTAAAATTTGCAGGATGGGTGCCAGTCTCTGGGAAGAGAATCTTAAAGACAATCGTGGAGTTCTCTTTTAAAAAATGTTGTATCATCAATGATTTTGATGACCCAGAAGACAATACTATGTGAAATAAACATGGATGGCATTTACATGTGATTTAGGAGGATCAGATACGAATGTGGAGACATTTTAGGAATATTTTAACCAATTTGTTGAGTTTATATTTTTCTTTCTTTTGAAGGTACAAAAGTTCTAAATTATAAAAATCTATGTCCATATAAGCCCTAAAAGGGTCCTTTCAATAAGTATGAGTAAAAATTCTAGTGCTACACACATGTTTACAGCTGCACATTTTGCAATTGCAAAAATATGGAATCAGCCCAAATGCCCATCAATCAATGAGTGGATAAAGAAGCTATGGTAGATAGATAGATAGATAGATAGATAGATAGATAGATAGATAGATGATAGACAGATAGATGATAGATAGATAGATAGATAGATAGATGATAGATGATAGATAGATGATAGATAGATAGATGATAGATAGATAGATAGATAGATAGATAGATAGATAGATAGATAGATGATAGATAGATAGATAGATAGATAGAAATGATAGATAGGTAGATAGATAGATAGATATAGATAGATAGATAGATAGATAGATAGATAGACAGACAGACAATGGAATACTACTCAGCCATAAAAAGGAATGAATTAACAGTATTCGCAGCAACCTGCATGGGATTGAAGACTATTATTCTAAGTGAAGTAATTCAGAAATGGAAAACCAAATATCATAGGTTCTCACTTATAAGTGAGAGCTAAGCTATGAGGATGCAAAGGCGTAAGAATGATACAATGGACTTTGGGGACTCAGGGGAAAGGGTGGGAAGGGGGTGAGGGATAAAAAGCTACAAATTGGGTACAATGTATACTGCTCTGGTGATGGCTGCACCAAAATCTCACAAATCACTGCTAAAGAACTTACTCATGTAACCAAACACCACTTGTTCCCCAAAAATCCATGGAAATAAAAAATTAAAATAAAAAAATTCTAGTGCTACAAAAGCATTATATCAGAGATTAATTGGAAGAATTTTTTTCTTTAATGATACACTTAAAATAATGGTACATATCACACTGATGCCATCTTAGATGCAATGAAATATGATAGTTGCCTAAATAGATAGATCTGTTTTTATTTTTGTTGACCCGTCATCAATTTACCTAGTAGTAGAATGTATTCTGTTTTATCAATCTTTAATCTCCTACTAGGACTTTACATGATGAAATCTAAGACCTTACTCTTACAAGCTGCCTAACAAACATCATCCTAACTTGATCTGACTAGAGGTATTTTGTGGTAAGATATATGTGCTGTAAAAACCCAAGTTTAATATTCTACTCTCAGTTTCAAATTGCACAAACACATACTCCCTTCAGCTAACATTTCTAACAGCATATCATGAGTCTGAGCGTACACTGCCACTTACAGATAACATGCTGAGCCTGTCTTCCTCTGTAAACATATTTAGGAAGTACTCATTGAATAAAACACCAAACAATGACCCGAAGAATGAAAGGAATCCAAGGTGCTTTGAGCTTTCTCTATTCAGAGTGTTCTCCAGACAGCAAATAAAATTTTCAACCTTCATGTGGCCTAGTCTAGAAAGCTGGTCTATGAGAGATCAGAGTTATTACAAATGGATAATTTGATGACCCAGGCTATTTTTTTAAGCATTAATGTCTTCATTTTACTAATTTAAAATAACAAAACTTTAAATGAGGCCATAAATTTTCAAGTATCCCATATTTGGACAAGAACCTATGCTAAAAACAAGAAAATGCAGGGCATCTGATCTTACCAGGGAATATTGAAGGACACTTTGAAGGGGCCTGAGGGAAAAAAATCACTGAGTAATGCTATTTGGAAGAGGGGGCAACATGTGTGGCATGCTTCCTATGGTAACCTCTTCCTAATTGCTTGAAATACATACATATACATACACAAACACACACAAACACACACCCATAGAAACAACAGCAGCAACAACAACAACAATAACAGAACTTTGAGGGATTCACTTGATCAAATAATCCTACCCATGGAGAGCCTTCAAAACCGTTCACTTGCAATGTGAAAGCCACACAAGCCTGCTGAAGGAGAGCGCCTTTCCCCTTTGAGGGATAGGATATATACCAGAGCACTTCACATTCAATTAGGAGAGTTCAAGACTTCAAAACACAGAATAATGCTTCCTTCCACATACAGTCCCACTGCTAGGACAATTATAACATGCAGCTGATCAGAAACCTTCAATACCTGAAAAGAAGAGGTAGAAAGGAGAAGCAGGACCAATAAATGTGGCCCCAGAAAACTCCCCAAGCCCTAAATACACCAGAACTCTGAGCTTAGAGCTAGAAAACATCTAATTTAAGAAGTGGTTCAGGGAGAATTGTTTATTCAACTGCCAAAAAAAAAACAGAGTTTTTAAATATTTGATGGCTTAGAATTTTATAATTTATTTTCAAGTAAATATTTTTTAAACTTTTTTGTTCTTTTAAAATCTCTCTACAGTAGTATACTGTATTATATTAACATTAGTATTTACAGTCTAATAACTTGCTAAGGATTTCTTTTCATAAGAAAGAAAATGGACCAGAATGTAGGCAAATGTATCCATTCCTTGGTCAGTTTGGACTGCTATACTAAAATACCACAAACTGGGTGGCTTATGAACAACAGAAACTTATGTTTCCGTTTCAGAGGCTCGAAGTGTGAGATAAGGGTGTCAACATGGTCAGGGTCTGGTAAGAAACCTCTTCCAGGCTACAGATTGCCAACTTATCCTTGTATCCTCACATGGTAGAAAGGGAGCAAGAGAGGTCTCTGGGGCCCCTTTTATAAGGGCACTAATTCCATTCATAAGGGTTCCAACTTCATGCCCTAATTACCTGCCAAAGACCCCATCTTGTAATACGATCATTTTGGGGATTATGATTTCAACATATAGATTTGGGAGAAACACAAATATTCCATTCACTGTCATCTATAATTATGATAAATGTGGCCTGGGCCTGGGCCTGCTCCCCTTCATCCACCTGCTTAATCTTCTCCACCCATCAGAACACCTCACCCTTCAAGGGGCAAGGCTGGCATGCCAGTGTCTCTTTGATGTCCTCACCAACTTCCTCCAGGCCCAAATTAATCCCTTGCCCAACCCAAATTTTGCATTTCTGGACTTCTTGCACAGTCTTCTACATGCAGGGGCCCTCTAGTTCGCAATGAGCAAGAATCGTTTTATGATCATTGTGTGGTTTTCACAATGCCTGGCTTAGGTCTTACACATAGTAGATGCTCAATGAATGACATAGTGTCTAGAAAAAATATAAGCCAACTTCAAAGACCAGCCTCATAGAGCCCACCCCTCCATGGGAAAGTGAATGGGATAGTCCTCATCCCCTTCCTTCGGCTTCCTCCCACCTGCCCAAGGTCTCAAGGAGTGGTGTTTAAGGAGGGCTCTCTCTCTTCAACCAATTTTTTTTTGAGACAGACTCTCGCTATGTCACCCAGGCTGGAAGGCAGTGACGCAGTCTTGGCTCATTGCAACCTCCACCTCCTGGGTTCAAGCGATTCTCCTGCCTCAGCCTCCCGAGTTGCTGGAATTACAGGCGCCCACCACCACGACTGGCTAATTTTTTTGTATTTCTAGTAGAGGCAGGATTTCACCATGTTGGCCAGGCTGGTCTTGAACTCCTGGCCTCAGGCAATCTGCCCACCTTGGCCTCCCAAAATGCTGGGATTACAGGCATGAGCCACCATGCCTGGCCTCTTCAACTACTTTTAAAATTAAAATGCCAGAGGTCACTGTAACATTGCATCACTAACACATTAGTGGGTGGGAGTTTATCAAGTCACCTTCCTCTCTACCACCCTCTCTTGTACCAAGTGCACCACTCCCTGTGACCCCTGCCTCCTCCATCAGGAATTAAAGGGAGGTGGAAGCAGCAAATTGACTTCACAATATAGAGCATACACTCTGAAGGCAGACCATCCGAGTGGGAATCCTGAGTACACAACTTACTAACAGTACAAACTGAGCACAATGTTTAAATCTCTGGACTTCTATTTCCCAAGATGCAAAAAGAGACATACGAGAATACTTACTTCAATGCCTGGTAAGTAGTGAGCACTCAAAATATGTTGATGACAACATGGCCTTTGGCAGGGCCTCCAAGAGACATCCCTGCTGCCCCAGCTCCCCATGACCCCGTGATTCCTGGTCTCCTTAGAGCACCCAAGCGGATACACAATGGTCCCTGGGAAGTGACAGAAGTTCAAGCTGTGTTTCCACCCACCAAACCCTTTGATTCAATTTACTTGGGAGCAAGGGAGGGAATGAAGCTTGAATCAACCCGTTGAAAAATCAATTTAACACCAAACAAAGTGGTTTGTTTCTACAGACATGGCCTTACATATTTGGAAAGAGTCCTCAGCATTCGTCCAGGATTCTAGGGGCTTTGAGGTCTGCAGAATCCAGTTGAGAGGCTGAAGTTCAAGACAGCTAGGAGTGGGCTTTATTTATAACAGTCCAACAGTTTCCAAGGGAGTAAAACAACAAAACCTTGTATGAGATGAGTCACACGGACTTGCAGGATCAGAGAAGTCATGGAGGATCAAAGAACGGATGAGCCTTCCAGCTCACTGCCCCTCTGAAACCAAAAGACGCATTTCACAGAGCCCTCTCTAATCTGTTCCAACTAATTTTCAGGGATTGAGTCTAGAGGAAGATTCAACAGGAGACTTAGTTGCTATAGCCACTTGGATCCCTGACAAAGTGGGCTTCAGTGCAATAGAAAAGCCACATTTTCCCCACAATACCTTCCCCCCAAACAAAATGAATGGAAGTCAAAGCCTTATTTCCAATGGAGGGATGAAAGACAAAATTGAGCCATTTGAAAAACAGTCAGAAATAAATACGGACATCATTGAGCAACTTGCAGTGCACCACAAATAAATATTACTAATTTATTCAAGGGCAATTATGTAACTGTGTTTTTCATGGGCACGTCTATTTTGCTTTTCCTTTTTAATTTGTCAGCCCATTGTGAAGTCTGCCCACTGAGCCACAGGTGAGGGATTAATGCCAAACATGCTGGGTCACAACATTCAGTATTCATCCCACTGATCATCTCACTTTGCAAAACATCATAGCTGAGTGGTGTGCAGTCGTCTTGGCCCCATGAGCTGGCATGCAGTTGATTAAAGGAGGTGCTGGCTAGAGGTCTGGGGAATAGGAGAACTGTCCATGTCAGCTGTGGGAGCCCTGCTGCCAGCCATGCTATCCTGAGCTTCAGCCCCAGCATCTTGCAAACAAGAGCAAATGGCAAAGTAGTCCACACACACAAGATCTGACAAAGCAGTTCCCAGGGGAGACAGGATCAGTTTCCCTGTGACCCACGTAGAGCAATGAACAGGGAGTCAAACAGAACTAGACTTTGGTCTGTACAGCTTTCCAGCTCCTTCCCTGGTGTGATCAGAAATGGGACACAAGACTAACATGACGTGTCAGTACCTAACTCCAGCCCTGTACCATCACTCAGCATGCATGCTTAGGAGAGGCTGCTCTTTCCCGGCACAGTGGGGGCTGAAACTGAGGCTTGCGGCTCCAGGATGTGTAAGCTAGCTGAAGAATACCCCAAGGCAGCATTTGTGGTGGGAGAAGCACCAGCCCCTCTCCTGGCTTGATCATAGGCTGACCAGGATTGTTTGTCATAAGCACTGGCGCATCTAGGCTTCCATGGAGAGGCCCATCTTTTCAGGCGAGAACAGCCAATCACATTTAACAAGCTAACCATCACCTCTACCAGATGAGGGCCGCTCCATACAGTCACATACCTACCACCCACATTGCCCATCTAGGCCCTGCCTATGGCCAGAGAAGGGATTTGGACTTTTCTATCTGAGCACAAATAACAAATTTCTAAAGTATCATGTGGGTTTTCTCCATTTGTCCCTACCCACCGCAAATCCAATCTCCACTCTTTCTTGCCCTGCCTTATGCCCTCTATGGACTATATCACCCAGGTACCCCTACCCTTGGCATCTGGCTGGGTTTGGCCTTTAGGAGACACCCACAGAGGATCAGAGGAGGAGACCGGGGCCATGGTATCTCTTCCCTATGCTCTGGCCTTCGTTTCTAGCAGGGCCTGTACCCCTCAGTGCTTACAGATCCTGCTGAGCAGCCCCTCCTCCACAGCTCAGCTCTTGCTGGGCTATCCGGAGCAGCTTCCTGCCTTTGCATGTCACTGGGTGCCTCAAGTCCCTCAGCCCTGCCTGACCGTCTGTGAGTTGTCCCCTTATTAAATCTCTTATCTGAACCACCTGAGTGAGATTCAGTTTTCCGACAGGGGCCGGGCATGGTGGCACATGCCTATAATCCCAGCACTTTGGGAGACTGAGGCAGAAGGATCACTTGAGCCCAGGAGTTTGAGACCAGACTGGGCAATATGGCAAAACTCTGTCTCTACCAGAAATACAAAAATTAACGGGGCATGATGGTACATCCCTGTAGTCTCAGCTGCTCAGAAGGCTGATGTGGGAGGACTGCTTGAGCCCTGAAAATGGAAGTTGCAGTGAGCTGAGATCTCACCACTGTACTCCAGGCAACACAACAAGACCTTGTCTCAAACAAAAATAATAATAATTCTGACAGGATCTGATTGAAAGAGGAATCACAGTGGTTCTAACACTTGTGATCCATCCAGACATGTTTATGTGCTTTGTTAAAACAACATCCTGAAAGAAGTGTTGTAATGGACTTCCATGCTTAGGAAAAGAAGTGCTATAATTTGCTTCCATACTCAGGTGGGTTTTGTTCTGCCTGGAGAGTCATCCTACATGAGCTATTTCTTTAAATCAAGATGCTAAACAGTAAAAGGACCTGTTAATAATAATTTAATCCATTTATATCAAGTTTACTAAACAATTACCTTGAAAAACACATATATAAACATACCCATATGTGTATATATACATACTCCAAAATAGTATAATGGTGCAGGTTCAGATATATACTTTGTATTCACTAGCGAATTCGAGAAAACAGAATTGGTATGGGTTGGCTGTGTCCACATCCAAATCTCATCTTGAATTGTACCTCCCATAATTCCCACGTGTTGTGGGAGGGATTCAGTGGAAGATAATTGAATCATGGGGGCAGTTTCTCCCATCCTCTTCTCGTGGTAGAGAATAAGTCTCACAATGTCTGATGTTTTTATAAGGGGTTTTGTCTTTCCCTTGGCTCTCATTCTCTCTTAGCTGCCACCGTGTAAGACAGCCTTTCACCTTCCGCCATGATTGTGAGGCCTCCCTCGCCACGTGGATCTGTGAGTACATTAAACCTCTTTTTCTTTGCAAATTACCCAGTCTTGTGTATGTCTTTATCAGCAGCATGAAAAAGAACTAATACAAGAATAATCCCTGTTGACTTGAACTCAGCTCTGCACCAAGCAGACCTCATAGACATCTACAGAACTCTCCACCCCAAATCAACAGAATATACATTCTTCTGAGCACCACATCCCACTTATTCCAAAATTGACCACATAGTTGGAAGTAAAGAACTCCTCAGCAAATGTTAAAGAACAGAAATCACAACAAACTGTCTCTCAGACCACAGTGCAATCAAACTAGAACTCAGGATTAAGAAACTCACTCAAAACCAAACTACATGGAAACTGAACAACCTGCTCCTGAATGACTACTGGGTAAATAATGAAATGAAGGCAGAAATAAAGATGTTCTTTCAAACCAATGAGAACAAAGACACAACATATCAGAATCTCTGGGACACATTTAAATCAGTGTGTAGAGGGAAATTTATAGCACTAAATGCCCACAAGAGAAAGAAGGCAAGATCTAAAATCAACACCCTAACATTACAATTAAAAGAACTAGAGAAGCAAGAGCAAACACATTCAAAAGCTAACAGAAGGCAAGAAATAACTAAGATCAGAGCAGAACTGAAGGAGATAGAAACACAAAACATCCTTCAAAACATCAATGAATCCAGGAGGTGGTTTTTTGAAAAAATTAGCAAAATAGGCCACTAGCAAGACTAACAAAAAAGAAAAGAGAGAAGAATCAAATAGATGCAATAAAAAATGATAAAGGGGTTATCACCACCGATCCCACAGAAATACAAACTACCATCAGAGAATACTATAAACACATCTACACAAATAAACTAGAAAATCTAGAAGAAATGGATAAATTCCTGGACACATACACCCTCACAAGACTAAACCAAGAAGAAGTTGAATCCCTGAATAGACCAATAACAGGCTCTGAAATTGAGGCAATAATTAATAGCCTACCAACAAAAAAAAGTCCAGGACCAGATGGATTCACAGCCAAATTCTACCAGAGGTACAAGGAGGAGCTGGTACCATTCTTTCTGAAACTATTCCAATCAATAGAAAAAAAGGGAATCCTCCCTAACTCATTTTATGAGGCCAGCATCATCCTGATACCAAAGCCTGGCAGAGACACAACAAAAAAAGAGAATTTTAGACCAATATCCCTGATGAACATCGAAGCAAAAATCTTCAATAAAATACCGGCAAGACGACTCCAGCAGTACATCAAAAAGCTTATCCACCATAATCAAGTTGGCTTCATCCCTGGGATGCAAGTCTGGTTCAACATATGCAAGTCAATAATGTAATTCATCACATAAACAGAACCAAAGACAAAAACCACATGATTATCTCAATAGACACGGAAAAGGCATTTGACAAAATTCAACAGCCCTTCGTGCTAAAAACTCTCAATAAACTAGGTATTGATGGGACATATCTCAAAATAATAAGAGCTATTTATGACAAACCTACAGCCAATATCATACTGAATGGACAAAAACTGGAAGAATTCCCTTTGAAAACTGGCACAAGACAGGGATGCCCTCTCTCACAACTCCTATTCAATATAGTGTTAGAGGTTCTGGCCAGGGCAATCAGGTAGAAGAAAGAAATAAAGGGTATTCAATTAGGAAAAGAGGAAGTCAAATTGTCCCCGTTTGCGGATGACATGATTGTATATCTAGAAAACCCCATTGTCTCAGCCCAAAATCTCCTTAAGCTGATAGGCAACGTCAGCAAAGTCTCAGGATACAAAATCAATGTGCAAAAATCACAAGCATTCTTATACACCAATAACAGACAAACAGAGAGCCAAACCATGAGTGAACTCCCATTTACAATTGCTTCAAAGAGAATAAAATATCTAGGAATCCAACTTACAAGGGATGTGAAGGACCTCTTCAAGGAGAATTACAAACCACTGCTCAATGAAATAAAAGAGGACACAAACAAATGGAAGAACATTCCATGCTCATGGATAGGAAGAATCAATATTGTGACAATGGCCATACTGCCCAAGGTAATTTATAGATTCAATGCCATCCCCATCAAGCTACCAATGACTTTCTTCACAGAATTGGAAAAAGCTACTTTAAAATTCATATGGAATGAAAAAAGAGCCCGTATTGTCAAGACAATCCTAAGCAAAAAGAACAAAGCTGGAGGCATCATGATACCTGGCTTCGAACTATATTACAAGGCTACAGTAACCAAAATAGCATGGTACTGGTACCAAAACGGAGATATAGACTAATGGGACAGAACAGAGGCCTCAGAAATAACACTACACATCTACAACCATCTGATCTTTGCTGAACATGACAAAAACAAGAAATGGGGAAAGGATTCCCTGTTTAATAAACGGTGCTGGGAAAACTGTCTAGCCATATGTAGAAAGCTTAAACTGCATCCCTTCCTTATACCTTATACAAAAATTAACTCAAGATGGATTAAAGACTTAAATGTTACACCTACAGCCATAAAACCTGTAGAAGAAAACCTAGGCAATACCATTCAGGACATAGGCATGGGCAAGGACTTCATGACTAAAACACCAAAAGCAGTGGCAACAAAAGCCAAAATAGATCTAATTAATGGGATCTAATTAAACTAAAGAGCTTCTGCACTGCAAAAGAAACTACCATCAGAGTGAACAGGCAACCTACAGAATGAGAGAAAATCTTTGCAATCTACCTACTTGACAAAGGGCTAATAACCAGAATCTACAAAGAACTCAAATAAAGTTACAAGAAAAAATCAAACAACCCCATCAAAAAGTGGGCAAAGGATATGAACAGACACTTCTCAAAAGAAGACATTTATGCAGCCAACAGACACATGGAAAAATGCTCATCATCACTGATTAACAGAGAAATGCAAATCAAAACCACAATGAGATACCATCTCACACAAGTTAGAATGGCGATCATTAGAAAGTCAGGAAACAACAGGTGCTAGAGAGGATGTGAAGAAACAGGAACACTTTTACACTGTTGGTGGGACTGTAAGCTAGTTCAACCATTGCAGAAGACAGTGTGGCGATTCCCCAAGGATCTAGAACTAGAAATACCATTTGACCCAGCCATCCCATTACTGGGTATATACCCAAAGGATTATAAATCATGCTACTATAAATTCACATGCACACGTACGTTTATTGCAACACCATTCACAGTAGCAAAAACTTGGAACCAACCCAAATGTCATTAATGACAGACTGGATTAAGAAAATGTGGTACATATACACCATGGAATACTATGCAGCCATAAAAAAGGATGAGTTCATGTCCTTTGTAGGGACATGGATGAAGCTGGAAACCATCATTCTGAGCAAACTCTTGCAAGGACAGAAAACCAAACACTGCATGTTCTCACTCATAGGTGGGAATTGAACAATGAGAACACATGGACACAGGGCAGGGAACAATACACATCACACATCGGGACCTGTCATGGGATGTGGGGAAGGGGGAGGGATAGCATTAAGAGAAATACCTCATGTAAATAATGAGTTAATGGGTGCAGCACACCAACATGGCACATGTATACATATGTAACAAACTTGCACGTTGTGCACATGTACCCTAGAACTCAAAGTATAATTTAAAAAATAAATAAATAAAAGAATAATCCCTGTTGTAGATTTGTCTGAATTATCTCTCGTCTCTTACTTGCATTGCCCACATTCTGATAATCCTTCTATGTATGTTCCTTGTTGATCTTGTTTTATGTCCGGGACTTACTTGACTCTCTCTCTATAGTATAAATTTCAGCAGGGATTGAGCCTTCATTGCTAAATTGCTACGGAGTCTTGGCTTTGCTCTGATTTACTTGGCAAAATGCTGGCTGCCTGCTTCTTTTATTCCTTGTTTTCCCATCAGAAGAGTAATCTTTATTTAGTAAGTTGAAAATATAGTTCAGGGTGCCAATTGTTGCCAGTGATTGTTATTACTACTTTAAAATTTGAAAATGAAGGGATTTCCCCCAAAAAGTTATTTCTAAAATGGAAGATAGGTTTACCATCTGCTAGTTTTTGACCCAGAGATTTCCCATCAGTTTTCTGACCCTTTTCTGCAAGTGTATTGGTCATTTGGATGCACATAATCTGCCTCATCAGCAGTCTCCCTTCCCTGGATCTCTTCTGACACATTCACAAAACAACATCTGGGAATAAAAGCCTTAAGAATAAACAATGGAAGTGTTCTAGATGTCTGGGATGGAACGTGACTTGTCTGCTAGAAGAGTTTTCCTTCCTCCCTGAATTATGAGTTATTGAAAACTTCCTTGTCTTATAGAACACTTTGAGCACTTCGGTTTGGATTCCACAACAAGCATTCTTGGCTTTGATTTGGGTTGTTTTTGTTTTTGTTTTTTGCATAATATCAGCCAGTACTGTAACCTGCTGGCTTGGGTCCTTGGGTCCTATTGAGTGAGTCACGAGGACATTTTTCTGACTCTGACTCCAGAAGACTTTGTTCTTAAAGCAAGTTAGGAACATAGGGGAAGTGCCACTCTGGGACTAGACCTTCTTCCCTAACATCATGCTATGCTACTGCCCGACTTCCATTAGTCTTACTATTTATTACATTGGAAATGGCTTGTATACCTGTGTGCGCTCATGTGTGCATGTGTATATGTGCATGTGAATGCAATCTGTAGACTGGATGCTCCATCCTCTGCCTGGGGGCCTCACTCTTTAGGTTCTTTGCTTCTTCAGAGAGGTGTTTAAAACTGATGTTAGTGAAAATAGTACTTTCTGACTGAAATCCAAACTTTAAAATATTTCTCTAGTCATCTTCCGCATAACATACATACACATTGGGCAGAAAATGCATTTGCTTAGTCCTTCCAGTGTGACAGTTTTAAATATCCCCGGGCAACAACCACACAAAGGCTTCTGGCTCATCTGTGACCCAACAACATGCAAAAACAAAACATCATGCCTAGTGCCAGATTGTTACATACTCAAAGCAGGTGATGCCCATGTGGTGTGATTTAACAGGAACAAGGAATATTCTCAATCCAAACTATCTCCATCCCTGTCATCACTCTGGGCATCTCATCAGTGGAAATCCTTCCTCTGAATCTTCAATTTTTTTTAATATTTAAGAAACACTAAATAAAATGAGAATACACTGAAAAGTGACAACACTTTAAATTATTCTTGAGCAGTGAGATGTTGGTGGATATTTGCTGACAATTAAACCCTTGCAGAAGAGGACTGTTCAGAGAAACAGAAACACTGAGAGTGGAGATGGCAGGATTCATCACCTGCTTCCAAATTTGATCTTGAATCGATTTGACCAGTTCTGGTAATTCTGTGTTTTTTGGCAAATTTCAGAAAGCATGGAGGGAACTAAAAGACAGATATTGAAACTTCATTTTGTTTATTAAGAGAGAAATGGGCAGAAGTGGATTTTGAAACATGTTCTTTCCTGTTGACACATGTTCAAAGAATGTCTGGAGGAAATACTAAGTTAAAATACAGACTGATTCAACTATTGGCATCAAATCACTTACAGTGAAATATGGTTGCTATCTTGGACATAAGCAAATAGAAAAGAAGCTTCTCAACATTAAAATTTTGTTGAGGAAAACAATGAAAATCTTAATTTAGAATCTATTTTATGTTATTTTTATTTTATCATTGTGAATTCCCTTGGAGACCTTTATTCAAAATGACTCTATTATATCCCTAGTTCCTGATATTACTGGTGTAAAGAATACAGGGAGAAAAGGCTTTAGTATTTAGAATATACAATTAACAACTATAAATGTTCACCTGTGAATATTTCCACTGTAAGGTAAATTTTTAATCTTCCCCATAGAAAGTCAGGAAAGGTAGTCGACAGATGACAAGTTATAAAATCTTGACTAAATGCATTTGGCACAACCGTTTGTTTACTCACTTAGCAAGTCTATAGAATGTACAGTGTACTCTGTGGGGGCTAAACAGAGGAATATTAAGGTGTAACATATGCTATTCCCAACCTTGCTAATGGAACATTTATTTTGTTCATGTCTGTCTTCCTCACTGATGATGACCCAAATCCCAACTCGGCGGATATGTCTAAGTCAGTCCAATGGAAAATTCTATTCCCTTGCTGGTGACTGGCTTCAGGAAAGCATGTGATGTTGTTCTGTCCAGTGAGATGTGAGAGGGGAGAGGTGCTTCTTGGGAAAATGTGCAATCCTAAAAGGCACCTATAGGAACAGCTGCTCCCTCCTTCCCTTTATCCTTGTTGTGGCCAGATGTGACACCTGGGACACAAGGTTAGTGAGTATGAGGACTGGGAAAGCACATCAGAGTCTTGATAGCAACATTGAGCACTGTATTGATCAACCCTGGTGCCACCTTCCCTCTGAGCTTCTTATTATGCGATAAAAGGAATTTCCTCATTGTTTAAGTCCATTTCTGTTAGATTCCCTGTTATTTGCAGTTCAGAGTATTTCTTGCTGGTACAAAGTGCATAGATGCAGCCCTCAGGAAGTTACCAATCTCAGAGATGAACAGAGAGATAAATAGGGAAAATATGAAAATATAATAATATTGTGCAAGATGTTGACTCTGTCACTTCTATGGGTCCCTACTACTTTTAGAAAAAGGAAAAAGCACTTCCATCTGGAATGATCAGAAAACACTGTGGAGAAAGTGGCATTTCCCATAACACGTGAGTAATAGGGTAAGTGCTTGACTGGCATGGAGTTAGTGAGTAGAAAATAATCAATTTTTACTTAACAGTAAGGAAGTAAGAGGAGAGCAGTAGAAGAAAAAGTTATTGGAGCAATATTATGAAGAGAGGTCAAGGTAGAAAAACAAATCCACAATGCAGTTGATGGTTGACATTCTGGGAGTGGGAAAAATCCTCACAGTGTCTTCCATCCTGAGTTCTGTAGAATCTGTGAAAACCATGCTCTATAAAAAGAACTGTTCTGTGGTCCAGAAAGTCCCAGAAACTTAGCATACCACATAACCCCTTGGTTATTAACAGTACACCTTAGTGTTCAAAGGCCCTTAGAAGTCATATACCAGAACTAAAGCTGGGCAAGATGGTATATGCCTACAGTCCCAGCTACTTGGGAGGCTTAGGCAGAGGATTACTTGAACCCAGGAATTTGAGTTCAGCCTGGACAACATAGTGAGAACCCCCATCTCTTAAAAAAAAAAAAAAAAAAAGAGGGTGAGTGATCAAGATGGCCGACTAGAAGCAGCTAGGGTTCGTGGCTCTCACAGAGAGGAATGAAAGGGGCAAGTAAACACAGCACCTTCGACTGAAACATCCAGGTACTCACATTGGGACTAATCAAAGAAGCAATTCAACCCACAGAGAACAGAGAAAAGCAAGGCAAAATGATGGCCCACCCAGGAGCAACATGGAGCCAAGGGAACTTCCTCCTCCCACGGAAGTGGTGAGTAAATGTGCAACCCCAGGAAATCATGTTTCTCCGACAAATCTTTGCAACCCTCAGCTCAGGAGATCCCTCATGAACCCACTCCACCAGGGCCATCAGTCTGACAAACAGAACTACAGGGAGTCTCGGCAGATCAGCCTCTCAGGCATGCACAGAGGCCCAGGAGCTTTACATACTCCAGTCTGGGCTTCCTGGCAAAAGTACCCAGGAAAAGTAACCCAGCAAAGTGGGAGGTTAGTCCTCTGTGCATACCTTTAGGAAAGAGGCTGAATCCAGGGGGCCAAGCAGTGACATTCTGGAGGCCCCACTTCCACAGTGCCTCACAGGATAAGAGTCACCACTTGGAATTCCAGCCAGCCACCCGCAACAGTGTCACAACCACCTGAGATGGATTTCCTGGGGGAAGGGATGGGCCTCCATTTTTCCTGTTTGGGCAACTCAGCCGTTCCATCCTGGAGGCTTTGGAGAGTCCAAAACAACCAGGGATGGAAGGGGACCCCCGGCACAGCACAGCTGCTTTACCAAAATGTGGCCAGACTACTTCTTTAAGCAAGTCCCCAATCTGTTCCTCCTCACTCGGCAGGACCTTCCAACTGGGGCCTCCAGCCATCCCTGCCAATGTTCTCTGGCCTACAGTGGTATGAATTCTCCCTAGGACAAAGTTCCTGGGGGTATGGGCAGGCTGTTTGGGAGACTTAGATGTTCCAGCCTGTTCAGAAGTGGTACCCTAGCACAGCACAGCTGCTCTACAAAGGCATGGCCAGACTGCTTCTTTAAGCAGGTTCCCAATCCCATTCCTCCTGACTAGGGTGAGAGTCCCAGCCAGGATCTCCAGCCACCTCCTACAGTTGCATTTGGACCAGCAACAAGTCCATACCTCCCTGGGACAGAGCTCCCAGAGGAAAGGGCAGGCTGCCATCTTTGCTGTTTCACAGCAGCCTTTGCTTGTGATACTTCCAGGTACTGGAAAATCTGAGGTAACTAGGGACTAGAGCAGACCCCAAGCAAACCACAGGAGCCCAATGGAAAAGTGGCCAGACTGTTCAAATAAAATAAAAATAAAACCATCCAAAGGTCAGCAACCTCAAAGATTGAAGATAGATAAGCCCACAATGATGTGAAAAAATCAGCACAAGAATGCTGAAAACTCAAAAAACCAGAGTGCCCTCTTTTGTCCAAATGACTGCAGCCTCTCTCTAGCAAGGGTTCAGAACCAGGCTGAAACTGAGATGGCTCAAATGACAGAAACAGGCTTCAGAATGTGGATACTAATGAAGTTCACTGAGCTAAATGAGCACATTGTAACCCAATGGGGGGAAACTAAAAATCATGATAAAACATTGCAGGAGCTGGCAGAGAAAATAGTCAGTATAGTGAAGAATGTAACTGACCTGATAGAGCTGAAAAACACACTACAAGAATTTCATAATGCAATCACAAGTATTAGTAACAGAATAGACCAAGCAGAGGAAACAATCTCAGAGCTTGAAGGCTGTCTTTCTGAAATAAGACAGGCATACAAGAATAGAGAAAAAAGAATAAAAAGGACCGAACAAAACATCAAAAAACTGGAGAATGGGATTATGTAAAAAGACCAAATCTATGACTGATTGGTGTACTTGAAAGAGATGGGGAGAATGGAACCAATTTGGAAAACATATTTCAGGATATCATCCAGTGATTGTATTATGAAATTCTTATAGTGTGTTTTTCAGCTCTATCAGGTCAGTTACATTCTTCCCCAACATAGCTAGACAGGCCAACATTCAAATTCAGGAAATGCAGAGAACCTCATTAAGATACTCCACAAGAAGATCATCCCCAATACACATAATCATCAGATTCTCCAAGGTCCAAGTGAAAGAAAAAATGTTAAGGGCAGCTAGAGAAGTCCAGGTCACCTACAAAGGAAAGCCCACCAGACTATAATAATGGACCTCTCAGCAGAAACTGTATAAGCCAAAACAGATTGGGGGCCAATATTCAACATTCTTAAAGAAAAGAAATTCCAAACAAGAATTTCATACCCCAAAATAAGCTTCATAAGTGAAGGAGAAGTAAGATCCTTTTCAGACAAGCAAATGCTGAGGGAATTCATCACCACCAGAAATTCCTTAAAAGAGTTCCTGAAGGAAGCACTAAATATGAAAAGGAAAGACCATTACTAGCCACTACAAAAACACACTGAAGCACACAGACCAGTGATGTTACAAAGCAACCACATAAACAAGTCTGCAAAAAGCCAGCTAATATCATGATGACAAGATCAAATCCACACATATCAATACTAACCTTAAATGTAAATGGGCTAAATGCCCCAACTAAAAGACACAGAGTGGCAAGCGGATAAAGAAGCAAGACCCATTGGTATGCTATCTTCAAAAGACCCATCTCACATGCAGTGACACACATAGGCTCAAAATAAAAGGATGGAGGAAAATCTACCAAGCAAATGGAAAACAGAAAAAAGTAGGGGTTGCAATCCTAGTTTGTGACAAAACAAACTTTAAACCAACAAAGATCAAAAAAGATGAAGAAGGGCATTACATAAAGATAAAGTGTTCAATTGAACAAGAAGATCTAAGTATTCTAAATATATATGTACCCAACACAGGAGCACTCAGATTCATAAAGTAAGTTCTTAAAGACCTTCAAAGAGACTTAGACTTACACAAAATAATAGTGGGAGACTTTAACATCCCACTGACAATATTAGACAAAGATATTTAGGACCTGAACTCAGCTCTGGGTCAGGCAGACTTGATAGACATCTATAGAACTCTCCACCCAAAAACAAGAGAATATACATTCTTCTTATGACCACATGGCACTTACTCTAAAATTGATCACATAATCAGAGGTAAAACACTCCTCAGCAAATGCAAAAGAACTGAAATCATAACAAACAGTCTCTCAGACAGCAGTGCAAGCAAATTAGAACTCAAGACTAAGAAATTCACTTAAAACCATACAATTACATAGAAATTGAATAAAGTACTCCTGAAAGACATTTGGGTAAATAATGAAATTAAGGCAGAAATCAAGTTCTTTGAAACTAATGATAAAAAAGATTCAACATACCAGAATCTTTGGGACAGCTAACACGGTGTTAATAGGGAAATTTATAGCACTAAATGCCCACATCAAAATGTTAGAAAGATCTCAAGTTAACAACCTAACATCACAACTAAAAGAACTAGAGAACCAAGAGCAAACAAACCTCAAAGCCAGCAGAAGACAAGAAATAACCAAAATCAGAGCTGAACTGAAGGAGATAGAGACATGAAAAAACATTCAAAAGACCAGTGAATCAGGAGCCGGTCTTTTGAAAAAAATAATAAAATAGATAGCCCACTAGCTAGACTAATAAAGAAGAAAAGAGAGAAGATTTAAATAAACACAATGAGAAATGAAAAGGGGAATGTTACCCCTGACCCCACAGAAATGCAAACAACTATCCAAGAATGTTATAAACACTTCTGGGCACATAAGCCATCAAATCTAGAAGAATTGGATAAATTCCTGGACACATACACCATCCCAAGACTGAACCAGGAAGAAACTGAATCCCTGAACAGACCAATAATGAGTTCTGAAATTGAGGCAGTAATAAATAGCCTACCAACCAAAAAAAGGCCAGGACAAAATGAATTCACAGCTGAATTCCACCAGATGTACAAAGAAGAACTGGTACCATTCCTACTGAAACTATTCTAAAAAATTGAAAAGGAGGAACTCCTCCCCAACTCATTCTACGAGGCCAGCATCATCCTGATACCAAAACTTGACAGAGATGGAAACAAACAAACAAACAAACAAAAACTTCAAGCCAATATCCTTGATGAACACTGATGCAAAAAATCCTCAACAAAATACTGACAAACTGAATCCAGCAGCACATCAAAAAGCTTATCCACCACAATCAAGAAGGCTTCATCCCCAGGAAGCAAGGTTGGTTCAACATATGCAAATCAATAAATGTGATTCATCACATAAACAGAACTAAAGACAAAAACCACATGATTATCCCCACAGATACAGAAAAGGCTTTTAATAAAATTCAACATCCATTCATGTTAAAAACTCTCAATAAACTAGGTATTAAAGGAACATACCTCAAAAATAATAACAGCCATATATGAGAAACCCACAGCCAACATCATACTGAATGGGCAAACGCTGGAAGCATTCTCCTTGAAAACCAGCACAAAACAAGGATGTCCTCTCTCACCACTCCTATTCAACATAGTATTGGAAGTTCTGGCCAGGGCAATCAGGCAAGAAAAATAAACAGCATTCAAATAGGAAGAGAGGAAGTCCAACTATCCCTATTTGCAGATAACAGGATCCTATATCTAGAAAACCCCATCATCTCAGCCCAAAAGCTTCTTAAGCAGATAAATAACTTTAGCAAAGTCTCAGGATACAAAACTGATGTGCAAAAATCACTATCATTCCTATACACCAAAAACAAACAAGTCAAGAGCCAAATCACGAACAAACTTTGATTCACAATTGCCACAAAAATAATAAAATACCTAGGAATACAGCTAACCAGGGAGGTGAAGATCTCTACAAGAAGAGCTACAAAATACTGCTCAAATAAATCAGAAATGACAAAAACAAATGGAAAAATATTTCATGCTCATAAACAAGAAGAATCAATATCATTAAGATGACCATACTGCCATTTATAGATTTAATTTTATAATGCAATTTATAGATTCAATGCTATTCCTGTCAAACTACAAATGACATTCTTCACAGAACTAGAAAAAAACTATTTTAAAATTCATATGGAACCAACAAAGAGCCTGAATTGCCAAGGCAATCTTAAGCAAAAAGAACAAAGCTGGAGGTGTCATGCTATCCAACTTCAAATTATATTACAGGGCTACAGTAACCAAAGCAGCATGGTACTGTTATAAAAACAGACACATAGACAGTGAAATAAAATAGAAAGCCCAGAAATAAGGCTACACACCTACAACCATCTGATCTTCAACAAAGCTGACAAAAACAAACAGTGGGGAAAGGATTCCCTTTTCAATAAATGGTGCTGGGATAACCATTCTACCCAACCATTCCATTACTGGGTATATACCCAAAGAAATATAAATCATTCTGTTATAAAGACATGTGCACACATATGTTTGTTGCAGCACTATTCACAAGAGCAAAGACATGGAGTCAACCTAAATGTCCATCAATGATAGACTGGAAAAATAAAATGTGATATATATACACCATGAAGTACTATGCAGCCATAAAAAAACGAGATCATGTCCTTTGCAAAGACATGGATGGAGCTGGAGGCCATTATTCTTAGCAAACTACAAGAACATAAAACCAAATACCACATGTTCTGATTTGTAAGTGGGAACAAAATGATGAGAACACATGGACACACAGAGGAGAACAGCACACACTCGGGCCTTTCAGAGGGTGGAGGGTGGGAGGATCAGGAAAAACAACCAATGAGTTCTAGGCTTAATACCTGGAGGACAGGAAGAATCAATATCATTTACCATTAAAAAGCCTATACTGCCCAAAGAAATTTATGGATTCAGTGCTATTCCCATTAAACTGTCATTGACATTCTTCACAGAACTAGTAAAAACTATTTTAAAATTCATATAGAACCAAAAAAAGAGCCTGAATAGCCAAGGCAACACTAAGCAAAAAGAACAAAGCTGGCGGCATCACACTACCTGACTTCAAACTATGCTACAGGCCTACAGTAACCAAAACAGCATGGTACTGGTACAAGAACAGACATAGACGAATTTAAACAAAGTTCAGTCTTGTTCTGGTCTTTTTATTCTTTTTTTTAACCTTTATTTTAAGTTCAGGGTTACAAGTGCAGATTTGTTACATAGGTAAACTTGTGTCATAGGGGTTTGTTGTACAGATTATTCAATCAACTGACTCATCAACCAACATTAAAAATTTAGAAGACTGAAGGGCAGTTCCAAAATGGCCAAATAGGAACAGCTCCAGTCTACAGCTCCCAGTGTGAGCAACAAAGAAGATGGGTGATTTCTGCATTTCCAACTGAGGTACTGGGTTCATCTCACTGGGGCTCGTCTGACAGTTGGGGAAGGACAGTGGGTGCAGCCCACTGAGTGTGAGCTGAAGCAGGGTGAGGAGGCATCGCCTCACCCAAGGAGAGCAAGGGGTCAGGGAATTCCCTTTCCTAGCCAAGGGAAGGGGTGACAAACGGCACCTGGAAAATCGGGTCACTCCCACCCTAATATTGCACTTTTCCAATGGTCTTAGCAAATGGCACACCAGGAGATTATATCCCGTACCTGGCTCGGAGGGTCCCACGCCCATGGAGCCTCACTCATTGCTAGCACAGCAGTCTGAGATTGAACTGCAAGGCAGCAGCGAGGCTCGGGGGAGGGGCGCCCACCATTGCTGAGGCTTCAGTAGGTAAACAAAGAGGCCAGGAAGCTCAAACTGGGTGGATCCCACTGCAGCTCAAGGAGGCCTGCCTCTGTAGACTCCACCTCTGGGGGCAGGGCATAGTCAAACAAAAGGCAGCAGAAACCTCTGCAGACTTAAATGTCCCTGTCTGACAGCTTTGAAGAGAGTAGTGGTTCTCCCAGCATGGAGTTTGAGATCTGAGAACAGAGAGACTGCCTCCTCAAGTGGGTCCCTGACCCTTGAGTAGCCTAACTGGGAGGCACCCCCCAGTAGGGGCAGATTGACACCTCACACAGCTGGGTACCCCTCTGAGACGAACCTTCCAGAGGAATGATCAGGAAGCAACATTTACTGTTCAGCAATATTTGCTGTTCTGCAGCCTCCGCTGCTGATACCCAGGCAAACAGGGTCTGGAGTGGACCTCCAGCAAACTCCAACAGACTTGCAGCTGAGGATCCTGACTGTAGAAGGAAAACTAACAAACAGAAAGGACATCCACACCAAAACCCCATCTGTATGTCACCATCATCAAAGACCAGAGGTAGATAAAACCACAAAGATGGGGGAAAAACAGAGCAGAAAAGCTGAAAATTCTAAAAATCAGAGCACATCTCCCCCTCCAAAGGAACACAGCTCCTCACCAGCAAAGGAATAAAGCTGGATGGAGAATGACTTTGATGAGTTGAGAGAAGAAGGCTTCAGACGATCAAACTTCTCCGAGCTAAAGGAGGAAGTTCAAACCCAATGCAAAGAAGCTGAAAACCTTGAAAAAAGATTAGACAAACGGCTAACTGGAATAACCGGTGTTGAGAAGTCCTTAAATGACCTGATGGAGCTGAAAACCATGGCATGAGAACTATGTGATGAATGCACAAGCTTCAGTAGCTGATTTGATCAACTGGAAGAAAGCATGTAACGTAAAAACATTACAAATTGTAAAGACTTATCAATGCTAGGAAGAAACTGCATCAACTAATGAGCAAAATAACCAGCTAACATCATAATGACAAGATCAAATTCACACATAACAATATTAACCTTAAATGTAAATGGGCTAAATGTTCCAATTAAAAGACACAGACTGGCAAGTTGGATAAAGAGTCAAGACCCATCAGTGTGCTGTATTCAGGAGACCCATCTCACTTGCAGAGACACACATAGACTCAAAATAAAGGGATGGAGAAAGATGTACCAAGCAAATGGAAAGCAAAAAAAGGCAGGGGTTGCAATCCTAGTCTCAGATAAAACAGACTTTAAACCAACAAAGATCAAAAGAGACAAAGAAGGCCATTACATAATGGTAAAGGGATCATTTCAACAAGAAGAGCTAAATATCTTAAATATATATGCACCCAATAAAGGAGCACCCAGATTCATAAAGCAAGTCCTTAGAGATCTACAAAGAGACTTAGACTCCCACACAATAATAATGAGAGGCTTTAACACCCCACTATCAACATTAAACAGATCAACAAGACAGAAAGTTAACAAGGATATCCAGGAATTGAACTCAGCTCTGCACTAAGCGGACCTAACAGACATCTACAGAACTCTCCACCCCAAATCAACAGAATATACATTTTTCTCAACACCACATTGCTCTTATTCCAAAATTGACCACATAGTTGGAAGTAAAGCATGCCTCAACAAATGTAAAAGAACAGAAATTATAACAAACTGTCTTTCAGACCACAGTGCAACCAAACTAGAACTCAGGATTAAGAAACTCACTCAAAACCAAACAACTACATGGAAACTGAACAACCTGCTCCTGAATGACTACTGGGTAAATAACGAAATGAAGGCAGAAATAAAGATGTTCTTTCAAACCAATGAGAACGAAGACACAACATATCAGAATCTCTGGGACACATTTAAATCAGTTTGTAGAGGGAAATTTATAGCACTAAATGCCCACAAGAGAAAGCAGGAAAGATCTAAAATTGACACCCTAGCATCACAATTAAAAGAACTAGAGAAGCAAGAGCAAACACGTTCAGAAGCTAGCAGAAGGCAAGAAATAACTAAGATCAGAGAAGAACTGAAGGAGATAGAAACACAAAAAACCCTTCAAGAAATCAATGAATCTAGGAGCTGGTTTTTTGAAAAGATCAACAAAATTGATAGACCACTAGCAAGACTTATAAAGAAGAAAATAGAGAAGAATCAAATAGATGCAATAAAAAATGATAAAGGGGATATCACCACCGATCCCACAGGAATACAAACTTCCATCAGAGACTACTATAAACACCTCTATGCAAATAAACTATAAAATCTAGAAGAAATGGATAAATTCCTGGACACATACACCCTCACAAGACTAAATCAGGAAGAAGTTGAATCCTTGAATAGACCAATAACAAGTTCAGAAATTGAGGCAATAATTAATAGCTTACCAATCAAAAAAAGTTCAGGACCAGACGGATTCACAGCCAAATTCTACCAGAGGTACAAGGAGGAGCTGGTACCATTCCTTCTGAAACTATTCCAATCAATAGAAAAAGAGGGAATCCTCCCTAACTCATGTTATGAGGCCAGCATCATCCTGATATCAAAGCCTGGCAGAGACACAACAAAAAAACAATTTTAGACCAATATCTCTGATGAACATCAATGCAAAAATCCTCAATAAAATACTGACAAACCAACTCCAGCAGCACATCAAAAAGCTTACCCACCATGATTAAGTGGGCTTCATCCCTGGGATGCAAGGCTGGTTCAACATACAAAAATCAATAAACATAATCCAGCATATAAACAGAACCAAAGACAAAAACCACATGATTATCTCTATAGATGCAGAAAAGGTCTTTGACAAAATTCAACAGCCATTCATGCTAAAAACTCTCAATAAATTACGTATTCATGGGACGTATCTCAAAATAATAAGAGCTATTTATGACAAACCCACAGCCAATATCTTACTGAATGGACAAAAACTGGAAGAATTCCCTTTGAAAACTGGCACAAGACAGGGATGCCCTCTCTCACCACTCCTATTCAACATAGTGTTGGAAGTTCTGCCCAGGGCAATCAGGTAGGAGAAAGAAATAAAGGGTATTCAATTAGGAAAAGAGGAAGTCAAATTGTCTCTGTTTGCAGATGACGTGATTACATATTTAGAAAACCCCATTGTCTCAGCCCAAAATCTCCTTAAGCTAATGAGCAACGTTAGCAAAGTCTCAGGATACAAAATCAATGTGCAAAAGTCACAAGCGTTCCTATACACCAATAACAGACAAATAGAGAGTCAAATCATGAGTGAACTCCCATTCACAATTGCTTCAAAGAGAATAAAATATCTAGGAATCCAACTCACAACAGATGTGAAGGACCTCTTCAAGGAGAACTACAAACCACTGCTCAATGAAATAAAAGAGGATACAAACAAATGGAAGAACATTCCATGCTCATGGATAGGAAGAATCAATATTGTGAAAATGGCCATACTGCCCAAGGTAATTTATAGATTCAATGCCATCCCCATCAAGCTACCAATGACTTTCTTCACAGAATTGGAAAAAACTACTTTAAAGTTCATATGGAACCAAAAAAGAGCCTGCATTGCCAAGACGGTCCTAAGCCAAAAAAAAAAAGCTGGAGGCATCACGCTACCTGACTTCAAACTATACTACAAGGCTACAGTAACCAAAACAGCATGGTACTGGTACCAAAACAGAGATAAAGACTAATGGGACAGAACAGAGGCCTCAGAAATAATACGACACATCTACAACCATCTGATCTTTGATGAATGTGACAAAAACAAGAAATGGGAAAGGATTCCCTGTTTAATAAATGGTGCTGGGAAAACTGGCTAGTCATATGTAGAAAGCTGAAACTGGATCCCTTCCTTACACCTTATACAAAAATTAATTCAAGATGGATTAAAGACTTAAATGTTAGACCTAAAACCATGAAAACTCTAGAAGAAAACCTAGGCAATACCATTCAGGACATAGGCATGGGCAAGGACTTCATGACTAAAACACCAAAAGCAATGGCATCAAAAGCCAAAATTGACAAATGGGATTTAATTAAACTAAAGAGCTGCACAGCAAAAGAAACTACCATCAGAGTGAACAGGCAACCTACAGAATGGGAGAAAATTTTTGCAACCTACTCATCTGACAAAGGGCTAATATTCAGAATCTACAATGAACTCAAACAAATTTACAAGAAAAAAAAACCCCATCAAAAAGTGGGCAAAGGATATGAACAGACACTTCTCAAAAGAAGACATTTATGCAGCCAAAAGACACATGAAAAAATGCTTATCATCACTGGCCATCAGAGAAATGCAAATCAAAACCACAATGAGATATCATCTCACACCAGTTAGAATGGCGATCATTAGAAAGTCAGGAAACAACAGGTGCTGGAGAGGATGTGGAGAAATAGGAACACTTTTGCACTGTTGGTGGGACTGTAAACTAGTTCAACCATTGTGGAAGACAGTGTGGCGATTCCCCAAGGATCTAAAATTAGAGATACCATTTGACCCAGCCATCCCATTACTGCGTATATACACAAAGGATTATAAATCATGCTGCTATAAAGACACATGCACACGTATGTTTATTGCGGCACTATTCACAATAGCAAAGACTTGGAACCAGCCCAAATGTCCATCAATGATAGACCGGATTAAGAAAATGTGGCACATATACACCATGGAATACTATGCAGCCATAAAAAAAGGATGAGTTCAGGTCATTTGTAGGGACATGGATGAAGCTGGAAACCATCATTCTCAGCAAACTATTGCAAGGACAGAAAACCAAACACCGCATATTCTCACTCATAGGTGGGAATTGAACAATGAGAACACTTGGACACAGGAAGGGGAACATCACACACAGGGGCCTGTTGTGCGGTGGGGGGAGGGGGAAGGGAAAGCATTAGGAGATATACCTAATGTAAATGACGAGTTAATGGGTGCAGCACACCAACATGGCTCATGTATACATATGTAACAAACCTGCATGTTGTGCACATGTACCCTAGAACTTAAAGTATAATAAAAAAAATTACAAAAAAAAGAATATAGTTTGGGATTATCTAGTGTAACTAGCAATTCAAATATATGATTGTATTTTCTATAATATTTACATCAAAGCCTTAATTTTAAACTTATTTGCACATATTTCTGTAACATAACTAATGCACTGAATATTCCCATTCATATTGTCCTTATGTGGTATTATGGTTAACAACTTAAGTCCTTCATATTTCCTACTGGAGTATATATAGTCTGTGAACGATCTATGCATCTGGAATTTTTGTAATTCTCAATGTGATTTGCTTATACCTAGTAGAATAAGTTGAATGTGGTATAAATTTATAAACTAATTCATTCATTAATTAAAAATAATAAAGAAGATACTTGGTAACTTCTCAAAAAAAAATTTAGAAGATTATGCTTTTGTTGATAATCTCTTCTCAGCCTGCAGCCTTTTTATCAAATACTTGCTATAGCAGTTGTGTTCTTAGCATATCAAACTTATGTTTATTAAGCCTTGCAAAAATGTAAAATGTGCTTCATTATTTATCCTGTAATAGTCATCAAAATTATTTCTAAATATCATTTATATACCAGGTCCCTAGTGAGGTAGTTTAACTAAAATACTGTTTTATTTGTCTTCATATTGATTTGCTCACATTGAGCCCACTTATTGTTAAATTTATTTATAAGGACCCTTCATATATTAAAGATATTGTCTTTGGGGGGAAATGCTTTCAATGTAAGTGACAAGCATTTTGCCATATGTCTTTGGATATTGCCTATGGTATTTTCTACCTTACAAAAGTCTTCTATGCTCTAACTTATTGATAGTTTCCTTTATGCCTTCCTCTCTTAAACATTATTTTTAATTTACCATCTCATTTAGTGTATATAATTATTTCATTTCCTAATAGAAAAAAGGGTGGGAGGGGAAGGTTGTATGTGTGTGTGTGTATGTGTGTGTGTTGTTTGGTCACTTTTTGGAAAAAGTATATCATATCTAGATTTCTACTTGAATTGATTCTCAATGGAAAATTAGTGAATACTGAATCAATCGATAACACTTGCTGTGTTCCAGCTTGACCATAGCAATTACTGTGTTTCCCTCATTAATGAATGTGGTCGTTCATTTTGAAATTCCTACTACTTTGCCTGCTGTGACTTCGTTTATTTTGTAAAATCATCCTGACTAGTTAAACAATTTAATTGCTTTCAGCATGATGAGATTATTTCTTGTAATGTATCTGTTTCTATTGTAAAACAATGATAACATATTTGGCTTTGGGGCACAGTACTGTATCACAGTAGTGTATCTGAGATGTTCAAATATAAATGGAAGTGTTCCATTATAAGGCCTCCCATCCTCAATTGATCATTTTTCCTTCTTTATTCAACAGTATTTATTTTCTTCCCTCCCTTCCTGCCTCCACCTTTCCTCTGGTCTTTATTACCTGGTCCTTCTCTGGTATTTTTCCCTTAACTTGGCCTACATATTTACCCGTTTTCTCCCTATAATACTGGTAGGCTCATATAGTCCTCACCTTCCTCTGTGCAAGGCAAGGGTACCTACGAGCCTGGAGCTGAAAACCTTCCTTTGGCAGTCATTACTGTTGAAAGGATTTCCACATGTGCAAATCTTTCAGGACAAGTAATTGCGGACAATGTGAGTGATCTGTCTTGAGTCCAGCGACATCACAGGGACCACCCCATGTGGCACTTTCCTCATCCCACCCATAACATTTGAACTTAGTTAAAATGAACATCAAAGCCTGCTCTAAAGAAGAAAAGAAAAAGGAGTCATAAAAGGGCAGTGTAAGGCCTGGAGACAAAGTTGAGATAGGGACAGTGTATGACCAGGCAGCCAGCACCAGCAGTGCTGGGACATCCCTATTTGCCAAGTCCTCAAGGTATTTTCCTGATTACTCCATATGTGAGGATCCTGCACTTAAGGCAATTCTCATCCATTCCAGTCACTTCATAGCTGACGTGGAGAGGAGTAAAGGAAAAGGAAGTTGAAGTACTATTGTGTGACTTAACTCAATAATGATGGTTTAGAAAACGTATCTTCATATTTATGAAAGGAAGATTTAACATGCAAAATATATTCTGATTTAAAGTTGAGATAGAGGAAGACAAAACAAATTTCCCTCAATCTCACCTTTGCCACCACCATCATTCCACCAAGAAGAGGCCCTAGAGCAGCCCTCTGAAGTATTTACATTTAAGTTGCTTAGGAAAAGGCAGTATTCCAGGTGCCCCAACCCTTATTACAGCCCCAGCTCTGAGTTGAGGGGTACTTTGCTTTCCTTGCCAACTGCCCTTAAGCTCATTCATTTTAAGGACCTAGTGGGAGGGATGGCTGTAATCTGAGGTGAGATTTACATTTTCTTGAGAACTTCGGACTTAATATCATTATATAGCACCCCAATATCCTTCCCAAGCCCAATTTTCAAAGCTGCCATAGTTTCACTATGGGTGTTAGCAGATACATTTACCAAATTAGCTAAGCCATTACTGGACAGAAGTCAAGGCCTGAAGGGTGGTGGGCTACAAGGGAGGGATCCAGTGAAATTCTGCCAAATCCTGATGTCAAGTGCCAAGGGCTGGGGATGGTTGGATAGCTTGGGAAAACTTGATATTGAGAACATTTTTCAAAGGAATGTAAAAGGGAATAAATGGGAAGAGCTTGAAACAAATCTGCTTTGCACTTATGTCTACAGAGCAGTGTTTCTCAGACTACCTGTGGGAAAGACCAATGTGTTTGGAGTTTTAGTTTGTTAATTTGTTTGTTTTTAGTTTCAGCCCATTGTGAACTGATACGTTTATACAACACAAATAAATAGAAAAAAGTAATTAAATAAAAAACAAAGGCATACAAAATACACACCCAATTTTTATTAGATTGGACAAATTTTATTTCATTAATAAAATAAATTAATACAGTGCCATGTTAAGTCGCTGTTACAGTTTCTAAACTCTGGCTCTCAATTTCTGTCCCCATCTTGCTCCAAATCGGTAACAAAGAGGTTCGGAGACTGGCACAGGTCTGCGGGCCATGCTTTGATTGGCATGGCTCTAGGGGGTGTGGCTTATAAATCTGACAGAGCAGGTGTCTGGGCTGTTGAAGAAAGGCAGTCCAAGGGATAGAACCACACGAGGCCTTTGGAGCAGTGGCACAGCTGTTCTATAAGGGTCTCCTGAAACACAGGAGAAGCAGAAACAAAACATCTCTAAGAGCAGCAAGAAAGACAGCTAAACACAGCAAAGAAGAGCCACAAGGCTATGACGTGTGAAGCCAGCCCTCCTCTGAGCACAGCCTTGCACTTGCTCAGTCCGGTACAGTTGCTGTAAAGCCATCCAAAGCAAACATGGCCCTCCCTGCAGCAGACTCAACAGAACAAAAACCAACACCCAGAAATAAATTAGATCGCCGAGCTCATCATGTTACACAGCCCACTGTTCTCAAATCCAGAATCGTGAATATAATAACAAATGATACTATTAACTGGCAAATCGGTCTAAAGCCAAAACCAAATAACTCATTACTATTAACCAACATGATTCTCAGAATTTTCTAGGTCAGCTACAAGAAAGAGTTATGAGACTCTTCCCAACTGAACTAAATCTCACCCATGTCTAATTACACGCAGTGTGTATGGCTAAATCCTTTTTCTCTTCTGCACAGCTAGCTTGTGTCTCAGAGCCCCTAAACCCCCAGGGACTTCTCAAAGGAGGCAGGCATGTAGCCAGGTTGAAAGGAACATAGAGCCGGGAGCCAGCACATAGGAGCTTAAGGGCCACCTGCTAGCTCGGTAATCTCAAGCAAGTCCCTGAATTTCAGTTTATTTATCCATAAAACAAGACTAATGACAACCACTTCCCTGGAAATACAGCTAAAAACGTTCAGCAATTTGTACAACGCTATGTGGACATTAATCCTTACTACTCAGAAATAAGCAGCTGAGAGATGTTTGTAACCATTCCCATTTCCCCCGCCACACACACACACACACACACACACAAAGCTTCGTCCTTTACAATTTATTTCTTCCTTAGAGTTTGGATCACTTCTACCTGTCACACACCATCTTCCTTACGATCCCAGCATCACTGGGATGTAGCAGGGAACTGACGCCATCCTGTCTGCCTTCCAATGTGGAACAATGGCACACAGTAGAGCATCCAAGGTACATCAACAGTGACAAAGATGACTTGAAAATTCACAGGGACATTTGAGTGGGAGTAATAAGTTTGGTTTATTAAGCTTGTGGCTTTTCTTAATCTGGCTCCTCCTTATCTCACCTTCTGCTCTGACAGGAAGTCACTGCTCTGCGTTGGTTTTGTTCATTCTGTTTAACATGTAGAAAGCTTTACTGTTGCCACACACCTGTACAAGGAAAGCAGGTTTTTTATAAAATTCTGTGTTCTGGGAGGGTACTCATTCACATACAACTTAACATACAGGGAGGTCAGGCAGGTGATTTGGTCTAGGTCATAAGCTGTGTTGCCTTGGGCAAATTACTTAGCCTCTTGGAACTTATTTCTTCCATTGTAACATAAGTTGTCCTGCTTTCCTCAAAGACATAGACATGAAACCATAAATGATCATATAAAAAGAATTTTGGAAATAAGGTATTTTACTTATATATTATTAAGTTATAATGAATAATACATAATTATAGTATTATTTTTTATTATTCCTACTCTTTGTGCTAGAAAACAATTTGAAAGGAGTCTCTTGCAATCTGCCGAGCATAATAGCTCTGGATTTTAATTCTCCTTTCTAAAATGAATGGAAGATAAAATGCATACCTCTTAAAAGAAAGATCTGTTGATTTAATGCAAATTTTGATCAGTGTTACTAGGAAGTGATTGGCATTCTGATGCGTGATCTGTTTGTATTCATTTTATATTTGCACTGCTGATCAGTGTCTGGCACAAACAGAATCTTGTAGAATCTTGAGTCTAATACCTTTTGTATTGAAGGCCTGGCAATGCATTGTCATCTGTTCCTGGGAAGAATTACAAAATGCAGTCCTTTATTTTTAAAAGACATTATTATTAAGTCCCTGGAAAAACACATGGCCATTTTCAATTAAAAATGAGTAAAAGAGAGACTCTGAATCAAAAATAGTTGCCAATGTTCACCTTTAACAACATTATGAAATCTCACAAAAATGTAACTAAAATTTAACCAAATTTGGGCAAACTTAGAGAAACGACATGAGTAGGGATGTTTGCTGCAAAACATATGGTTTTCTCTGGTTGGTGCTCAGGCTTTAGCTAAGCCACATTGTGAAGTAACCATAATCTGTGCAAGGTCCATGTCTCTCTTCATCATAAATCTATGTCCAAATGAAAAAGAGAGAAGAATGAAATATGATAGGCACCATTTTGTGCCAGGAAAAATAGTAAGTATTGCTTGAGAGCAATGGACATCTTTGAACTCTGTCTGCAACTTCATTACATTCTTATGGCATGGATATTTTTCATTTATAAATATTATATACACATATAGTATAAATTTTCTTTATAGCATAAGTACTCTGATACAGGTATTAGAGATGGTATCTCCAGATATGAGTTCTTTATGGCATACATACCTCTCCCAAAAAAGTGCTAAAAGCAATTAGCCGGATGTGGTGGTGGGCGCCTGTAGTCCCAGCTACTCGGGAGGCTGAGGCAGGAGAATGGCGTGAACCCAGGAGGCAGAGCTTGCAGTGAGCCGAGATCGCGCCACTGCACTCCAGCCTGGGCGACAGAGAGAGACTCCGTCTCAAAACAAAACAAAACAAAAAAGTGCTAAAAGCACAGACCTGAAAGTCCCCAAACTGATACATAACGTTTACACCTAGGTGTGAAAAAAAATCTTACCCCTAGAGCACCTGTGGTGAGAAAGTCAAAACTTACAAGAACAAAACTCAGTCTTCAGAATCTTCTTCCTTCATCACAGGATCAACACATTTCATCTGGGCTTCTTAAATCTAAATCTTTAAAATGACTAAGTTTTCTTCCTTTTCTCTGTTTTTCCTAATAGTTGGGGCTTATATGACTCATGTGTGTAAGTATCTCCTATATCTACATGTAAACATTAAATGAATTTCTACTGACTATATTGTTATATTATAGATGAAAATTATTTTCACAATCATTCCTATCTTTCTGAACTGTAATGTATTATACAAATTTTTCATCAGTAAAATTATTGTAGCTTTTAGGTAGGGTTATTGTTGTTTTTTAAGCTTTGAAAATAATATAGTGACTGTCATTGGAAGAATTACATGAAACAGTAGTTTAGATCTTTTGTGTGAAACCTTTTGGTCTACTTTTGTAGGTTTCAATATGGAAATTATTGGAGGGAAAGAAGTGTCACCTCATTCCAGGCCATTTATGGCCTCCATCCAGTATGGCGGACATCACGTTTGTGGAGGTGTTCTGATTGATCCACAGTGGGTGCTGACAGCAGCCCACTGCCAATATCGGTGAGTCCTCCACACTTTTCCAGACATGTGTTTTTTCTGAAAGTTATTATAGGTACAAGAGAAGCTTACCTCTCCTGAATGAGAATTTGATCTACTGTTAGCTTCTGTGGTTACTGACCAACTGGTGGCGTTTATTTACCTTCTTCCACATCCACGCTTTCTGTCTTGGGTTTTCCTTTTCAGAGAGAACTGAGCTGCTTTTCCCAGGCAAGACATTAGACAAATTCAAGTCCTCTGTATAATGCAGGGAACACAGCAACAGTAATACTTGAAGCAGCAGTACTCTTGACCTTGTTAGATCACACTGCTCAAAAGGAAATCAGACAACCTGAGCTTGCTCTGTGCTCTGAGCTTCCCCATTTTACAAAGGGGTAATAATCATATCATACCTGCTTTGTGGGTTTTGAGAATTAAATAGTATCTGTTTAAGTATTTTAGCATGCTTGGCACATTTAGTAAGCACAAAAAAATTGCAGCTATTATCATTAGTATTATACGCATGAGAAGCCTACTTTGCCACTCCTAACAGTAGCTACCTAACAGTAGCTACTCACCACTTACAACTTTCCTAGGTGGAAAAAAACAAGTTATTGATGACTTCTAGAAAGAGAAAGATAATGAGAGAGTTATTTTCTAGGATACTTAGAATGAAAGCTTTTCTGAAGACAGAGTAAAACCTTCCAAAGTCCATTTCAGCCTAGGATTCTCTTACTTCAGCTAATAAAGCACAAAACCCCTCTTGGGATGCTGCAACCATCACAAAAGGAAATGCCAGTAGAAAACTAATTTGGTATTTGTTGTTTTGTTTGTTTGCTTGGGTTTTTGGTTTTGTTTTTTGTTTGTATATATGTTTCCTTATGTTTCTTACCTAATAAGCTGAAATGGAGCCTTCTCCTTTTCTTTCACTTAAAGATCTCTCTTAGCTGTAATGGTTTGCTCTCCAGGCATTGTCTATATCTAAACAGAACAATTGAATTGATTTGCTTTTCTATGCTTTGGGGGTTTTGTCTGATTACCCCATTTAAATGGAACTGTTTGATCACAAATTGGAAGTTTTGAAGCCTGCAAACTGGGAGATCTTCTGCTATCTCTAAATAGCAAGCCACTGATTTCCAATTTAATATGGTTACTTCATTTACACAGGGTTCTTGCCCTCATAGAAATCACACTCTCATCCCCATCACTTCTCTCTTCTCCAGGGCATTTGCCCCCTCGAGATCAGAGAGACAGAGTGGGGAACTGTCAGCGAATGTTCATTTGATGCAAAATATGCACATCTTCAAATATGCTCATAATACACATTCAAATGGTCTATAACCTCCCCAGACACAGAGCTTGACTTCTAAATGTTCAACAAACTTTGGATGGAAAGAAAGAAATACACTGAAAGATCTTTCTTTCTTTCTTTCTTTCTTTGGCTAGGCCTGAAACATGGTGTATGAAAAAGTGCTTCACTAGCCATAAAGTGTTATAGGAAATTAAATAATATCACTAAGTTGAATTTTAAATTTTGTCAAGTGGATTTAACTCACGAGAAGCGGATTCCCAAATTGGGGAAAGAGATTATTGACAAAAGACTGGAGAGAGGTCTTGGAGTTTTTTGTGTTTTGTTTTTTTTTTCTTAAAACAAACTATTGCTAAATATCATTTTAAATGGCTGGGGTATAAAGAACTGCAAAATATGTAGATCAAATTTCCTCTACAGGACACTTGGGTGTAAAAAGTAGGCAGATCGGTGGTTGGAAAAATATTAAGCTTTATGAAATTCAAAATATTTACAAAATAGCTCAATGGTGGCTTCCCACAAATGTACTCCCCAGTATCCTGTGGGAATAGTTTGCCCCAAGCCTCTCTCTCAGCAAAATTTTGAAGAGGGCCAAACCTGGGAGTGCTCCCTTCTCACCAGCCATCCACACATCTCCTCCCTCAATATTCTGGCCCCTTTATTAGTTGCCATGTCAAATATAAAAGGAAATTGATAAAAAATGTCCTGTACAAACTTATTTTCAGCATTTTAACTTACCAGAAGCAAAACTCTCACCAGCTGTTGTACCCTGTTCTCCTGATTCTCTCCCAGGCCCCTCTCACAGAGCACTTCCTCCTGCCCCAACCTGCCTAGCAAGTTGTTAGATGGAACCTTCCACAGCCCCTTCCACATGGCCTCACTCCATCTCAAATGCTCAAGGCTCCTGGAACAAAATGGTTCAATGTTCAGGCTCTAGATTCAAGCCAACTGAGCTTTAATCCTGCCCGAATTTGCCTCCTGGAGGCAAAGGTCCTCAAGTTTATTCGTTTACCTGAACCTCAATTTCTTCATCTATAAAATGGGGATTGTCATAATACCTATCTCACCACGCTGTTGTGCGGTTTAAATGAGGGAAGCTTTGTAAAATGCTTAGCACAGAACACAAAGAACTTAATAGATGTTATCGAGTATTGTTATACAATTATCTGTGCCTTCCATGGTAATAACCAAGGAACTAATCTGATGTTGACGAGATAAGACTGGGAAGACCTCCCTCTCTGACAGCCAAGTTCTTCTCCCTCTCTCTTAGGCAAGAGAAATCTCCAAGACATAGGGACCCTGCCTTTGCTGCCAGACCTCAAGGGGCGGGTCTAAGCAGAACCACTGTTGAGTGTCCAGGCGCGCTGGCAGAGAAAAGAAGAGGCTTGAAGGGGGTTGGCACGGGGTTCAAAGAGGGATTGAGGAAAGAGCACTGGACTGGGAGTCACCAAAAGCCAAATTTGGGTCCTGATTCCCCTATTTATGAGGTGTGTCACCTTGGACCAGTCAGAGAACAATCTTTTACTGGTAAGGAATACACAGCCCGTCAGCTTTACCAGCCTTGAAAAAGGTTATTGTTAGGCTCAATGGAGACAATGTTTACAGATGTCTTCAGCAGACCCACTATAAGCCGCACTGTAGTTCTGCTCCATATATGAATCTCTTCCAGGAAAGCTCAGGGTGGGACTCCGGAAACCACATTTTAAACCAACACCTCCAGGTGATTCTGAAGCAAGTCTGAAGACTGCATTTGGGGAAATCCTGTGCTGTGCAACTGAAAAACACTGGCATTATTACTTCCTCTTTGTGTGAATTCAGACTTCAGTTTAGCTAAGGAGGTGGCATCCCAGAACTCAAGTAATTCCAGGTACCCTGTGGGCAGAAAATTTGACCTGAGTAGCACAGATTACAGTTGAAGGATATCTAGAAATTGAAAGGTCAGAAGGAATAATGGTCTGCTTGGGTTGTTTTTGGTCTTAACATGTCCCAGTGGAGACAAAAATAACCAAAACATTTCAAAGGCAATAACTAGCCGAGTAAATTAGTAAAAGACGAAAGAAACCCAGACATTTTTTCAGCATCCCTCCCTTAGTGAGAATCCACCCTCCATACCTCTCATTTGTACCTCATAGCCTTCTTTGTGTGAGTCATTTAGGCACGTGCCCACCTTTCTGTTAGAGCATTCATCCTGAAGATTTTTATGTCATCCTTCTCCTACAAAGTTTTGGGTTTAGTGGGTATGTTGAATTTGAATTCAAATCAATCCTAGGAAATCCAGTCCACATCCTATGAGAAATTTCCACCCGGTCCTGATTTTGCAATAGGCAAACTTTTCAACAAATAGAGCTGGAATTCCCAAAATAAATAAAAATAAACTCTTTTGGTAGAAACCAAAAAGTGGTCATTCCAGGCAGTCACAGCTCTGCCATAAGCAAACCCACTCTACCACAGGCATTTGCCATTTTCAAATCTGAAACAATCATGTCTTCCTTTTTCTGTATGTTTCTGTGCTCTTTGTAACTTTTATTAATCTTTATTAATCTATATGCATGAGTATGTGTGTTTTTACTGCAATCTACTTTGGTAGCTTTTCCAAGTAGCAAAGAAATAGTTACATGTAAACAAACAAATACAATTAAAAGATCTGAGGTGGACTTCATAAAGATAGACACTGTAATGGAATGTATCTGTAGTATACAAATGGCTCTACGGTTCTGCCAAAATCTCCAAAAAATTATTTCTACTTTATCACTGCTGTAAATGTAATTTTATCCAACAAAGAGTAAATCAGATCAATTGTGGCACTGTTGAAACACTGGTACTAGAACTGTGTATGACCAGAGATTTAAAAAGCAAACCTTGCCAGGCACAGAGACTCACGCCTGTAATCCCAGCACTTTGGGAGGCTGAGGCCAGTAGATCACCTGAGGTCAGGAGATTGAGACCACCCTGGCCAACATGATGAAATTCCGTCTTTACTAAAAATACAAAAATTAGCCAGGTGTGGCGGCACAAGCCTGTAGTCCCAGCCTCTCGGGAGGCTGAGGCAGGAGAATCGCTTGATCCTGGGAGGCGGAGGTTGCTGTGAGCCGAGATGGCGCCACTGAACTCCAGCCTGGGAAACAGAGCAAGACTCCTTCTCAAAAAAAAAAACGTTAAAAAAGAAAGCCAAAAAACAAACCTATTTCTTCACCTCACTCACCAGTTCGTATCCTCTAAATCTCCCCGATGGAATGGCTACTAACCTTAAAGTATCTTCATTTTAAATTAGCACTGTTTTCTTACCTTGAGGAAAGTTTTCCTTTCTTGTCCAAATCTTTGTTCTAATTGAGGGGACAGGACATATGGACATATCTGACTGTCATGTAATAGGCCTTACTTCCCCACATTGACCTGAGATGAAGTCTAGGCATGTGGGTGAGCAAGTGTAGGGTGGGGATCTTTGTGGTTTTTGTTTGTTTGTTTGTTTGTTTGTTTGTTTGTTTTTAAGAGATGGGGCCTTGTTCTGTCACCCAGGCTGTGACACTTCAGCCTCCAGCTCCAGGACTCAAGCAATCCCTCCTGCTTCAGCCTCTCAAACAGCTGGGACTGTAGGCATGCACCACCATGCCCAGCATGCACCAGTGTGCCCCTTAATGTTTTTTTAGAGATGGGGGTCTCACTGTATTGCCCAGGTTTCTCTCAAACTCCTGGCCTCAAATGATCCTCCCACCTCAGTCTCCCAAGTGGCTGGGATTACAGGCATGAGCCACCACACCTGGCTACCTTAATTATTAAAACACTTAATGTTGGGAAGATAAAAAAAGTTCTGGGGTTCTGGAGATGATAGTGGTGGATGAACAACAATATACATGTCCTTCATACCACCAAACTGTACATTAAAGAATGGTTAAAATGGTAAATTTTACCATTCTTATACCATTATGTATACTTTACCACAATAAACAAATTTTAATGGTAGTTGGTGTAAATCTCAAACTACAAACTCAAGGAATATAATTTGCTTTATTTTTACATAAATGAACATAATTTTGTTTTAAACTTGATCTAAGTCAATTAGGATTTCACTCCTTTTTCTTCCCCCAGTTGGATACAAGTTCTGATATTCTTTTGCAATGCCAGGGAATTGGTTTAGGGTGGGATTAAGGGCAAGTCATTTGGCCCTTAATATCAATTCATGCTGGGCTCCACTAAGACCTTTGTCACTCCACCTAATCTTAGGCAGGTTACCTTGGAGATAGCCCTTGTTTCTCTGTGTATACAACCCTCTCGACCATCACCACTCCCCACTGGGGGATTTGGAAATCATTCTGCTGCTTTCATTGTCTTTGCTTTTTTTAGGTTTACCAAAGGCCAGTCTCCCACTGTGGTTTTAGGCGCACACTCTCTCTCAAAGAATGAGGCCTCCAAACAAACACTGGAGATCAAAAAATTTATACCATTCTCAAGAGTTACATCAGATCCTCAATCAAATGATATCATGCTGGTTAAGGTAGGTAGTAGCATTGTCTTCCTTCTATTTTGTCAACATTTTTATACAGGATGGCTCAATTAGTTAAATCACCTACAAAATGCATTTTGCTAGCACCCTCCCCATGTTTGAGGTGATTATGATATATTTTATAAGGGCCCATGTTATTCCATATACTGTCTTGAAAGAAACAAGAATTTATCACAAATGCACCAGGGCTGTGTTTATACAAGGAAAAGCAACTCTGATACTCAACATATGTAGGAGGGGAACATCTTAACAGGCCCAAGGATCCACACTGAAAGCTTTTCTCCCAAATGCTTTTCTCATTAGCAAGTAAAAAAATACAACAGTTGTTTATACAACAGAGCCAACCAAGTGACTTCGGGGGCTCAGCAGTGAGTTACAGCTTAGTCTAGACCACACTTAATTTAGTCCGAACTTGGTCTAGACCATACTCAAGGGTCCTATCCGGCAGGAAGCAGCCCAGCCCTCAAAGTCATGACCTATGGATGTTATTCCACACAAAACCATCCAATGCAGGGCAAAGGCCAGTTTGCTCGAGACTGAACAAATTCCTGCTCTCTATAAGCTCCCGCCCCAAGCCTCAGTGAGCTCCTCGGGGAGTAGAGAGCATGGTCAGAAAAGCAACAACCACAAATGCAGCTGCAGGCCACCACCAAAGTAGATCCCAGAACAGGGACGCCCGCCTAAGACAGAGGGACCACACATACGACGCACAGGCTAGCATCAGAATACTACTGGGAAAGAAATAATTCCATCTTTTTTCAATCTGTCAGCTTCAAACAGCCGCAAAACTCAATAAACATGTCAAGATGCTCCACATAAGATCCAAAACCTCTCTTAGATCTGGAACCAAATGCAAGGTTACTGGCTGGGGAGCCACCGATCCAGATTCATTAAGACCTTCTGACACCCTGCGAGAAGTCACTGTTACTGTCCTAAGTCGAAAACTTTGCAACAGCCAAAGTTACTACAACGGCGACCCTTTTATCACCAAAGACATGGTCTGTGCAGGAGATGCCAAAGGCCAGAAGGATTCCTGTAAGGTAAGAATCTCTCTTTCAAACAGGCATCTTGGAGCGCTGTACAGTAGCCAAGCCTCTATTGCTCACTGACACTGAGGAGGAGGGAGGGGCATGGAGAATACAAAACCACAATTCTAAACACTTTCTCTTCATTCCTGCACAGCATTCTCTATTCTTTTTCATCTACCAATGTGGATGGATTGTAAAAACTTCCCCAATACTTTATAAGCACCCACTAAATGTTTGTTAATCAGGATAATAGACCATATCTGACAACTTTTACAGGCTTCCTATGAGAGGTGTTATCCTCCTTACAAAGTCTACCAACCCTGAAGTCACTAGTGGTGATTAGAAGATAACTTATTTAAAGAACCACCTTGCAGATTAATCAATAAGGAGGCCTTAAAGACTCAAATGCAAAAAGCTCAAATATACAGTATGTGTTTCATAAGTAATGCTGACTGACTGTCTTCGTCTGTTTGGGCTGCTACCACAAAATACCATAAACTCGGTGGCTTATAAATAACAGAACTTTATTCTGTTCAAGATCAAGATCAAGGCACCAGCACATTTGGTGTCTGGGGAGGGCCTACTTTCTGGTTCATAAACAGCTTCTTTTCACTCTAATCTCACATGGTAGATGGGGTGAGGGGTCTCTCTTAGGCCTCTTTAATAAGGGAACTAATCTCATTCATGAAGCCTTCACCTCCATGACCTAATCACTTCCCAAAATCACCACCTCCTAATACTCTCACCTTGGGAGTGAGGATTGCAACATATGAATTCGGAGGAATCAGACTTTCAGACCATACCACTGACTAACAAAAAGGAACAAAAGGCCGGGCATGGTGGCTCACACCTGTAATCCCAGCACTTTGGGAGGCCAAGGTGGATGGATCTGTTGAACTCAGGAGTTTGAGACCAGCCTGGGCGATATGGTGAAAACCCGTTTCTACAAAAAATACAAAAATTAGCCAGGTGTGGTGGCACACGCCTGTAGTCCCACCTACTCAGGAGGCTGAGGGGGGAGGATCACCTGAGCCCAGGAGGTTGAGGCTGAAGTGAGCCGAGATCTTGCCACTGCATTCCAGTCTGGGTGACAAAATGAGACCCTGTCTTAAAAGAAAAAAAGGAACAAGAGTCATTATGTTTTTCAAAATCATTTGTTTATTGAGATGGTAAGGAAAAAAATAGGTGTTCATGTTTGTATGAACTATACTAATATATAGCACAAATGAATTACTAATTTTTTAAAAATTAGAATACAGTATTCATCTCATACTATATTAAGTATAATTGGGGGAGAGGATATGATGACTTCAAATGTCTTGTGCATCTGCAGTACCCAAGACCATCACCCTCCTAAACATCGGTTATCATGGTTGACCAAAGTATAAGGCACTGCAGTTTGCAATGTGAACATTAGCAAAGAGAAAGGCTGGTCTTCAAATGTAGAAGCCAGCTCTTCATCAAAAGGCCATGCCATCCCCTCTATAGCTCTTTCCCTTCACTTGATAGAATTTAGTTACATGCTTTGCTGTTAGAGTGTCTTCAAAAATCATTTCATTCACTAAGTATTTACTAAGTATGGTACATATACATAACACTATGTCCAACCATGTGAGGATGCAAAAAATAAATAAATAACAGAGAACATATAATTCCTGCCATGAAGACATTTACTACAATACATTGCTCTTTTCTGCTAGCCTCAATAACAACTCGATTTTAGGTCTGTGAGCATCAAAATGAAATCTACAATTTTAAAAGATTATTTTATTTCAGTGGATTATTTAAAACTTTATCCATTCTTTAATAAATAGTCAATAGTCATTGATTCCCAGAGGAATGTAGACATAGATAGGGACAAAACAGAGATATAGACATGGACACTGAGACAGAGGCAGAGGCATAGTCATAGTCATAGATAGAGACATAAACAGAGAAGCAAGTAGGCAGAAACATAGTCCTTGACAGAGACAGGCACATGGACAACCTATAACGAGTAAGAGGCAGTGTCAGACACTCTTCTGGACATAAAGAAAGCAAAGACCCAGATGATAATCCCTTGAGCAATCAGCAGTTGGTGGTTAAAAAACAAAAATATCCCAACAGCTTCTTACCACGTATTTGCCCTTTTTCTTCCTTCCAGGGTGACTCAGGGGGCCCCTTGATCTGTAAAGGTGTCTTCCACGCTATAGTCTCTGGAGGTCATGAATGTGGTGTTGCCACAAAGCCTGGAATCTACACCCTGTTAACCAAGAAATACCAGACTTGGATCAAAAGCAACCTTGTCCCGCCTCATACAAATTAAGTTACAAATAATTTTATTGGATGCACTTGCTTCTTTTTTCCTAATATGCTCGCAGGTTAGAGTTGGGTGTAAGTAAAGCAGAGCACATATGGGGTCCATTTTTGCACTTGTAAGTCATTTTATTAAGGAATCAAGTTCTTTTTCACTTGTATCACTGATGTATTTCTACCATGCTGGTTTTATTCTAAATAAAATTTAGAAGACTCTCTGTTTGTCTTTTATCACATGAAGTAATATCTGCCCCCATTGCACCCACACTCGCCAAAGGGCAATAAGGTCACTGAATAAAACAGTAATGGTACCACCTTCAACTAGGTGTAACTTCTGCTGGATCATCCTAAGTTGTTGGGTTGTTTTCTTTTCATTGTTGTGATAACATTGAACATGAGATAGGCCCTTGCAACAAATGTTTAAGGGTATGATACATTATTGTTAACTATAGGCATGATCTTGCAGTGCAGATCTCTAGAACTGCTTCATCTCATATAAATGAAACTTTATGCCAGTTGAATAGCAGCTCTCTATTTCCCCACCACCCCCATCCTCTGGCAACCCCATTCTACTCTAAGCTTCTATGAGTTTGTATTTTTTAAATATAAATCATAAATATAAATATCCTAATTCAAGCAAGCAGCTTATACAAATATTTGGACAGTATTTCTTATTTATATATGTCATATTTTGTTCCAGAAAGGATTGAAAGCAATGTACAACAACGCCTGCAATAAAACAAAATGCAGAATTAAAAATAAATTGATGAAGGTATTGGGACAATGGGGAAATGAGAGTAAGAAAGAGAAGATGAAGGCCGGAGTGGTCACATGGTACTGATAGTGCCAGAAGTTTATTTCTGTACATTTGCTAGAAGGATTCAAATTTGGCTCTATGCTTTGGCCAACGCAAGAAAGAGCAACACAATCAATTATATGAATTACAGTGTCCAGGAAATAAAAATAAATTGTTTACCCAGAAGTAGGACCCCTGGTGCTGGAACTAAAACTAGAGAGAACTTTTTTCCACGGTCCTCATAAGAAGGACGCTGTGACGGCCGGGCGCAGTGGCTCACTCCTGTAATCCTAGTGCATGGAAGGCCAAGGCAGGTGGATCACGAGGTCAGGAGATCGAGAGCATCCTGGCTAACACAGTGAAACCCCGTCTCTACTAAAAAATACGAAAAATTAGCCAGGCTTGGTGGCGAGCACCTGTAGTCCCAGCTACTCGGGAGGCTGAGGCAGAGAATGGCGTGAACCTGGGAGGCGGAGCTTGCAGTGAGCCGAGATCACGCCACTGCACTCCAGCCTGGGCGACACAGCGAGAGTCTGTCTCAAAAAAAAAAAAAAAAAAAAAAAAAAAGAAGAAGAAGAAGAAGAAGGACACTGTGCCATGTGTCCCATATCCCCACCAACTGCATCAGAACCACCTCTAAGATTATTTGTAATACAGGTTCCCTTGACCCCTTGCCTAGAAATTCAGATTGAATAGGCTTGGTGTGGGCCTGAAAATCTGCGTTTTTTTCAAAGCAACTCAGTTGATGCTGATAAATGGGCAAATCTGAAAGCCACTGATAATGAACATCCTTAGTGACTTCTTATAATAAAGACAACAATTGATGTGAAGGGATTGTTACAAATCTCTCATTGTGAACTGATGGCTTCAGACCAAAGTGCAATTCAGTAAGATCACTGGAGGATCTCAGCTGTCTCGGACTGTGGTCGTCCAGTGATTAGAGAAGTAACAGTTTCTAATTTGGGCGGAGGAGCATGGTGGGAGATTGGTGGGGGATGGCGTCAACAGTCAGAAGCCAAAAGATTAATCTCAGCCTCTATATTTAATTTGAGTTTGGGGGGACAAATAGTTCTCGTTTCCAGGCAACATCAAGTTCTCTTACATGCATATAGAAATAGATGCTTTTGGTAGTTTGTTTATTGGCTTATCTTTTGTCATGGTTCTTAGAAACAATTAACCAGCACTACCCCGCACTATGAATACTTAGAGAAATGGAAGCACTGGGTTAAAAAGGCAACCTAACTAAAATTATTGAGAATAATAATTTTTAAATTATTGAGAAAATAGTAAAAGAAGGTTCTTTAAATATCTCATCTTGTGTCATTTTGATTTATTAAAAGTATACTGATTATGAGACTACATTTTACAACAAAAGAAAAGGAAAAAATTGTAGATTCTCTGGACTTATTAAAAAATAATCCTGTGTCTATTTTCTCTAAATTTCAAATCCATGAAACATACCATTATAAATCTTTTTAACCAAAAGGACTATTGCCATTGTCCCTAATTCCAGCTAATAAGTTATCCTGAAAAGCTGTCACTAAAACTTGAGAGCTGTGTTTTGATTTTAGACACCCTGTTGTTAATATCTAATAGTCGAACCTGATCAGATTGCCAGAGAAGGTTCTTTCAACAGCTGTGGCAGACCTGGCAACTCTGAAATTGGAAGATAAACAGTTTATTTTGACAAGCAGCTAATGATAGAAACTGCAACTGAAATGCATTCCTTATCCTTCAGGGAAGTAGTATTTTATTAAATGTACCAGTATCTCCCAAACATACCCTAAAAGAATATAGTATTTTATTTGGAAACTTCTGTCTTCGAGAGCCTATTTGATTCTATCTTTGGCCTCAAAATGAAGTTGAGAGTCAAACTGAAGCAAATATCCAGATTTTAAAACTGCTCAAAGGTTTTAGAGCAAAGTGGTTTGCTGTTGTCATTCCAATCATTCCATTTCCTCCCTTCTTTGTGGTTGTGGACAGAGTATATTTGCCTTCCACACAGATGCAAAAGAAGGCTTTATGCTTTATTTTATGTCCACCCTGTTATAATAGAAAGTGACAGCACTAAGTCCAGATATAATACATGAAATACATCAGTATTGATTCAAATAAGCAATTAAACCAGTCTAGAACCAGGTAGCAGAACTAGTCCTACCTTCTGACTCTCTTAGTTCTTGCACATATTAAATCTCAACTCACTCTAAAATGATATGAAGAGCAGTGCTTCAAGCTTGGTTGTTTTTAGAAAACTATCTGATTAAAGGAAGGTGCTATTGGTCAATCAAAGAAGTGCTTCTTTTTTTACTAAGCTCTTAGTTTGGGAAAGAACACTGCTGTAGACTGAATCACGTCTGCTCCAAATTCATATGATGAAGGCCTAAAGCTCAGTGTGACTGTTTGGAGGTGGGGCCTATAAGGAGATAAATAAGGTAAAATAAGATCATAAGGGCAGGGCCCTGCTTCAATGAGATCCCAGTGTCCTTACAAGAAAAGAACTAGAGAGCTCAATTGCTCCCTCTCTCTGCTATGTGAGGACACGGTGAGACAGCAGCCATCTACAAGCCAGGAAATGGGCCCTCCCCAGAAAATGCATTGGTCAGCACTATGATCTCGGGCTTCCAAGCCTCTGGAATCATGAGAAATAAATTGCTCTTGTTTAAGCCACTTAATCTGCAGTATTTTGTTATAGCATCCCAAGTTGACTAAGCCAGACACACCTGTGGTGAGGGAGAAAGGACACTGTGTGCAACCTGCCCAAGGGCAGTGCAGCTGATGTCTCAAAAGCCCTACAATTTCAAAAGATTACTGAGACATGCCTGAAAAGCTATATGTATGTTGTCTGATGACTTATTTGAGGACCAAACGCATCCTGGCTGAACGGTTGGGCTCCTGTGTCAACTGATTCAGCCCCGCTTTCACGCTTTCACACATTGACTTCCTGTTGACTTCTCCAGTCTTTTAGCTGAATCTTACCAGTCAACTCTAGATTAACAAAATCTCCTCATCACTTCTTATGTTCTACCATGAAAGGATCACATTCTTTTTCTGGTTTTAGCCATAAATGTCTGTGTGACAGCCTGTTAGAGTCAGCATATGGGTTTACACTGAGGCTTTCCCTGAGAACTTACAAATACATTGAATAAAGTTGCTCTCTGAAAGTTAAAATTTAAACTCTATACATATTAGGTCAGAGCAAAGATACATAAAATCACTCTGAAGAGACATGGGACATTCCCAAAACTGCAAGACTACCTGTAATCTGCTTGAAGGTTAGAGACTACCAGTTTGCTACTCAGTCATCTCCTCTTTTTTTCTGGCATCAAAACTCAAATATTATTTGTTACCACAAATGTGCACAGCCAAAACATGGTATTTTCCAACCTCTCTCCTTGCCAGTAGTGGTCAATGAGAAATAAGTGAAAGTGATTGGCTGAGGGCTTCTAGGAAGTGCCTATAAAAGGAGCTGACTCAGCTGGAAGAAGTGCCCTTTCCCCCTTCTTCCTTCCTACTGCCTGGATTGCAGATGTGATGGCTAAAGCTCCAGCAATAATGCTGAACCACGAGGCAAACTTAAATAGAAGCCAAGTGCTACCGACAGTGAAGTGGAAAGAAGCAGCTGATGACCAAGGAGCCTCCATGCCAATCCTGTACTTTTTCTTTTACACAAAATAAAAATAAAAAATATTTAATCCACTATTATTTGAAGCTTTCTGTTGTATACATCCCACCTAATCGTAATAATAAAATTGGGAACCTAAAACTTCTATGCCTGATATATGCTCCAAACAATGACAAGCATATGCCTTTATCCCCTCATACCCAGACCCTCTCAAATCCTAAATGGCTTTAGCTTTCCACCTTCCCTTATTCATACAAGAATCGATTAAGAAAAACTAACATTTAAATGTTATAATCAATAAACGATTTCCCCCTCACTGTTCATCTATAGCTTACTATGGAGAAACTTCCCTGGCCTACCTGACAAGCTATTTTTATCTTAACCACATACTGCTATATGGCAAACATTTTTGTTTCTATTATAAAAATGATACATAGCACTCAGTAGTCTGTAATACGTTTTACTCCGTTGGTGTTTTTTGTGTGTGTGTGTGTGTTTTTGAGGGGGGGGGTACAGAGTCTAGCTCTGTCGCCCAGGCTGGAGTGCAGTGGCGCGATCTCGGCTCACTGCAAGCTCCGTCTCCCAGGTTCACGCCATTCTCCTGTCTCAGCCTCCGGAGTAGCTGGGACTGCAGGTGCCCATCACCATGCCTGGCTAATTTTTTGTATTTTTAGTACAGACGGGGTTTCACCGTGTTAGCCAGGATGGTCTCGATCTCCTGACCTCGTGATCCACCTACCTGGGCTTCCCAAAGTGCTGGGATTACAGGCGTGAGCCACCGCGCCCAGCCCCATCCATGTATATTTTGTAAATGGATCTTGTAGAACTGTTTTTTGAAAAGTTGCCATGAAAATAATGTTTTCTGGCATTTCAGGTTATTGTTTGTTTTATTATTTCACAATCATTTGAAGTAATACAGCACTGTTTCCAAATCAAACTACAAAAGCAACTCTATTGGAAGACAGTTGATACAGTAATATCCTGAATATTAGCAGTGTTGTAGGAAATCAAAGCAGTCCCATATGGGGTCAGTCAACAGCACATGGGATGGCCATGTTAACAACCAATTCGATAGATTCCAGAATCCCCACCATTTAGCATCTAGAGAGAGAGATATTTATTCATTTATTCATTCACTCACTCACTCACTCAACAAACACATCAAGCACTTCCATTTGCCAAACACTGACCTGGTCACTGGAGCAAGAGGAAAAGATACAATTCCTGCCGTGCAAGAACTCATAGTCTAGACATGTCCATGTTTACATGCAAATAAACATACATATGAAAATAAACAAATATACTATGCTTCAAAATTGGTTACAATGCAGACGTGCACAAAAATTATTATAATACAGATATGCACATGAGACAGAAAACCGACTTACCTCAGGCGTAAGTCAGTCATTCAGAATTCCTGGAGGACAAATAATTGGCCCTACCTGGCTAGACCTATGCAGATGAGACCTGATTCAAAAATATCCTAAGGTAAAGAGAGGGAAAGATCTAGATCACCAGATTTGTACAAACCACTCCAACCGGATAAAAGAAAACACAAGCTACAGCAATTCCCATCATAAAACCATGTCAATAAAGGTGAGCACATTTATTCCTTTTAAGAACTCAGCTCTCTCCCACACCTCTGTGGTCTTCCATAGAGACATCCAAGGCAAAACACGTGACCAGCAGAGATGTCTCAGGAGGAACTGTTCCATTTCCCTCAGCAACAGATGATTCAGCTTTTTCCATGAAGCAAGAATGATTATTGCCATGCTCTGTGGCTCACGCCTGTAATCCCAGCACTTTGGCAGGCTGAGACAGGAGGATCACCTGAGGTCAGGAGTTTGAGACCAGCCTGACCAACATGGAGAAACCCTATCTTTACTAAAAATGCAAAAATTAGCCAGGTGTGGTGGCACATGCCTGTAGTCCCAGCTACTCGGGAGGCTGAGGCATGAGAATTGCTTGAATCCGGGAGGCAGAGGTTGCAGTGAGCCAAACTCGCATCACTGCACTCTAGCCTGGGCCACAGAGCAAGACTCTCTCTCAAAAAAAAAAAAAAAATATTCATCTGACCTTTTAGAAGCTTTGGAGATTTGGGGAATGAGAAGAATTTGTGAATTCCACAAAGCATGGAAACTCTAAAACATACCTATCCCAAACTTTGCCTACCTGCCACCTCTGTTCTCTTCATTTTTATTTTTTTCAAATAAAGGCAACTCAGCAATATTAAAACAGAAGTGGGCTGATGTACTGGCTTCCATGGGCTGCTGTCCTGCCTTACCATACTGGAGGACTGGTGCTGGAGAGTTTCCCACCTTATAGAGTGATCAAACCGCAGTAACCTGCACAAACTACAGATTAGGGTTTGTCAGATTCAGCCATATTTACACAAGACCTGTGTTCTCTATCCAAGTGCTCTCACTTTCGAATCTACGTCATTAAAAATATTATACCTCAAATTAACTATTTGAGTTTTAATTAGGAAAAACATATTTCACAAAACATTTTAGGCTGGTCTGAGTGCAATGGTGTTTAAACTAATTGATCACAATGTTATGGATTTCTTTGTTCCTCCTCCACTCCCATTGCTTCACTTGACTAGCCTTCAAAAAATTTTTAGATAGAAATAGTATAATCACAGAAATGTTACTAGAATTTGTGCTGTAAAATTCACTATGCTATTAGCTCCATGAGAGCTGGGGCCCATATCTGTTTTGATCAACACTGTACAGGCAGAACTTAGCAGAGGACCTCATATGCAGTGACTACTTAATAAATATTTGTAACGGATAGACAGGGGAAGGGATGAATGGATGGATGAATGAAAGAATTTATTGTATCAATTAATGATTGATTTATGATTGAATGAGTGAATGATCAATTAATAACTCTGCTTCTGGAACCATTTAAAGACATATATAATAATTAAAACATCATAACTACTTCATAAAGGCAAGGATTGTGTTGGGCATAAAATAGAAATAATCTCATAATTATTTGATAATGCTTTGAGCTCCATGGTAGGAAAAAAGCACTATATAAACATTGAATATTATTATTATTTATTTGAAAGTTTCAATGAGCCATCTTTTATATAAGACTTAGTAAGTATTGCCATTGCTTTCCAAGGAGGAAAAAAAAGGTTAAGAAAATGATTAGTATGATTGGTCTGAAAGAGATTACTTTCAAAGTTACTTGTTTTGGCCTTGTCATCGTTGTCTAAATACTACAGTAGTTTAGTCAGCTTTTAGCAATATTGAACTTTAAGCTGTTAATTACCTTATTAATTTTCCTAAAATGTTTGTCCTCTTCAGTTCATTGCATACTTAAAGGATTTAGAAATGTTAACATTTTCCAATTCTGTATAAAATTATACTTTCAAAGAAGTTTGGTGAATTTGCAGTGGTTATAATAATACCATCAGGGTCAGTAAATCTGAAGACAGGTATAAACCGCAAATCTTATAGATGGTGGTATTGATACAAGAGATGTCAGATAACTTACCTCTAGCCCAAATGGAACTCCCTGATGTTGTTTAGGAATTGGTTGTCAAGGGGATTGAAGTCTTGAACTCTGCAGAGAAATGGTGTTTTGACAGTTTTTCCCCTTCCTGGCACTGATAATCATTACTTCTCAATACCCACTTCCTTGCTACCCCAAGTAGAATGCAATAGAAATATTTGAGGACAACAAGGTGTCTGTTTCACACTGAAGTAGTAGCCGAATAATCCCTAAAATAGAAAAATAATATTAGAAAAATAATCTCTAAATTTGAGGATTGGAATTGTGGTTGGAGATGTGGAAATTCAGAGAGGCAGAAGAAACAAGAGGCTGGGAGACCCCAGCCAAACACTTGGATGAGGCTATCTTGGTTTGGGCTCCCCCAAAAGCACATCCTGAGGTACAGATTTGGTGCAAAGAGTCTCATTGGAAGGCAACACCAGGAAACTGATAGGAAAGTAGGGAAGTGAGAAGGGAGAGAATAAAAAGCCAATAAAGCGTACATTTTCATGCATTTATCACTATGGGCAACTGGAACACAATCCCACTGGGAACTCCAGGAGACAGTGTGGAACACTCCTCAGAGCTATTCCAAATGAGGGACTAGGAAGCTGCGATCCTTACCAACCAACCTCCCACCATCATTGCTTGAGAGCCACTCCAGGGTCATTAACTTTACAGCCCTTCCAGCTTGTCCTGCTCATGGGCTGTCATATGGTTTGGCTGTGTCCCCACCCAAATCTCATCTAGAATTTTAGCTTTCATAATTCCCACATGTTGTGGTACAGACCCAGTGGGAGATGATTGAATCATACTGTTCTTGTCGTAGTGAGTAAGTCTCACGAGATCTGATGGTTTTATAACGGGAAACCGCTTTTGCATGGTTCTCTTTTCTCTCTTGTCTGCCACCAGGTAAGATGTGCCGTTCACCTTCCACCATTATTGTGAGGCCTCCCCAGCCATGTGGAACTGTGAGTCCATTAAACCTCTTTTCCTTTATAAATTACCCAGTCTCGGGTATGTCTTCATCAGCAGCATGAAAATGGACTAATACAGGCTGAATATACTCCCACAGCTAGGAAAAAAACACAAAACATTCTCAGACAGAGCTGCAGGTTTGTTTTTGGTTTTTTGTAGCAAGGAGTTTTTGTTGTGTAGGCAAGTGCCAGAGGCACCAATGGTATCTGTTACAGCTGCGTTGGAGGCACTCACTACTCCTTGACCATGTTTCCTACCAGAAAGGCTTGACTGCATGACTAGCTCCCTCAGATGATAAATGAGTTGGCTATGAGACGTGAATGACTTACATGATTACATTTGCTACTTCCAGATAACACACTGGATTGTAACACAGTGAATCCAGGGCTGAGACTTTCAGGCACCGAACTGGTTCTGGAAAGGAGATTTTTAACACCCTGAAATCCTACCCTACAAGTAAGTTCAGCAAGTAGGCCCTATTTGAAATTCCAAGATACCTACCAGTCTCATGTGTATGTTCTATTGGTCATGCCCATTGACGGCTGTTTGCATCCAGTTTCCCCTCTGAGATCACACACATTTCCTGCATGGTGCCAGATATTGGTTTAAGAATTTTACCTATCTTAACCCATTAAATCTACACAATGAGACCATGATGTGGGTGCTGTTACTATCTTCGCTTCATAGATGAGGTACAGAGAGATTGCTAACTTGTCCAAGGTCACACCGTGAGTAAATAGCAGAAGAGCATGGGTTCAAACTCAGGTAATCTGACTCTAGAGCCTGCTTGTCCCATAACTTCCTTCATGGGGTCTGGCAAGCACAAACTCATGCAGCTTTCCTCATATGAAGCAAGAGCCACAATTTACCCTAAGGAGATTCTTTCAGCCAATTATACCAACTATTTTAAAATCACCCCACTCCCCCACACCCCAACACATGCCTCAATAGCCCCTGTCTCCCCCTTGTACTGAAAGAACAGAAAATTCTACATCGCAGTAGCACATTGCTCCAGAGAATTCATGGAATAGATTCTAGAGAGTTCATACTAAAAACAGAGAAACAAATCAAGGTGCACCACCCCAGATGTAATGTGCAGAAAAGAGCACTGAACTCTGGAAATCAGTAAAATATGGGTTCTCGTCCCAAAAATGCTATTAGCTTTGCAACCTTGACCAAGTCACTTCATTTCTCTGAGCTTCCATTTCTTCCCCTGCCACATAAGTGATTTGGACTAGACAAAATATAAAGTTCCTAGGAGCCCTAAAAATCCATGATCTTGGATTCAAAAATGTTTCTCATTAATTATGCTGCTGGATGGAGGCAACATCTTCCATTCCCCTTTTTTGAGCAATTGACAAAGCCCTGCCTTTGGAGTTCCCTCCTTTTCTGATGCCATATCATTTCCAAGCCACAGCCACAGATGGCTGTTGGATATAAGTACCAGAGACCAAATGCAAGAAGCAGAGCTCTAAAGAGCTAGTCAGCAACCACAGGAGGCTCCTTGTCCCAGTCTCAGTTTCACAGGTTTGGCATCCCCCAATTTTTCTTATATGAGGGGAGTACATGGAAAAAGTATCTCAGCAAAGTAATTTTTCTTTTTATAATAATATTTTTCGGTATCTAAGGAAACAGGAACCACTTGACAGGTCCTAAACAAACTCAGACCAAGCCTAAGTGAAATCAGAGTGTAAACCTTATATTAAACAGGCTGCCTCTTTTTGTAATTAAGCTTTTATTATGAAAAATTTTTAACATATGCTAAAGAGCTTACTCTCATGAGTCCCATGAACCAATTACCTAGCTTCAACAACTTTCAATTCATGGCCAACCTTGTTTCATCTCTACCCCACCCAGTCCCCTCAACTCTAGATTATTTTGAAGCAAATCCCCACCGTTATGTCATGTCACCTGTAAATATTTACTATGTAGCTCTAAAAGACAAGAACTCTTTTTGAAAGCATAACCTTGATATCATTACTGTGATTGTTTAATCTTATTTTGCATCTTTTCTAAAATTAACATTAGTTATTTGATATCAAACAATATTCAATGTCCAAGTTTCTCCAATTGTCTCGTTTTTTAAACAAGTAATGTATTCAATTCAGTATCCAAACGTGACCCATATATTGAAACGTATTAATGTGTCCCTTAAATCTCTTTGAATGTATAGGATTTTTCTGACATCATTTTGTTTCCTTGTAATTTTGTCGTTGAAGAAACTGCCCATTTTTCCTGAAGGGTTTGCCAGAGTGGATTCTGAGTATTACATCTCCATGGTGTCATTTAAAATGTCACTCTCTCCATTCAATTTTCTGATAATTGGTAGTGAGTTCTAGAGGCTTGAGCAGATTAAGGTTCAGTTTGGGGGCAAGGTAAAGTTTGTATTTCTGTTACGAGTACATAATATCAGTGTCCTTTGGTGTGATGTTAGCAGCATTGATCACTGCCTAGATCCCTTAATTAATTCATTAGAATGGTCCTAGTTATTGGGTCAGTCATTGTTTCTAGGCCTCTTTTGGGGGTATAGCTAGGAAAGAAATTTTGGTTTTTTGTTTGTTTTTGTTTTGGGGAGCAGGTTGTTTGTTTTTTAAGAAAACATGTAAGTTCATACTGATTCTTCTTGTTGGAAATTGGGTCCACAGAATATTTGTCTAATTTCATTCTCACATTTACATCTCCGTTCTCTCATGTTGAAATCCAAGCTCTTAAGGACAAAAAGCATAATTACTCATTTCTTTTTTCAGAAAATAATACGTAATGGTCTCACAATGATGATATCAATACTATCACCGAAATATGATTACTGAAAACAGTTTAAGCACATTTTATTATTAGGGGAAGTTTGGTTTGTCTTGCAAGAATTTTTTTTCCTTTAGGGTATGTCCCATTAAGGATTTATAGACAAATTCCTGTGTCACTTAAGTTTCAAATCAAATCCACAAAACAAGAGCTATTCAGAGAACTACAGCTTTGATTAGTCTTTTTCCTTCCCTTTCCACTAGACAATTATGTTTTTACTTTATTAAAAGTTAATTTTATCCTCTTTAAAAATGTTATTAACATTTGTTTTTAATTTAGCTTTCTTATATGATAGCATATTTAACATACTTTACCATCTTACTTTTTGTTCTTTTTCCTTTTTTTTCTTTTTGTTAATATTGTATTCTGAAGATATAACTGTATAGCAGCACAGTTGGCCTTTGAACAACACAGGTTTGAACTGAGCAGGTCCACTTATATGAAGATTTGTTTAAGTAAATGTGGATCAAAAATACAGTATTCATGGGATGTACACCCTGACTTTTAGTATAGGTGGATTCCACAGGGGTGACTACAGAGGTAGGAAGAGGCAGGGTCCTGGAACCAATCCCCCATGTATATGGAGAGATGACTGTTCCTCATCCCTTTTTACAGCTACATGGTATGCAATGTATAGATGTATCAATAATTTATTCAACCAGTCCTCTGGTTGGATGGACGATTGGATTCATTCCAGTGTTTTTCAATCCCAGATAACGCTGCAATAAATATGATGTCTCATTTTTCTTTTTTTTTTTTTAAGTTTCACACATAAAGAATTGGAAAAATTCTCCTCGCTTCAATTTTCATCGCTTTGTGCCTTCCATATCTTTGTGTCTCTACGTCTTGGTACAGATTCTGACAAAGAGTAGATGCTCAATACATGTTTGCTGAGTAAAGAACTCAACCATTTATGTGTGCAATCTACAAGTAGACCAGTTAATTACATGAATGAAAATTTGAAAATGTTGGTGAGGTTAACGCAAATCTTATAACTTAGTGAATATTTTCTATACTCAAAGACTCATTTATCTATAAGGAAGGTAGCCTAATGTACTGTGAGTCCAAAAACTTCTCTGAGCTAATGCATTATGAAAATGCATTTTTAAAAGATACTCTCAGTGAAGCACAGAGTCTTGGGCTTCCTTTCTTGGCCAATTTTTTTACCAAGAGGTTGGAAGTGGTTGTAACCAGTATAAAAGAGAATAGAGTCTAGGTCTTAAGTGTTTGTTTCTCCGTAAGAATGTGGTAGGCACCACTGAAGGGTTAGTGATGATGTGGTTCTCTTATGGAAGTCTGTACTACTTAGTGGCACTGTGATTGTTTCATTGTGCTATAATTCATTCATTTCTGTGAAGTCTATCTCCCCTGCTAGGATGTAAGCTTCATGGGCAGAGACCATGTCTATCTGTGTCTGATGTCCAAATGTCCCACACTGAACCTGGCACATGGTAGATACTCAATAAACATTTGCTGAATAAATTGATGAATCCAGGGTTTTCACAGGCAACACCTCTTTCCAGTGCAAATGAAAAAGTTACTGTGCAGCAAATCTGACTTTAAACCTGTTTTAGCTGGAATCCCCTGACACCACTCCAGCAAGGGAAAAGGGGACACCACCTACCTCATTACTGCCAGATGGAAGCCAAAGTCCAGGTTTCCCACTCAGCCTCCATCAACACCCACAGGGAGAAAGTCCTTCATTACTGCTGGGAAGATGGGACAGTTCTGGCTCCCACTAGGTGCCTATGGGTACCTCCCAGAGTGGGAGTTTAGGAGTGCCTCATGACTGCTCCCCCATGCCCTCCAACAGCACCAACTGGGGACAGGCAGCTCACTACTACTCAGTGGGAATGAAGGTCCTAGCCCCCGGAAGAGAGATTGGGAAAGACTTATTACAGTCTGGATAGAAGTCTGGGATCCACCACGTGGTTTGTGCTGGCATGGTGAGGAGGAGGGTACACAGCTTTATGGTATTTGGCTGGAGTAGAGTGGTTATTGTCTAAAAGTTTTCTGCCTTGCGAGGCTTCTCTTTTCCTGGCCCTTTGAGTACAAAGATCAGGCTTTCATTGAGGTTTATTTTCTTTGTCCATGAACGTTCCTTTTTCCAGGTTGCCAGCTTCTGAAGCAATAAGTCTGGATCCATGCATAAAAAAGAAAACCTGCAGAACTCACCGCTGAGCTCCTTAGGCCTCAAGGTCCTATCTAGTCTGCCTTCTTCTCTCCAACTTTTGGAGTCTTTTTATGTTTGTTTTTTATATAATATCCAGGGAAGGAAAAGAGAAAAGTATATCTTACTCCAGAAGAAATGAGGAAAAGTATATTTTCTCCAAAAGGAATAGGGAAAGCATCACTCCATCTTCCCAGAAGTTAAAGCCTGACATTGCATTTTTTAATCCCTCTTTTCTAACAGTGATGTGTTAGGCAATGTTTTGTCATTATGACATTGGGTATATCCTCATTCAATTGTTTGTTAATTTAATGAGAATTTATTGAGTTCTTCCCATATCCCCAACTCTGAGCTAGTCCCCAAAGGTACAAGGATGCACAAGATCCCACTTTCACAGTCAAGTATAGGAGACAGTACAAAGTGATACAGACTATAATAGAGATCCATACAAAGAGCTGTAGGAGACAGAGGAGAGAGCAATTCGCAGGGATGGGGTGGAGGTGAGGGTGGAGTAAATGTAGAAAAGTCTCCCCAGAGGAAGAGATATTTAAGCCAGGTTTAAAAATAAGAAGGAGTTTTCCAAGCATAAGGCAGAATGTCATTTTAAGCAAAATGAACAGCATGAACAAAGCCACAGAGGCATTGAAGAGAAGGGAACAGTAAATAATTCTATGTGGCTGGAGCATGGGATGGGAGAAAACGTGATGAGAGATGAGAATGTAAAGTGATTATGAGACATATCATATAAGGTCCCTATCACAAAAGGCCACAGCCACAGTTTTCCCTAAGCAAAACTTATGCAGGCTATACTGAATCAATGACATGCACTGCACACTTCCCCTTGGGTTGTGCCAGAAATGAATCTCCTCCCATACCTGGTTGTTAAGAATTACTCTCTTTATCTGGGTAGCTAAAATAGTCAAATGCATAGAATTAAAGAGTAGAATGGTGGTTGCCAGGGGCCAGAGGAGGGAGTAAATGGGGATTTACTAATCAACAAGCATAAAATTTCAGTCAAGCAAAATGAATAAGCTCCAAAGATCTGCTACACAACATGTACCTGTAGTCAACAATAATGTATTATACGCTTAATTTGTTAAGATGGTACATCTCATCTTAAGTGTTTTTACCACAATAGGATTTTTAAAATAAAAAAATTACCCTCTTTATCCAGCCAAAGCACATTTCACTCAACAGTTTGTCAATTCCAGGCTCCCCCAGGCATTGTCACAATCACACCCAAAAAAAGAAGGGACTGCTGCACTTCTCTTAACCAATTAGTGGTCCATTTGGGTCTGTCAGCAATTTAAAGTTCCAGAAACAGTCTGCCGTTATGTTTATTTACATTTCTGCTGCCCTGAAAATGAAAATGATAGAAAAAAAGAGTGAGAAAGTAAGAAAATAAAGATAATAAGGCTGGCAGAAATGCCTTAAACTAAAGCTCCATACTAAATCTTATCACAGATGGGAGGCCCACATATGAAAGATGTAGGCCTGAAATTGACGGGCCTTGGCCAGAAGAGCGTGTTCCTCTGACAGGCCACAGAAGCAACAGCTATAATCGCAGGGAGGATTTGGCCCTCCAAAGTCAACCAACATTGCTTTTGGGAATTCTCTTGGACTGGCTGTCCCCCTATTGTGGACAGTTTGAAGACCCTTTGACCCTAAGCAGGACCACAAACTCAGCTCCTATTTGATCTGCTTTATTGCCCATGCTTTGAGGGAGGGGGAAGGGGAAATAACAACAGGACCTAGAGAATGTTTTCCCAGAGCTATAGGCTATACCTCTAACTTATGATGATAGTCACGTAACATCTGTTGAGCGTCCAAGTCATTTAGAAGACTCAAGAGAAGGAAAATCTATTGTACTTAGGCATATTTGGCCTTGCTATGTTCTTTCTTCCTGCCTGATGTTCCAAGATTCCTTCTTTCATCATTTTCTTTCTGTTTAGAGAACTGCATTTAGCCATTCTTTTAGGGTTGGTCTGCTGAAAACAAACTCTCTTAGTTCTCTTTCATCTGAAAATGTCTTGATTTCCTCTTTATCCTTAAAGACTTACTGGATATAGGATTCTGGGCTGACAGTTTTTTCCTTCAGCACTTGAAAAATATTGCACACTTCCAGCTGGCCTCCATGATTTCTGGTGAAAATCAGCTGTGATTTGAATTATTTCTCCCCTAAAAGTAAGGTGTTATTTCTCTCATCTGGCTTTCAAGCTATTCCTTTGTCTTGAGTTTTAGAAGTTTGACTATGATGTATCTTAGTATGGGTTTCTCTGGGTGGGAATTTCTCAACTTCTTGAATTTGACCAAATTTGAGGAGTTTTCAGCTATTATTTCTTTGAGTACTTCTTCAGGCCCAACCTCTTCCTTCACTGCTTTTGAAATTCTGATGATACAAATATTAGATCTTTTGCTATAGTTTCACAGGTTCCTGAGGCTCTGTTCATATTTTCTCATCTATTTCTCTCTGTTGTTCAGGTCATAAAATTTCCGGTTCACAGATTCTTCCTCTGTTCCCTCCCTTCTTCTAGTAATCCTGTCTATTGAGATATTTATTTGTTTATTGTATTTTCCAGTTCAAAGATTTTCATTTGGTTCTTCTTTATATCTTCTATTTATTTGCTGAGGCTTTCTATTTATTAATTTGTTTCAAGCGTTTTGTAATTGCTCGAATAATTTTATGATGGCTGCTTTAAAATTTTTGTCAGATAATTCTAATATCCGTCATCTCAGTGTTGACATTTTTGTAATTTTTCATTCAGTTTGAGCTCTTCCCACTTTTTAGTATAATGAGTTATTTTGGATTGAATCCTGGATATTTTGGGTACAGGTGGTGTTTTAGTGCATTCTCATACTGCTATGGAGAAATACCCAAGACTGGGTAATTTATAAAGAAAAAGAGGTTTAATAGACTCACAGTTCCACCTGGCTGGGGAGGCCTCGCAATCATGGCGGAAGGCAAAGGAGGAGCAAAGACGTGTCTTGCATGGTGGCAGGCAAGCGAGCATGTGCAGGGAAACTGCCCTTTATAAAACCAACAGATTTTGTGAGACTTATTCACTATCATAAGAACAGCACAGGAAACAGCCATCCCTATGATTCAATTACTTCCCACTGGGTCCCTCCTATGACACATGGGGATTATGAGAGCTACAATTCAAGATGAGATTCTGGTGGGGACACAGCCAAATCATATCAGGTGAATTTCTCAAGATTGCATTTGGTTCCCACTCATAATTGAGACATGAGTGAGACATGAGTACAGGACACATTTCATAATCCATTTATTTCAACTATAAGGAAAACAACAGTATAAGCACAATAATAAATGGTAAGTAGAGATCTCATTATGAAGAGACAACAGAGAGCGGTGGGGACTGTGGCAAACTGGAGGGTAATTGCTCAGTATAGGGTGGTAGCTACTACTTACTTCTTCCTGATTGTTGATGAAGGAGATTTTAAGTCTAATGTTATTAGATATTCTTACCTTTTAGGAGAAGGCAGGCATCCAGATTTTTATATGTAATTTCTGTATTTTAAAATGATGAAAAAGAATTTAAATTATTTAAAACAATGTATTGGTACACATCATGAAGACCAAACTAAACACAACAGTGATCAGAATATACTCTAGGTGTAGCCAGTCAACAACCTTCGCTTTAGAAAAATATATTTTCCTAAGCAAAGATATAGTGCCTGAAATTCATTTTCTGTTTTAGAGAAAGATATATGGCCTTATGTGAATTGCTCACAGGAAACTGCAAGTCAAGATATGAATCCTCACTATAGCTGGAACTGGAACTGAACCAATCTAGAGAAAGCTTAGTACTTTTGTCTTATTTGTGGAATTATTTAAGAATAAATTATCTAGCTTTGGCAAAATGAACTGATGAAGGACTCATAAACTGATAGGAGTGCTCTTTGGGGGCCTAAAGGTAAGACCACCCACAATGGGTGGGGGATGGGGTTTTCCCTGAAAGGGGTGTACATTCCCACTGTCAACCATCCTGGGAATGAAAGAGCCCATAAAAACAAATAAGAAGTTGGAGAATGCGCCCTAGACTGAGAATGGGAAAATGTTGCAAACTGACCTAAGCCAATGTGTGCTTTTCACATACATCAGGTTTTAATTGCTAAAAATCTAGTTTTGGAGCCTCTAGTTTTGAGGTGAATGGGAGCTGCATGTCTTCTTTCCTAGAACTTCCTACCAGACAGAATTCTGCCACATCTTTTTCAGTAAGCAGGAACAAAAATATTCAATGTGACTTGGGGGCTCAGAAAATCTCTAGCTGTCCTTTAGAAATTTGGACAAGCCCATTGCATGAAATATTACCTCACAGGCAGATACAACAAAATTTCTGACAGCAGTATTAGGACAAACTCCTGCCATTAAGTGGTACCACATAAGACCACCCAGTTTTAGCCCTGCAGTTCTTTCCTGAAGGTATTAGACTCTCCTGATTCTTATATGCCATTCATTCAAGGGTTAAGGTGTCTACATAATCTTTCTAAACAGTCCCATTACAATCATGTGCCACATAGACCATGTTGTAGTTAATGCCAGAATGTATATACCACAATGGTGTGATAAGATTACACAGTAGTACCATAATTTTACTGCACTTTTCTATGTTTAGATGTGCAAATACTTATTGTGTTACAACTGCCTACAGTAACATGCTCTACAGGTTTGTCACCTAAGATCAATAGGATATACAATGTAGCTGAGGTGTATAGTAGACTATACCATCTTAGTTTGTGTAAATACACCTGTGACATTCACACAACCACACAATTGCCTAATAACGCATTTCTCAGAATGTATCTTCATGATTAAGCAATGCATGACTGTATTTTGACATGACTCATTTCATCAATGAAAATGCATTCCCATTATCCTTTCTGCTACCTAACCAGTACGTTGATACAGATTTACATAATGAACTTTGAAGCACGTCTGAGTGGTGACAACTCCTCATTAGAGCCCTTCAAAATCTAACTCTCCCTTGAGTGTGAATCGTCCCCAACCAGGATGTGGATGAATGTTAATGCAAACACGCATACACTCATACATATGCACATGTACACACACACACATACATATTCACACACATAAATATACAATATTGCACACACATACATACATGTACATATATGCATGCATGCACTCACACACACACAAAAAAATACACATGCACATACACTCTCGTGCATCACATGGCTTCTAGAGCCTACTTTTGAATCTAGATGCACCCTTTAGTCAATGTTTGGCCTTAAATCAGTTACCTACCTTTTCTGTATTTCAGTTTCATCCTCTGTAAAATTGGTATGATAATAGTACCAATCTTACAGGATTGTTATAAGGCTTAAATGAGTTAATATATGGAATGCTTTATATAGTAAACTCTATAGAAGTATAAACTGTGGTTGTCATTATTATTAATGTTAATATTGTTAGTGATCTATTTTAAAGTAAATGAATGATAATGTAGCAATAGAGAACTTCTTCCTCTCTGTTGAAGTTGAATGGGCGGCACAGGTCGCAGAGAACCTGATACTGAGGAATAGAAATAAGTTTGTGGGGAGGGAGACATTGGCTGTTCTCCAGAACAGCAGGCTGGGTCTGACAAGGGACCAACATAGAGGCTCCTGGGCTTGTGGGCCCCAAAGGCAGCCACGTCCAGTAGCCAGTTGATAGTCACTCTTCATAATATAATTCCCTTTGTTTACCCCTGAGTTATTAAAAAATACAACATAGGTGAACAATTCTTTAGGGAATTTAGGAGAAAGGATATGTATACACTCGCACTAGAGAAATGAAAGAGGCAGCATTAGCTGAGGAGTTGGCAGTGGGGGGAAGGAGAGGCATCCAGAGCTATAGACACAGTGGCCTGTGGCTGAGCAGGAGAGGCAGTCCACATCTAAGTGACTGCAAAGGCTCAGATGCAGTGGGAACTGATGAGGCAACATCTGCCCGACCATCCCCCAGAACAGCTGGATAGGAGAGAAACTTGCAAAGAGGGAGTGGGGTCCTGCTCTCACTGAGTGGGAATATTTGCACAGCAGCAGATTTTGAGTTTACCTGCTAATGTAATCCCCTTTATATACTCAAATAAGTGAGAATGTAATCCCCTTTATATACTCAGATAAGTGAGACTTAAGGGCTATTTGCTTCACACCCATTACATAGACAAGTAATATTAGCCCACAAGTGATAACAGTAATAGCAGCCAGTAAATAACAGAGCTGGCATTTGCACCAAGTTGGACTGACCTCAGAATCTATACTGTGTTTACTAAGGGAGAGAGGAAGTTCTGAAAAAAAATGCATGGAGGACCAGGCAGATTTAATTAAACTCTACAAACAGTATGAGAGGAAACTTTAGAAAGTGGACACTCTAATGATGCTACCTAGGAAGAAGACACTAGAAGCCTGCAATTGGAGACCAAGAAGATTAGAAGAGACAGAAATGTTTCTAGCCAGGGAGTGAATGGCCAACCAATCCAGACAGAGCTAAGTCCTATGATTACATAATGAAGCCACGTATGTTGCTTCGAAAACAATGATAGTCTATTAGGCAGCATCCATTGAATGCAGGCAGAGTTCATGATGTTAGAGGAAAAACAGAAAAGGAAAAGCACACTGTACAGATGTTACCAGTGGAGGGTGTCCAGATTCTTGGCATTTTAAACAAAGAACTGGAAAAAAACTCACAAATAAAGCAATGAAAGAAACAGATTTACTGAAATGAAAGTACACTCCACAGAGCAGGAGTGGGCTTCAGCAAGTGGCTCATGAGCACTGGTTACAGAATTTTCTGCGATTTAAATACTCTCTAGAGATTTCCCATTGGTTACTTGTAAATTACTATGTAAATTAAGTAGTGGCCCTCAATCAGAGGCTGAAGTGAAATTACAAAGTTATACTCCTATGCAGATGAAGACTTGGCCCCGACCAGCCTGATTGGTTGCAAGAGGGGACCAATCAGAGGTACTTTCAATTTTTCATCTGCCACCCAGAAAAGGGGCATGAGGGTTCTAAAGGGAGTAGCCTCTGGTCCTTTTGTCACTTGGGCATGGAAAGCTGGGGTTTTCCTGTTTATGTTGTTCTAGGAAGTCAGTGTGGATCGGCCTTAGGTTCCCTGCCTCCAGACCCTATTCTCCTGCCTCACAGAGAGATCACACGAAGCAGGTAGACCCACAAGAATCATGATGGCCAAGTCTCTCAGTCTGACCTACTGGTTATGAACACAGCCTTTGTCATTCCTGACCACAGCTTCAATGTGGAGAGGAAACCTCTCTGAGCCAGCCAGTCAGCACCAAACAGACTATGCCAGTGACCCAGAAGCAAAACCTCTGTGTGTCTTGGTGTCCTGGGATCCCAGTATGCTGAGGTTCACTGCCTTGACCTTCACGATGACCCCCAAAACTCAGTGAAGGTGAGATGGAAGTGCAATGCCCTTGAAAGCATAGCAGTCAGTGGTGAGCTGGTAAAATGGTTAGCAACCAGCTCTTGGAAGAAAAAGCCTTGATTTGTATTGTTTGCTGATTTCCATTGTGTAAATATTCCCACCATAGCCAGTTTCAGGCTACTGATGTGACGTCACTAAATGTGATGCTGGGAAGAGATGCTGAGTAACACACCACTATATAGTGCAGACACAACAGACATAAGTGACCTCAACAGTATAGGTATTAGGAAAATGTGATAAAATAATTAAGAAGTATAGTTGGCCCCTGAATTACATGGGAGTTAGGGGCACCAACCCTCTGCAGAGTCAAAAATCTGTGTATAAATTTCAACTCCCTAAAACCTTAACTACTAATAGCCCACTGTTGACAGGAAGCATCACAGATAACACAAACAGCCAATTAACACATATTTTGTATAATATATATATTATGCACTGTATTGTTACAATAAAGTAAACTTGAGAGAAGAAAATGTTATTAAGAAAATCATAAGGGAGGCTGGGCGCGGTGGCTCACGCTTGTAATCCTAGCACTTTGGGAGGTCGAGGCAGGAGGATCACTTGAGGTCAGGAGTTCGAAATCAGCCTGGCCAACATGGTGAAACCCCATCTCTACAAAAAAAAACAAAAAATTAGCTGGGTGTGGTGGAAGGCACCTGTAATTTCTGCTACTCAGGAGGCTGAGACAGGAGAATTGCTTGAACCCGGGAGGCAGAGGTTGCAGTGAGCTGAGATCATGCCACTGCACTCCAGCCTGGGTGACAGAGCAAGACTCTGTCTCAAAAAGAAAAAAAAAAGAAAAGAAAAAGAAAGAAAATCATAAGGGAAAAGAAACGCAGTCCTGCACTGTATTTCTCAATACTGTAAGTTTATATTGTCTGCTTATAAGATGAATCATGTATCTGAAATGGTGAGCAAATGCAGCTACAGATCTCATCTATGGTACATATTAAGCAATTTAACTTTTTCTTGTAACGTCATGACTTTTCTTTACTACTTGGGGGCACTTCCACCATCGTTGGTGACACTTTCTATGGGTCTCATGGTGTTATTGAAGGTTTACAGTATTGCATTAAACACATTGAAAAATACAAGAGAACAACAAAAGATCACCTCTTACTGCAATTTGTAATTTACTGGAGAGATGAACTGCTCACAAGAAGATGATGAGTGGCATATGCATTTTAATATTTATTTATTTATTTATTTATTTTGAGATGGAGTCTCACTCTTTTGCCCAGGCTGGAGTGCAGTGATGCAATCTCAGCTCGCTGCAACCTCTGCCTCCTTGGTTCAAGCAATTCTCCTGCCTCAGCCTCCCAAGTAGCTGGGATTACAGGCGCCCACTACCATGCCAAGGTAATTTGTGTATTTTCAGTAGAGACGGGGTTTCACCGTGTTGGCCATGGCTGGTCTTGAACTCATGACATCAAGTGATCTGCCCGCCTCGGCCTCCCAAAGTGCTGAGATTACAGGCGTGAGCCACCACATCCAGCCAGCACATGCATTTTAAATGGATACTTGCAACAACTGAAATCACTGCAATTGCAGCAGGTGGTGACTACAAAATTATTACAGCAGTACAGTGTATAATACAGTTAATTTATGTAGTTATTATTTAATACTGCATCTTTATGTTTGGTGAAATTTCTGTCGACTGCAAATGGCAACATAAACAGTCTATATTTGTATGCATAAGTTTTGATAAATTTTAACTTTTTATAATATATTTGTGTATATTTTATAGTAGTGAGTGATAAAATAGACTAGTATCTACATATATTTTATGAATTCCTGACTTTTTTTTAACTTTTCAACATTTCTAGGCTATGCAGTTCATCTTTGGATTTTTTCAAATTGTTGCAAATCTCCAAAAAATTGTCCAGTATATTTACTGAGAAAAATATGTGTATAACTGGACCTGCAAAGTTCAAACGCATGTTGTTCAAGGGTCAACTGTTGTTTTATATGATTTATTTAATTGTAAGTTTATCTAACTTAATTTTCAATATTGGCTAAGTAAACAACTGGCTTTCAAAATCCCTAAAAATTTAACAGTTGGCTCTTGTGAGCTAGGACAAGCCAGCTCCAGCATACCTCTGAGCCAGTGTTTTACTTTATGAAGAATTATTGACTGAAAGGTGAACTAGCAAAGGAATGCGATTTTTACAAAGGGGCAAGTCATCCAAGGAGGTAACACAAAAAAGTAAAGAAGTTTTAAAGCAATCTTAGAGGGCTTTTTCACTTCCACCTTGTCAGCGTAGGTTTGCAAATTTTTATCAAAATTTGCCATCGATTGGTTTCTTCAATGTTAATAATTTGTTGAATTGCAACTTCTCTTGTATAGTCACCCCTCTATAGAATATATTAAAGGTCTAACTCAGTCTTCTACACGTTCCCCTGTAATAAAATATAATAGGTATCATTTTTATAGTTGTATCTTCTCAAAAATAAATTTAGTGGGAGACAGAGGGTGGACGGGGGAAGACTGAAGATGAAGAAGATAAATTGGTGATTTAGCACCACTTCACTGTCCACAAACTCATATTACATTTAATACTGCTCCCCAAGATCAAAGAAGCAAATGGATAGGTGAAAATCAACAGGATGCACCTGAGCATTTAGGATCAAAGACACAGATAATCCCTGCTCTTGAAGATTTTGTTCATCAGGGTTCCCCAGAGCCCACCATGGTATTTGGTATATGTACAGTAGATATCAGGTCCTTATTTATTGACTATTGGTTCCCCCAACCTTCAGAAGCAAGCTAAGTGTCCTCGGATGCGGTAAGACCTATCTAAAGAAGGGATTATTAAACAAAATGAATTTACCCTTTCAGAAAATTCAGCTCACCTGCCCAGAGTTCTAAGGAAGAGCCTGTTAGGAATGTTTATCCTGTTGGAAGGCTTACAAGGAGATTTAAGTTGTACACCTCACTTCTAAACAGCCTTGAATTATTAGGGAAGATCAATTTGCTGCCATCTATTTTGTAACAACCAAGTGAACAATGACAGCGAGGTCAGTTTCCCTTAGAATAATAATGGTGTCACCTATGATGGGTTTAGTTTCTCTGAGGAAACTTTCATGTTGGTTTATAGGATTGTTGGCCACCAACTGAGGCTGCCCAGTGCCTGCCCCCAAAGCTTTGAGGGAAATTGTGTTCTCCCAACAGAAGTTACCTCTTTAGGGTCTAACATTTCTCCCTCAGTAAGACCTCTTTCCCTAAGCTCCTGGCTATACATTTCATCTGACATAAATGTTTGTACTGAATCTTCTGTGAAATGTTTAGACTGCCAACAACACTAAAAACTCAAAAACAACTCCTTGCCCACATACTTTTCATATTCCACATAAATCCTCACTTAAGAGATACAGAGTATACAACATATGGTGAGTCCTGTTCTCAAATAACCAGAAGTAACTTGAATAGGATCATTAAACTATCTTCCTTTCAGACACTAGTGAAAGTAACATTTGGGAATAGGAAATACAAAAGAATGATCCATCACAAGAAAACTAAAAATATTTCCTGTTACAATGGCATAGATTTGATTGGGTGAGATTTCCTGAAGTATTGCAAATGAGATCTATTGGCACAAAAGGAAAAGGAAATAAATATTTGTCTACATTTGTAAAGCTAAGAGAGTAGGACTTTAAACCCTATTTACCTTTTAAAATTAAGCATAGCTGGAAATAATAATATACCCAGGAGCGAGCAGGAAGCCATCTTTCCACAGTAAGGCACTGTATGAACCAGAAACATGCCATGTAACTTGAACCATCTGGGAAGGACATGGGTTGTACTCTAAGGATAACAGAGACATGACATTTTCAAATGTATATACAACGATGATCAAAGCCTTGAAATGCTCAAGGAAACTCATTTCTGTTATAATACGTAAATAACTTCACCAGGAAAACACACATAAAATGCCTCCATTGAAAATAAAACCAGTTTACATAAATGTATAGTCAGTTCTGAAGCTTATTTTCACATAAACGTAATTTTAATCTAGATGTAGTCTTTTTTAAATTTAGCATTCTTTTATAAACTCTTTACCATGTAACAAAAAAGTCCACATGGTCATCATCATAACAACTGTCTTGGGTTGGGTCCCTCCAAAAAGCAGGTGCTGAGACATGGATGTGAGTACAAATAGTTCTTTTAGGAGGTAATCCCAAGAAATACTTGCAGAAAACTGGGAAAAATGAGGAAACCAGTGAAGGATATGTTATTGGGCAAGTTACCACTGTGAGTCACCAGGGCTCAATCCCCACTGGGGACCCCGGGAGACAGTGTGGAACACACCCTAGAGTTAACCCAACCAAGGGGTGAAGCAGCTGGGGTATTTATTCACTAACTCCCATCGGCAAATGGCTGAGAGATGCTTCCAGGGGGTTTTAATCCTCAGCATTTTAAGGCTGCTCTGCGAAGGGGCTCAGAGGGCTTTGACACTCAGAGAAAGCTCATTGGCAAAGATTTGCAGGTGCTTACAGTTGGAAGTGACTGGATAGCAAGCATATGAATGGGAAGTCCTGAGGTTGTGTGGTCATGGCACAAGAGAATCAGGTGAAATAACTGTATAATATTTCATCATATTACTATACTACCATTTTTCTATTTGCTTTGAGAACAGACTTTAATTGTCCAAGTTTTAGAAAGAAGTCAGTTAGTATAACACTCATGTGAAACTTAGAATAGGTACCTAAGAGTTGTATTAAATTGTTTTATAATTAACATTGTAGAAAGATGAATGCATTGTTTTTGTTCAAAAGTTGTTCATTCACTCTACACTCATTAAGATGACTATAATTAAAAGAAAGAAAGTGACAAGTATTGGGGAAGATGTAGACAGATCAGAACCCTTGCCCACTGTTGAGTGGGAATGTAAATTGTGCAGCCACTGTGGAAAACAGTATGGTAGTTCAGCAAAAAAATTTAAATTGAATTAGCATATGATCCAGCAATTCCCCTCCTGGGTATATACTCAAGAGAATTAAAAGCAGGGACTTAAACAGATAAATATTCATATTCCCCTGCTAAGAGTAGCTTTATGCACAGTAAACAAAAGATGGAAGCAACCCAAATGTCTATCAATGCATGAATGGATAAAGTGTGGTCTGTACATATAATGGAATATTATTCAGCCATAAAAAGGAAATATGGCATATTCTATTACATAGGTGAGCCTTGAGGATATTATGCTAAGTGAAATAAGCCAGTCTCAAAAGAACAAATACTGTCTGTATAATTCTACTTATATGAGGTACCTAGAGTAGTCAAATTTACAGAGACAGAAAGAAGGGTAGTTTCCAGGGGCTGAGAGAGTGGGGAATGGAGAGTTATTGTTTAATGAGTATACAGTTTCAATTTTGGAAGATGAAAAAAGCTCTGGAGATGGCTGGTAGCAACGGTTGCCCAACAATGTAAATGGACTTAATGCCATCAAACTGTACACTTAAAAATGGTTAAAATGGTAAATTCCATTTGTATAAGTCTTACTTTAATAAAAAGAATCCTGCAAAAAATTTAAAAATAAAAATAAGCAAATGAACTATTACAGGCCACAACATGAAGTTTTTTAAGCAAAAAAGATGTACATTAATTTCCTCAATATCTGCCATGCTGTACATACTTAGCTTTTTGAAATAGCATCTAGAGCCTGTGAAAATAGCAATAGACATTTTGGGGCTCTCTGATGTTCTTGCCATCCTTACTCTAAATTCATTCACACCCAAAGTCTTCCTCGTGCTAGAATAAAGCCAGCATTCGATCCAAAAATACAACAGTTTGACCTGAGCTCTTCCGCCAAGATACAGTTCACTTGCAGTTGTGTGTTTCTAATGTTGGTGAAGAAAAGCCAGGAGCCTTCAATGTCCAGAAAGAGTTGGCAACACGGGTTGGCCAGTGGTGTCTATGTTGAGAGCTGGTTCACCTGCCCTCTTCAGAATGGTTGTCAAAATCTGTTCAGGAAGCCCTCAAGGAAGGCAGTTTTCAGGCTAGCCTATTGGTCCCCTCCCCCAGAGTATGTTAGTTCAGCATCTGTCTCAGAACAAGAACTCAGTAAATATCTCACAAATTAATGAATAAATAATTAAACCAATGAATAAATAAATGAAATTCTACAAGAAAAGTCCAACAAGCCTGGAAAAAAGCTGTGCCACCATTAGTTATTCTAATACCCCTGCTCCCCCGTCACTGAAGGAAATAGATGCTGCACTGGGAGGACATGTCATCTTCATCAAACCCCTGCCCGGTGGAAACACCAGGCAGGCAATAAGCCCCACAGAGCCCTCTCTCTGCACATTCCCATCCCTGTGCCTCACAGTCCCTTCCAACATAGGAGCCTGAGGATAGATCACAAACTTCCCAGCTGTTCCCTAGAGCCCTATCACCCAAGAAGGAGAAGGAGCTATGAGGAGGAGGCTGGGGTGGTAAGACTTGGGACCCCCACATGTATACACACATAGTCAGAGCAGCTCTGACTTTCATCTATTTTATATTTTAGTTTTCCACAGAAGATTCAATGAGGTGGGCAAGTTTCCTCTCAAAAAAAAAAAAGAAAGAAAGAAAACACTGGTCTAGCTGCATATTACATGACTATAATCTCCCAGAGGGCAAGAGACTGGAATTGTACCACCATCCCCTAATACCTGGTACAATGCCATGAACTTGATCGGGAAGTGTCTTGGGGCATCAGGCAAGAAGTGCCAATTACCTGGGTCCTAATCCCAGCTCCAACATAAACCTGCTGGGCAAGCTACATGATAAATACTGTTCCATCTTTACTCTTTAAAAAGTGCCACTCTGGAGATTTTTCTACACTAACATCTCCTCATGAATACCTCATTCATGATTTTATCAGCTTAGTTGAAATGTTTTATTTTAGCTGAAGACATCTGAATCGAGCCTTCACTTTCACATTCGGTCAGCATCCTGCACACATGCATATGCACACGCTCTCACCCGCTCCATTCCCCAACACCGCAACCCACATCCCACCACACCCCGCATCCCATCCTGCCGCCCAGGGCACCCTGGGACTCCCCTGCATCCCTCTTTAGATGCCAATTAAGAAAATAAATAGTTCTTATTATCCACTTACCCTTAAATACCTTCCTTGAGAAGTACTTACATCGTTTTTAATGAAGTGATCTGGTGGACAAAGCAAAAACTAATCCAAATTGCCAAGAGCCCCCAGAAGTCCCAATAATTAGTTCTATTCTATTCTCCCATAATGTAAGATATGGTTTTTAGCCTCTAAATATTTACTATTTATTATAGTAAGATGTGGTGTATCTAACTCAAACAGCTAGCGAGCTACCACTCTGCCCAACAGCTGTGCTTTCAAGTGGTTCAGTACATAACCACAAACACTGTGGCTGTATTGCTCTCTGTAAACACTATAAAAAGTCAAATATGCCTATATGCTTCTCAAGTTCACTCAGACCAAAAAAAAACTCACCTGTCCCATATACTATCAATAAAATAACTCCAAAAAGTCCAAATAAATGCAGAATAAACATTTAAAATACTCTAGGCTGGATATCTTTTTACATTGTAATTCACTGTAATTAGTCAAATCCTGTCAGAATGTTGATACAGGATATTTGGTGAACTGGTCAAGTTTAATCATCTCTCTAAAATGAATGGCAAGAATATATTAATATATTATAAGGTCACTCTCCTGTCAAAGGTACAATTAATATAGACAGCACAGGTAAGCCACCAAGGACTCCAAAAGTACAGAGAATAATGTAGAAACCTTTCCATATCTGTCAGCCCCTATCACCAGTTAACTATCAAATTTTGCCAATTCAACTACTTTTGAAAGGTCAATTTATAAATGTCTTATACTATAATCTTTTGTATGTGTGTTCACAGAAAATCAAACAGGCATGTGGCTGTTTGGGGGCAGAGAAATTAGAAGAGAGCACTATCCCCTCTGACGGGGCAGGTACTGCCTCATATGTTGCTTTGGGCTAAAACCCTGGGTCTCTAGGTGCTGAGAGAAGCTAGAAGGAAGGATGACAAAGTCTGTAATTCCTGGGAAATGAGACAGGCAGCATAGCCCATCCAGGCTCTGACTCACTTGGAGACCTTCTCTCTTCTGGCTCCATCCATCCCCCACGTCAATCATAACAAAGAGGAAATCAGCTTTGCCCTCGGGGATGCATCTGGCAACAATTATGATTTGGGGGTGAGTCCAGGTTTAGTTAGGGTATAGGAGGTGCACTGACATTTGCTGAGTGCCAACTATGTGCCATGCAACACTTTACCTTAGTACCTCTCTACCCTGACAACCAGTTCATCATCACCTGGAAAACAGGAAGGAAACGTGGGAAGGCCTGGGACCACTCCAAACCAAGTATTTCACAGTCAGAACAATTACTTTACCGTAATCCTCTCAACAGCCTCATAAACTAGGTACTGCTGTGCTCAGATATGACATAGACATTAAACAGCAGGGCCAGAATTTAGAGCCATGGCTATCTTCTTTCTAAAGTCCTACTCTTTTCCCTGACCGCAGCACTAGAGACTAGCTAGTCTGGTCCTCATTTAGACCATACAATCAATTCAGAAAGTAACTAGATACTTCATATGTATTTTAAATGGAATAAATGAATATATCATGTTCTAAAACTTGAATTAGAAAGGTAAGTTTGTCCAAGTAGATCAGATTAATGAAACAAAGAATCAGACTGCAAATGTAGGCCCAGGTTAACAAAGAGTGCAAAGCCTTTCATTCCTTCACTGTGGATAAAATGTTCACTCTATTCGTCATCTCTTCAAATATTCTTCAGTCTCCTTGCCTGTTTTCTGACTGGGATTCCAATTACATCACTGTTAGTTTGATATTGTCCCACAGCTCTTGGATAGTCTGCTCTGAGTTTATTTTTGTTTTGTCTTGGTTTTCACTTTTTTTCCTTTGTGCTTCAGTTGGGGCAATTTCTACTGACTTGTCTTCAAGTACCCTACTTCCTCAGCACAGTCACGTCTGCTACTGAGAATAACAAAGTTATTAGTCTTTCACTGTGTTTTTCATCTCCAGCATTTCCATTTGGTCCCTTTTTATGGTCTCCATCTCTCTGTCAATACCCTTATATGTTCATCCATGCTATCCCCCTTTTGCACTGGACACTTTAATATATTAATCATTACTACTTAAATTTTCTTTCTGATAATTCTAACATCAGAGTCATATCTGAGTCTGATTCTTTTGGTGCAGGACAGGGGCAGCCCTACACCCTGCATCTGGTGAAGGATGTGTAGGAACAGGATTTCCCTGAAGTGGGGTGGGTGGGAGAAAGGTAATTGCAACTTGCTTGATTTTCTGACCTGTGGACTTAGAATGAACTTTGTCATGAGAACAGACTTTTATGGGGTTCCCACCAAATCTTTCTGGTTGCAATTTGGTCAGTTAGATGTGGTCTAGGACTGGAGGTTTCTATGTGGTGGGTTTTCTACGTAATGAAGCTGCTAGACCATTCTGCCCACCCCTGCTCCCCAGCCCAATGGAAGGTCTGCATCTCATGTCATCCCACGAGGCCACTCACTGCCTCTCACTATTCTGCGCCTCTCATGATCACTTGCACAGTCCCCTCATTTCTTTTTTATTAACCACTTTATTGAGATATAATTTCCATACCATAGAATTTACCATTTAAAATGTACAGTTCAATGATTTCGGGTATATTACATTATTAATTTGAAAAATTTTTGTAAATGTAGGTAGCGAACTTTGCCATTTTAACCATTTTTAATTGTATAATTCAGTGGCATTAATTATATTCACAATGTTATGCAACCATCACTACTATGTATTTCTAAAATTTTTTCATCACCCTAAACAGAAACTCTGTAATCATTAAACAACAACTCCTCGTTCCCCTCTCTCTCTAGCCCCTCATAGCTTCTAATCTACTTTCTGTGTCCATGGATTTGCCTATTCTAGGTATATTATGTAACTAGAATCATACAATATTTGTCCCTTGATCTGGCTTATTTCACTTAGCACAATGTCTTCAAGGTTTATCACATTGTAGCATGGATCAAATCTTCATCCTTTCCTATGACTGGGTAATATTCCATTGTTTATCCACTCATCTGTTGAAGGACATTTGGGTTATATCCACCTTTTGGTTATTGAGAATAATGCTGTACAAGAGTCTGTTCTAGTCCTGGCTTTCAGTCTCTTTGAGTATGTTCCTAGGAGTGAAATTGCTGGGTCATATGGTAATTCTATGCTTAGCTTTTTGAGGAACCCTCTCATTTCTTGATAATTTAAACCCTAGCTTATTGCTACCTTTTCTATCACTATTTTTGTCTTAATAATTGGTGATTTCAATATCCTTTCAGCACCTGGCCTTTCAATTCCTTAAACTCTTCTCCTTCACCTCAATAGCTTGTCCTTCACACTATTTCACTTATCTCCTACTCCCCTCCACCCACTGTGGTCATTCCCTAGACCTGTCATCAGCACTAAGGGCATCTCCGGAATCTCCATTTCAGTAGTCTCTCCAGTACCAGGTAGAGCAAATCCTTCAACTCTGCAGGAACTCCAATTCTTTGACCCTACCACCTTTTCACACTTCCTTGGTCTTTTCATGTCTTAACTTCCCCCCACACACCAAGCTTGAATTCCATAATCACTTATTTTCTTCTTTATTTATTTATTTATTTAGAGATGGAGCCTTGTTCTGTCACCCAGGCTGGAGTGCAGTGGCGCAATCTTGGCTCACGGCAACCTCCACCTTCCAGGTTCAAGCGATTCTCCTGCCTCAGCCTCCCAAGTAGCTGGGATTACAGGCGCCTGCCACCACGCCCAGCTAATTTTTGTACATAATCACTTATTTTCAATCACTGCTGTGCCTACACTTTCAATTCCAGGGTCCTTTTATCACTTGGTTGTGTTTGCTTAGAAAACTACCACCCTAGTTAAAATAAACTCTTCACCTGTAACTCATCATAGGCATCTAAGAAAAATCACACAACTCCTTGGCCTTATCTTAATTAATGACCATGAACCTTAAATGGGTCTTGAATGCCTCCTGGCAATCAGTATTACATTTCCTTAGTTCTTTCATTTTCCCTGTTCTTCTAAATGACTGTTTCATACTTTCTCCTCTCTCCACAAACCTGCAATATCCACTCCGCATTCTCACTTTGAGCTGATGACCTGGCTCCCTATGCACTGAGGAAATTGAAGTAGTCAGAATGGGACTTTTACAGACTCCCTCCACCACATCCACCCACCTACCATGTCTGCACTTGCACACTCCACTTCCCATCTATAACTGTAGACAGACTCTCTGCGCTCCCATCCAGGACCCGCTCCTCCACTTTGCACAGGACCCATCCCCCTCACTTATTTGAACATTATACCACCAATTCTTCCTTTTTGTAAACCTACCTCAAATTTCCCTTTCTACAGAATCAGTCCCTCTAACATCAAATACACTGTTATTCCTCTCACCTTAAAAATAGCCTCCCTTTGCACTCCAGCCTGGGTGACAGAGCGAGACTCCATCTCAAAAAAAAAAAAAAAAAAGTCTCCCTTGGCCTCACTTTTCTTCCCAATTACTTCCTGCACCATGAGGCAAGACAAGTAGAGAAGCCCATTGCCAGCCCCACACTCCAATCCAGCCCACTGTTTCCTGGCCCTGCCCCCAAATTCCTCTTATCATCTCTTTGTGGAAACTCATTATCACTGAACAAACTAATTTTAACCCCTCTTATCTGTTCCTTCCCTTCCATCCCCACAGCCTCTGTTAGTACAGATCTGTTCTATAATTTCCTAACTAATTACCCTGCTCTAGCCTCACTTCCTCCTCCATCACTGGAAACTTTCAGCCTCCCCCTGCTAATATGAGTTTCTGTCATTCCCTCCCATTAAACACTTCCATCCTTAGTAAGCATTCACTCTAGGTTAAAATTGGGTATTGCTATGAAAACACTGCTCCAAGATACTTTCCAAATTCCCCCTTCCAACAGATTGCTGCTCCTTAAACCTCCTAGATACAGACATTCCAGAGCTGCCACTGCCTCCACATTGGTGTCAGAGTGGTCTCTCTAATGAAGACAGAATCCTATGCCTGCTTCAAACTCTTCACTGGCTCCCCATTGTCCTGTGAGAGTCTATCTACCTTATTTGCCATGGTGCTGAAAGTTCTCCATAATGTTCCTCTCTCTCTAACCTCATCTCTTACTTCTTCCACACGTAGGCTCCTGAAACACTGAGCTAGGTATAGTTCCCAGGTTCTGTATATAATCCAGGTCCTTAGGCCCAGATTTATCTATTCATCCAGCACCGTACCAGCACATAAGAAGCACCTGAGCAAACACATGCTGAGTGAATACACTTATTGAAATCATATTCTATACCAATTCCATATGTTAGGAAAATTATTCCACATCAGCTTCAAGTGCCCAAGATTCATTGTTATAAGGCAACATTTACTTTTCATGCCTTTTGCAGTTTGGAACACAATAGACCATCATTAAAGACTGAGTGAGTGGGTGGATGGATGGATGGATGGATGGATGGATGGATGGATGGATGGATGGAGAACTGTGAGAGAAGATAAGTAACATTAGGAGAACTTCCCCTCTCAATGGTGAGTTCTTGAGTACAGAGAACGTGTCTTAATTCTTTGCATTTTCAATGCTCAAAATACAGTCTAACACAAAAAGTTATTAACAAATATGAGAAGAATAAATGAATGTGAAATTACATGAATTATATACATATTATTTCAATTGTAAACCTTGATTTAACAGATATAGTGTTCGATTAACTATCTTATGTGAAATCACGTTTCAGATATAAAAAGTCCAAATATAGAAATTTTTACTAACTAGAAAAAAATTTCGATCATTAAAATAAATCTTCACATCTGAAACAACATGTAAATATTATAACTGCTACTGTCACCTATCTTTAGGGGTATCAATACTCTAAAAAAAGGGTAAAATAAAATATATAGTAGATCATATGTAGGAAAAAATTTCATGATTAATATTTCTTAAAAACAAAGTTCTATTATTTTATTAACAATTTTTGTCCTTTAACACATTCATTGTAAAATGTTAAAGCTATAGAACTATAATTAAATAAAAGGAAGAAAATAAACAATCACCCATAATCACCAGGGATAACTCTTGTTAACATTTGGTATTAAAATATGTTCTGGCATGGACACAGGGAAGGGAAAAAAACACACTGGGGCCTGTCAGCGGGGGCAAGGGGAGGGAGAGCATCAGGATAAGTAGCTAATGCATGCTGGGCTTAGTACCTAGGTGATGGGTTGATAGGTGCAGCAAACCACCATAATACACTTTTACCTATGTAACAAACCTGCGCGTCCTGCACGTTGCACATGTATCCCAGAATTTAAAATAAAATAGACTTTTTAAAAAAAGAAAATAAATATGTTCTAGTATTCTTCTTCATGTGTGTTTAAATGTATATGTGCATGTACATAATATAAACAAAATGAGAATATTATATAACCCGCTTTTTTTAGCAATTGTTTCTGAAAAGCAAAGCCTGAAGAACAAGCTGAGATGCTACTATTTTATTAAGCACTATGATACCAGAGAAGCAGGGCAAAGAAGGAGAGAGGCAGGGAAGAAGTCTCTAGAGGGTGCACTGCCATTATGGCCACCTCTGGTATGAGGTGCAGCGGATGCCTGAACTCATGGAACCACCCTCTGAACTGAGCTGCCTTGTCTCAGTCTAGTCCACCCAGGCAGGCAAAGGGGAATGTTTACACTAGCTTCTGTCTCTCATTGGTCAGCTTTTACCCTGAAGGGCATTTACTGTCCCATCTCCACTTCTGAATTATGTGTGGGCACTAGGAAGACCTTTGGCATCTGACACTCCAGTGGCCATGAGGAAAAGAGGTGGAATATGAGAGATACGTTGTTAGGGCATAAGCTAAGGCGACATTGGGTGGTGTCTATGTGAAGTTGGTTGTAGCCCATGCAGCCCAAGGATTAAGTGGCCTAAGAACAGATGAGGCAGAGATCATCTGGTGTATACTTAAAGATGTGGGACATAGATTCATTAGTGCTGTCCCATTACAACTGACCTCTATAGTAAAATATGACATCTCCATTTTCATGAGAATAGCCTTGTCCTCACTTCTTCCCCACAGAGGTTAGGTTGGGGGTGGAGTCAGCGTCCCCTCCAAGTTGGTGGCCAGCCACAATTTCTAAAAAAGCTTAAGGCAAGAGTGTTAATGAAAAAAAGCTACAGTCTCTTCTACCACAGTTATTCCCACATTGAAATATGTCATCTCCTTTCTCTGCCACTCATTCCAGAATTTTCTCAACTTTGGCCAGGAATTTGACTGCTCTTGGATTCTCTCCTGGTATAATCACCCACACTTTCATCCCCAGGGAGCCCAAGCCCTTCATTGCCTTGCCTTTATCAGGTCATGATCTCTGCAACTGCTCATTTACCATTGTCCTTGGGCACAGAAAGTCCAGGCGATACCCAGTGAATCCTCTGGGTTCCATATATACTCCTCCCTGTTCACAGTGTGTGACAACACCCCTAGCTATCCTCTGCTTTCCTTTTGGTAAACAGGGTCAATTATAATCACCCCATCCCAGTATAATAAGTCTGTTCTTTGCTTTCTGGTCCACTGACATGAGGGACCTAAATTGGCTATATTAGTCCCATCTTCCAGTTGGATGGAGCTCTTACTGTCTTACTTTGTCCTGGGAAGAAGCAGTTCCCCACCCTCCCTGATCCTGAACCGAGGCCTCTGTACCCATCAGAACCTAACATTACAGAGATGAAAAGGACAAATTGTACAAAAGAGTCACAGGGAATCTTCATAAGAGGGACCATTCCTGCTCCTTTGCCCCTGTAGATTTGCATAATCTGGTTTCGGGAGACACAGCCCCATAATATTGGCCATTGCTTCAACATCTCAAACCACCAGAAGTTTTTTCTCAACTGCCACCTTTCCTATGCCTCTGTTAGGCTACTCTGCCCTTCCATTAGGTTGGCTATTTTTTCGGATAATGGATTACATGGGACCCAGTGGTCATTTTCCCTGGTTTCACTTCCTCTGGGATAAAATATGTCCCTTGGTCTGAAGCTATGTTGTGTAAACATCATGTCAATGTGTCAATCAATGTGTTCCTAGATGCACTGCTAGCAAGGAAGGTAAACCCACATCTGGAGTAGGAATCAATTATAAGAAATGAGGCCTGGTGTGGTGGCTCACGCCTGTAATCTTAGCCCTTTGGGAGGCCAAGGCAGGAGGATCACTTGTGGCCAGGAGCTAGAGACCAGATAGGGCAACATAGCAAGACTCCATCTCTACAAAAAGTAAATTTTTTAAACATTAGCTGGGCACAGTGACATGTGCCTGTAGTACCAGCAACTCGGGAGGCTGAGGTGGGAGGATCGCTGGACCCCAGGAGTTGAAGGCTGCAGTGAGCTATCATCACACCACTGGAGCTCAGCCTGAGCTACAGAGCAAGATCCCATCTCTAAAATATATATATACAATTTCTAATTTTAGAAAAAAATAGTTGTTGCCCCTGTCAGGGTGTAATTGAAATGGTGCCATACTAAGAGCTGAGCATGAGTCTCTGCTGCTGGCAAGGGGGCACTCAGCAGTGGTGGTAGCTGGATTGCCTTGGTGATAAGAAGCCCCTACCACCAGGCACCTTGGCCTGAGGACAGGTTGTGTAAATATCATTTCAATAGATCAATCCCTCTCTCGAAGCCTCCAGCCCTACTACATGGCCACTTTGGTCATGGCTCATTGTGTCAGCACCAGAATGGCAAGGAAATCCTAAATGATACCCACTTTATGAGTTTCTCTATTCATACATTGGACAGTGGAGTTTTAAGTTGTGTAAATAGAGAAGAGAGGAGAGAGTGAGAAAGAGTGAAAGGGAGATATGAGCAATGGTTTTGGTGTCCTGGTGGGATCAAAGGATCAGTAGTTGAGGCTACTAAAGAGAGTGAGCTGGAAATAGGGACAGTAATAGAGAAGGATCCATGAAAGTGAGATGAGGGAGGGGTTGCAAATGCTGGAGCTATCAAGGTCTGGGGTATGACCACAGGAATGAGTGGCTGAGGGAGGTTGGATCACCTTGGTCTCAAGGCTAGCACCCTCATGACGCAATTGCACATGTGTTCTCTCAGTTTGGGCTGGTACAAACCCATCAGGTCCTGTAATTCCTTTGGCATATAAGCTACTTTCTCCCAGAGCAACAACCATAGTTCTCCACTCAGGTTATGCTGAGATTTGACTCCAGTTGTCAGTCTGGAGTCAATAGGGGTGGCAAGGGCAGAGCCTTTCAAAAAGAAAACTCCTCCTTCTGCAGATGCATGCACTGCATTGTCTCCAAGCCAAGGAATGCATACAGCCTCTGGGATCTGGAAAGGGCAAGGAAATGGATTCTCCCCAGAGCCCCTAGGAAGGAACACAGCCTTGCCAAGACCTTCATTTTAGCCCAGTGACACCCATGTCAGATTCCTGACCTACTGAACTGTAAAATAATAAATTTGTGTTTTTTTAAGCCACTAAGTTTGTGGCGATCAACAACAGCAGCCATAGGAAACTAATACTCTTAACTAATTCCTTGTTTGGCGGCATTTTGATTATTTTCAACTTTTTTCTCATTATAAACAATAATACAATGAAACTGCTTATAGCTTAATTCTTTCACATGTCCACAATTTTTCTTAGTTCGTAGATATAACTTGTTGGGTCAAAGACTCTATAAAATTTAATAGCCCTTTATATGTATTGCCTTCCAGAAAGACAATAGTAGTCTGAAATACCATCAGCACTTGAAAATTTCCAACAACAGAAAGTGTCCTTCTTTTTGGTTTTTTTTCTTAGCAATTTGAAAGGCAAAAATAGTACCTAAGTGTTTTAAATTGCATTTTCATTACTGATAAGCTTGTGCTATATGTTTAAGCATTCTTCTATAGAACAGGCACATAGCAGCCGTTTTAATTTCTTCTTTTGTAAATTATTTCAAATCCTCCATTCATTTTCTTTTCAGGTGTTCACTTTTCTTACTGCTTTGTAAAAATATCCATTTATGTCACACATATTGAAAATAGCTTCAATTTGATTTTAATGTTTGATATTTTAAGATACAGAAGTTTTAACTTTTTATAATCAAATCTATCAATATTTTCCTTTATAATTTCTGCATTTAGTATCACATTTAGAAGTACCTTTCTCATTTCTACATTTGTATAAATATTCATCCATATCTTCATTTAGTGCTTTTATGGTTGAATGCTGTGAGTTAAGAATCTAACTTCAGTTTTTCCTCAATGATTACCAGTCTCAATAAAGAATGCATCAAATGTCTATCCTTTCTCTACTATAATAGATTTGAAGATGATATTTCAAAACAAATTGATACAGACTTGAATTCTCAGCTTTTAAATAAACTCCTACTTGAAAGTGAAAAAGTTATCAAAGAAGAGCGATTTGTTTTAATGTTTTAGATTCTCAGTCTCACAACTTCACATTTACATTTATGTAGCAGACCTCTAACGCCTGAGGAAATGATCTCACTTGTGAAACAAGTAACCACACCACAGACAAAATGGTTATATTTTCCAGTAATAAAACACCCAAATCTTCAGCAGCACAGCAGAGAAAGAAAAATCCCACATCCTTTGTGTTTCATTGTATATTACTAATGTCATACCTGAAACTGAAAGATCTCCATATGTGGATCACAGAAGCCAGGAAAATTTTTTTTCCCTTCTCTTTCCCTACTACCATGCTTCTCCTTCTAATTCCTGGAGATAAGACATGTTTTCATAGCTCTTCAGTATTGCTCATGAGAAAGTAGAATCCTATATTGGCTTAAATAATGTTTCACATCATGTAAAAAGGCAAAAGTAATCATAACTTAATTTCCAATCATTTTTAATGTTACCATTTGTCTTTCTAAAAGGAACATTGGCTTTTTAAGAAGAAAATATGCCTTATGTGTCTACAGCAAAAATATGAAAGCATCGACTATATCTGGTGGCTCTCATAAATTCATGTCAGATCTACAGAGCAAAACCTTTAAGTGAAAAACTGACAAAGCCACTAAATCAGGGATGTATAAATTACTCACTAACTGGATCTTCCAGTTATACAAATCCAACTGAATGGTCATAGTCCTCTATAAATCTTTTAACTTTTGGTTTCATGGCTGGGTGCGGTGGCTCAGACCTGTAATCCCAGTACTTTGGGAGGCTGAGGAGGGTGGATCGCTTGAGATCAGGAGTTCAAGACCAGCATGGCCAACATGGTGAAACCCCATCTCTACTAAAAATACAAAAGTTAGCCAGGCATGGTAGCACACACCTGTAATCCTAGCTACTCAGGAGGCTGAGGCAGGAGAGTCGCTTGAACCCAGGAGGCAGAGGTTGCAGTGAACCAAGATCACACCACTGCACTCCAACCTGGGTGACAGAGATTCTGTCTAAAAAAAAAAAAACTTTTGGGTTCAGAATTTGTTTTTGACTATTTCCAGTGGTGAAGATGATAAAGAAAATAACATCAATGTGCACATGTACCCTAAAATTTAAAGTATAATACTAATAATAATAAAACAATGAACTATATGTACTATATATATACCTATATATATTTGCCAACACTTAATAAAACTTTAAAATAGAAGTATTCTAAGTACTTCATATATATTAATTCATTTAATCTTCTTAAGTATTGTTGTTATCAGCCCCATTTCACATGTGAGGAAACTAAGACACAGAGAGGTTAAGTAAATGTAATAAGGTTTATCATCTGGTGAGTAGCAGGATTGGTAAATGAGCCCAGAGCTCATATTCTTAACCACACATTGTGATATAATTCAATGATACCTTCAGAGCCAGGGTTGTTCACATGAGATCCACGAGCTAATTCACAGCCATGGGTGGGCATCAGGAAGTCTGTGAATCTCCCAAAACTGTATGTAAATATTTACATGCACATGTATATCTATACTTCATCAGATTCTCAAAAGGCTCTGTAATTTAAAAAAAAAACATGTAAAGAGCTACTACTTTAGGAGTCAGTGCTTCATAATGGAAACAGTAGGGGTTTTGCCTGATATGAAACTGGTTAGAACACCACTTTGCCATTTATTAGCTGTGTGAACTAGGACAAGTTAATTGCCCTGTCTAAACTTCATCTTCCTTATCTCTACATGGAAATAATAACACCTACCTTGCATTGTAATAATTAGAGCCAGTGTCTGACACTAACAGGTGCCTGGTAAGTCATAGCTGCTTTCATTAATGTTGTTTCTGTAGTTGTTGATTTTTTCCTTTGATTTTAATATAGCTTACTAAACTATCATCCCACATAATACTCTTGCCATGAAATATTATGAGTTTTTTTTTTTTGAGACGGAGCTCAGTCTGTCACCCAGGGTGGAGTGTAGTGGCACACTCTCAGCTCACTGCAACCTCCACCTCCCAGGTTTGAGCAATTCTCCTGCCTCAGCTTCCCAAGTAGCTGGGATTACAGGTATGCACCACCATGCCCATCTCTACTAAAAATACAAATATTATAAGATTTTTAAGGCCCATAACATAGTGTCCAACTGAGACTGAGAAAATCCAGTCTAAAATAGGAAGTGAATGGGAAGGAGTTAGGAGGAGGGGTCCCTTCCCACTCTACCCTGTGATGGTGGGTCTCTAATCTTTTTCTTTCTTGAGCTTTAAGAAATTTCCTGACATTCCCTAATTCCCAAGGATAAGAAGGAGATATATATTAGAGATATACATCACGTTAAAGGTGCTTTGAACTCTTAGGGCAGAGAAGTACTGTTTAAATTCAAGATACTATTATCCAGAGAGATTATGGAAAATTGTAGAAGCTCAAATAAACCTAACCTGAACAATTAAAGAATGACAGCAAATCAAGTTGGAGATTAAAAAAATCACTTTGCTAACAGTTAAATTTTATGGACTGGCTGTAAGATACATGTCAAGTCTGCACTTCGAAAGCTTTAAACATAATGAACCATTAAGCTCAATTTAATATTCCTCTGTGGGTGATCCGTTTCATTCTCATAACCCTTGACTATATTGCCTTTTTTTATTATTATACTTTAAGTTTTAGGGTACATGTGCACAATGTGCAAGTTTGTTACATATGTATACATGTGCCATGTTGGTGTGCTGCACCCATTAACTCGTCATTTAACATTAGGTATGTCTCCTAATGCTATCCCTCCCCCTCCCCCCACCCACACAGTCCCCGGTGTGTGATGTTCCCCTTCCTGTGTCCATGTGTTCTCATTGTTCAATTCCCACCTATGAGTGAGAACATGTGGTGTTTGGTTTTTTGTCCTTGCCATAGTTTGCTGAGAATTATAGTTTCCAGCTTCATCCATGTCCCTACAAAGGACATGAACTCATCATTTTTTATGGCTGCATAGTATTCCATGGTGTATATGTGCCACATTTTCTTCATCCAGTCTATCATTGTTGGACATTTGGGTTGGTTCCAAGTCTTTGCTATTGTGAATAGTGCCACAATAAACATACGTGTGCATGTGTCTTTCTAGCAGCATGATTTGTAGTCCTTTGGGTATATACACAGTAATCAGATGGCTGGGTCAAATGGTATTTCTAGTTCTAGATCCCTGAGGAATCGCCACACTGACTTCCACAATGGTTGAACTAGTTTACAGTCCCACCAACAGTGTAAAAGTGTTCCTATTTCTCCACATCCTCTCCAGCACCTGTTGTTTCGTGACTTTTTAATGACTGCCATTCTAACTGGTGTGAGATGATATCTCATTGTGGTTTTGATTTGCATTTCTCTGATGGCCAGTGATGGTGAGCATTTTTTCATGTGTTTTTTGGCTGCATAAATGTCTTCTTTTGAGAAGTGTCTGCTCATATCCTTCACCCACTTTTTGATGGGGTTGTTTGTTTTTTCTTGTAAATTTGTTTGAGTTCATTGTAGATTCTGGATATTAGCCCTTTGTCAGATGAGTAGATTGCAAAAATTTTCTCCCATTCTGTAGGTTGCCTGTTCACTCTGATGGTGGTTTCTTTTGCTGTGCAGAAGCTCTTGAGTTTAATTAGATCCCATTTGTCAATTTTGGCTTTTGTTGCTATTGCTTTTGGTGTTTTAGACATGAAGTCTTTGCCCATGCCTATGTCCTGAATGGTATTGCCTAGGTTTTCTTCTAGTGTTTTTATGGTTTTAGGTCTAACATGTAAGTCTTTAATCCATCTTGAATTAATTTTTGTATAAGGTGTAAGGAAGGGATCCAGTTTCAGCTTTCTACATATGGCTAGCCAGTTTTCCCAGCACCATTTATTAAATAGGGAATCCTTTCCCCATTGCTTGTTTTTGTCAGGTTTGTCAAAGATCAGATAGTTGTAGATAAGTGGTGTTACTTCTGAGGGCTCTGTTCTGTTCCATTGGTCTATATCTCTGTTTTGGTACCAGTACCATGCTGTTTTCGTTACTGTAGCCTTGTAGTATAGTTTGAAGTTGGGTAGCGTGATGCCTCCAGCTTTGTTCTTTCGGCTTAGGATTGACTTGGCGATGTGGGCTCTTTTTTGGTTCCATATGAAGTTTAAAGTAGTTTTTTCCAATTCTGTGAAGAAAGTCATTGGTAGCTTGATGGGGATGGCATTGAATCTATAAATTACCTTGGGCAGTATGGCCATTTTCACGATATTGATTCTTCCTACCCATGAGCATGGAATGTTCTTCCATTTGTTTGTATCCTCTTTTATTTCATTGAGCAGTGGTTTGTAGTTCTCCTTGAAGAGGTCCTTCACATCCCTTGTAAGTTGGATTCCTAGGTATTTTATTCTCTTTGAAGCAATTGTGAATGGGAGTTCACTCACGATTTGGCTGTCTGTCTGTTATTGGTGTATAAGAATGCTGTGATTTTTGCACATTGATTTTGTACACTGAGACTTTGCTGACGTTGCCTATCAGCTTAAGGAGATTTTGGGCTGAGACGATGGGGTTTTCTAGATATACAATCATGTCATCTGCAAACAGGGACAATTTGACTTCCTATTTTCCTAATTGAATACTCTTTATTTCCTTCTCCTGCCTAATTGCCCTGGCCAGAACTTCCAACGCTATGTTGAATAGGAGTGGTGAGAGAGGGCAGCCCTGTCTTGTGCCAGTTTTCAAAAGGAATGCTTCCAGTTTTTGTCCATTCAGTATGATATTGGCTGTGGGTTTGTCATAGATAGCTCTTATTATTTTGAGATACATCTCATCAGTACCTAATTTATTGAGAGTTTTTAGCATGAAGGGCTGTTGAATTTTGTGAAAGGCCTTTTCTGCATCTATTGAGATAATCTTGTGGTTTTTGTCTTTGGTTCTGTTTATATGCTGGATTACGTTTATTGATTTTCGTATGTTGAACCAGCCTTGCATCCCAGGGATGAAGCCCACTTGATCATGGTGGATAAGCTTTTTGATGTGTTGCTGGATTCGGTTTGCCAGTATTTTATTGAGGATTTTTGCATCAATGTTCATCAAGGATATTGGTCTAAAATTCTCTTTTTTTTGTGTGCCTCTGCCAGGCTTTGGTATCAGGATGATGCTGGCCTCATAAAATGAGTTAGGGAGTATTCCCTCTTTTTCTAGTGATTGGAATAGTTTCAGAAGGAATGGTACCAGCACCTCCTTGTACCTCTGGTAAAATTCTGCTGTGGATCCATCTGGTTCTGGACTGTTTTTGGTTGGTAAGCTATTAATTATTGCCTCAATTTCAGAGCCTGTTATTGGTCTATTCAGAGATTCAACTTCTTCCTTGTTTAGTCTTGGGAGAGTGTTTGTGTCAAGGAATTTATCCACTTCTTCTAGATTTTCTAGTTTATTTACGTAGAGGTGTTTATACTATTCTCTGATGGTAGTACATATCTCTGTGGGATTGGTGGTGATATCCCCTTTGTCATTTGTTATTGCATCTATTTGGTTCTTCTCTCTTTTCTTCTTTATTAGTCTTGCTAGTGCTCTATCTATTTTGCTGATTTTTTCAAAAAACCAGCTCATGGATTCATTGATTTATTGAAGGGTTTTTTGTGTCTCTATTTCCTTCAGTTCTGCTCTGATCTTAGTTATTTCTTGCCTTCTGCTAGCTTTTGAGTGTGTTTGCTCTTGCTTCTCTATTTCTTTTAATTGTAATGTTAGGATGTCAATTTTAGATCTTTCCTGCTTTCTCTTGTGGGCATTTAGTGCTATAAATTTCCCTCTACACACTGCTTTGAATGTGTCCCAGAGATTCTGGTATGTTGTGTCTTTGTTCTCGTTGGTCTCAAAGAACATCTTTATTTCTGCCTTCATTTCATTATGTACCCAGTAGTCATTCAGGAGCAGGTTGTTCAGTTTCCATGTGGTTGAGCAGTTATGAGTGAGTTTCTTAATCCTGAGTTCTAGTTTGATTGCACTGTGGTGTGAGACACAGTTTGTTATAATTTCTGTTCTTTTACATTTGCTGAGGAGTGCTTTACTTCCAACTATGTGGTCAATTTTGGAATAGGTGTGGTGTGGTGCTGAGAAGAATGTATATTGTGTTGATTTGGGGTGGAGAGTTCTGTAGATGTCTATTAGGTCCGCTTGGTGCAGAGCTGAGTTCAATTCCTGGATATCCTTGTTAACTTTCTGTCTTGTTGATCTGTCTAATGTTGACAGTGGGTTGTTAAAGTCTCCCATTATTATGGTGTGGGAGTCTAAGTCTCTTTGTAGGTCACTCAGGACTTGCTTTATGAATCTGGGTGCTCCTGTATTGGGTGGATATATATTTAGGATAGTTAGTTCTTCTTGTTGAATTGATCCCTTTACCATTATGTAATGATCTTCTTTGTCTCTTTTGATCTTTGTTGGTTTAAAGTCTGTTTTATCAGAGACTAGGATTGCAACCCCTGCCTTTTTTTGTTTTCCATTTGCTTGGTAGATCTTCCTCCATCCCTTTATTTTGAACCTATGTGTGTCTCTGCACATGAGATGGGTTTCCTGAATACAGCACACTGATGGGTCTTGACTCTTTATTCAATTTGCCAGTCTGTGCCTTTTAATTAGAGCATTTAGCCCATTTACATTTAAGGTTAGTATTGTTATGTGTGAATTTGATCCTGTCATTATGATGTTAGCTGGTTATTTTGCTCATTAGTTGATGCAGTTTCTTCCTAGCCTCGATGGTCTTTACAATTTGGCATGTTTTTGCAGTGGCTGGTACCTTTCCATGTTTAGTGTTCCTTTCCATGTTTAGTGCTTCCTTCAGGAGCTCTTTTAGGGCAGGCCTGGTGGTGACAAAATCTCTCAGCATTTGCTTGTCTGTAAAGGATTTTATTTCTCCTTCACTTATGAAGCTCAATTTGGCTGGATATGAAATTCTGGGTTGAAAATTCTTTTCTTTAAGAATGTTGAATATTGGCCCCCACTCTCTTCTGGCTTGTAGAGTTTCTGCTGAGAGATCAGCTGTTAGTCTGATGGGCTTCCCTTTGTGGGTAACCCGACCTTTCTCTTTGGCTGCCCTTAACATTTTTTCCTTCATTTCGACTTTGGTGAATCTGTCAATTATGTGTCTTGGAGTTGCTCTTCTCAAGGAGTATGTTTATGGCATTCTTTGTATTTCCTGAATTTGAATGTTGGCCTGCCTTCTAGATTGGGGAAGTTCTCCTGGATAATATCCTGCAGAGTGTTTTCCAACTTGGTTCCATTCTCCCTGTCACTTTCAGGTACACCGATTAGACGTAGATTTGGTCTTTTCACATAGTCCCATATTTCTTGGAGGCTTTGTTTGTTTATTTTTATTATTTTTTCTCTAAACTTCTCTTCACACTTCATTTCATTCATTTCTTCTTCCATTGCTGATACCCTTTCTTCCAGTTGATCGCATCGGTTACTGAGGCTCATGCATTCATCACGTAGTTCTTGTGCCGTGGTTTTCAGCTCCATCAGGTCCTTTAAGGACTTCTCTGCATTTGTTATCCTAGCTATCCATTCGTCTAATTTTTTTCAAAGTTTTTAACTTCTTTGCCATTGGTTCAAACTTCCTCCTTTAGCTAGGAGTAGTTTGATCTTCTGAAGCCTTCTTCTCTCAACTCATCAAAGTCATTCTCTGTCCAGCTTTTTTCCGTTGCTGGTGAGGAGCTGTGTTCCTTTGGAGGAGGAGAGGTGCTCTGATTTTTAGAGTTTCCAGTTTTTCTGCTCTGTTTTTTCCCCATCTTTGTGGTTCTATCTACCTTTGGTCTTTGATGATGGTGACATACAGATGGTAACATAGAGATGGTGTGGATGTCCTTTCTGTTTGTTAGTTTTCCTTCTAACAGTCAGGACCCTCAGCTGCAGGTCTGTTGGAGTTTACTGGAGGTCCACTCCAGACCCTGTTTGCCTGGGTATCAGCAGCGGTGGCTGCAGAACAGCAGATATTGGTGAACCATAAATGCTGCTGCCTGATCGTTCCTCTGGAAATTTTGTCTCAGAGGAGTACCCGGCCATGTGAGGTGTCAGTCCACCCCTACTGGGGGGTGCCTCCCAGTTAGGCTACTCAGGGGTCAGGGACCCACTTGAGGAGGCAGTCTGCCCCTTCTCAGATCTCAAGCTGAGTGCTGGGAGAACCACTACTCTCTTCAAAGCTGTCAGACAGGGACATTTAAGTCTGCAGAGGTTATTGCTGTCTTTTGTTTGTCTGTGCCCTGCCCCCAGAGGTGGAGCCTACAGAGGCAGGCAGGCCTCCTTGAGCTGTGGTGGGATCCAACCAGTTCGAGCTTCCAGGCCACTTTGTTTACCTACTCAAGCCTGAGCAATGGCACGTGCCCCTCCCCCATCCTCGCAGCTGCCTTGCAGTTTGATCTCAGACTGCTGTGCTAGCAATGAGCGAGGCTCCATGGGCATAGGACCCTCCAAGCCATGTGCGGGATATAATCTCCTGGTGTGCCGTTTGTTAAGCCCATTGGAAAAGTGCAGTATTAGGGTGGGAGTGACCCAATTTTCCAGGTGCCGTCTGTCACCCCTTTCTTTGACTAGGAAAGGGAATTCCCTGACCCCTTGCACTTCCTGGGTGAGGCGGTGCCTCGCTCTGCTCCGGTTCATGCACGGTGAGCTGCACCCACTGTCCAGCACTCCCCAGTGAGATGAACCTGGTACCTCAGTTGGAAATGCAGAAATCAACCGTCTTCTGTGTCACTCACACTGGTAGCTGTAGACTGGAGCTGTTCCTATTCAGCCATCTTGGCTCCACCCCCGCTGAACATATTGCCTTTTACTTATACCTAAACTTGAAATCTCCTCTAGCCCCACCTGTTGAAATCTTACATATCCTTCAATCTTTTTCAGGAAAAAAAAGAAATGCCTTCTTCATGAGACTTCATGACCTCCCTGCCAGCAGCATTTTCTCATGTCTCTGAATTCCTACAGTTCCTTATTTATGCCCTCTCAAGGCACTTAGCACACTGTTGGCCATTGTTATCATTTGTATATCTGTCCACAGCTTTGTTCTTTCTATCTTTCTACTACTAAAGCTCTTTGACAGCAAGAACAATGTTTCATTCATCTGTGCATCCATTTTAACAGTAGTTATTCAAAACTAGTTGTGGGATAATTGCATGGAAAAAATTGAATGAATATATAAGTTTTTTAGGAAAGAGATTCTATAGTAATTTCAGCCTGGAATTAGAAGTGTAAGCAGAAGTGCAGTTAATGAATTTGCTAATTCTCTTTCCCTGTTGGAGACACTCATCAACATTTGTTCTTTACTACAACATATACTTTATAGTCTCACCCCCCCCCTTTTTTTTTTTCTGTTGGCTCACTGCAAGCTCTGCCTCCTGGGTTCACGCCATTCTCCTGCCTCAGCCTCTCTGAGTAGCTGGGACTACAGGCACCCGCCACGATGCCTGGCTAATTTTTTGTATTTTTAGTAGAGACGGGGTTTCACTGTGGTCTCAATCTCCTGACCTCGTGATCCGCCCACCTCGGCCTTCTCACCCCTTTTTAAAGCTCATCTACTTTGCCTCACTTTCTGCATAAGTAATAACAAAAAACAAAACAAGATAGAAATAAGTAAAAGCCATTAAATACCTACAACTTTAGTATTTATAAGGTGGGCCATTGTATTCAGTGCAGATCTAGATAGCTCAGGAAGCTGGACTAACACTGGCTTCATAAAATCAAGAAAATGGGTTGGTTTCTTTATAGACTGATTGCCCCAAAGGACTCTTTCTCTTTTTCAGGTGTTAAGATGCAAAGGTGCCTTTACTTACACAATACATGTTTTACTAATAGGGAATTTTTTCATCTATGACAGTGCAAACAGACTCTCAATGTCCTGTCCTCTGAATCAGAGGGTAGAGAATTAGTACCCATGCAAACTGAGGAGAAAAAGAGTTATATTTGACAACAAGAGCCAAGTCATGTGTGTTCTGCCAAGAATGCTGCAGCCCCAACCCACCTCATTTCACTGCAGCCCTCGAACCTTTCACCACTTTGTCCTCCTGGCTACCTATTCATACCTCTTACCAAATAACTTACTTCTAGTTTGTAATGCCTGCACAAAGGGGCAAAAGTAGGACAAATCACTGCTTGCCTAGACTTGATCACTGTCTTACAAATCCCACAGATGTTCTGGGGACCACCTGTATCAGAATCACCTGGGGTGCTTATTTGAAATGCAAGTCTCCAGGTTCTGAACCAGACCCTCTGGAGAAGGGTCTAGGGTATCTGCATTTTAAGTAAGCACTCTGGGTTATTATTATGACACTAAAGTTTAAGAACCATTGCTCAAAAAAAGGAGCATTCCTACAAATTTATCATTGTTTACCCTGACAATTTCAAAGAGAGGAGAAATTCATTTAGACATGTGGCCAAAAAAAAAAAAATCATTCAAAATCTAACATAATAGTAATGTTTGCTTAAAACAAAACTTACCCAAAAACTGAGTACTAAACTCATCATGAGAAAACACCATCAAGCATATAAGTGTTTCAGGGAACATAATTGTAGATGAGAATGCTGAAGAATGAGGCACAAACCCTGCACCATCTGGACTGCTTCGAGCTACTCTCCCTTGCACGGAGCACATGTCTGTGAACTCATGCTGACTCTTTTCATTGTAGCCAAACTTTCTCAGTGTAAAGCGTGTCTAGGTAAGACAGTATTTCAGTCTGTATCACTCTTTTAGTTTTTCCAGAATCTTGTAGAGGAAATGAAGTGCTACCTCATGCAAGATGCTGCAGGACTCTAACCAAAGGGCTGGAAATCTGTGCAAGGGCCTTTGATGAAATAAAACTGGGTGTTAATGGCTGCTCACTGTGACCTGTAAGTCATTCTCAGCTCCTCTCACTCTCAAGGTTATTTCAGGGAGGTAAAAATGACTACCAAGTCCAAAACCAAAATTAGGTAGGCATGGAAAAGAAAGCAAAAAAAGCACATTCCATGCTATGTTCTAATATGATATTCACCTTATAAGCAAAGGCCAGATCCTATAGAATAAGATTAAAATGCATGATCATTTTCTCATAAAATTTAAAAATCTTTTCCACTATAAATAGCAACATTGTTAACATTTTTAAGAACAGGAAAGGTTAAAAACAAAAAACACTCACAATATCATCAATGCCTCACAATCACTGTTAGTATTTTGGTACATTTTGTTCCAGACTTCTTTCATCAGCATATTTTACAAAATCAATCATTTGAGCATCCTCTGTGATTACCACTGGTTTACGTATTATTTTATCAGCAGTATTGTTACATGTTAAATTGTGTCCGGAATTGGTTCCTTCTGGTAGGTTCTTGGTCTCGCTGACTTCAAGAATGAAGCCGCAGACCCTCACAGTGAGTGTTACAGTTCTTAAAGATGGTGTGTCTGGAGTTTGTTCCTTCAGATGTTTAGATGTCTCCAGAGTTTCTTCCTTCCAGTGGGTTCGGGGTCTCACTGACTTCAGGAGTGAAGCCGCAGACCTTCGCAGTGAGTGTTACAGCTCTTAAAGTTGGCATGACCGGAGTTGTTTATTCCTCCCAGTGGGTTTGTGGTCTTGCTGACTTCAGGAGTGAAGCTGCAGACCTTCACAGGGAGTGTTACAGCTCATAAAGGTAGTGCAGACCCAAAGAGTGAGCAGCAGCAAGATTTACTGTGAGGAGCAAAAGAACAAAGCTTCCACAGCATGGAAGGGGACCTGAGTGGGTTACTGCTGTGGGCTGGGGTGGCCAGCTTTTATTCTCTTATTTGGCCCCACCCACATCCTGCTGACTGGTCCATTTTACAGAGCCCTGATTGGTCCATTTTACAGAGTGCTGATTGGTGCATTTTTACAGAGTGCGGATTGGTGCATTTACAATCCTTTAGCTAGGCACTGATTGGTGCATTTACAATCCTCTAGCTAGACAGAAAAGTTCTCCATGTCCCCACTCAACCCAGGAAGTCCAGCTGGCTTCACCTCTCAATCCCCCCTCTAAACAGGACACTCCAACTGCTGTTGGGAATTGGGTGATGACTGCTCTAGCTACTTCCTGCTGGACAGGGGTGAAGAAAGGGCCCTGCAGTTGTAGTGTCCTCCAGAGGGGAACTCTTCAGGCCAGTGAAAGGGCCAGCAGGTCAGTCCAGGGATCCTCGGTAGAAGTTGTTGAGCTCATTTGGGGTTCCATTTGTAAGACCATCTGTAGCTTGATGGCCTCGATCCTAGAGGAAACAAATTTGACAGGGAGGTCAAAAATACAGGGCCTGAAGGAAAGTAATAGCAAGATGGCTGTCACAGGACCTAGAAAGAGGAGAAGCCATGTCACCCAATTCCAGAGGTTGGTATAAGAGTTTGAAAGGCATTGTGTGATTTCAGAAGCCTTTTCCTGTAAATGCCAGGTGACATCTTGTACTGTCTCTGACTGCTTAGTGTAAAAACAACACTCTTCCCCTAAGAAGGTGCAAAGTCCTCCTTTCTCAGCAGTAAGGAGTTCTAGGCCTTGGCGGTTTTGGAGAGCCACTGCTGCCAAAGAGTCTATTTGGGATTGTAGAGTAAGGATAGATTTCATTATTTTTTGCAAACTGTCTGAGAAATCCTTTGAGAGTGTGTGGTAGTAGGATAGTATATGTTACACTGTTAACTTTTAACAAACTTTACTATTAGGCCTCTGAGCCCAAACTAAGCCATCATATCCCCTGTGACCTGCACATATACACCCAGATGGCCTTAAGTAACTGAAGAATCACAAAAGAAGTGAAAATGGCATGTTCCTGACTTAACTGATAACATTACCTTGTGAAATTCCTTTACCTGGCTCATCCTGGCTCAAAAGCTCCCCCACTGAGCACCTTGTGAACCCCACCGCTGCCCACCAAAGAACAACCTCCTTTGACTAATTTTCCTTTACCTACCCAAATCCTATAAAACGGCCCCACCCCTATCTCCCTTCACTGACTCTCTTTTCAGACTCAGCTCGCCTGCACCCAGGTGAAATAAACAGCCTTGTTGCTCACACAAAGCCTGTTTGGTGGTCTCTTCACATGGATGCGAGTGAAATTTACTTTTGTTGAAAACTTTGTAAGTTGGGGATTTTAATTTTTCTTTTCTTAGAATCGGTATAGATGGCTCCTTCCTGATTCTGTAAGTACCTTAAGATTTGGCTGAGTGCTGCAAACTATTGCAAGGAACATCACACTCCGGGGACTGTTGTGGGGTGGGGGGAGGGGGGAGGGATAGCATTAGGAGACATACCTAATGCTAAATGACGAGTTAATGGGTGCAGTACACCAACATGGCACATGTATACATATGTAACAAACCTGCACATTGTGCACATGTACCCTAAAACTTAAAGTATAATAAAAAAAAAGATTTGGCTGAGTGCAAACAGCTACCACTTTAGAGCAGATCAATTATTAGGCAATTTTCCTAACTCTGCTTCTACAAGAGTTTCCTTATCACTTACTGAATGCCCATTGTGTCTTTTTCCCTTAATCACCTGGGAGGAACCATCTATCTTCCTGTCCTGAAGGGAGTTCCTCCTAGATCTGGTCGGACCTTTGTATGGTAATTAATTAAGATTTAGATCCCCTGTTAGGAAACCTGCTGGGTTAAGGATTTTTGATAGGAAGGCTATGGGTTGTCAGTGGCCTCAGTGCTTTCAGGCTACGCCCTTGTTTACACTGACAACAAGGTGGTATTGGAGTGTTATAGTGTTATAGAGAATACCTTCAATTATCAATTATAGGTTTTAAATTTACCCTGGCTTTTAAAGGACTAGGGAACACTGTTTTTTCTTTACTATTTCTATCTCTCTCTTTCTCTCTCTTTGACTTCTACTTTGTCTGTCTCTCTCTCTCTCTTTCTCTGTCTCCCTCTTTATCTCTTCCTCTCTTTCCTTTGACTTTCTGTCTCTCTGTCTCTTCCTCTCTCTGTCTCTCTCTTTGACTCCTTCTTTGTCTCTGTCTCTTCCTCTCTCTTTCCTTTCTGCTGGTCTTTCCCTGCCTCTGCCAGCCGCTTATGCTGCTGTTCTCCCCTCTCCTTCCCCTTTTTGATAGCTTTGGCAGTGTAAGACTGCCACCTCCTTGGGTTTTTGCACTGCATGCAATAACTCCATGATTTCCTTGTGGTATTTAATGGAGGTTCCCCCAGAGGTTAGGAACTCCCTTTCTTTTCATATTGCAGAATGGGCATGTAGGATTAGATAAGCATACTTGCTATCCGTATACACATTTATTCTTCTTCCCTTTCCCAGTTCTAAGGCTCGGGTAAGTGCCATTAGTTCTGCTAATTGGACACTGGTCCCTGGAGGAAGAGGCTTACTTTCAAGTATTGTTACTAACTACAGCATAACCTGCCCTTCGTATCCCAGTCTCCACAAACTTTCATTGGTATATAGGTTAAGGTCAGGATTAACTAAGGGGACTTCTAAGAGATCCTCTCGGGCAGCATAAGTTTGGACTATGATTTGTTGGCAGTCATGTTCAATTGGTTCCCCATCTTCTGGGAGAAAAGTGGCAGGGTTGAGGGCTGCACATGTGCATATTTGAAGCACCTGTCCCTCAAGGAGTAGCGCCTGGTATCTAAGTAGGTTATTGTCTGATAGCCATAAACTTCCATTGGCACCTAGTAAGCCATTTACATCATGAGTAGTCCAGACAGTTAGATCCTTTCCTTGAATTATTTTGATAGCCTCTGGCACTAAGACAGCCACTGCTGCAACTACCTGTAAACAGTGAGGCCAGCCTTTTGCTACTACATCAATTTCCTTACTTAGGTATGCCACTGGTATGGAGTTGTCCCATGAGTCTGAGTAAGGATTCCAAGAGCTATTCCTGCTCTCCCTGTGACATATAAAGAGAAGTTTTGTCCTGTGGGAAGGCTTAAGGCTGGAGCTTGAGTTTGTTGCTTCCAATGCCCAGACTTCAGGGTTGATTCCCTCCTCAAGCAGGGGACAAAAAATGGGTAACTTGTTCCCCATATTCATGTAGATAATAACTCCAGGTTTGGCTAATATGTCCCTGGGACTTTCAGGCATAACAAGAAAAGCATGTGAAAAGAGCAAAGTCTCCCAATTACAACTGAGGAGGCGGGAGAAATACCTGGCTACAGGCTGTCCCAGGATTCCTCGGATGGTAACGGACCTTGAGGACTGTCGTCCAGGACAGGAGATTAACACTGAGAAGGCCATGACAGTGTCCAGGAGGAAGTCAATTTCCTGGCCCTCAATGGTTAAATGTACCCAGGGCTCAGTGAGGGCGATGACATGAGCTGGCGCTTGCCCCAGGCACCCTCAGTCCTGTTGTTGGATCATCTGGTTGGGGGCTTCTGGCCCAGAGAACCTTTGTCCTCTGGGGCAGTGTACCTTCCAGTGATTGCCTCAGCATAGTGGACATGGGTTAGGGGGCAGCTTATTTCTTGTTGGACAATCTTTTTTAAGATGTCCTTGCAAACCACACTGGTAACAAGCCCTATCAGGTAATTGGCCTGCTCCATTTTCTGTCCTCTCCAAACCACCAAGATGTGTTTGTCTGAGGGCCATGACTAAGGCTGCAGCCTTTCTCTGACCTCACTTTTCCTTTTTGGCCTGTTCCTCTTGGTCCCTATTATAGAACACCAAGGTTGCCAGGTTTAATAATGCCTCCAGATTTTGTTCAGGGCCCAGGGCTCACTTTTGGAGCTTTCTCCTGATATCTGTGACTGACTGGGTAATAAACTTATCTTTTAGGATCAATTGACCCTTGAGGGAGTCAGGTCACAGGGGAGTATATTTCCTTAAGGCCTCCCATAGCCACTCGAGGAAGGCAGAAGCATTTTCTTCCTTTCCCTGAGTTATGGTGGACATCATTAAATAATTTCATGGGCTTTTTCCTAATTCTTCTTAGTCCTTCTAGAACACAGGCCAACAGATGTTTGCGACTCCAGTCCTCATGATCTGAGTTGAGGTCCCAGTGGGGATCCATACTGGGGATGGCTTGCTGACTGGTAGGGAATGTGTCCCTTTCTTTGGCTGTCATTCTATCATTTACTTGACTAAGACACCAGGTATCTCCAAACTCTTGGGCTGCAGCTAAAGCCATATTCTTTTCATTAAAGGCCAGGGTTTGATCTAACAATAGCACGACATCTCTCCAAGAGAGATCAAAGGTTTGCCCTAGACCCTGTAGGACATCTATGTACCTATCAGGATCATCTGAAAACCTGCCCAGGTCTACCTTGATCTGCTTTAAGTCAGAGAGGGAGAAGGGGACATGTACTCAGGTTGGGCCAAATTTCCCTCCCCCTACAGCTTGAAGGGGACATAACTGATAGCCTGGGGGGTTTTGTGGTCCTTTGGAGATTTCTTTGCTTATTTCCTTCTGGGTGGGGGAGATTAGAGGAGGCTTATCATTAATAGGAAGGGGAGCTACAGGGAGGCTAGGATATGGCAGCAAGCTGAGAGGTCCTCCTGTGGGATGTAAATTGCAAACTTTGCATAGTTGTGTATTCTCCTTCAATGAAAAGAAAGCTTGGACATAAGGTATTTCACTCCATTTGCCTTCCCTCTTACAAAAAAAGTCAAGCTGCAGGATAGTATTGTAATTTAAACTTCCCTCAGGTGGCCATTTTTCCCCATCAGAGAGAGAATACTGGGGCCAAGCTGTAGTGCAGAAAAAAATGAGCCACCTCTTTTTCAGGGTTTGTGGGTCAAATTGGTCCCAGTGGCTTAGGATGCACTTCAAGGGTGAGCCTGTTGATACCTGGGTGTTTCTCATCTGAAAGACAAAACTGCCTGCGGTTTTGGTTTGTTTGTTTCTCCCCCAGCCCAAGAACCCACAAGGATCCCTGGACCCTGCTGATCAGAATAGTTGAGCTCACTGATGCAGCAGCAGAAACACCTCTTGCCCAAGAACCTGCAACGGTCCCTGGACCCTGCTGATCAGAATAGTTGTGCTCACTGACACAACAGCAGAAACTCCTCTTGCCCAAGAACCCACAACAGTCCCTGGACCCTGCTGATTGGAATAGTTGTACTCACCAACACAACAGCAGAAACACTAGTTTTCCTCCTAGACCACAAGGAGGACCAAGGAATGTCGGATTTAGTGGCCCTTACTGACACATTCTTGAAAACCTGCGCCCTTGCCTGTCCTCCTAGACCACAAAGAGGACCAAGAAAAATTGGATTTAGTGGCCCTAACTGACACATTCTTGAAAACCTGTTAGAGTCCTAAGCATTCTCCTGTCAGTATTGGGACTTTACTCGTGTCCTATAAAGATGTTATGCCCCAAAAATGAAGTGGAGGGCCATACCCTGAGGGAGGGAAGGGATCTCCAGGGTTGGAAGAGTGACACCTTTTGTCCTCACTTGAATAGGAAGGATATCATTTCTGAAGCTCCCCATATCCTAGCTTCAGGAATAGTTTTTGTTAGGCCTGCTAGTCTGAGAAGGGATCCTAAAATTCCAGATAGTCCCCCGCTCCAGTGGGGCTTTGGGCAAAAATTATGTCTTTCTGATTGGTGAGCCTGGGTGCCTAAAGAAGGTAACAGAGTCCTGAAGTTTATACTAGAAATCATTCTTATAGGAGAAACTAGAAAAGCACCAGAGACAGGGAGTGGTTTTTAGAAGCAGGACTAGCCTCAGAGAAAAGAGGCAAGAGGAAGTTTGTCTGACAGGTGCTAGGACCCAGGAGGCAAGGGTCAGGATAGATAGGATAGATAGGCGAGTCTCACTTGGGAGACATGACTTTGAGAGTTCCACTCATGGCCGCAGGGTCAACCAACTTGTTGTCAGGACCCCGGAGCTGAATGGCTTTCCTCTCTGTTGACCCTTGGCTCAGCCCAGAAGTACAAGAAAAGTGGAAGCTGGTTCCAGGCAAACCAACGCTCCCAACTCCGAAGAGTCGGGGGTTGTTAGAGAGCCCTTTCCCAGAAAGCCTGACACCCGTGTCTTTAGTCTGGCAGACGCACTAGTCGCTTTTAACTGGCTGAGAGATGCCAGGCATTTAGCCCCCAAATTCTAAGGAAAAATAGGATAGAATAGCAAGCGAAAGGGGTCCAATGGTACTCACCACTTTGCCAAGCATCGATAGGCAATGGTACCTTTGTGGTCGCCAAAATGTGTCCAGAATTGGTTCCTTCCGGTGGGTTCTTGGTCTTGCTGACTTCAAGAGTGAAGCTGCAGACCTTCGCAGTGAGTGTTACAGCTCTTAAAGGTGGTGTGATTGGAGTTGTTTGTTCCTTCTGGTGGGTTTGTGATCTTGCTGACTTCAGGAGTGAAGCTGCAGACCTTCACAGTGAGTGCCACAGCTCATAAAGGTAGTGCAGACCCGAAGAGTGAGCAGCAGCAAGATTTATTGTGAAGAGCAAAAGAACAAAGCTTCCACATCATGGAAGGGGACACGAGTGGGTTACTGCTGTGGGCTGGGGTGGCCAGCTTTTATTCTCTTATTTGGCCCCTCCCACATCCTGCTGATTGGTCCATTTTACAGAATGCTGATTGGTCCATTTTACAGAGTGCTGATTGGTGCTTTTACAAACCTTTAGCTAGACACAGAGCACTGATTGGTGCGTTTTTACAGAGCGTGGATTGGTGCATTTACAATCTTTCAGGTAGACACAGAGCACTGATTGGTGCATTTACAATATCTCTAGCTAGACAGAAAAGTTCTCGAAGTCCCCACTCAACCCAGGAAGTCTCATTATTACATATTCGGTTGATCCATAGGAAATTACTACTATTTCACTTTAAAAATAGCAATTTCTCATGGTTCAAACTAGTGGTTTTCCTAGTTATTATTCAAAAGGCAGAATAATGTTTATCACATGGATATGCTGCTGTTTTCTTAATCAGTACCTGTTGTTAGCAACCAGTACCTATTATTTCCGTATTCACTTTAACACAGATTGCATGAACAAAAGAACAGGCTTAAAAACTAGCTTCTCACAAATATTTGAACATATTTACATTATACTGTTATATGAAGTAAGAATTTGTCAAATAAGAACTTCAGCACAATTTGCAGTGAAAATAAAGCTAGACACCGGGATGATTAATTAATGGAACAGCTCAATGCAGTCTGCCCAACAAATCAGAAAATATTTTGCCCTCTTCTCCTAGAATAGCTACATAAGGTGCATAAACTAGATTCAGGTTTAGCCCTAGTTCATTTGTTTGCACGTGCATGAGCGTGAGTGTGTATGTGTGTGCGTGTGTATGTGTGTATGTAGAACTGGCTTTAAGATTACACTATAAAACCAAGGTTTATTTCTTCATTTCAACTTTTAAAAGCTTAACTGTGGTCAACTTTTCTCATCTTTGGAGACTTCAGCAAGGCAGACTGTTTCCCAGAAGCATGGGAAAGTATACCTGCTACTTCTCTAGTTCTCAGGTTTGGTCTCTTCCATTAGGTATCAACAACCGAGAAGGCCACTAGGGAATGGGCTTTACTCCACAAATCCAAAGGAAGTGAAGAAATTGGCAGCTCCCCTTTCAGCAGGTGAATGGCAGAGCCCAGCTCCTCTACCCAGGCAGCCCCAGCTACCACTGGCCCAAGGGAAGCCCCGACTCCAGGTCCCAAGCAGATCTCTCCAGGCCTTTACAAGTCAGTGCTCTTGCCTCTGCCAAAACACCTGGGACTCCCTTTCCGTTGCTTCTTCCTTGAAAAGATGTGGTGAAGTTGAAGCAATGTATCATAACACACATCTTGGGAATTTAGGGTAACAGGTGCTAAAACACCAGAGGGAAAAAAAAGCTCCCTAAGTTCCTTCTGTCTTGCAGTGCTTGTTTATAAATCAGAAGGCATTTGAAAACACTGACCAGACTTGAGTAAATTAAGCCAATAGTTTAGTTTCATCCATTCTCTTACATAAGTTAGGTGGTGTTTCTTTCCAAGAGGGGCAAACTTCAAATTATTCTTGGGGCCCACTCTACATCCCATAAACAGAAACTTGACCAGAAAGTTTCCATTAAAAAGGCGATTTCCTATCCATGCTATGATCCACAGCCATTCATATGGTATCTTTAACTCCTTCAGATAAATATGTGGGGGGGGTTTGATAACTATTTTGAAATAGTAAAAGGTCAGTGCAACCTGAAACTTTTCCTATGTAATTTTTGTCTATATATAAGTAAACCTGCAGAAGTAGCAGGTTTACTTTCCCATGCTTTGGGAAACAGTGTGCCTTGCTGAAGTCTCCAAGGATGAGAAAAGTTGGCCAGAGTCAAGCTTTTAAATGTTGGAATGAAGAAATCAACCTTGATTTTATAGTGTAATCTTAAAGTAGGTTCTACATACACACATACACACACACAGACATACACACACGCGCGCGCACACACACACACACACACATGCACTTGTGCTAATGCACAGAGTGGGCTAATGCCTCAAGTCTGGGGGTAGGAAGTACAGCCAGGCCCAGTACTGCTACCACAGATGTCCCTTCCCCCTTGTGAATTCAGTTCGTCAACAGCTGTTCACAAAAGTCCCTCTTGGCAATCTACAGTGGTGATGCCCGTAAATCCAAGACCACTGGGAATTCACCTGAAGTCAAACAAATTTATGTTCATTGATGCTGGCTTAGCAAGGGAGACTGCTCACTATGTGAAACCATGGGCTGGCTCAGTAAGAGGGTGTTGGTTGGGGCTTTTCACAAGCTTGGAGCTTGTGTTGGGCAGTTTGGGGTAGGATTCAAGGAAGAATGAGTTTGCTGTGAATTGGGTGTTGTCAGCAAGTGGAATAATTCTGTGATTCAGTCTCTTAATAAACCTTAATTATCTAGGAGACAGAAAGAATGGAAAGACTCAAACATGATGCCAGAGAGGACTTGTTTTTTTCTCACTTTATTAGAATCACCTGGTCTGACACTGATGTTCCATGAGAGTGTTTATGAGTAGCCAGAAAATTTGAATGCTTAGCTGTTAGTGCCAGCCTGCCAGAAATCAGGACTTGCTCCCAGACAAATAAATCTCCAGCTCTGATCTAATGGTATTTTGTCCATCAGTTACAGAGATAACTAAGAAGAGGGCTCTATCTTGAGTACATGGGGAAGCTTCCTGGAGAAGGACAGAGTCAGCCAGGAGGAAGGGAGGGAGGGTCCTTACCAGCAGGAAGAAGAGTATGTACTGGAGGTGTCTTTCTGGACAATGCATTTGGAGGAATTGGGGAGAAAAGGGAGTTAACACAAGATTTGAGAAAGAGGGGTAGGCAGGACACAGACCACAAAGCCAGGCCTTGCAAACCTTGGTAAGAAGCTTGAGCTTTATGGGGAAGGAAATGGTAAAGTGTTTTGAGTAGGGTTGCAACATTATCACCCTTGTTGTTAAATGATCATTCTGGCTGCCATGCTGAAAGTGGAGTAGGGCAAAACAGGTCTGGAAGAAAGAGTGTAAACAGTTCACACTAGCCCTAAAGGGCTGATGATGATGGTCACCAGCAGGAGTTAGGAGGAAGCCTGACATTCTGGCATGGTAGCTCATGCCTATAATCCCAGCACTTTGGGAGGACAAGGCAGGAGGATCACTTAAGCCTACGAGCTCAGATCAGCCTGAGCAACATAGTGAGACTCCCATCTCTACAAAAAAATTTAAAAATTAGCCAGGCATGGTGGTGCATGCCTTTAGTCCCAGCTTCTCATGAGGCTGAGGTAGGACGATTGCTGGAGCCCAGGAGTTGGAGGCTGCAGTGAGCTGTGATGGTTCCACTGTACTGCATCCTGGATGAGCTGTGATCACACCATAACTCTTCAGCCTAGATGACAGAGTGAGGCCCTAATTCAAAAAAAGAAAAAAGAGAGACAGAGAGAAAGCCCAGGGGTTGGCCCACTCCCATCATTGGGAATAAAGAAAGGCCTTTAGGGTTCTGTGCACTTCTGGCAAAACCTCCATACTCCTTGCCCCCCACCACTTACAGCCTGATTCCAACAGGGCATCCTAGGCCCTGAAGGACACTCCCTTCCCTGCCCCTCAGAGGGCACTCCTTGGCCCACTCCCCTGCTACATTTTCCTCCATGGCATCTAACACACCCTGATATACTTTAGATGGTGTATGTCTGCCTGCCTCCCTCACTGGAACCTAAGCTCCACATAAGAGATACTTTTGTCTACTTACTTCTATGACCTCCAATACCTAGAACAACAGTATGTGATACATAATTAGGCCCTCGATAAATATTTCTTGAATAATTTTGAATAAGAGATGGAATTAAGCCAGACAGTGGCAAATGTAATCAAAAGCAGAGAAGGGATTCTAGACTCTGGTTTCAAGCAAGTGGTAGAAGTCAGGTCTCCTTCAGGACCTGAAAATCTTACCTTTAGAAAGGAATGAGGTGGGTACAGGAGGTGAGGGGCCCATGCTGTTAGAGCTGGGAAACTCCTTCCCACCTATGACACTATGGCCAATAGTGTGATGCTGCGAGGGAATCCACAAAGAAGGTGTCAAGACTTGACCAGGGATAGTTAACTCTCCAGGGCTAAAACCTAATTGTGCGGCCATGGTAGTCCTATGCAGTTGACCATAAGAGAGCTTGAATGGGGACTGCTCCTTACAAACATGTGCTTCCCAGACTCTGATACACTCATTAAGCCCCAAAGTCCCTTTTGAAGTCTCCCTCCTCCTTGTCCTCAGATAGCAAGCATGCAGGCTGTGAGGAAGCATGAGTGGGTGAGAAGTCGGAAAGTTGCACATGCACATTTCAAGTCCTGTTCTATAGAAAGGCTCTCATCTGTGGCCATTTCACCTCACAATGTTAGCAAGGTGGGGGGCAGGAGCTTCAGTAATCAGAAGGAGCACCGAGGAAGTGGGGACACTCTAATGTCAGGAAGCATCGCCTGAAAGCAATGCAATCATAGGAATGTGACCATTGCTGTGGTGCCGTTGTGTTTTTAGCAGTTCCACAATACCAGAAGCCCCTGCAATTTCAAACTCAGCTTAAGGCAAGAAAAAATAAAAGAACTAGAATCACCTCCCTCTACCCTCTACTCAACCTGAATCATACTCCATACTCTCCCTGCCTTGACTTTGTGGAAAAATAGAAATCAAGGTGGCGAGCAAAGAAGAGGACTTAGGGAATGAAAGAAAAGGCAAAGTATAGGTGAGCAACCGAAAGCAGGTGAAACCTGCAGGCTGGTTTGCTCATGCTCAAAAGTAGGGAAGACACATTTCTACCAAAATGGAAAATGAGGACACTGGTCCCTTTCCCACCCTGCCCCACTGCACCAGGATCCCGAGTTTTCTTCCACTGGTCACAGTACCAGTCAGTTCACGAATCTAAGACTGCCTGAATAAAAACGTTTGGATTCTCAGCACAGGTTTTCAACCACAGAACTGTCAGCCACCACCATATAATTTTATCACTGACAGGTCAACTGAACTGAAGCTTACTTAGACTAGCCTAGCAAAGCACTTCTGAAAAAAGTGTCCTGTAACTTTTTAAAAATCAATTACCGATTGTCAATACAGGTTGGCACATGTCTTAAGCCATGTCCCTCATAAGACTACAGAAGCAAGTATATATTTCAATCAGGGCTATTTTGTTGTTTTTGTTACTGTCATACCTGCCCAAAACTCCATTTCCTGTCTGTTTTCTAGCTGGAAGTTAAAGCAACCATGAGCAAAGCTGTAGGAAACTTCATCTACCAAAAACAGGACAGGATGTAAAACTTCACACCGAGTGTCATGTGGCAGGATGGGGAAGCACAAAAAGAGACTCATGCAAAGTTTTGAAAACACCTTGAGAGAAGTGAACAAACATCACTATGATGGACCAAAAAACATGCAATGATGCAGAGCACTATAATTTCAAGCTGGTTGTTGAAAACTGCATGATCTGTGCTAGTGGTAGAAAAGGCGAAGATGCGGGGAGGCTTCCAAGATGGCCAAATAGGAACAGCTCCAGGCTGCAGCTCCCAGCGAGATCAATGAGGAAGACAAGTGATTTCTGCATTTCCAACTCAGGTACCTTGTTCATCTCATTGGGACTGGTTGGACAGGGTGGGCAGCCCAGGAAGGGTCAGACGAAGCAGGGCAGGGTATCGCCTCACTGGGGAAGTGCAAGGGGTCAGGGGATTTCCCTTTCCTAGCCAAAGGAAGCCATGACAGTCTGTACCTGGAGGAATGGTACACTCCTGCCCAAATACTGCACTTTTCCCATGGCCTTCGCAACCAGTAGACCAGAAAATTCCCTCCCATACCTGGCTCGGTGGGTCCCACACCCACGGAGCCTTGCTCACTGCTAGAGCAGCAGTCTGAGATCAATCTTCAATGCTACAGCTTGGCAGGGTGAGGGATGTCTGCCATTGCTGAGGCTGGAGTAGGTGGTTTTGTGCTCACAGTGTAAACAAAGAGGCCAGGAAACTCGAACTGGGTGGAGCCCACTGTAGCTCAGCAAGGCCTACTACCTCTCTAGATTCCACTTCTGTGGGCAGGGCATATCAGAACAAAAGGCAGCAGACAGCTTCAGCAGACCTAAATGTCCCTGTCTGACAGCTCTAAAGAGAGCAGTAGTTCTCTCAGCATGACGTTCGAGCTCTGAGAACGGACAGACTGCTTCCTCAAGTGGGTCCCTGACACCCATGTAGCCTGACTGGGAGACACTTCCCAGTAGGGGCTGACAAACACCTCATACAGGCAGGGGGCCCCTCTAGGATGAAGCTTCCAGAGGAAGGATCAGGCAGCAATATTTGCTGTTCTGCAGCCTCCACTAGTGATACCCAGGCAAACAGGGTCTGGAGTGGACCTCCAGCAAACTCCAACAGACCTGCAGCTGAGGGCCCAACAGTTAGAACGAAAACTAACAAACAGAAGAAATAGCATCAACATCAACAAAAAGCACATCCATACCAAAACCCCATCTGTAGGCCACCAACATCAAAGGCCAAAGGTAAATAAAACCACAAAGATGGGGAGAAACCAGAGAGCCTCTTCTCCTCCAAAGGATCGCAGTTCCTCACCAGCAACAGAGTAAAACTGGACAGAGAGTGAGTTTGACAAGTTGACAGAAGTAGGCATGAGAAGGTCAGTAATAGCAAACTTCTCTGGGCTAAAGAAGCATGTTCTAACCCATTGCAAGGAAGCTAAAAACCTTGAAAAAAGATTAGACGAATGGCTAACTAGAATAAATAGTGTAGAGAAGATCTTAAATGACCTGAAGGAGCTGAAAACCATACCACGAGAACTTCGTGACACGTGCACAAGCTTCAATAGCCAATTCCATCAAGTGGAAGAAAGGATGTCAGTGATTGAAGATCAAATTAATGAAATCAAGCAAGAAGACAAGATTAGAGAAAAAAGAGTGAAAAGAAATGAATAAAGCCTCCAAGAAATATGGGACTATGTGAAAAGACCATTTTGATTTGTGTTCCTGAAAGTGATGGGGAGAATGGATCCAAGTTAGGAAACCTTCAGGATATTATCCAGGAGAATTTCTCCAACCTAGCAAGGTAGGCCAACATTCAAATTCAGGAAATACAGAAAACACCACAAAGATACTCCTTGAGAAGAGCAAACCCAAGATACATAATTGTCAGATTCACCAAGGTTGAAATGAAGGGAAAAATGTTAAGGGCAGCCAGATAGAAAGGTCAGGTTACCCACAAAGGGAAGCCCATCAGACTAACAGCAGATCTCTCAGCAGAAAGTCTACAAGCCAGAAGAGAGTGGGGGCCAATATTCAACATTCTTAAAGAAAAGAATTTTCAACCCAGAATTTCATATCCAGCCAAACTAAGCTTCACAAGTGAAGGAGAAATAAAATCCTTTACAGAAAAGCAAATACTGAGAAATTTCATCATCACCAGGCCTGTCTTACAAGAGCTCCTGAAGGAAGTACTAAACATGGAAAGGAACAACTGGTACCAGCCACTGCAAAACCATGCCAAATTGTAAAGACCATCAATGCTAGGAAGAAACTGCATCAACTAACGAGCAAAATAACCAGCTAGCATCATAATGACAGGACCAAATTCACACATAACAATATTAATCTTAAGTGTAAATGGGCTAAATGCCCCAATTAAAAGACACAGACTGGCAAATGGGATAAAGAGTCAAGACCAATCAGTGTGCTGTATTCAGGAGACCAATCTCCATGCAAAGACACACATAGGCTCAAAATAAAGGGATGGAGGAAGATCTACCAAGCAAATGGAAAGCAAAAAAAGCAAGGGTTGCAATCCTAGTCTCTGATAAAACAGACTTTAAACCAACAAAGACCAAAAAAGACAAGGCCATTACATAATGGTAAAGGGATCAATGCAACAAGGAGAGCTAACAATCCTAAATATATATGCACACAATTCAGGAGGACCCAGATTCATAAAGCAAGTCCTTGAAGACCTACAAAGAGATTTAGACTCCCACACAATAATAATGGAAGACTTTAACACCCCACTATCAATATTAGACAGATCAACGAGACAGAAGGTTAACAAGGATATCCAGGACTTGAACTCAGTTCTGCACCAAGCAGATCTAATAGACATCTACAAAACTCTCCATCACAAATCAATAGAATATACATTCTTCTCAGCAACACATCGCACTTAATCTAAAATTGACCACATAATTTGAAGTAAAGCACTCCTCAGCAAATATAAAAGAACAGAAATCACAACAAACTGTCTCTCAGACCACAGTGCAACCAAATTAGAACTCAGGATTAAGAAACTCACTGAAAACCACACAACTACATGGAAACTGAACAACCTGCTCCTGAATGACTACTGGGTAAATAACAAAATGAAGTCAGAAATAAAGATGTTCTCTGAAACCAATGAGAACAAAGACACAACATACCAGAATCTCTGGGACACATTTAAAGGAGTGTGTAGAGAGAAATGTATAGCACTAAATGCCCACAAGAGAAAGCAGAAAAGATCTAAAATCAACACCCTAACATCACAATGCTAAAAACTAGAGAAGCAAGAGCAAACAAATTCAAAAGCTAGCAGAAGGCAAGAAATAATTAAGATCAGAGCAGAACTGAAGGAGCTAGAGACACAAAAAACCCTTCAAAACATCAATGAATCCAGGAGGTGGTTTTTTGAAAAGATCAACAAAAATGACAGACTACTAGCAAGACTAATAAAGAAAAAAAGAGAAGAATCAAATAAATGCAATAAAAAATGAAAAAGGGGATATCACCACCGATCCCACAGAAATACAAACTACCATCAGAGAATACTATAAACACCTCTATGCAAATAAACTAGAAAATCTAGAAGAAATGGATAAACTCCTGGACACATCCACCCTCCCAAGACTAAACCAGGAAGAAGTTGAATCTCTGAATAGATCAATAACAGGTTCTGAAATTGAGGTAATAATTAATAGCCTACCGACCAAAAAAAGTCCAGAACCAGATGGATTCACAGCCAAATTCTACCATATGTATAAAGAGGAGCTGGTATCATTCCCTCTGAAACTATTCCAATCACTAGAAAAAGAGGGAATCCTCCCTAGCTCATTTTATGAGGCCAGCATCATCCTGATACCAAAGCCTGGCAGAGACACAACAAAAAAAGAGAATTTTAGACCAATATCCCTGATGAACATCGATGCGAAAATCCTCAATACAATACTGGCAAACCAAATCGAGCAGTACATCAAAAAGCTTATTCGCCATGATCAAGTTGGCTTCATCCCTGGGATGCAAGGCTGGTTCAACATATGCAAATCAATAAACATAATCCATCACATAAACAGAACCAACAACAAAAACCACATGATTATCTCAATACATGCAGAAAGGGCCTTCAACAAAATTCAACAACCTTCATGCCAAAAACTCTCAATAAACTAGGTATTGATGGGACGTATCTCAAAATAATAAGAGCTATTTATGACAAACCCACAGCCAATATCATACTGAATGGACAGAAACTGGAAGCATTCCCTTTGAAAACTGGCACAAGACAAGGATGCCCTCTTTCACCACTCTTATTCAACATAGTGTTGGAAGTTCTGGCTACAGCAATCAGGCAAGAAACAGAAATAAAGTGTATTCAACTAGGAAAACAGGGAGTCAAATTGTCTCTGTTTGCAGATGACATGATTGTATATCTAGAAAACCCCATCATCTCAGCCCAAAATCTCCTTAAGCTGATGAGCAACTTCAGCAAAGTCTCAGGATACAAAATCAATGTGCAAAAATCACAAGCATTCCTATACACCAATAACAGACAAACAGAGAGCCAAATCATGAGTGAACTCCCATTCACAATTGCTTCAAAGAGAATAAAATACCTAGGAATCCAACTTACAAGGGATGTGAAGGACCTCTTCAATGAGAGCTACAAACCACTGCTCAACGAAATAAAAGAAGACACAAACAAATGGAAAAACATTCCATGCTCATGGATAGGAAGAATCAATATCATGACAATGGCCATACTGCCCAAAGTTATTTATGGATTCAATGCCATCCCCATCAAGCTTCCAATGACTTTCTTCACAGAATTGGAAAAAACTACTTTAAAGTTCATATGGAACCAAACAAGAGCCCACATTGCCAAGACAATCCTAAGCCAAAAGAACAAAGCTGGAAGCATCATGCTACCTGACTTCAAACTATACTACAAGGCTACAGTAACCAAAACAGCATGGTACTGGTAATGGCTGCACAACTATGCAAATATACTAAAATCCATTGACTCATACACTCTAAATGGGTGACCTTTATGGTGTGTGAATTATGTCTCATAAAGTTGTTAGAAGTCAACATAAATGGAAGAGCAACCATTCACATAAAAATAAACAAAATTGTCAATGTTTTAAGAATTTTTCAGTAGGTGTAGTTAATTACAATTTGACTTTTTTAAGTCTGCACTAAAATTACTCACCAAAACCAATAGCAGGGTCCTCACTGCTGTTACTGAAAATGATTAACCTTTGATACACTTGTAATATCTGAGAAAAAGAAATGCAGGGGTCTCAGCAGGGCTCCCTTCTAAGGTCACTTGATTTCTAAAGAAGTAACCACTAGGTTTGAAGTCATCAGGATGTTAACTATGGGGATGGTTGGTTCAGTACCCAACATCCTGACAGCACATCTGACCATGTATATTGTATCGGAGACCACATCCTCAGCTCAGAAAAAGAGCTGAACTCATTTCAAATAGAAAGCACACTGCATACTGTTCCTCCAGGGACTGAGGTTGACTCTTCTTAGAGTGAGACATTCCCCAACATTGGAACAAAAATGACTCCCACTTCTTTTCTCACCTAAACCTGTTCAGAAGAAAGTAAGGAAGAAAGGCAGGAAGCAGGGGTCGGGGGGGGGCGGGGAGGGAGGGAAACTCGGAGATACTTTCAGTATCTAAAGTTGTGAAACTAGACAATCAGGAACGCACAATCAGAGGGCTGAAAAGGGCCAAGAGCCCCTACCCTCCTCCAGCCCATGTTCCCACACCTGCCACAGACCAGGCAGGAGCACAATAAACACTCACCACAAAGTGGGGAAGGAAAATCCAGGCAGGAGCCTCTATGTAAATAAATCTCCCTCCTGTCCTCAGCTTGCACTTGGCCTGCTAATTCTTATATAACCCAAGGAGACAGCTAGAAAGAATTTTGATTGGTGACCAATTTTGAGGACTTTTATTAAAATTCTAATTTAAGTCTTCGAGAGTTTCCAGTCATGGATACTACAGATAATATTGCAGATGATGAAAGCGTCTTCAAAATCATAGCTGAGACACTTTACAGTCTTCCCTGGTGTACTCTGATGGCAACAAGGTCCCTTGCCCCTCTCCTACCCTGTAGAATTCCAGCGCCCCCCTCAGCAGTCCTAGCAAAGGAAAGCCTGCCTGCTGGCAGTGAGCCATCATCCACCATTCTCACTTATTTGGATTTGGTTTCCTAATGCTAAACTTTGAAACTTGAAAAAAAAAATGAAAGGAAACCACATCCTTTTTACTCTCAGTATATAGATAGAGGCAGTTAAGAACTGAAAACAGATTTTCAGGTTGATTGATGTGGGACAGCAGCCACAATGAGGAACTCCTATAGATTTCTGGCATCCTCTCTCTCAGTTGTCGTTTCTCTCCTGCTAATTCCTGAAGGTAAGACTGATTCTTCTCATTTCCATTATGACCATGAAGCAAAATGGAGCAGACTTTCAATGAACTTTTGGCAATATTACCTTCCTATACTGAAAGAAGATGTTTTCCCCCAAGCCTTATAATGTTTAGCCAGGCACAATGGCACATGCCTGTAGTCCCAGCTACTAGGAACGCTGAGGTGGAAGGATCACTTGAGCGCAGGAGTTTGAGTCCAGGCTGGGCGACATAGTGAGACCCTGTCTCTATTTTTTTTTTTTAAATAGCATTCTTTCTTGGATTTTAAATATGTCTGTATTTTAGAAAAAAAAATCTTTTCTTCTCATAATTATTTTGCAAAAGATAGCAGAACCACCAATGCTTATTGCTGCCAATTTGTAACTTGAAAATTGCCAAAAAGGACAATGTAAAAATGAGTTAACAAAACTCTCTTGTTCGTAAAACAAATAGTACCTTCCAGGAAAGGAATAGTGGCAACTTAGTCAGCTCAGCCTTTCCTGCTGCAGAAAATGCATAGATAAAGACAATTAAGACAAATCTGACCTAGACACCAAAAGTGAATCAGGAATTATTAGAATTTTTATACTTATTTCTCTGGTCTAGAGACTCTTTGGCAATAAATTAAGGCGTGAGGCCAGTTCCCTCATTAACCCTTTGGGTGTGCTATAGTATTTTTTATTAAGCTAATTTTTTGTCTACCAAATGGTAACCAATATTTCTGCTTTTGTGTGAGTTGAGCATGCATGGGTTAAAATGCTGTATAATTCATGGTATTACCACTGAAAGGGTGACAGCTCTTGGGGAGCTCTAGATTTCCCTTGAAGAACCTGCTAGGAAGTGAGGACTACTCTCAAGCTGTGGCAATATGGAGCCAGCCACGGTTTTTCCCAGGATTCATCAGCTTTTGGAGGCAGGGACTTATGTAATAACCTGCCTTGCCAGGAATTCCCAAAGAACTCTGGTTTATCATATTTAGGTGCATATCTGGTTTATGCACCTAAATATGAGAAGACTTTGGGAGGCTGAGGTGGGTGTTTCACAAGGTCAAGAGATGGAGACCATCTTGGCCAACATGGTGAAACCTTGTCTCCACTAAAAAAACAAAAATTAGCTGGGTATGGTGGCACGTGCCTGTAATCCCAGCTACGCAGGAGGCTGAGGCAGGAGAATCGCTTGAACCAGAGAGTTGGAGGCTGCAGTGAGCTAAGATCGTGCCACTGCACTCCAGCCTGGTGACAGAGCGAGACTCTGTCTCAAAAAAAAAACAAAAAAGAGAGAGAGAGAGAAGAAATATAAAAATAACAAGGCTGCAGGACATTTGGGACAAAGGTTGGCTATGTTATAAGCAGGGCATAGTATGACTATATTCAGGCATGTTAAATCCTCCATAACAGAAAAACACAGGGCAGATAAATCCAGCCATATCTTTTCTTCAAAGGAAAACAACAAAAGCAACCTGCTGTGCTCCTCTTTGTTTCCTGTGTTCAGAGAGGGCAGTGTGGGCCCATATAAGGAACAGACAGCAAAGCAAGGCACAGTTGAAATCTATCTGTACATGAATCACCCTAGGAAAATTGGGATTGGGTGAAGGTCTTTTGTTTCTATAAGCTCTTTACCCTTTTGTTTCTAGAGCCTAGAATTTCTTCCTCCCAGTTTCCTTTTTAAAAGCAGAGACCTCTGCTTTTTCAAATCACACTAGCCACATTTCATGTGGTCACTCTCCTCCTTGCTCTTACCCTCATCAAATCTTACGAAAGGCTTCTATAGCTGTCATTAATACTTGCCTGTGAATTTGGCAATGACTTAGTCCTAATTATGGAACAAGAGGCACTGTGCCCTATTCAAGAAACCATGAGTCTCAGCAAAACTATTTTGGGAGAATCCAAGAACATCTGGTGCAGGAGGTGGAGCACTCGGAGTGTATCACTAAGACATAAGGTTCTCTCTATCTGCATGTATGGTTTGCCTTGTGTTTAGTTCTCACTGTTCCTTAACAATGGGTCTCTACTTCAAGACTATCATCAAGGAAATGTCACTTAGGCAGAATTCTTGGCATATGGTATCTTCTCTCTTCTCTTCCCTATCTCATTGGAAAAGACCTTAGATTAAACCCCATGGTTTGGTCTAGAGATTGAAGGGGAGGTGCAATCGATGTTATTTTCTTAACTTATGAGTGAGAACAGTGCAGTTTAATAACCAAAAGTCTCATAATGACCAAAGGACTGAGGGGTAGGGTCACAGCTAAACGATGCTAATATCGGTTCATAAGCTATATTTTTGCAATGGCTTGGGGTTAAAAGGGAAGTTATGAGGCTTCTAAAAGTCTTATCTATTTCCCCCAAATTAATAGTTAGCCAAAAAGGGTGGGAGCACTTGAGGTTGTCACTACCACTGGCATTTCCTGCAGCAACTGTTGATGGTAAAGACCAAGGCAGAGCTTTCTGCCCTGGGGCCTGAGGTTGCTGGTTTGTGACATCCAGCCTAATGATCCTGGAACAGTCAATGGCCTCGCTTCTGTGGGTGGAAAAACAGGACCCTAGAGTCCAACAGGAATAGGATTTGCATCAGATGTCTGCGGGTCTACATAGAGTAAAAGCAGGGGAAATGCTCTCATCCAGACTTCCTCTCTGAGTGCAAAAAGCATGGCTGGTCTTAGAAACATGACTTTGTGTAGAGCTCTTTGGGGGTGAGCACCAATCTGATTTGTCTTTTTCCATTGAACAGATGTCTGTGAAAAAATTATTGGAGGAAATGAAGTAACTCCTCATTCAAGACCCTACATGGTCCTACTTAGTCTTGACAGAAAAACCATCTGTGCTGGGGCTTTGATTGCAAAAGACTGGGTGTTGACTGCAGCTCACTGTAACTTGTAAGTGCCTGGGTTTTTAAAAAAAAGTTTGTAAAGATACTCTAATTTGGGGAAACATTAATAAAAAGAGTAGGCCGGGCACAGTGGCTTACACCTGTAATCCCAGCACTTTGGGAGGCCAAGGCAGGTGGATCACATGAGGTCAGGAGTTTGAGACTAGCCTGGCCAACATGGTGAAACCCCATCTCTATTAAAAATACAAAATTAGCCAGGCGTGGTGGCGCATGCCTGTAATCCCAGCTACTTTGGAGGCTGAGGCAGGAGAATTGTTTGAACCTAGGAGGCAGAGGTTGCAGTGAGCCGAGATCGCACCATTGCACTCCAGCCTGGGCAACGAGAGTGAGACTCCATCTCAAAATAAAATAAAATAAAATAAATAAAATAAAATAAAATAAATAAAATAAAATAAAATAAAATAAAATAAAATAAAATAAAATAAAATAAAATAAAATAAATAAAATAAAATAAAATAAAATAAAATAAAATAAAATAAAATAAATAAAATAAAATAAAATAAATAAAATAAAATAAAATAAAATAAAATAAAATAAAATAAAATAAAAAAATAAAATAAAATAAAATAAAATAAAATAAAATAAAAAATAAAATAAAATAAAATAAAATAAAATAAAATAAAATAAAATAAATAAAATAAAATAAAATAAAATAAAATAAAATAAAATATAAAATAAAATAAAATATAAAATAAAATAAAATAAATAAAATAAAATAAAGTAGATCCCACTGAAGCCATGGGAGGTTCATATGTATCTTCACATCGCTTAAGTCTTTGGGCACTTGCTTGAGCCTAAAAGGAAGTTAGGCCCACACTTGCCACAAAGAATCAGGCAATGAGGAAGCAGCATCCACAAGCTCTTTCTGTACATCTCCACTGAGCCATTGGGTACAGGTGCTGCAGAGCTTTGCTTCTGTCATGACTGCGTGACCAGGTAGAATTAGCCTCAGCATGGAAGGGTGAAACTTTCAGTGCCCCCTCAGAGCCCTGGGTGCAACCATCAAGTACAGAAAGCTTGTGTCCAATGACCTTCTTGTATGCCTCCGTGAATTCCTCTCACATCTTTGGCCATCTCTTCACTCCTGTCGACCACTACATTCAAACCTCTTCCCAGGCCTGGTCTTTTCCTACTCTCTAAATCAAGCCTCTAAACCTAGGCCATTCAATATGATAGGCACTAGCTACATGTAGCTATGTAAATTTCAATCAATTAAAGTTAAATAAAATCTCAAATTAGTTCCTCAGTTGCACTAGCCACATTTCAAGTCCTCAGTAGCCACATGTGGCTAGTGCAGATTCATAGAACATTTCATCATAAAAATATGCTCTACTGGAAAGCACTGTTCTAAGGTCTTTTTCTTTTATTTTTTAATTATTTACTTTTTATTGACATATAATAGTTGCACATATGTTGGGGATACATGTGACCATTTAAGTGAGACTAATCTCAGCTGATGTAATGGAAAAGAGGCAGTGTGCATAATCTGGTTGGTGTAGTTTATACTAGGTTATGAATGATAGCCTTAATCCAATCATCAGTACATCAGAAAGCATTTTGATTTTGATAACCAAAATGAACCTTTAAGAGAAAAAAAGACTCCTGGACCCCTCCTTCAGACCACCATCCCTTCAACACACTCAATGCCAAGCACACTCAATGCCAAGCAAATAGGGTCCTCCATGGGGCAATCTGTTTCTGAAAGTTTTCCCATTTGAGTTTGTTGTTTTCTTGAAAAGATCCCTTCAGTGCATTACTTTACAACTATTGGCTGCTTTTTGCTTCTGTCTCTGGACTACTGAGATCTTTGCTTCCCATCACAGCTAATAAGTAATTCTCCATCACAGCTAAATAAGGCAGGGGTAGGGGGCAGATAAGCACAAGACTTGGCTTTGCTGCCATGGAATTCTCTTGTTTTTCAATGAACCTAGTTTAGCTTTTTATAAATAAGCTGGTGATGATGATGATGACGATAAATTCATAAACATTCTTTTATTCATAAACATTCTTTTATTCTTTAAAGCACACATTTTCTTTCTGAGCCACAAAGAAATCTCCCCACCTCCATATTTACAAATGGGACAATGAAACTGATCAGTATATATGCTCAACTGCCAATACAAAGAATAAATCCAGTAAATAATGTTGTGTCTGTTCTCAGGAACAAAAGGTCCCAGGTCATTCTTGGGGCTCACTCAATAACCAGGGAAGAGCCAACAAAACAGATAATGCTTGTTAAGAAAGAGTTTCCCTATCCATGCTATGACCCAGCCACACGCGAAGGTGACCTTAAACTTTTACAGGTACGTATCTTTGATTGTCTTCTCAAAAGTCATAGAACCTTCTACAATCTGGCCGCCGACGTGAAAACCTTTCCTTGGTGCCCCTGTTGTAAAAACTCACAATAAAGAGGATCCTGAAATTTTGGACTATAATTTAAAATGTAAATATTTATCTTATCCCATTAACACTTTATGTTTTTCTTCCAACAGCTGATGGAAAAAGCAAAAATTAACAAATATGTGACTATCCTTCATCTACCTAAAAAGGGGGACGATGTGAAACCAGGAACCATGTGCCAAGTTGCAGGGTGGGGCAGGACTCACAATAGTGCATCTTGGTCCGATACTCTGAGAGAAGTCAATATCACCATCATAGACAGAAAAGTCTGCAATGATCGAAATCACTATAATTTTAACCCTGTGATTGGAATGAATATGGTTTGTGCTGGAAGCCTCCGAGGTGGAAGAGACTCGTGCAATGTAAGTAAAATAAGATCCCACGTTTCAGCTATTGAATTAAGTCATGCAGACAGAGAAAATGTAATGTCATGCTTTGTTTTGTCATGGCACTGGCTTCTACAGGATCCTAGAGCTTTTTGAAATAAGTTTAATAAAACCCCAGTCAAATAAATGAATGCTCGCAGCTCAAGTGAGTCATTAATCAAAAATAAGAAGTTCACTGCTAGTGCATGGGGTGACCTACTACATATTTTTGATTTTTTACAAAAATTACTAAGAAGCAATGTTTGGTCTCATTTTTCATGTTAACATACGTAGATCTAAACTTGAAGATATACAACACTTATGAGAGCTGAAGTCAGGGTTCCTCAAGGCCACTCAGTACTCTTTCCCCATTTCAGTACATTCCCTCTCCTTCCCCACTACGTTCCTCTGCCATTTAACATCGGCATGTCTGAAATGTCTGTCAAGCCTGGCTGAATATTTCCAGCCAGACCCCATAGCTTCCTAGAGCTTAGTTTAATCTGCAGCAAACTTCAAAGCATGACTCATACCAGAAAATGTGTAAGCTTCCATCCTAGAACCCCCTGAGAAGAGGTGGGATAGGGCCATGCTTAAAGATGAGAATAGAAGAAACATTTTGCAGATTTTTAAACTGAGTACTACCTTGCATTTCTCATTTGTCCCAAAGACCCTATAGAGCCTTACCTGAAGAAGGGTGTGCAGTATGCATGGTTTGGCAGTTACCAGAGACTGAGAAATCCAAAGGTCTCTGTCCTTCCCTAGATCTATGTCTTGCTTTCAGAACCAAAGCTAGCCAAATCCCAGGAAAAGAAAACATTTGTCTTCAGTACCTGTCCACTTTCTCTTCTCTGCCCTAGTTCCCCCATTCCCTCCCTTGTCCACCACCCTGGGTTCCCAGGAACCCAGAACCTTCATGCTTTTGGAACCCACATGCAGCATCCTAAGGCCACGGCAGCATCCCAAGACGCTAGTCCCCATCCCACCAGCCACCCGCCACCACCGAAACTTGGCAATCCTTGCCTGTTCTCTCAACACCCTGGAATTGGCTATTGATGAATTAAACCTAAAGGACTAATTCTGCAAATGCCAGTTACTGTAACAGGCAGGGGAAATAAACCTGTTCAGGGAGGATCCCGGGTTCCAACATGGTTCTTTATTTCATATCTTTATAAGGCCAACTTTTGCCTGAAAGGGACTGATTTGGTTTTGTTTCTTTTGGAAGGCAATTATCTGCTAGAAGAACCACAAAACATAGTGTTTATTCTTTGCTTCAATGTATCATCTGCATTTGACTATTTTGCCCCTTGAGTTATTAAGCATTTTGAGAAAACGACAAATAAACAGGAGACTTTCCTTTCCAAAAGCAGAGCAATAGTCTCAAAATTAGCTGATAACATGTACAAGTTTCAC